>NC_000009.12:72595552-73220552 GCF_000001405.40 Homo sapiens | reverse complement strand
TGTGTTCAAAAGGCCATGTTCTCTTTAAGAAGTGCTAGGGAAGTTCCAGTAGTCTTCTAACTTCTGCAAGTTTCTTGGCTTGTGGCAGTATGACTAATCCCCACTGGGCTTTCTCCCTATCTGAGTGTCTCTCTTTGTGTACAAATTCTCTCTTTCGCAAGGACACCAGTCATATTGGATTAGAGGCCCACCCTAGTCTACTGTGATTTTGTATTAGTCTGTTTTCATGCTACTGAAAAAGACATAATGAAGACTGAGCCATTTACAAAAGAAAGAGGCTTATTGGACTTACAGTTCCTCATGGGTTGGGAGGCCCCACCATCCTGGCAGAAGGTGAAAGGAACATTTCACATAGTGGCAGACAAGGGAAGAGAGCTTGTGCAGGGAAACTCCCCTTTTTAAAATCATCAGATCTTGTGAGACTTATTAACCATCACAAGAACAGCATGAGAATGACTCACCCCCATGATTCAATCACCTCCCACCAGGTCCCTCCTGCAACACATGGGCATTCAAGATGAGATTTGGGTGGGACATACCCAATCCACATCATTCTGCCTCTGGCCCCTCCCTAATCTCATGTCCTCACATTTCAAAATGAATCATGCCTTCCCAACAGTCCCCCAAAGTTTTAACCCATTTCAGCATTAACTCAAAAGTCCACAGTCCAACATTTCATCTGAGACAAGTCCCTTCTGCCTATGAGCCTGTAACATAAAAAGCAAGTTAGTTACTTTCTAGATACAATGGGGGTACAGGCATTGGGTAAATACAGACATTCCAATGGGAGAAATTGGCCAAAACAAAGGGGATACAAGCCCCATGCAAGTCCAAAATCCAGCAGAGTAGTCAAATCTTAAAGATCCAAAATGATTTTCTTTGACTCCATGTATCAAACTCGTGTCATGCTGATGCAAGAGGTAGGTTCCCATGGTCTTGGGCAGCTCCACCCCTGTGGCATTGCAGGATACAGCCTTCTTCCTGACTGCTTTCACTGGCTGGTGTTGAGTGTCTGCAGCTTTTCCAGTCACACGGTGCAAGCCGTTGGTGGATCTACCATTCTGGGGTCTGGAGGATTGTGGCTGTCTACTCTCAGCTCCACTAAGCAGTGTCCCAGTAGGGACTCTGTGGGGGCTCCAACCCCACATGTCCCTTCCACACTGCCCAAGAAGAGGTTCTCCATGAGAGCCCTGCCCCTGCAACAAACTTCTGCCTGAACATCCAGGCATTTCCATACATCTTCTGAAATCTTTGCAGAGGCTCCCAAACCTCAATTCTTGACTTCTGTGCACCTGCAGGCTCCACACCATGTGGCAGCTGCCAAGGCTTGGGGCTTCTACCCTCTGAAGCAACAGCCCAAGCTGTCCCTTGGCCTCTTCTAGTCATCACTGGAGAGGCTGGGAGGCAGGGCACCAAGTCCCTAGACTGCACACAGCAGAGGGACCCTGGGCCTGGCCCATGAAACCATTTTCTCATCCTAAACCTCCAGGCCTGTGATGAAAGGGACTGCTGCAAAGGTCTCTGATATGCCCTGGAGACATTTTCCCCATTGTCCTGGGAATTAACATTCAGCCCCTTGTTACTTACACAAATTTCTGCAGCTAGCTTGAATTTCTCCTCAGAAAATGGGTTTTATTTTCTATGGCATTGTCATGCTGCAAATTTCCCAAACCTTTATGCTCTATTTCCCTTAAACTGAATGCCTTTAACAGCCCCCAATTCACCTCTTGAATGCTTTGCTGCTTAGAAATTTCTTCTGCCAGATATTGTAAATCATCTCTCTCAAGTTCAGAGTTTCACAAATCTCTAGGGCAGGGGCAAAATGCTGCTAGTGTCTTTGCTAAAACATAACAGGAGTCAACTTTGCACCAGTTCCCAACAAGTTTTTCATCTCCATCTGAGACCACCCCAGCCTGGATTTCATTGTCCATATCATTATCAGCATTTTTATCTAAGCCATTCAACGAGTCTCTAGGGAGTTCCAAACTTTCTCACATTTTCCTGTCTTCTTTTGAGCCCTCCAAACTGTTCCAGCCTCTGCTTCTTACCCAGTTCTAAAGTCACTTCCACATTTGCAGGTATCTTTTCAGCAGTGTCCCACTCTAGTGGTACCAGTTTACTCTATTAGTCTGTTTTCACACTGCTGATAAACACGTACCTGAGACTGGGCCATTTACAAAAGAAAGAGGTTTATTGGACTTACAATTCCATGTGGCCGGGGAGGCCTCACAATCATGGTGGAAGGTGAATGGCATGTTTCACATGGCAGCAGACAAGAGAAGAAAGCTTGTGCAGGGAAACTCCCCTTTTTAAAACCATCAGATCGGCCAAGCATTGTGGCTCATGCCTGTAATCCTAGCACTTTGGAGGCTGAAGCAGGCAGATCACGAGGTCAGGACATTGAGACCATCCTGGCCAACACAGCAAAACCCTGTCTCTACTAAAAATACAAAAAATTAGCCGGGCATGGTGGTGGGCACCTGTAGTCCCAGCTACTCAGGAGGCTGAGGCAGGAAAATGGTGTGAACCCAGGAGACGGAGCTTGCAGTGAGCCGAGATCACGCCACTGCACTCCAGCCTGGGTGACAGAGCGAGACTCCGTCAAAAAAAAAAAAAAAAAATCAGATCTCATGAGACTTTTTAACCATCACAAGAACAGCACAGGAAAGTCCTGCCCCCATGATTCAATCACCTCCCACCATATCCCTCCCACAACACATGGAAATTCAAGATGAGATTCAGGCAGCGACACAGCCACACCACATCAGACTTCATCTTAATTTAACTAATTATACCTACAATGGGACTTTTTCCAAATAAGGTCACATTCTGAGGTACTGGGGATTAGGATTTCAACATAGAAATTCTGAGGGAGACACAGTGAAGGAATAAAACATTTGGATATATAATTTTATTTACGAATCATTTACTTTATTCTAAGACCTAGTCTCTGAAAAGAAATCCTATTTTTCAGATTCATCCCTGGTAGATGAAATTGTAAGGTAGGACTCCCAAGCTTTTCAAAGGGTGCACTAGAAACACTGAGAGGAACACAGAAACTGTTATGTTAACTACGATTTGACTGTACAAGTAGAAATAACATATTTTCCGTAATGTAGCTGAGGTTTACAGTGATGTATAAGCAATTCCTAAACACACACCAGCAAAGCATTCAGGTTCTTACATACGACACTGGTTCATTAAAAAGTAACAGAGCTGAGTCCATATACGAAGCCTAGACAGACCTTATTATGAAAACCTAAATTGTAGTATAAAACTGCAAATATGTTAACACCAATTTAGATAAATTAATTGTCAATTGTTCAATACTCCAATCCACATTTCATAAAAGATGGAGCTTGATATAGATTTTCCTCCCTTCATCCAGTCACTCTAAATTATTTCAGCTTTAAAGAGGCGAGTCCTTGCCTTTCACATTGGGATATAGAATTTGGTGAAGTGCAGCCTGGGCAACATGGTGAAATTCTGTCTCGGCAAAAAGTACAAAAATTAACTGGGTGTGATGATGCACACCTGTAGTTCCAGCTACACAGGAGGCTGAGGTGCGAGGATCGATTGAACCTGAGAATTTAAGGCTGCAGTGAACCATGATTGTGCCACTGCATTCAGCCTGGGTGACAGCGTAAGACCCTGTCTCAGAAAAAAAGAAAAAAAAAATTTGATGAAGCACATTAGTTGTGGACTTTGGGTATGCATTTTACCAACAAAGCTCTATTTGGGAAAGAGTTAGTTAAATAAACGTAGTTTACTGAGCCACATGTTGATATGGACTGTGGCTTGCTGAAAATCACATTTATGCCTAATAGAGTGCTTAGCACATAGTGGCTCCTCCAAGAAAGAGTTCGTTGAGTGAATAGCAACAATTTACCAAGAAATCAACACTTTTTTTCCATTTGCCTATATTCACTAGGAACAAAATTTGAGCTGGAGACTAAAAAAGAGAGAATAGGGGTAAGAGCGAAAAGGCTGAAGACAGAAGGATGGAAAGAAATGACCAAAAAAGGAGGGAAGAAAAGAGAGGAGGACATTATAATTGATTAAGAAGAGACTGCAATTCCTCCATTCTCTTCATTACACTATGCAGCTCCTTGAGAGGTCATTCTTAAAGTACACTTAGACCCTCAAACAGAACTTAGAATTTAAAATGGCTTGCAAAACTTCAACATATTCATTTAATGTGAAATAAATGATTTGTTAAAAGGTGGGAAATTCCAAGAGGTTGAGTCATGACAAGAAGTTTTAAATCTTATTGGTTTATTTTGATTGCATTTGCAAGTATCTGATGAAAATGTGCAAATCAGCTCATCTCTGTGTTTCAGGCTTCCTGTTGATTGTGTGACAGAGTTGCCAGGCACATAACACATTTGTTTAACAGCACTGCATGATGAACTCACAGTGTTTTACCTCCAGGACTGAAAGTCCTTAATTTGTTCTTTGAGGAACAGTCTGTTTTCATCAAGAGACACGCTTTCGTTGATCAAGCAATTCTACAGAGAGTGACATTAAAGAAAAAGAATCTGGGGATAAGGGTTAGCAGGGAAGTATCTGCCCAGTACCCATGAAAACATAGCAGTTCTCATTTTCCAATTAAACACATTTATTAATTTTTAAATGAAGTTTTCAGAATATGCCTACATCCAGCACAATAGCAATCTCTAGGGCAAGGAAAAAAATGAAACAAAAGCGATGAAAAAAAAATGATGTGAATTTGTAGCAAGTGCTGTGTTTAAGGGAAGTAATTTAAGTGTCAAGGAATATATAACACATTTAAAATATGCTTTTGGTAAAATATTACTGTCTGTTTAGGAATTATCTATTATAATTTTTCTGAATCCAATTTAAATATATAATGGGGTGAAATATACGTACAATATACTTCTAATTGCTTTTCTAATTAGTATGAGAATCCCTCTTAGGAAATACTTTTATGTACCATTCAATGCTTATTTATTCTTTATCCACTACATGTCAGCCACTACTTTCAGACACCGGAGACACAGGGCTGAAATGATCAATCCTCTCTCCCCACGTGGAGCCTGCATTCTAGTCTGAGCTCATCTTGACAAACCACCTGAAGTGAAAGTGAGGTTCTGAAGGTTTAGGTGAGGAAATAACAAAAGAGATTCATGACAAGCTTAGCATAAGAAAGGGACAGGAATTTAGAGCAGGGATGCGCATAAAAACAAATAGAAGTTAAGAGTTTCAGAGGAAAGAGAAGACCAAGTAATAAGGTGAAAAGTTTAAGCCTGGGATAGAGAAAATGACTTAAAAAAAAAAAAAACCTGAAAAGCTAGATCTTCTAATACCCAATTTCAAAATATCTGTTGAGCAGCAATATGTGTAAAGACCTTCACCATTACATGAGAATAACCACAACAATCTACTGTATGACAGGAGCAATCACCAGACATTCTACAGAAGCTGGAAACTACAGCAGAGATATCTAGGTAAACATTTAGCCACAGGAAAACTCAGAAACTCCGATACAGAATTTGAAATGAAAATCTGTGCTGATTTTAACAGGCACAATGGAGATCTGTGCTAAGATACATTATAGACTCTGTCTCTCTTTTTCTCTCTCTCTCTCTCTCCTCTCTGCCTTTCCTCTCTCTCCTCTCTCTTTTTTCCTGTATGTCCATACACATGTGTATTTGTATACAAAATAATTAAATTAAAATGAGCATTTAAATTTGAATTCCAAATTCAGAAGCCAAGCATTTCTATTCAGTTTTTTAAGTTGTAAAATTGGTTATGCCTGGCTCTACCTGATCTTGCAGAACTTCAGTGTTCCCATCTTGTGCAATAGGGAGTTTCTCTTTCTACTCTAGATAGAGTGCAGCTCTAAAAACCAAATTAAACAATACATATTAAAGCAATTTGTAGATTACCACCTGCTACACAAGTAATGATGGCAATAACTTTGTTTTTGTACAGCTATGAACTCTTTATAAAGCTCTTTCTCATATATCATCTTCTTTTCTGTTCAAAACCACTCTGCCAGTTAGACCTTATTGATCCCATTGAAAGAAAGGCAATAAAACAAAGCTCTGAGAGGCTGAGTATCCCAAAGTCACACAACA
Source organism: Homo sapiens (assembly GCF_000001405.40). NCBI lineage: Eukaryota > Metazoa > Chordata > Mammalia > Primates > Hominidae > Homo > Homo sapiens. Next base: position 73,214,451 of record NC_000009.12, on the reverse strand, counting down.
AGTAAATGGCCCAGAGACCACTTCCTGCTTTAAGAGCATCACTTTTCCATAATACACATTTTCTTTTGGCCTTTCAACCAGAATTCAGATAATCTTCAGTAGCCTCAGCTTCCCGGAACCCATCTTTCCTTCTGGTCAGAGTGTGTGAGCTCTATGAAATGACACAGTGTCGGAGATCTTGAACTATGCAATATTTCTATTTAGTGAAAAACAAATATCCAGGGGTACGGAGAAGGTACACTAAAAAGAGGAAGGAAAGGAGAAAATGTTGAAGTTCAAAACAGAGCTCCTACCATGCTGGGTAATTGCTTTGCATAGTTTTTTTAGGCAGAAATTATAGATCCATAATATGCTAATGAACATTCACACTCACAGTGTGCACTGTAATGACTCCAGTGGAAAAGCTCATAGCTTCCATTCAGTCCTGAATAGGCTGCCAAATGTGATCATACCTAGTTTCAGGCAATCATAGATTAAACAATACTTTATTGTCATTAGCATACTTTAACACACACACACCACTATCATAAAATAATATTTTAAATTGTAATAAAAATATAATCAAAAAGGAAAAAGGAATATTTACAGCAAATTGTGAAATTTACCAAAAAAGATTATTAAAGGTTAACAAATTAAAATAAGTTAGGAATCTGATGGAAACCTCATTCTCATCCAAGTTCACTGTCAATCACAATTCTTAGAAATGCCAGTGCCTGAGAGATATAACATCAATTTAAAAAATTTTAGTGATATTAAGGAAAATACAGTCCTCTTAACACTTTCCCTAGACCAGTACAGCTTATCTGCTTCACAAAATGGATGGGTTTGAGTGTGAGTGTCTTTGTCTTTTATGTAAGTGTTACTAAACTACCCAGTCTGGCCCCTGCCACGGACTTCCCCACAGAATATGGCTGCCAACGTTTCAGATTTCACTCAGCACATCAGACTTAATTTACTAATTGTCTTCCCACATCATTTTGCCAACTGATAGAAAACCCAGAGTCAGTAAGTAGCCAATCATTTCCACCAGTCATCTCTCTCTCTCTCTGCAAGTGTAATATAGCATAGCCATGCCTTTGTGCAATGTGATCACCATTTCATTTAACTACTTTACTTAGAAATAAAATGGTTTTGGCTAATTGTCATAACTTGAACCTATACTGTTAGTACCTTTTCTTAATGTGATATCCATTTTACTCCCTTATCCTTCCTCTGAGCAACTCCCATTATGCAAGTCTGAGTCAATACATTCTCAGTCCCAGAAACACACTTACTTATTTCTCCAAGTCCAGGTAGTTTCATATTTATGCGTACATGGAGGAACAAATGAATTTTCAGATGTGTCTTAGTTTGGGTTCCTCCAGAAGACAACTCTAAGATAAGAATTTGAGTACAAATAGTTTTTTTAGGATGTTATCCCAGGAAACATGGGTGAAGAGGGATAAGTAAAAGTTGTGTTAATTCTCCTGTACTTCTAGACTGCTGTGCAAGGGGCACACCTGTCTCCAGCTGTCAGAAGAGCCATTGGGCAAAGAGGTGCAGAGTCTGGCAGTGAGAAATCAGAACTCCATGTGTGACCTGGTAAAGCCCTAGGGAATGTGGTAGGGAACCAGCAGGTTCTGCTACAGGATGAATGTGATGCACACGGAAAAATAATAGAACCTGCATCACCAGAGTGCTGTTAGGATAAAGTGGATACACGCATAAAAGCCACATTTGCTCTGTATGTAATATCTTTTATTGTGTTGTGCCTGTATTATGATTATGATATATATTTTATTAGCTTGTTATATATTCATTTTTTGGCTTAGTAATCATTCATCTCTGTGCATTTTAATGTATTCTTTACCTATTCCACAAGTTGTTTTTGTTGTTGCTGTTGTTGTTTTTTGTTTTTTTTTTTTTTTTGAGATGGATGGAGTCTCACTCCATTGCCCAGGCTAGAGCACAGTGGCATGATCTCAGCTCATTGCAACCTCTGTCTCCAGGGTTCAAGCAATTCTGTGTCTCAGCCTCCCAAGGAGCAGGGATTACAGGCACCCACCACCACAACTGGCTAATTTTTGCATTTTTAGTAGAGACGGGGTTTTGCCATGTTGGCCAGGCTTGTCTCAAACTCCTGACCTCAGGTGATCTGCCCTGCTTGGCCTCCCAAAGTGCTGGAATTACAGGCGTGGAGCTACCGCGCCTGGCCCAAAGTTTTCTAAATGACTTACAATAACACATAAAGTGTATAAAATTTAAAAGGTGGCAAATAAAGCCAGACACAACTCAATCATAGATCAAAGTAATGAATGAGACTAAAAACAAGCCGGGTGCAGTGGCTCACGCCTGGAATCCCAGCACTTTGGGAGGCCAAAGTGGGTGGATCATGAGGTCAGGAGTTTGAGACCAGCCTGGCCAACACGGTGAAACTCCGTCTCTACTAAAAATACAAAAACTAGCTGGGCATGGTAGTGCATGCCTGTAATCCAAGCTACTCAGGAGACTGAGGCAGGAGAATCACTTGAACCCAGGAGGCGTAGATTGCAGTGAGCCGAGATCATGCCACTGCACTCCAGCCTGGGTGACAGAGCAAGACTCTGTCTCAAAAACAACAACAACAAAAACACATATCACAATGACCTACACATTTGTCATTGCTGGCTAGATAGTTGTCTATAAGCTATTTAATAGACAATGTACAAACAGCAAGGTTTTTAACCCAGAGCTACTTTCTTGTTCAATATGAGCAAAGATACCGAGGAAAGAATTGGAAACCTCTTCTAAAATCAAGGGGCCAAAGAGCATATGAGGATAATTTTGGTCACATTTTTCATAAAAATTATATACTGTTACCAGAAATATAAAGCACATCAACATATGATATGTATTCATCATATACAGAAATTCAGGGTGTGCATAGTCATGTGAGATTTCTCCTGCTTCTGAAATTCAAATAACTTTAAACTGCAGAAGGAAAGTCTGCTCTTATAGACTTATGCAATGCGTAGACATTACTCATGGAGAAGGTTCTCTACAAGGACAAACACATAAAAAAGAGGCATATGGATTAGATTAGAACTTTCTTGGTTCATAGCACACTTAATGTTTAATAATATTTCTATGATACCTACACCAAATTAATAGCTTACAGTTTCATTTATTAAGTGGTTAAATGAAACACTGAAAAAGTATTTATTTTCTAACAATTTAGTAACCATTTAAAAATATAATAGTACACACAAATATGAATAAAACATATTTTCTTTCTTTCACATGATGTCCTTTCCGTGGGAGATTGTAAGTCAATCTTACTTCCAGCTTCCATGCTGGCATTCCTTTGAGAACTATCCTTGGCTTCAAGGGCCCATGTTTCTCACCTGCAAGCAGGTGAGAAATGCCAGGGAATTCACATCCCCCGGGAGTACTTCCAATTAATAAGAGTTATGTACACCATGGCCAGAATGTTGTGTTCCCCTAGGATTCATATGTTGAAATCCTAACCCCCAAGGTGATAATATTAGGAGGAGGGGCCTTTGGGAAGTGATTACCTAATGAGGACTTTGTCATTATGGAAATTAATGGGATTAATGCCATATTAAAAAAAAATCCCAAGATTTTTTTAACCTTGCCCCTTCTGCCATGTTATGTTACAGTGAAAAGAGGTCCGTCGATGAACCAGAAAGGAGACCTTCACTTACTCACCAAATATACTGGCACCTTGATCTTGGACTTTTCAGCCTCCAAAACTATGAGAAATAATTTTCTGTGGTTGATAGGCCACTCACTTCATGGCATTTTCTTATAGCAGCTTGAACAGACTAAAACAATATATTAGGTTAGTGCAAATGTTATTGCAGCTTTGGACTGTGAATTTTAAATTATTATAACTAGGCTCAAACACATCTTTATTAATCATATAGGAACCATTACAATCAACACATTTTTGCCAAGGAGAAATAACTTTGTTTATTCCTGTAGTGTAAAAATCCGTGCTTCGGGATTTGATGAGCTCTGGAAAGCATTTTCTGCATCCTGCTGGTTGTGGAAGTATTTTCCCTTCAAAAAGATGTTGAGATGCTTAAAGAAGTGGTAGTCGGTTGGCAAGAGGTCAGGTGAATATGGCAGATAAGGCAAAACCTGATAGCCCAATTCGTTCTACTTTTGAAGTGTTGGTTGTGCGATGTGTGGCCTGGTGTTGTCATGGAGAAGACTCGGGCCCTTTCTGTTGACCAACGCCGGCTGCAGGCGTTGCAGGTTTTGTGCAGCTCATCGATTTGCTGAGCATACTTCTCAGATTTAATGGTTTTGCCGGGATTCAGAAAGTTGTAGTGGATCAGACTAGCAGCAGACCACCAAACAATGACCATGACCTTTTTTTTTTTTTTTTTTTAATTGGTGCAAGTTTGGCTTTGGGAAGTGTTTTGGAGCTTCTTCTCAGTCCAACCACTGAGCAGGTTGTTGCCAATTGTCACATACAATCCACTTTTCCTTGCATGTGGCAATTTGATCTAGAAATGGTTCATTGTTGTGTAGAACAAAGGAAGACGACGCTTCAAAATGATTTTTTTTAATCTTCGCTCAGCTTATGAGGCACCCACTTATTGAGGTTTTACACCTTTCTAATTTGCATCAAATGCCAAATGACCAATGTTGAGTTCTTCAGCAACTTCTCAAGTAGTTGTAAGAGGATCAGCTTCAATGATTGCTCTCAACTGATCATTATCAACTTCCAATGGTGGCCACTATGCTCCTCTGCAAGTTTCTCCTGTCCTCTGCAAATCTTGAGCCACCACTGTGCGTATGTTTGTTAGCAGTTCCTGGGCCAAATGCACTGTTGATGTTGACTGTTTCCGCTGCTTTATGCCCCATTTTGAACTTAAATAAGAAAATTGCTTGAATTTGCTTTTTGTCTAACATTATTTCCATAGTCTAAAATAAATATAAAGTAAACAGCAAGTAATAAGTCATTAGCAAGATAACATAAAGCGAGAAATGTGCATTAAAATGATGTATAACAGAAGCACATTTATTTAAGAATGTATTCCTGTATCAAACAGCAATTCCAACAATGCAAATACTCCAGCTCCCTTGCCTATGTGGGGACATAACTCTGAGGTGTTTGTTCTAGTTTGTCTTCCAGAGGTCTCCATTGGGATTAATCTCCAGTTACCTACAGTGAACACTTGCTTGAGAGTGTACCATTTTATTGACTGTGTTGCCTTTTCTGTATAACTTTCCTCCTTCCCTTGTAGTGTTTCTGGGAGTCACCTCCTAATCAATACATGAATGTACTTGAACCCCTGTTTCAGGGTTTTCACCTGGAAGAAATCAAACTAAGACAAATGAATTAATGATTCATCAACCATACACCATGTTCTAGCAATATTTTCTTTTTCACTTTTTTCCCTTGCTTTTTATCCTTGATGCTAATCACAGTGCCGTTTATATGATAGGCATGTAGCTAATCATTGTGTTCTTTTAGTGCCCAATCACAATACAATTCATTCAGGTGACATGCCCCAAGCCCCCATGTTGTATATACTGAGTTTGGTGCTGAGCCCACAGTATCTATACTGTGTTTGGTGCTGAGCTCAGTTTCGTGCTGAGCCCAAAATATACTGTGTTTGGAGCTGAGAATCCCAATATAAATAAATATAAAGAAGGTATACACTCCCTGTTTTTAAAAACTCATAGTCTTCAGAAGAGAAAGACTTATGAACTGGTGACTGATGATATACAGTAAATGCTTAAAAACTCTCAATAAGTAGTTTCTGATTACTCAAATAAATTAGCAACCTCCCTGTCCCCATAACCATTTTCACTTTTTTCCTATGCCCTTCTCTCTCTTTATACAGCATTGTTAGAATACAGCATGAGCAGTGGGTACGGGTCAGAAGTTATATGTTAGGGCAGTTCTCCCTTGTCATCTCTGCAGTGAGAGTAGGGGCTATTTGGTCCATTTGTTTAGCATAAAGTATTTGAGACCAAGATTAAAAGTCTCACTTTGGGAAGACACATGGAAAAGACAACATGAAAGAATTAGCTCATATCCATTATCACTGCTAAGAAAACAGCTTAAAATTGGTGTTCCACGTGTGGTGGGATGATAGCATCAAACTTATTAGTAAGGGAGATTGATTTATGAAAGAAATGACATGAAAATCTTCCCTTTTTTTCTAACTCATCTTCACTCATTAATAATAAAGGTGTCTAGGGAAAGTCCTCTTCAGCAATCAGGAATCAGTAAAGTGCTATCTATGTCCGTATGTATTAAAGTGAGTCGCTTGCCAGATTAGCCCTGGTTCTTCATATGTGATTCAGTTAAATAACTAGACAGATAGACACCACAGATGTGGAGATATATATAGAAGGATATAATGAACTCATAACTATTTGCCTACCATCAACAACAAAAATAAAATAAGAATTACTTTAAAACAACTAGGAATTATTTCCAATTTAGCTATATTTTACCAAAGGTCTATGGTAGGTCTTGTGAAGGGAACAGAGGGAAAATAATTATACTGTTGCACATAGTGTTGTAAGACCATTAATAATGTGGCCGTGATTACAGCTAATGATTATAATTTAAAGACATCTCATGCTAGGAACCAGGTAGAAGGGGGCAAAGTGGCTGCCACTGTTAGCTTGAAAGAAATGTCATATTTTCCCTGAACAGCTTAATATTCTGTTGGTCAGATATAAACCACAGTTTGTGCCCTGGGGAGTAAGAGCTGGAGGAGAGAAAATTTAAAACTCTACTAGGAGTTTCTTGAATGGATAAGGACATACTGTGCTTATATGGTTATGGTTACCACATTGCCATGGAAGCCCTCTCTAAATAAGTGACATGGACAACAAGAAAATCATCATTGTTCCCCCATTTTATTCAACTTCAGACAGCAAGAAAAATAAGTTATCTACGCCTGTGCACATATTTACTCACACACAAATATACATACACACATACACACACAGACATAAGCAAGAAGATTTTAAACTCCTGTACAAAGCCATATGTGGTACCTACGTCCCTGACAGTTTTCAAAGCCAGCCACTGATAAAAGACAGGGAATTTATGAATGAAGTTGAATTACAATATATTCTACTTCTACGCATCATTGCCAAAGACAAAAGGATGAGAATCAATTCAGAAAATAATGTTTTAATTTTTTCTTTCATTATTTGTAACAACCTTTTAAAAAGTAGCAATAAAATAACCTTCCCATTCACCCATTTGTTAGGCTCAATATACCAAACTCACAAACACTACACATTTTCTATGTTGTAGTATCTTCTGGCAGTATCTTTAAAAGGAAAGAAGCTTAGAGTTTTATGTGTTTGTATAATTTTGGGGATTTCAATTGTGTTGAGGCAGGGGAAAATAAGTAAGAGCTTTAGCAAATTCCCCTATTTTGAACTAAAAGGGAAGTAGTCTAAATTAATATGTTGAAGTCAAAGCTATCTTTTTCTCTCCTTAGTATGTTCAGTACCTCACACTAGGCTAATAAAATGTTGCTAGAAGCAGTCATTAGAGAAACTACTTTACTAAATAAGAATGTAAATAAGAATGAGTCACAATTTGTAGTGTATCGATTGTTTTAAGGGAATATTTCAAAGTACAATTTACATAAACCAATTGAAGACAATCCCAACAAACTTGTTTATATGGTAAAATCCAGCCATAGGCTTCTGTAACTAGAGAGCTAAGAGTCTAAAAGTTTATAGACACTTACATAGCAAACCTAATACAAATGTTTCATTGCAATAAACACTACACATTCAATTCTGATAATATTTCTATTTTACCTGTATTAACCAGATAAAAGAAGCATTGGTAATTTTCTACACACAGATACTGCTACCCTATGTTAATATTTAGCACAGAAGAAATAAATACCTCTTGTGTAATTTTGTTCCTGCTATCTAGGCCTATAAGAATATCATAAAGAGTGAAAAGTAGAACTTCCTCTGAAAAAAAAAGATCAACATGGTGATCACAGATAAATGGTCCTTCTGGAAATAAAACAAAACAAAATAACAACTAAAATCATCTCTTTGCCTTCTAAGGAATAAATCTAAATATATTTTTGTTTTAAGATATAAAAATCATGACCTCAGAGACAACAACAACAACAAAATCTGTTGCAGTTGTAGTTATGATCAAGTGTCTATGAATCGATTCATGGTAGGATAGAGATGCGAGGGAGTTAAGACAGCACCTCTCATAACACCATTCTACTAATCAAACTAAGAGACCAGACGGCTGGCAAATGCCAAGAATAAGGGCCTGATGTCTGCCCTTTCTAGGACATTTGTGTTAAAAAGCAAGATAATTTTTAAAATTTAGAACACAACAGTGCCAAGTCAAAGAAAGCAGAGCATTTAAGGTGTGCAATGAAAAATTTCCCTTGACAGGCATGGATAGTAAATACTGATACCAGACTGATTCAGGATAACTTACAACTAATTCTACAAAAGTAATTTTCAAACTCATACAAAAAAATGTGAATTATTTTTGTTATATATTTTTAAAAACACAAATTCCCTCTACTTTGGTGTCTCTTCCATTTTAGTTTGAATTTCAGAGGATGTTACACAGCATCCAGGCCAACACCAAAGAAACAAGAGGTGAAATGATTTGCTTAGTCTTACGAATATTTGGGAGCCAAACTTCAACTGGAATGGGCTATCCTGATTTCATCTCTAAAATAACTTAGTCTAGTGACTTTTTGTTTTTGTTTTTGTTTGGTGCAGAGATAGAACAATAGCTAACAGACAAATAGCTCACATTTCCATTTTTTTTCTCATCAGTGTCACAGAATCATCAACAATTAAATGTCCTAGTATAAATCATATTAAAATAAACAGCAAGCCAACAAAATGGGTCTTTTACTAAATTGCAGAGAGTCTGAAGAGTGTATTTTGAGCATTTAAGTGTAGTCATTGGCATTCTGTACTAGAATGGGAAAGGAGAGTCAGGCTACATAAATGTCAACTCTGGTAAAATTGCCAGTGACATGGGCACTTCAGTTGTTGAGAAATGTACTGAGTCTAGCAGTTCTTTTTAAACCAATATTTAACAAAGCTTTCTGAAAATATTACATATGGCATGTATCAGCCTATGACATGTGGCCAATAACAACAGATATAAATTTAACTTGGGAAATTAGGTATGAAGGGCGTACTACCCATTAATAATTTGTATTATTCAACTCTAGCAACAATACATAAGTAATTAGGCATGACATAGTCAGTAGACAGTTTTGACCACCACTGCTGTCACAGTCAGTGGTGCAATGCAAGAATTTACAGGGAGGAAGGTGAAAGTGTACCTTTTGAGATGTTGTTGAAGTGCTGGACAGAGATCTTCCAAGGGCCTTGATATTGAATGGAAGCTCTCGTGCATACAGGTCGTTACATAAGAATGAAGATGGCGGTAGCAAGGAAGATATAGAACTGTATTATTGCTGAGAGAGATATTTTCATTAGAGAAAAAGGTCAACAGTGGTTGGGTAACATTACTGAGGAAATATAATGTTGTCATCTACTAGAACTGGTTATTATCAGTGGACAACAGCCCAGCAGTTGATAATATTGAGGGAGTGCATAGAAGTAATGATGATAGTCCTCTCATCAAGAAACTTATGTTCAACATGAAACATCCACAAACAAGAGTCAATAATAAATACTAGTATACATGGATATAGTTACAAAAATTGTGCTGAAGATAATTATCATTCTTGTTTAGAAAAGAAGTTTAACATTAATAAGAGAATAATTAGAATAAGAGTTGGCCAAATAGATTTCAAAATGATATTCAAACAAGAGAAGTATATCTAAATTGTTAGGTACAAGTATGTATAGGCAGGAATGATCACAGTTCACAGTCTTTTAGAGGGATTTTGAATAGATTGGCCTAAGCATTACATTCTAGACTGTGAACTTCTTGATTGCCATGTTGAAATTGACGTTATTCTCTGGCACGTTATGCTGCCCAGTAGAACTTTCTGTGATACGGGAAAGGCTTTATATCTGAACTGTTCAACATTGTAGACACACACAGCTATGGAACGCTTGAATGAGTAGTACAAGTGAGAAAGTGAATTTTAATTTCATTTAATTTTAATTAATTAAAATTTAAATTTAAGTAGCCACGTGACGCTAGTAGTATCAGTATTAAATAGCAGAGCTCTAGAGACTAGGAAGTCACTATAGGTTTTCAGCAGAGAATAACAAGAGAAAGACAGTATTTTAGGCAGATTAATTTGGCAGATGTGTTTAGGCAAGTCTGGGGGATGAGGGAATGAGAAGTACTCCTGAGATTGTATTGAATTTATGAATGATCTGAAAGAATTGACATTTTTAAAATAAGTCTTTCAGTGATGAACATGATGTATTGCTCCATTTACTGAAGTTTTAAAATATCTCTCAGCAAGGTTTTATAAACTTGTAGCAACATAGTTCATAATAATAAAAATACTAAAGCAACCTACATGTTTATCAGAAATATAATGTGTATAAAAATTATATTTTAGAAAAGGTGAAAGAGCCATAGCTGTATGCAACATGATTAATCATATTGGATAAATGAAGTAAGACACAAAATGATACATATAGTATTACTCCATTCAAAAAAGATACAATAACAGGTGAAACAAAAATGTATTGCTTATATACATAGTAAAACCATACAGAAAAACAAAGAATGGCTTACTATAAAAGTCAAGATGATAGATTCCTTTGCATGGAAGGGATGGGGTTATAACAGGATTATTATTAACCTGATTACTTCTTCATCTGGGTGGTGTTACTGCAGGCATTCACTTTATAACTATGAATTAATCTGTAAATATATGTTATGTACTTCCTAGTTATGTGTGTCACAGTGACCCAAAAAAAAAGAAGTTGAAATAAATGTAAGAAAAAAGTAAAACAAAATTAAAATAATAATAAGGCAGAGATGATAGGTTGCAATCCCTTGTAGCTCTTCCCATTCAAGAGGAAGAATACTCTATTACCCTACCCATTGATTCCAGGCTGGTTTTGTGATTTACTTTGGCCAATGGGACATTAGCAAATGTGACATAAGCAAAGACTTGAAAAAGGTTTTCACATTGGGGTTTGCCTTTTCTTGTTGATTTTGAAACCCAGCTGCCACTTGACAAGGCTTGTCTACTAGGTGTTTGTAGACACATGGCTTGATATTTCTTATCATCTCAGCCAACCATTAGACATGTAAGTGAAGCCGTCTGGGACCACAGCCCCAATTGTCCTACTAGCTGATTGCAGCTGCATGAGGGAATCAAGGTCAGACAAGGGGAGGAACTGCTGACTGAATATTGCCAAATTTCCAAACCACAGAATTGTGAACTAAAAATGAACCTTTTAAGCCACTAAGTTTTGGGTGGCATGCTTTCTGTTATGAATGCAGCAGAATATTTAGATATTCCCAGGTATCAAAAAGAGCACAGTAGTTCAATTGGTCAGTGATTCTGAATCTAAGCATTTTCACAGTAAAGGGGAAAGAGAAAACACACTAAAATGCATAGTTTTCATTTTCTGATCAACATACACCAACAAAAGGCAAGGTACATTTTTTAGGCTGTACAAAGTTATCAGTTTTCTTTAATATTATGCACAATGATGTCAAAGGCTATAGATATCTTGCTTATATATTAAAATCACGGGGTTATGAAAATTTGCTACACGTTGGTTATAATTTGTGCTTCTTGACAATCTTTCATTATCCTATTTCACACATGCATAATTTCGTATGGATGATGAGTCTGCTTTTATTGGTTGGTATCAAAATTTCCAGTATTGAGAAGATTCTGAAAGTAGATGAGCTTGCTAAAGCAAAAGTAATAATAGTTGCAGAACATCTGACTCTGATTAGTAAAGGAAATCTCCCACCTCTCCCCAAAATACCCCACAAAAAATAATAAGACTCAAAATAGATACATGTATTAAAAACAAAAGGAGTGCTAACTTGAGTCAGAGTTCAAAGTTCCAGGTATTTTATCAATTTGCAAAGAATATCATCCCATGTGAAATTAACATTGGCATACACAACTTGATGTCTTAGGAAATAGTATAGCAATTAAAAGAAAGATTAAGATTTTTCAGGGTTATAGACTTTGAATACAAGAAACTCTAGGGGCAGATAGAGGATTTAGAAGAGAAATCTTGCCTGCACGTTCTGTAGCTTTCCTATATTTGCTATTTATTAACTTCCTGAATCCTTTTAAGTGCTTTTCAGTGAAAGACTCAAAAAAGATTGTTCTATAGGATTGTTTTGGGGGTATCCAGAATGAGGGGATAGGAAAGCTGCAGCATCTTGGGAGAGAAAAAGATAGGATCCTGAGGAAATGGGGAGAGTGTGATCTGTGGCAACTGTGGAAAGAAAATAGAAACATTCTGAATATGAGAGGCCTGGGCAAAGGTAACCTTGGGGAGCTTTTCTAGACCTGAAAAGGGAATGTAGGGCTGAGAAGTTGTGTGCAACTCCCTGACATGTTAGAAAACTTCAATGAGAGCCCATAAAATAATTAACCATAAATGCTGAGAAATATGTACACCAGAGTACCTGTATCTTTGCTTTATTCTAGATTCTGAATCAGTCCATAGTCAACAAAAATATCTTTCTCTTTAGTTAGTAAAACTGAGCACACACCCCAGATATTTAGCTACCTTCTGTTTATTTACCTATGAATATGTCACAGGCATCTTTGCATAGTTAAAAAAATCTTACCCTTACCTATTTAAATAATATTTTTATAAGAATCCATATTGTCCCCAATTAATTTCTCTATCACCATTAATAAATTAAAATTATATTTATAAAGACTCCGTGGCGTAAAACTTAGGTACCAGAGAATGGTGTAGGTAGGCCTTCTTTGAAATCTCTTTTTTTCCCCTGCCCCCACTAATGGATTTAAGATGATTAAATTGCAAAAGGCATGACAGAAAGGTGATGTTTTGACAAAATGAGCTGGGTTGTTTGGAAGCAGCCCTGAAGCAGTAGCTTGGAATTGGGGGCCTTATGGATTTCTCCATAATGCAGATAGAACTTCATGATATATTTAAATCCTTTTCCGCAAACATTTCCCTGATTTGTTGCCAAGCCGTCACTGAATTTAGTAATCCAGACAGATTACCATAGGGGTCCTATTTTTAGGGTCCTTCTGTTGCTGTGGCAGTTGCAGCTGATCGGATTATGGTTCTATCCTAGCCATGTGAAATGCTTTGATGCTTCGAGAGAAACCTGCACTCAACTCCCGTAATTACAATGTCAGACTCATAGCTGGAAATTTCACTCTGAATTTATTTTGTAGCTCCATTGTGGCCAATCCATTATTAACTCATGAGATGGCGTGTTGTCTTAGTTTTGCTCTGTGTCTTTCAAACTAGCTCACTATTATGTGTATGTGTGTGTTGGAAGGGAGGGTGGGTGATAGTAAATGCACGCAGTGGGTCACAGAGGACATATATAATCTCTCTGATTCTGAGTGCAAAAAAAAAAAAAAAAAAAAAAAATACACAACCCAGACATTACTCTCTCCTATAAATGGCAATATCTCCATCTAGTGGTGAAAATTACCTTAATTGTCTTTACTGTCAGTTGAGAAAAAGCCACAAATTTGTCTCAGAACGTAATTTGTATTTTACCTTCACAATATAAATGTTTTCCCAAGAAGAATAGATGTTCGTCATATCACATTGGACCCATCCCATGGCCTTTGCAAGGGAAAAAGTAATTCTGTTTACCTCAAAAGAAGTTTGTCTTCCACTGTCACCTGATACCTGGGTACACAGAATTTGTCCATAATTTTTTTCATGGTTTTTTCTTTTGCAAGGTATTGGGAGGGAAGTAGTGACAAAGTGTAATGAAATAACAAGCTGAATGAATTTTATATGGACTTATATTCGATCTAAGAAGTAAATTACTCAGCCAATTTCTCATCTCTCATAAAACTATTTTTTCATCAATGGTATAGCAATTACGCCACAGTAAACTAGTATACATTTTTCACGTATATACAAAGAAATAATATTTTTCTTTGAAAAAATAAAGGCTAAAGCAGAATGTTAAGGTTTTCCCTATTTTATAACTTATTGCAACCTCAATCATAAAAAGCTCTTGCAACATGAAACCAGTTATTTAAGGCTGTCTTTTACGAATGCTCTTGATTGCATTTTCGTTATTGTTAATGCAAGTGGGAAATTGTTTTAACTAATATTCCTACTCATCTCCAATTATACAGCTTGTACTCACACATTTATTTAGGTAAATATAAATATGGAGTCACAAGGTAGAAAAACCAGGAGAGTGAAGGCGGCCTCTGGGCACACAGCAGAGCCCGTTAGATGGCAGCACGCGCACGGTCTCAGCTTGTTTCAAATCCTGCTGCTTGTACTCGGAGCCCCTGAACCCCAGGTTGGTTTGTGTGCCATGGCAGTTTGGTATCTCCAGAGGGACTGAGTCCAGTAACTCGATGCAACAGAGTCCGATCTTTCAATCCAGAATGCCAACTGATTAATGTAAAATTGAACGTATTTTTTTTCTGATATGTTAATATTGGAATGTTACCCAAAGAATCTGATGTCAGGGTATCTAAGAATTTGAACGAGTTTGTGGCCTGGACAAGTGTTTTATCCAGCTTATGTCAAAATCCGGTGACTTTTTTCTGTCCAATACTTTCTTCCCTCCCTCTTTCCCCATCTCCTTCCTTCTCTTCCTCCTCCTCTTTCCTCTTTCCTTTTTCCTTCCATTTTTCTTTTTTCCTGCCTTTTTCTTTTCCTCCTCCTCTTTCCTCTTTCCTTTTTCCTTCCATTTTTCTTTTTTCCTTCCTTTTTCTTTTCCTTCTTTCTTTCCTTCCTTTCTTTTTTTCCTTCTTTCTTTCTATACTCCTTCTTTCCTTTATTCTTTCCATCCTCCCTCTCAGTGCCCTTCCCTGGCTTCTTTCTCTTAATAATAACACTAATAAGATTAATAGCAACAAATAAAAGGGAAAAATATGTTTGTATGTGCCAGTCTCTGTTGTAAGAACTTTACTGAGATTATCTAATTTAATCCTTCTAACCTTAACTATTCTAACCTATGCATACAGTAGGAGTAAACTGAGGGATACTTTCATTAAGTAAATTGTTCAATTTATTAATTCAGAATATATTTTTTGGACACTATGTAATCAGGATGCAACAGTGATCAAATCAGATAGATGTTCTCAAAGAGTCTGCATTCTGGACAGAAAATGAACAGTTTAACAAAAAATATTATGGCTTGTGATAAGTGCTATGAAGCAAATGAAAGGAGTGCCATGATGAGACAAAGATTAGAGCTCTCTTTTTTAATAAGGTAGTACATATGAATTGTACATTTCATATACATATGTACAAATCTAGGTTATAAAGTAACTGTATTCTCAAGATCTGGAGTCTTGCTTATGTGGACAGGTTTTGAGCCTGGCATTTTTAGACTTTTTGGACATTATACTTTTTCTTACACATTGTAGCCTTTATGTTTACATTTTCCTCATCTTTCTTTACTTTATGAAAAGATTAGGCTGCAGTTACCTTAAATAAAATATGGCAATCGTACTTTCTTGAACTACACCCCTATTGAACAATATGGTTCTTCAGTGACATATTCACAGATGATCTCTCACTCACTTGTATAGATGACTAATCTCATCCATTATGTATTAATTTGTACCTTAATTTTAAGTTATGAGGACTTTCCTATATTTCTCCATACCTGACATTTATGTGTCTATGCACACACATTATATTTTAAGAAGAAAAAATTGAGTTTATAAAATGGATTTATAGCCACCTGAGAAAATATACAATGTCAAATATAACCATTTTGCTAATTTTATGTAGTTTAAAATATTTGTTATATTATTTCATTTCAAAAAATTAACGCTTTGGTGCCCCAAATTCACTATCCTCAATTGACATGATACAGAAGAAATAAGCAGTAAACATTATAAATGTGAGGGTATTGAAAATAGTGATGAAAGAAGGAAAGTGTAGAATCCAGGTTGAAAATAGCAATATTTAAACTTCATGAAAGAATATCATTTTTTATTGAAGCATGGTTAAAACTTTAAAGATATTCTTCAAAAGAGATTCACAGTTTTAAAATAGTCAATGCTTTCATTTATTTTCTGCACCACTAAAGCTTAAGAATGCCTGTCATATTAAAATTTCTTGGTAAAGGGACCAAACACAGTGGCTCATACCTGTAATTTCAGCACTTTGAGAGGCTGAGGTAGGCAGATCACTTGAGCCCAGGAGTTTGAGACCAGCCTGGGTAACATAGCAAAATCTTGTCTCTACAAGAAAATTTAAAAATTAGCTGAGCATCGTGGCTCATGTCTGAAGTCCCAGCTACTTAGGAGGCTGAAGTGGGAGGATCACTTGACCTGGAATTTCAAGGCTGCAGTAAGCCAGAATTGCACCAGTGCACTCCAGCCTGGGTGACAGAGCAAGACCCTGCCAAAAAAAAAAAAGAAGAAGGAGAAAAAGAGAGAAAGAAAGAGAGAAAGGAAAGGAAAGGAAAAGAAAGGAAAGGAAAAAAATTTCTTAATAAATAAAAAATAATATTTCACATATCCTCACACCATTAAAGGATTATTACGGACAGTCAAATTACATAAAATAGAGTGCTTGATGTGTATTACAGACAAAGCATAAGGTAGCATTATCTAAAGAATCAATGGATTTTCTGACCCCACAGTGTCTAGTGAGTAATAGCTATTAAATAAATGTTTCTTGAATGTGTTAATAAATACATGGAAATTAAAATTTCTCATGTAGACACAGTTATAATAGTCTCAGAAAAAGAAATATCCATATCCAGTGTATTCATTCAGCAATATTTATAAATACAGGTATAAATTATATAGATAATGAATATGTAATATTAAAAGCATAATAAATGTGAATATAAAAATAAACATAAAATATACAAAATATATGTGTGCATAAATATATATTAAATATACATATATGTATATTGTATATATTGAATACACAATATATAAACAGCTGTGTATATATACACCTCTATACATATATTCTATATATATACATATATTAAATATATGTATATTCAACATATATATTATACATAAATATGTACTGCTCTTTCTAACTTCTAGGAGCTACATAGAATCTCAAGTTTTAGTTTTAAGAAATAGGGCTTTCATTTTAATGGAGAAGACATATTAATAACTTATTACAAATTAAACAGTTTAATTTTAATTATCATAAGCTCCAAGAAGAATTTCAAGAAACTAGAAGAATATAGTAACAAAGGTGATTCACTGTTGGGAATCATTGGTCTAAAGTAATAAAAAGCTAATGAGTTATCAAAGACATAAAATGTTTTTAACAGCCTCCAAGAATCAATTTAAGCCCCAGTCCTAGCTCTAGAGGCTCAGATTTTCAGGACATGTTTATTCCTGTTTTATATTCATATAAAAGCAAAAAGTAAAGTTCAAATTGATAAAATAATCTAATAATGCTATGGCAATCAAAAATACTGCACTCTCTCCTCTTGTCTGAATAGTATTAGAATTATATATTTTAGATTCTACTGTAAAGTAAGCAAGCAAATTAGATAGCAGTATTGTGTCAATGTAAATTTCCTGATTTTGATAATTTTACTATGATTTTGTAAGAAAACATGGTGTTTTCAGAAAACACACGTTTAACTATTCAGTGGCACAGAGCCATCATGCCTAAAAGTTACTTTTCAATAGGTCAAAAATGTGTGTGTGCGTGTATGTTGTGTGTGTGTATGTGTGTGTGTGTGTGGAAAAAGGACAGAAAAGGAGTAAAATATTAAAATTTGAGGATCTGTGTAAAAAGTATATCAGAATTCTTTGTTCTATTTTTACAACATTTCTGTAAGTCTGAAATTCTTCAAAATAAAAAAAAAAATACAAACAGTGTTTGAAAAATCATACTGAGCATGGTTCCTGGCACATAAATTCTTCATGAGTGTCAAGCTTAGATTCATAGTTTTCACTGAAATTATGAATTCACCACTTACGTTTTAGTTCTTACATTGCTATAAAGAAATACCTGCAACTAGGTAATTTTTAAAGAAAAGAGGTTTAATTGGTTTACGCAGTTCCACAGGCTGTACAGGAAGCATGGCACTGGCATCTGCTTAGTGTCTGGAGAGGATTCGGGAAACTTACAATGATGACAGAAGGCGAAGGAGAAACAGGCACGTCTTACGTGGCAGGAGCAAGAGGGAGTGAAGGAGGAGGTGCCACACACTTCTAAATGACCAGATCTCACGAGAACGCACACACTGTCATGAGGATGGTACCAACAGGATGGTGCTAAACCATTCATGAGAAATCATCCCCATGATCCAATCACCTCCCACCAGGCCCTGCCTCCAACACTGGGGATTACAATTTGACAAGCGATTTGGTGGGGATACAGATCCAAACAATATCAACTTGATATGACAAAACAAAGTAAATAAATCTCTGCCATTCAACTTTTAATTCACAAGGTAAATTTTTAATTCACAAAGTAAAAAGAAAAATATCTGTGTGTTATATTTAGGTTAGAAAAGACACTTCACAATGATGCTTATAAACCTTCAGTTTTTTAGTTTTTTAAAAAACTGACCTGAATACAGAGTTTTCCTTCCCTTCTTCTTACATACCCAAGAAGAATAAATTATTCACAATGATAAAGGCAAGAAAATGTACCATCAACC
Source organism: Homo sapiens (assembly GCF_000001405.40). Lineage (NCBI taxonomy): Eukaryota > Metazoa > Chordata > Mammalia > Primates > Hominidae > Homo > Homo sapiens. The sequence continues at coordinate 73,195,712 of NC_000009.12, read as the reverse complement.
AGCCACTTAAATGTTGAATTTCTATAATATGGAAAGCTGATAAAGTCCTGCTGATGGATAAATTAGAATTTAGAAAACAACACGAAACATGTGCTTGAGAAGGCAGAAAAAAAAGGTGAGAGCAGGGGTTACTGTCAGAGTAATAAGTAAAAGGCTGAACACAGAATGCATTAGCCTCCATGTTTGCAGCTGGCGGAGATATATACACCCAAAAAATGGGATGGAAGGAGAAGGTGGACTTATAGATGTCTATTCAGCCATAGAAGGGAAGGCTAAGAGATTGCAAAGCTGCTGTCCAGGGGCCTTGATGTTATTAAGCCTATTGGTCAACCCTGCAACCATGCACTTCTAGATCTCTTGCTATGAATAGCAAATAAATTCTTACCCACATAAGCCATAATGATAATCAAGTTTTCTTTTATCTGGAACCAAAAATATTCCAGAACTGACCCAACATTTAGATGTGTAAATGCAATTATCAGAAAAACTCAAAATAACTATGTAATTAACAAATAGTAGTAGGAGTAAGTAGGGCCAGAAAGATTTTGTAAGAAAGATACTATCTTCATCTTTTGCAATAGGGCTGTTAATATATATTTTTAAAAGTTAATGAATTAAGAAAGAAATTTACATGTTTGTAGTAAGAATTACTGAATTGAGCTACCTATAAAAGTAAAAATACGGATTTTTCAAATGGATTTACCTGGGACCATGGTACTTTCTCAGGTAATGGAAAAATGAATTTAAAAAAATGACATATGCATTTCAAATAAAATAATACAAATGATATATGTTGAGACTATGAGATGAGGGAAGATATAGAATATGGTATCTGATATCATTTTCTTAATTTAGTAACATGTTTATATTTATTTGTACATATATTTCCTTATGGCATTTATAAAGAAATACATAAAATTATTGAAAATATTTTCTAGTATGTGTTTTGCAATTTTTTCTCAAGAATAGACAAAAGAAAATCAAAAAGCTTTTTTCTTCACACAGCTGACAAAGAATAAAATGTTCACAATGGAAAGAAAATATATGGTCTTTGGGAGCAGATTTTTTAAATCCCTGGAAAGCAGTAACTAAATAATTGTCTGATTTCATATGCTATTAATAGGTGATTTTTCCCATCTGCCTTACATTTCCATTTGCAGTTATCTCTTTTCATGTCTTCTCATGGTGTCAGGTTCACACCCTCAATTTGATGTTAGTGATTTTAAACAATTGAAAATCACTCTTGAGGGTGTGACCTGGCTTTGGACAATCTGCAATAAATCCAAGAGTCACAGCACCAGGAGACAAGCAGCGAAGAGTATTGTATTTAAAAGCAAGAATCTTTAAAAAAAGAACCAAATGGAAATTTCAAAGATGTCAAATATTGCAATGAAAAATTCACTGGATCTCTTAATAAAAGGAAATATTAGTGGTCTTGAAATACAATAGTCAAATATATCCATATCAAAGCATGGAGTGAAAACTGAAGGAAAAACAAAGAGCTTCCATGAAAGAAAGCAAAACTTTTACCACTCAAACAAAAACATATTATGAAGCTGAAATAATGCAGTTTTCAATGGAAACACATTAATGTTTCAAGTAGTGAAATTGTTTACATAAAAATTATATTGAAGAAAATGTAAGAATATGAAAGACATTTAACATATATTAATCAGCATAAGAATATATAAATAAATAGAAAGGAAAAGGGTGGGGCATGGTGGCTCACGTTTGTAATCCCAGCACTTTGAGAGGCTGAGGCAGGTGGATAACCTGAGGTCAGAAGTTTGAGACTAGCCTGGCCAACATGGTGAAATCCTGTCCCTACTAAAAATACAAAAATTAGCTGGGTGTGGTGGCAGGTACCTGTAATCCCAGCTACTCCAGAGGCTGAGGTAGGAGAATCGCTTGAACCCGGGAGAAGGAGGTTGTAGTGAGCTGAGATCACGCCACTGCACTCAAGCCTGGGTGACAAGAGTGAAACTCCAACTCCAAAAAAAAAAAAAAAAAGGAAAAAATACTTAATAGATGAAAATACAAATCAAATAAACCTTTCACAGGAAAGAACAGCCATTTCACAGCAAAGAAAACTTATAGGGTTAGTCAAACTATGAAGATACAATCAATTTTACTAGCAATTAAGGCAAGTCTAATTGAAACCACAAAGAGATAATATTTTATACAAATACACTGGCAAAAATGACGGAGTCTGGCAATACCATGTGCTAAATCGGGTATAAAATAAACAACCTGTTATACAGTAAACAGTCATTGGATGTGTTAATTAGCACATTTATTTTTGAAATAAATTTCCCATTGCTAAGGCATGATCCACCCACTTGATAACCCAGAAATTCTACATCTAAGTATGTAGCCAGAAGACTCTTATGTACATCAAGAGTTAAGTACAAGACATAATAAAACTCTTCAGAATGGGAGGGGGGAAAATCCTACAAACACTCCAACTGCTCATAAATAGAAAAAAATCAGTAATTGTATATTTCCATACATAATGGATTATTACACAAAAAGTGAATAAATGAGCTATGTCACACAAAATTACATGGATATTTTTAGTAATGTAGGGGATGAAGAAAACAGTCCCAGAAGATTGTGCGATATTTTTTAAATGGTCTAAAATTCAAAGCTGATAAAAACTATGGTCAAATTATAAAATGATACTGTTAAATTAAAAATATGGATAGAATTTGCTTTTTGGACAGAGAAAAGGGTGAAAAATTAGGAATAATTGGGCCATGGATGTATCATTATTGCATCATGTATATTATCATAAATGACAATGAACCAAAGACTATAATTAGTCTAATTCTTTGGAAGCAAGTTAACATAAATGAAGTTGCTACAGATGCAAGGACTAAAATTAGGAGGTAAGAAAATAAATGAAAACACACATTTAATAACTTAGCCAACCAATGTAGTCACTTTGGTGGAATTTAAGGGATGATTAGATGATAATGATATTATTGATGCTACTGATGTGTATGGTACTAAAAGTGATATTGCTACTAATGTTTCTAAAATGATAAAAATCTGTTTTTTAAATTGATGTCACACTTACCCAGGGTTTAGACTCTAAACGTTTCAAATTTAGGATGAGTCAGTTATTGCATGCCCCATATCTCCCTATCTTATATTTGACAAAATAGTAAATATATTTTTTCAAATTTCCCCCTTATACATATCATATCTATATCTATAGATGCCATAAAAAATAAACACAAAACATAATGAAAGAACAAATCTCTGGATAACCTGTAAGCTTTGCCACTAACCTCTTTATAGCCACAATCACACTGCTCTGTAGGTTCCAAAATTCCATTGCCACAAGTTGAAGATTTTCGGTAAGTCATTTTTGAAACTGTTTTATCCTGAAAACATTTAAGTTCAGGCTGCAGAACTATCCGTTTAAATCCATCCATGCTGCAACTGCTAAAAAACTTCATACCATGGGATCATCTAAAATTAAATTGTACTTCTTAGATAAATAGACTAAAAGAATCAAAGTAATACTCCTCAACAAAATGCTATGAATTCTGAACTACTTCACTTAGAGAAGAGCCAAAAGGAGAAGAGAATGCTTTTATTTTTAATACAGGTGATAAGCAAAAAATAAATTATTTGCTATTGTAATTTGATATGATAGACACTGAGAGAGTAAAGAAAGTTAAAATGGTAACGCACTCAATAATATTTGGTACACAATAAGCTCCATTTGAGTATATCCTATTATTATCAACATTAAGAAATAAAATTTGGTTGATTGTGTTAATGAAAAATCATAATTACTTGTTCTTTGTTAAAATTAATCAAAAAAGTTATCCCAATACTGAGGTATATAAATTGTACAAATTCTAGATTCCTTTTATTTTGTTTTATTTTTTGTATTTCTATACATTTAAGTATACTACTTAATGTGTAATTTTGGGTAATTTTGTAATAATCTCAAACTTAAAGAAATAATGCAAATATGGCCCAAAAAAATAAATTTTGTTTTCTGAAACAGTTAAGAGGCCGGCAATGTGTTCTGTGAACACTACATACATCTATGTAGTTCTTACATAGAAATGGGTTATTCTACATCAGCACCCTAGACCCTTCAAAATCATAAAATAATGATGTATTATTAATATCTAATGCTCGGACTCCATTCAGATTTTCCCAAACATCACAATCCTAGCATTTTATAGCAAAATAATCCAGTTCAGAATCAAGCATTGCAAAATTCTCATGTCTCCTTAGTTCTCATGAGAAATATAGCTGAAAAAAAAAAAAGAGAAATATAGCTGTTTATTGAAGTGCAGTATGATTCATGAATTAAACAGCACTCAGAACCAGGAGAGCTTCATCTTAACAATACTGTGTGGGAGATTTTAAGCCATAATTGGCCATCTAAGCCACACCTTCATTCCTGGCCCAAAGAAAACATAAAATAATAAATGACCCATCGTTTTAAGCCTCTAAGTATTTGCCATGCAGCAAATACTTACAGATAACACATAGGACTTAATGTGTGTTGCTCTGTTTTTCTCAAGATATTTGGCATACTTTTTATCATTTTCATTTAGATCTGCAATCAGTTTGTAGTTTATGTGTGTGTGTGTGTATACACACAATATACACATAAAGATATAAAATTAAACATTCACAATTTATTTGAAGACTGTCCTTTCTTTATTACACTGAATCATAACCTTGATCATCAATCAAGTGAACATTTGTGCATGTTTCTGCTTTTGCTCCTCTTGTACCAATAGTACACTATCTTAATAAATACACATTTCTTTTTTTTGTTGTACTTTAAGTTCTAGGGTACATGTGCACAACGTGCAGGTTTGTTACATATGTGTGCATGTGCCATGTTGGTGTGCTGCATCCATTAACTCGTCATTTACATTGGGTATATCTCCTAATGCTATCCCTCCCCTCTCCGCCAACCCCACAACAGGCCCTGGTGTGTGATGTTCACCATTATTCTAAGCAAACTATCGCAAGGACAGAAAACCAAACACCGCATGTTCTCACTCATAGGTGGGAATTGAACAATGAGAACACTTGGACATAGGATAAATACACATTTCGTATTAACTTCTGAGATATTGTATTGTATATTCCTCACACTGTTTTTCTGGTTCATAGTTGTCTTGGGTATTTTGGGCCCTTTGAATTTTATTGTAAATTTCTGACTTTTTTTCAATTGGTACCAAAAATAAAGTAGACTCATCTCCTGAAAAAAAAAAAAAAAAAAAAAAAAAAAAAAAGCAAGAATCATTCATCCAGGGACTGTGACTTGCCAGATTTTTCTCTTAAAATTACTGAGTTCTAAATGAAGTTATTCATTCTTATTGATAGTTTCTATAGTTAAAAGCCAGCAAAATGATCCTGCCAGTAAACATCACTGTTTCCTTTTGTTTGTTTCCATCCCCAGTGATCAGCACTGGCAGCAATCAGTGCCCTCACTACATTTTCATTTATTACCAGTGCAGATGATGATTCTGTTAAAAGGTTGTGAAGTCTTAGCCATAAAAACTTTGACTTGAACAATTTCCTAAGCATTTCCCCTATGCTCTCTTATAGTCGTTTTATAGTTTTAGACCTTATGCTTAAACTTTGTTTCATTTTGAGTTGATTTTTATATAAGGTGAGAGATAAGAGTCTAGTTTTATCCCTCTGCATATAGAAATCCAGTTTTTCCAACGTGAAGAACTGAAGAAAGTATCTTTTCCCCAGTATATGTTCTTGGCACCTTTGTAAAGAATGAGTTTGCTGTAAATACATGAATTTATTTATGGGTTCTCTATTCTGTTTATTGTTCTATGTGTGTGATTTTAGACCAATATCATGCTGTTTTGGTTACTATAGCTTTGTAGTATATTTAGAATTCAGGTAGTGTGATGCCTCCAGCTTTGTTCTTTTTGCTCAGGATTGCTGGGTCTATTCAGGGTATTTTGTAATTCTATACAAATTGTAGGAATATTTTTTCATTTCTGTGAAGAATGACATTGGCATTATGGTAGGAACTGCATTGAATCTGTAGATTGCTTTATATAATATGGCTATTTTAACAACATTAGTTCTTCTGATCTATAAGTGTGGCATGTTTTTCCATTTATTTGTGTCCTCTTCAATTTCTTTCATTAAATAATTGAATGGAAATTTTACAGTTTTTCTTTTAGAAATCTTTCATCTTATTGTTTAAATTTATTCCTAGGTATTTCTGGTAGCTATTGTAAAAGGCATTGCTTCATTGATTTCTTTTTCAGCAGTTTGTGATTAGTGTGTAGAAAAACTACTGATTTTTGTATTTTGATTTTGTATCTTGCAGCTTTACTTGTTTATCAGTTCTAAGGGTTTCCTGGTGGAGTCTTTAGTTTTTTCTATATATAAGATAATCCTGCAGAGAGGGAAAATTTGACTTCCTCTTTTCCAGTTTGGATGCGTTTTTATTTATTTTTCTTGCCTAATTCCTCTCACTAGGACTTTCATGTTGTGTTTAGTAGAGTGGCGAGAGTGGCATCCTTATCTTGTTCCAGTTGTCAGAGGTAAGGTTTTCGGCTTTTCTCCATTCAGCATGATGTTAGCTATGGGTTTGCTATATATAGCCTTTATTATGTTGAGGTATATTCCTACTATGCCTAACTTGCTGATAGTTTTTATCATAAATGCATGTTAAATTTTATCAAATGCTTTTTCTGCATCTATCTAGATAATCATATGGTTTTCAGGCTTCATTCTGTTAATGCAATGTGTCACATTTATTGATTTGCATGTGTTGAACCATCCTTGCATCCCTGGGTTAACTCCCACTTGATTATGATGTACTATCTTTTAGATGTGCTATTTAATTCAGTTGGCTAATATTTTGTCGAGAATTTATGCATCCATGTTCATCAGGGATATTGTCATGTAGTTCTCTTTTTTTGTTGTTGTATTCTTGTCTGGTTTTGGCATCAGGTAATGCTGATCTGGTAGAATGCGTTAGAAAAAATTTCCACCTCTTCAATTTTTTGAAATAGTTTAAAAAGAATTGGTCTTAGCTCTTCTTTATAATTTTGTGGAATTTAACAGTAAAGTCATTTAATCCTAGGTTTTTCTTTTTAGGAAGACTGTTTATTGCTGATTCAGTCTCATCACATGTCACTTATTTGTGCTGTTTTTCTGTGTCTTCCTGGTTCAGTCTTCATAGATTGGATCCAGGAATTTATCCATTTTCTCTACATTTTCCAACTTGTTATCATATAGTGGTTCGTAACACTCTCTAATGACCCTTTGTATTTCTGTGGTATCAGTTGTAACGCCTCCTTATTTGTTTCTAATTGTATTTGTTTGGGTCTTCTTTCTCTTCTTTTCTTTTGGTCAGTATAGCTAGTGGTTTATCAAATTTGTTTATCTCTTCATAAAACCAATTTTTGGGGTTTTTTATTTTTCTACTGTTTGTTTCCATTTTGTTCAGTTCTGCTCTGATCTTTATTATTTCTTTCCTAATTTTGGGTTGTTCCTGCTTTTCTAGTTATTTGAGAACCTTCATTAGGTTATTTGAAATCTTTCTACTTTTTGATGTAGGCTTTTATGGTGATAAACTTCTCTTAGCACTGTTTTTGCTATATTCCATAGGTTTTGATATATTGTGTGCCAATTTTTATTTGTTTCAAGAATGTTTGAAGTTTTTTCTTAACTTCTTTATTGATCAAATGATTGTCCAGGGGTCTGTTGTTTAATTTCCATGTATTTGCACAGCTTCCAAAGTTCTCGGGTTATTGATTTCTAGCTTTATTTTATTGAGATCTGAAAAAGTACTTGATACAATTTTGATTTTTAAAATTTGCTGAGACTTGTTTCATGTTCTAACATATGGTTTGTCCTGGAGAATGTTTTATGTGCTGATGAGAAGAATATATATTCTGCAGTTGTGTGATGAAATATTCTGTAAATGTCTGTTAGGTCCATTTAGTCTATCGTACATTCCAAGTACCATGTTTATTGATAAATATTTGTCTAGATGATGTGTCCCATGCTGAAAGTGGGGTGTTGAAGTTCTCAGCTATTATTGTATTTAAGTGCCTTTCTCTTTGATTCTCACAATACTTGCTTTATATATTTAAGAGCTCCAGTGTTGGGTGCAGATATATTTACAATTGTTATATCTTCTTGCTGAATTATCTTTATATAATAATCTTCTTTGTCTATTTTTATGTTTGACTAAAAGACTATTTTTTTCTGATAAGAGTGTAGTTACTTCTGCATATTTTTGGTTTTCATTTGTGTGGAATATTTTTTCCATCCCTTTTCTTTCAGTCTATGTATGTCTTTACAGGTTTAAATGAATTTTTTGTAGATGGCATATAGATGTGTCTTGGTTTTTTGTGTGTTTTATTTATTTATGTTTTTATCCATTCAGCAAGTCCATATCTTTTAATTGAGGAATTTAAAACATGTGATTTAAGGTTGTTATTGATAGGTGAGGACTTGTTCCTATCACTTTGTTCATTGTTTTCTGATCGTTTTGTATATTCTGTTTCCTTTTGTCTCTTCCATTGTTTACCCTATGAGTTGTTGGGCTTTTTTTGTGATAACATTTGACTCCTTTCTTCTTCTCATTTGTGTATCAGCTCTACAAATTAGTTATATACTTTCTTTGTTATGTTGATGATAAATATTATCCTTTCATTTTCAAATGTAGAACTCATTTAGGCATTTCTTGTAGGGTCAGTCTAGTGGTGATGAATTCCCTCAGGGTTTGCTTGTCTGGAAAAGATTTTATTTGTCTTTCATTTTTGAAGGACAGCTTTTTTGGGTGTAGTATTCTTGGTCATTGGGGTTTGGGGTTTTTAATACTTTGAATATATCATCCCATTCTCTTCTGGCCTGTAAGATTTATGCAAGAAGTTTGCTGTTAATCTGATGAGAATTCCCTTACATGTAACTTGGTATTTTTTCTGTTTTTAGAATCTATTTCTGTCTTCTTTTGAGAGTTTGACAATAATATGCCTAGGAGAATATCTTTTTGAGTTGAATCTATTTGGTTATCTTTGAATATCCTGTACCTGAATATCTACATATCCTGTAAGACTTGGAAAGTTTTCATCTATTTTTTGCTAAATAGTTTTTAAATGTCCTCGGCTATCTCTTCTTCTAGAAATTCCAAACTTCAAATATCTGATTACTTTATGGTGTCCCATATGTGACATAGGCTTTCATTCTTTTTATTATTTATTTATGGGTTTTACTGGGTTATTTCAAATGACCTGTCTTCACGTTCAGAAATTCTTCCTTCTGCTTGATCTAGTCTATTGTTGTGGCTCTTGATTGTATTTCTTATTTCTTAGCTTGGACTCTTCAGTTCCAGGATTTCTATTTATTTCTCTTTAATATCTATCTTTTTGTTGAATTTCTCTTTCAGAATATATATGTATTTTTCTGATCACTCTGTATTGTTTATCTGTATTCTCTTATATCTCTTTGAGTTTTTGAGTTTCTTTAATATCATTATTTTGAATTCTTTCTCAGGTATTTTATGTGTGTGTGTGTGTGTGTGTGTGTGTAAATTGTTGGTATCTGTTACTAGAGAATTATTGTATTCCTATTGGAGTGTAATGTTTCCTTGTTTTATCATGCTTCTTTGTGTCATTGATATCTGTGTATCTGATCTAACTGTCACGTCTTCCAACTTTATTGATTGGCTTTTATTTTTTTTAAATAGAAGTATCTATAGTGTTGGTTGAGTAAGGTGTTTTGGCTCTGATTCTGGTGAATGCAGTAGTGTAGTCTCTGATTTCTTTGGCTATAATCAGTGTTAGTGGTGTCTGTGAGTTTCTCAGTGACTTAGGCTACAGCTGCAAGTGGATGCTTTGGTGAGCCTTTACTGGGGATGGAGACACCAGGTGAGGCAGTCCTCAGGCACCAGTGGTGGCAACAGCTGGCGGGGGGGGGGGCTGGTTCTTGGGACTTCAGGCAGTATACATGGGTGTTGGTGGTAGTGGGTCGAGGAGGGCCAGTCCTCAGGCTTCCAGGCAGTTTTCTTAGTAGTGGCGGTGGGCTGGGCAGGTGGGTAGGTCCCTGGGTCCTCAGGTAGTGTGTGTGGGGTTGGCAGTGGGCAGAAAGGGTCTTTCCTCAGGATCCTTAAGGTGTACATGGGTGCTGGCAATGGCAGTGTATTAGTCTGTTCTCATGCTGCTAATAAAGACATACCCAAGACTGGGTAATTTATAATAAAGAGGCTTAATTGACTCACAATTCCACGTGGCTGGAGAGGTCTCACAATCATGGTGGAAGGTGAAGGAGGAACAAAGTCACGTCTTACATGGCAGCAGGCAAAAAGAGCATGTGTGGGGAACTTCCCTTTATAAAACCATCAGATCTTGTGAGACGTACTCACTGTCATGAGAACAGCATGGGAAAGACTCTTCCACATGACTCAATTACCTCCCACCTGGATCCCTCCCATGCCACATGGGAATTATGGGAGCTACAATTCAAGATGAGATTTGGGTGAGGACACAGCCAAACCATATCAAGTGGGCAGGTTGATCTGTCCCCAGGCCCCAGAATGATGTGTGTTGGCACTGGTGGTGGTGCTGATGGTGGCAGTGGGCATCATGTGTCTTTCCTCAGGCCCCAGAACCAGTCTTTAGGTCCTCTGAAGGCATATGCAGTTGCAAAGTATTCTTGCCACTGAAGGGGATAGTTGCTGTCAGTGGCAGTGGCAGCCATCTCTCAGGCTCTGAGGAGTGCACACTTCTGATCTCTTTGTCCTGGGGCAGCCTCCCTAGTGTGCCTCACCACACATTCCTTGGGGTGTAGGACACTGTGTTGGCTAAAATGCTGGAAACCCTGTCTCACTGCCTGGTCTAACCAGCATTGTGCTGCTGCAGCCCTCTAGGTGAATGCGGAGGGATGTCAATGGTTCTCCAGGGATGTGGGGATGTATGGGACTGTTGGGCCTGAGGGAAGAAATGCAGTCTAGTGGGATCTGAGTTCTCAAACTGATGCCATGGTGCCAACTTCTTGGGTCTCAGTGGGTGAGTGTGACTCAGCATTAATTCCCTCTTTGGAGTAATGCCATTGTGTGGACTCCAGATGAATTCCAGTCTTCTCTTTTAGATGTTCTATTCGATGGATGTGCAGTTATGTACTGCATTGGTTGTTCTTTGTGGAGGGGACGAGTGCCAGGCACCTTTATTCAGCCATATTGAAGCCCCTCCCATCCATTAATACTATGCAAGGTAAATCCAAATTATCTTTCTGGTGCTTTATTTCAAATAAATATTATAAATATATTATATAAAATCATTCTATATTTCCACAGTGTATATATGTGTGTGTGTGTATATATACTATATATATACACATATATATAATATATACTTCTTACCCATTGTTGACAATTTTAGTTATTTTATATTCTTTAAATTTTTTCCCCAATATTTTTCATGCCTAGGGCTTATGGGTCCTAGGTTAGATTTCAGACCTTGTGAAGCAACAGAACATGCTTTTACATTTTACTTTTACATTTTGTAATACAGTACTTTTTCATTTTTTAATTATTTGTATACACTTAGAAGGAAGTTTTAAAACATTACCACTAGATGGCAGAAAAGATCAAAAGTTGGATGAAACCAGAGGCAAACATTTTCATGAGTGATCATTTAAAATAAATATTTTTATCTTTTATTATAAATTGACAATTTATGATTATATAAATTTATGGAGTACAAAGTGATGTTATGGTTTATGAATACAATGTGGTATAGTTAAATTAAGCTAATTTATATATCCATTACCTCAAACAATATTTTTTTGTGGTGAGAACATTTGCAATTTAAATTTTAAAATGTACAATTCTGTATTATTAACTACATTTCTCATTCTATGTCATAAAACTCAAAAGAATTTTTTCTCTTTTCTGAGATGTTGTACCATCTGACCATCATCTTCCCATTCCTCCCACTCACTGGTCTCTGTAACCACCATTCTGCTCTCTGCTTCTGTGAGTTAAATTGTTTTGGACTCCACATGTAAGTTAGAACATGTGGTATTTGTCTTTGTTTCTGGCTTATTTCACTTAGCATAGTGTTCTCCAATTTCATCTATGTTGCCACACATGAGAAAATATCCTTCTTTTTTAAGGTTGAATATGCACTTGATTGTGCATATGTACCACATTTTCTTTATCCACCCACCTGTGCCTGGTCACTGAGGTTGATTAAAAAACTTGGCTATTGTGAACAGTGCTGCAATGAACATAGGAGTGTAGACATCTCTTTAACAAACTGACTTCAATTTTTGGGGGTGCATACCCAAAAGTGAAATTTTCGGATGATATGGTAATTCTTGTTTTTGAGGAACCTCCACCAGTTTTTTACAATACCTTTATTAATTTAAATTTCCATCAACAGTGTACAAGAGTTGAAATTGTACATTTAAAATAATTATAAATTATATTGCCAAATACTATAGCTAATGCATATCAAAAAATATGCTGACATACTTGGGAAATCTATGGAAATACTGAAGCCAACAGATTAAAAATTTCAGCCTAGTAACGCTATGCCTGTTTGTATCACAGTTGTGTCTTTTACAGCTCCCTAGAGAAAAACTTACAAGCTTTCTACAGGATATGAGAATCATGTTGAAAATATTATAGTTCATTTCTGTTCTTTCTGTCAGAAAATATGTTCTCCAAAAAGTGCAATAGATAAATTTCTTTATTTAGTATTCTAGCATTCTTTATTCCAACACTTTCCTCATTTTTCTAGAATAATTGGCTAATATCAAACATTATTAAGACAGTACGTCATCATTCTATAGTAAATATATTTACTAGCCAAGTTTTTCTATTTAAAATAATTTCATGGTTCTTAATTTTTATGCCACCATTTTATTGGAGAAAGGTTATACTGTTCTTCACTGTCAAATATGAGTAGTTATGATAGGATATTTTAGTTATCAAGGCTTTGCACTCTGAACAACACCATTTAGGCCCTTTAATCAAAACTCAAAGGATACTTTTAACGTCCACATAGACATACTCACCTCCTACCACAGAAGTAGGATAGTTTGGTGAAGAACCCAGTGAATCAGAAATTCCTCCTCTCAGCTCTGTTTTGATGTTATTTTTCACTAAACAGCCCTCATGATGATTTACCCATTATTTCACTGAAGAGGGTAATGCTGTCCTTAGCTTACGGTGGCAGCAGAAGCCATGGACATATATTAGATCAGATGCTATTTATTTTTGTTTTTATTTTTTGCAGATGGAAAATTCTTAAATGTTTTAAATGAAGGCTGAAGAGAACCAGTAAAGAAAGATTTAAAGTATGAAGGAGCAATAATATGCCCCCACCAATGTCTTTTCCTACTAAACTCATCAAAACAAGTCACAGAGAAACAATGGGCAAAATGTATTCACTTTTTAAAAATCTTCACTTAATACATGGTTTTGTTGCAGTGTTCTTTTATATAGGAAGTCAAATTTGTAACTTTTAAAAATAAATGAGATTTTTGTTTATTTGTTGTCTCGAAAACGTTTACAAAACTCACTGAAAGCATAAACAAAGATTTTTTTTGTACATTTAAAATAATTTTAGAAAAACTATCACATATGACTAGGACATACATTTACTATGAATCACAGCTTATATGTACAGCAAATGTACAATCCTTTTAATTTGTCTTCAGTTAATCTGACCTTTCTAATCTCCCTAGTTTTCATACACTAGAAATAAAAATAACTTTGTGTCTTACCTTATTTAAGATCTGATGATGACTGTCCTTCTTGGAATAATAGCAGTCTCTCACATCCCAGTTAACCAAATACAGACTTTGGCCTCCAATATCAAGGATCCCCCAAGTGGAGAAGAGATGTTAACAAGCAAACAGTGGAGTCAGAAGACACTGGGCCAGAGATGTCAACCCTTAAACTCTACAATGATATCCGTCCCCCTGTACACACTTCCCAGCCAGGGAAGGAAGAGGTGGAAGAGAAATTGAAAACTAAGCTTTATTTTTCTAAACAGATGAAATTGAAAACTAAGCTTTGTTTTACTAAACAAATTGAGAAATAATAAAAGGTAAATTAACAGAGCTGACATGGTGGCGCATACCTGTAACTCCAGCTATTCAGGAGCCTGAGATGGGAAGATCACTTGGACCCAGGAGTTTGAGACCAGCCTGGGCAACATAGTGAGTCCCCATCTCTACCAAAAAAATTAGAAATTAGCTGGGCATGGTGGTGCATGCCTGTAGTTCCAAATACTCAGGAGGTTAAGGTGGAAGGATTGCTTGAGCCCAGGAGTTTGAGGCTGCAGTGAGTTATGATTGTGCCACTGCCGTCCAGCCTGGGTGACAGAGCAAGACCCAATCTTAAATATGTAAATAAATAAGTAGTACATTATCAGATCAGACTAAAAGTCATACCAGATGGCAATAAAAGTTAATGTCTCCCCTCCTTGAGTGTGAGTATTCATTAAGGAGAATAGATTATTTTTAAGCAAAAAAAGAAACTATATTCAAGGCCATCTTCATGGATGTACAATCTGCACAAGCTCACAGGGTCCTATGCTCAGAACAGCCCCATATTTGATTTAATAATCTACTCTCATCTTCTTGAAATTAGTAATTTTTTGATAGGGGCCCCCTTATTTTTATTTTGCATTGTCCCCACAAGTTATGTAGCCATGCTTGACTATATTTTCTTGTTTATTTTTCTTGCTTTTTTCAAATTATGATGTGAGTTCAACTTGTTATCCCACTAAACACAAGCCAAAACCTTGTATTATTTCTCCCTCCCTTTCTTCTTTCTTTTTCTCTTGAGAATTAACATACAATTTAGTTTTCTCTATGTAGACAGATTTTGTGTGTGCTTCTTTGACACTTTTCTTCTATAGTAATACATTTAGAAAGACTAATCTAAAAGAAAGATACATAGATGATAGATAAAACAGGATAAAGATAGTTAAAGTATAAAGTTGAGGCATTTGAAATCAACAGCTGGTTTGCATTCTGCCAACATGGAGTTTCCAACAGTCACAATCTCCATGAAAATGGAATGACAATAATCATTTCCAGTTAGACCCCAGAGACTAAAAGTGTATTTCCATTAGTCTAGCCAAAACCAGTCTGCTCTCCAGATGGGCTGTTCGGTTGATGACTCAGCTTGGGGATAAACCTGAGTTTTTTATAGACTCCATAGCTGGGTCCTAAAAAAAAAAAGTAAAATTATTAATATGCAGATATATGAATGACATTTTCATTTCCTTTCTTTTCTCTCATATCAATTTTTTGCATTCTACTCTGCTCTTTTTCACAGACACATTCTTTACTCCCACATTGGAGTCATTTGT
Organism: Homo sapiens; assembly: GCF_000001405.40. Classification (NCBI taxonomy): domain Eukaryota; kingdom Metazoa; phylum Chordata; class Mammalia; order Primates; family Hominidae; genus Homo; species Homo sapiens. Next base: position 73,180,353 of record NC_000009.12, on the reverse strand, counting down.
AGTTCCGTTATGCAGAAAAGAACAGCCTATAAATAAACTTTCTACTACTTAAAAGATTAACTTTTTTATTATACTTTAAGTTCTAGGGTACATGTGCACAACGTGCAGGTTTGTTACATATGTAAACTTTAATCTGCAGTGAGACAAGAATATAATAAATATAACCCATAACTTAGTTTACTACATGTGAAAAATCTCATTACATTTTTCTTTCCAATAGCTGGAAATGATCTAATGTTTCAAATAATATAGGATATTTCATAATGCATTATCTTGTTAAAGGAAAGTTTCTTGGTTGGAAATGCATTATAAGCTTCTTACAGTAGCAGCAGCTACTGTGTATTAATATTTACAGAGTGCTTTCTGTGTGCTAGATGTGGACTATCTAATTTAGTTTTGATCATGACCATCAATATCCTGATTTTACGTATGAGCAACCTGAGTTACATAACTTGGCCAAGCTCCACAGCCAGTGAGGAGTCGGGCTGGGATTTGAATCACATAGCCTAATTCTGAGTTAGGGTTGTGAGGACACTGAACTCCTCTGAGTCAGTCTTCAGGGTCAAAAAAGTAAGCAATGATAATAATTGTAAGAAGGCACGTTGTTTACACATCAAAGTCAAAGGATTTAGCAGGTGGGTCACTTGACTATTGAGTCAACCTCCCACATCTTTACCATTGAAGTTAAGAAAAAAGGATCATTTCCACATGACTGCATTTTGGGTTTCCAGTTACTAAAAGCCCTTTCTCTTCCTGTATTTCTGGTACAGCCTGTAGCTGGTACACAAACTCCAGTCCAAAAATTCCTTCTCAGATCATTCTGTCTTCTGTACAGCAGTTGGTAGCAGTAGTAGTAGTATTTCACTGATAAGAAACTATCACTTAAAAGAGGCAATTACTATCTTTGAGGTCACTTAATCAATAAGTGGTGGAGGCTTGATTCAAACTCAGATTTCTCTGGCTCCCAAGTCACTATCCACTCTGCTCCCACACTATAATGAATCCTTAGCAAATACATACAAATGTTTTTTCCTTCTTATTGGCTAGCAATGTTTCATGGCTTTTGCAAAAGAAAATAATCATGATTAATCTCAATCTTCATTTACTGAGTATAATCTTCAGCACAATGTAGCTAATACATTGAACATGGCTTGTCAACATCCCCCAAAAAGTATTGCCCAAGGCAGTTATTTCTTGTATTAAAATAATAAGAATGTGAGAGCCATGGCTTTCTTTTTTAAAGTAACAATGATCTACGAATTTTCATAGCCACTCTATGGAAGATATTGCAAATGAAGTACAAGGAATGTGATTAAATATATTATTGTCCTTTATACAGGGATAATAGTGTTTCCTCTAAATGGTTCCAACGATCTCTCTGTTCTTCTCCAAATCATCTAAGACCTCATTACTCACCCTTTGAAAGGTAGTCTAATTACTGTTGCTTTGAAACTGAGCCTGTAACTTGCTTGTAACCAAAAGAATGTGACACAAATCATTTGTGATTTGTGAGACTAGGTGGCAGAAGATGGTGTAGCATCTGCCTTGGTAGCTGGAACACTTGTATTGAAGCCCTGGGCTGCTGCCTCAGTGGGCTTACTTCCCTGAGACTGTCATGCAGGGAGAACGCTGAATCTAGTCTCCTTGGACAGGCCCTGAGATTATTATATAAAGAAAGAGCTGCCTGGCCAGCCCTCAGCTGCTCCATCCTCCATTTTCAGCTTCAGCCACCATTTGACTGCAATTGCAAGTGATTCCTGTAGCCAGAACCACCTGTCAGGAAGAGATAGATTTGGATATATTTCCCTGCAGAGGTCTTGGTGACAGCAGAGTGGTGGTCTCCTGATTAGGATGTGTGAGCAATGAGAAAATGGCTGTACGTTTGTTTCCCTCTGCTTCTTGTACTTCGTAACTCCTAAATTTCTTGCCTAGTTCTCAACCTGGGCTTCCAATCCTCCACCCACTCTGAGTCCTTTACTCCAACACTCTTAGATGCTTCTATAAGTTCCTCTTTCATAAGTCCGCTCATCAGTTTCTCTTGCTTGCAACCAAGGACTCAACTGCTATTCCTCACATTTAAGCTTTTAGAGGCCTATTGATTCGTATCAGCATACTCACATAATCACCTAGTTCTGTTTCTGAGTAAAAGGATTAGTTTAAGGTGCCACTTAGTCATCACTTTTAGAACTGTATAAAATTTTTGGCTAAGTACCTAAATTATTTTCTCAAATTATCAGATGTCCTATAAGAAAGCATTTTGAATGTTTTCATAAAAGTATTCATGTTTCTATAAATTAAAAGACAATACAGGTTGCAATTAGGTGTCACTAGATTAAAAAAAACAAAAGACAAATTTCATTCAACAAATAGAGGGTGAAACAGCTTTGCTTAGTTAACATTCATTCCCAGAGCTCTTTGTGTGTCACAATGAATACATAAATAACAATACAACTTTCAATTTACAGAAAGTCAAGAAAGCCTAATCTTTGGTTTGTGAATGTGGAAGAATGAAGGAACGTAGACCAAACAGCAGATATAGGTAACACATACATTATTGAAGGAGTTTTAGAAATAGTAGTGTTAGATTAGTGATTCTTTAAACCCAGTGTTCAAGTGAATGTAAAAGGGACATTCCAGGGGACCAGAAGAAAGCTGTGTCCATGATGCTCCCATGGTGCTTTCCCGATCTTTCAGGTCCTATTTTGCTCTCAATCTGTCTCACATCAGTCTGGATCTTGTCTATGCTCAGACCTTCAATAGAGTTTAGCAATGATGTTCATTCAGCTCATCTTATGATTAGCAAAAAAGCAAAATGCTGAAAACAAATGCTCCCTGTCAATTAGGGCTATTTTGAAATGGTAGAACCACTCCATCCCTAAGAGATTTTACAGAAGCATGCTAGTCCTTGAGGTAAAGCAACTTTCCTGCTGCAGTTGTGGCCCTGGTGTCTTCTCTAGAATGGATCTTTTCCCCAACATGTTGGACTAACCAAGAAAAGAGAGCTAGAGAGACCGTATGACACAGCAGTGCTCCAGTCTTGTATCCTTGGTATTCGAGTATAATTCTTGATGTCCACCAAATGCCTTAGCATAAAGAATAAGCACTTTGAGCTAACCTGTAATAGCACAAGCTATCATTTTTTGTCATAATTTTACTAAGTGCTAGCTATTGTACCAGACAATAGCAATACAACAATAAAAGGCAAAAAAAAAGAAGAAAGAAAAGAAATAGTCTATGCAAACAACCTGTTCATATTCTAGAAGAAGTGACAAATATTAACTAAATAATCGCTTAAATATAAAATTACAACTCTGGCATTTAATATAGTACAGAGATATGTAGTGTTAAAAGGGTCTATGAGATATTTGAGCTGATATTTGAAGAATTAGCAAAGTTAACAAGAATGAAATGAGAAAAATATAGTGTTTAGGCTGAGGAAGTCCAAAGCCCTTGAGACAGGAGGAAGCATAGACAGAGTAAGGCTTGTAGAAGGCCAGTGCAGGGGAATACAGAGAGTGCTGAAAAGTATGCCGCCCAAAGAAGATGGAGAGCTGGGGGGGAAGCCACGCCCTACTGGCACTAAGCTGAGTGACTAAGGAGACTGGCATTTTGTGGAATCACAAACAAAAGCTTCTCAGTATTGTAAGGTGCCACCCAAGGGGTTGCATGGGGTAACCACATTAACATTTGCCATCTGGGCAGAGCAAAATACGTGTGACAAAATATAGACATTAGTCACTCAGCTTAGTGCCAGTATTGAACTGGCAAGGCTCACACTTGCCCCTGGTAAGGCTCTGTCATCTTTAATCCATTCAAAGTGGATTAAAGAAGTTTCAACACGTGGTCTCTGGGAAAGATGGCTGCCCTGAGTAAAAGAAAAGATAGGAAAGGGAAAGGAGAGAAAGAGAGAGAAAAGCATAGCCTGTGATGAGGTAGGGAAGGCAAGTAGCTCAGGAAGGCCAGAGAAAGACCCACCCATTGTAGCAACACTGAATCAAAAGTTCAGGCGGTCGCTTGACAGTTGTGAAGGGATCTTTTCCAGGGGTCCTATCAGCTCTCAAGTTTCCCCCTTTGGGGAGGAAAAAGCTCCCCATGTCCCATGATCCTGTACACGCCTAATCCTTTCACCCATAGCCATCAGCAAACAGTGCAAGGCAGATTAATCCACAGAGAATAGTGGTTAACATCCCATAGTGCCAAATCCATTTTTAACAAAGAGAGACTTTACTGAGAGGGGCCTCTAACCCCCTACATTTTAGGAAGCACTCTAACCTTCCTATGCTGGTCCTCAAACCCAAGTTTGGTCAAGCGTCCTTGCCTTTTATTCACGCCTGTAATTCCAGCACTTTTGGAGGCCGAGGTGGGTGGATCACCTGAGGTCAGGAGTTCCACCAGCCTGACCAACCTGGTGAAGCCCCGTCTCTACTAAAAAATACAAAAATTAGCTGGGTGTGGTAGCACATGCCTGTAATCCCAGCTACTCGGGAGGCGGAAGCATGAGAATGGCTTGAACCTGGGAAGCAGAGGTTGCACAGCCTGGACAACAAGAGCGAAACTCCGTCTCAAAAAAAAAAAGTGGGGTGGGGGGAATTTTAACCTTCTTTGTCTTAGGAGAGACTCTCCTAAGTTGGGCCTCTAACCCAACATCATCCTTTACTGGGGTAAAATGTACCCCACCACTTTCTCAAAGTTGGTGCTGCAATCTATTTCCTTCAGGTCAGGGGTCTCTTCAGTATAGTCCCTTCATGGTCACCAGGAAGATGTTACCAGAAAAGGGTCCTGATCCAGACCCCAAGAGAGGGTTCTTGGATCTCACGCAAGAAAGAATCTGGGGCAAGTCCATAGAGTAAAGTGAAAGCAAGTTCATTAAGAAAGTAAAGAAATAAAGAATGGCTACTCCATAAGCAGAGCAGCCTTTTCTCCTAAATCTTGATAATAAATATATTTCTTTCTAATATTTGACATTTACAACTCTCAAGTATTTTTTTCTTTAAACCTAACCATTGAAGGGGAATATGATATCAAAAAAAGTAGAAAATATACAATTGCATTTCATGGCCTTGTTTATTAGATTTGCCAAAAAAAAAAAATCACTATATCTGTAAGCAAAAGACAATATTTCTATTTTTTACTTTTTGGGTAAAAATGTACTTATTATTATATATACTTCCTAGATTTTTATATATTTGAAAATATTATTACCATTGTGTTTAAGAGATTCCTCACTGATTGTACAGAGTTTCCACTACTCCATGACAAAACCAACTTATTTTATAATAGTATCTTGCAACAAGACCTGGCATCTGAAGCAGGTTCTCATTTAGTTTCATTTTTCCCTCATATCTATGGTCTTTCTTCTCATAATTTTCTTCCTGTAACTTTAGTGAAATGGATCCATAGTCAGAAAGCCTGTGTTCAAATTTGTGTTTATTCATTGACCTACTGTATGAACTTGGACAAGTCCAGAGAAATCTGGAAACTTTGATTTCTTCATTTGTAGAAAGCAGATAACACCTCCCTCCCAGGTTTATTTGAAAACAGAATAATATTTTTGTAAAAATGCATCTAATTATAGTTGTTAGGTCTTAATTCTCAATACAAAAGATAATTAATTCATTCAGGAATATGAAATGCCACTAGCCATTCAGGTTTTTGCTGTTTTGTAGCCTTTCCTGAATCCATTACTCTCTCTTGATTTACCAAAGCGCTTCCTATGTGCCTATATATTACCTTTAATACATTATACCATCATATTTTGCATAGCTTTTTTCTCCCTGGCTATATTATGAGCTTTACAATTAGATAGCTATTTTAATAGACTTTATTTTTATAGAGCAGTTTTAGGTTTACAGAAAAATTGCACGGAAATTAGAGTCTCCATACACCCTTTCTACCTCTCCCTTATTTTTCCCTTGATATATTATTAACCAATATCCATAGTTTACATAAGATTCACTCTTTGTATTATACAGTTCTACAGGTTCTTGGAAATGTGTAACTGCCATGTATCTACCATTATAGTATCATACAGAATAGTTTCATTGCCCTAAAACTGTTCTGTGCTCCACCTATTTATCCCTCCCCCCTTCAACCTAACCCCTGGAAATCATTGATCTTTTTACTGTCTCCATAAGTTTTGTCTTTTTCAATATTTTCAGTATTTATATAGTTGGAATCATGTAATATGTAGACTTTCAGACTGGCTTTTTTCACTCAGCAGTATGTGTTTAAGATTCTTCCATGTCTTTTGCTTGATAGCTCATTTCCTTTTATTATTAAATAGTATTCTACTGTTTGTTTATTCACTCACCTTTTGAAAGGCATCTTGGTTGCTTCTAAGTTTTGGAAATGACAAGTAACCCTGCTATAATCATTTGTGTGCAGGTTTCTTGCTTGTGGACATAAATTTTCAACTTGTTTGCATAAATACCTAGGAGCATGATTGCTGAATGATGTAAGACTGTGTTTAGCTTTGTTAAAAAAAAAAAAAAAAAAAAGGCCAAATTGTTTTCCAAAGCGGCTGTGCCATTTTGCATTCACACCAGGAATGAAAGAGAGTTTCTGTTGCTTGACATGGAATGGATTTTAGTTATTCTAATAGGAGTGTAGCGGTGTCTCATTGTTTTAATTTGCAATTCCCTAATGATATATGATGTTGAGCATATTTTCATATGCTTATTTACCATCTTTATATCTTCTTTAGTGAGGTACCTGTTCAGATCTTTCGCTTATTTTTTAAAATTTTTTAACTTCTTTTACTGTTCAGACTTTAGAGGTTTTTTTATATTTTTGTTTATCAGTTCTCTAACAGATATTTGTCTTGCAAAAATTTTCTCCAAGTCTGTAGTTTATCTTTTTAGTCTCATAATAGTGTATTTGCAAAGAAGAAGTTTTTAATTTTAGTGAAATTCACCTTACCATTTTTTCCATGGATTATGGAAAGCTATATATTTTTGTTTTCTAAAATTTTGCTTTTTACTACTACTTACTGAGGTGGCTCTCCTATTCATTTGTGTATCCACTTACCTGTCACCTTGTCTAGAATTTATTCAGGAGCCTTCCAAGTAGTTTTGATAAAGTAAGTAAGTTCAGCACTTTCGGAAGGTATGTCAGACAGGGCCCTAGAAGGAAATGGCTAGTATAACAAGCTGGACATTTGACGATTGTTTTAATTATGGGAATACTGAGGTGTACTTCCTTAGAGGTGTAGGCAAGTTAAGAGAACCCACATGAGATATTGCAGTATCTACGGAGCAGCAGCAGCAGGAATCCCAAGTCCAAAGGGCAAGGAGAGGAAATAGTTGAGAGCTAGAGCCTCAGACAAGGTGACACCTGATGGAAGTTGTGACTGTAGAAGAACACAAATGTTAATAAGTCTCTAGAATCAGGGAGGGAGCAGGAGTACCTCCGCCTCATCTCCCAGCTCCTGCCAGGTTCTTCCATAAGCTGAATTCAGGCAGAAATCAGAAGGCAAGAGAACCTGCATGATAAAGTCTTCAGAAGTCACATATCAGAGCAGAACAGAAAAGAGCAAATGTTGGGCAGGGAGGGAAAGGAAGGCAAAGAGAGAGTAAAGAGCTCAGGCAGTTTCTTTAAAATTAATTGGAAGTAGGAAGATGTGGGGATGCAATCTGAACAAGGTAGCTCTCTTACTGACTGGCAAAAATTTTGGCCAGGTGGCTCATGCCTGTAATCCCAGCACTTTGGGAGGCTGAGGCGGACAGATCACCTGAGGTCAGGAGTTCAAGACCAGCCTGATCAACATGGTGAAACCTCATCTCTACTAAAAATACAAAAACTAGCCAGGCGTGGTGGTGCTTGCCTGTAATCCCAGCTACCCTGGAGCTGGGGCAAGAGAATCAATTGAGCCTGGGAGGCGGAAGTTGCAGTGAGCTGAGATCACAGCATTGCACTCCAGCCTGGGTGACAAGAGCAAGACTCCATCTCAAAAACAAAAAACAAAAAACACCTGGCCCCAATTATTAGAATAGTGCTAACAAAAGTATCTTGATAACTTCATCCTGCCTTGATATAACAGCTCCAGGTTCCCTCTGATTTCCCACATAGGTACTTCTTCCAAATCAAGCATACAAAGGCGATATGGTATATAATAAAATCCAGAGGCCATAAGGGGCAGCATATCTGTCAACCCATTTGCCAATATGCTGTGCACCAAGTAATCGTGACTATAACACATGATACGCGGGACAGGTGTGTGTAGAAGAAAGTTAAGGTCAGCGATCAAGACAAGCTACAACCAGGTGAAGGAGGGTTAACTCTGAATGCAGCTCAGAGTGATCAGAATATCCCATGGCCAACCCAAGTCTTCTTTTTTTTTCTTTTCTTTTGAAATGGAGTCTTGCTCTGTTGCCTAGACTGGAGTGCAGTGGCGCGATCTCGGCTCACTGCAAGCTCTGCCTCCCACAACCCAAGTCTTTTGAGGGTGAATAAATTGTTACCACCTTTATCCAGCTCTACCTAGTGAGAAGGCGCTCACGGGAAAGTAACTCTTCCCATTGCCTTTTTGAAAAAAGAGCTCGTACCATGGCTGATGCTCTCCTTGAAATAAAGAGCTTAACTAAATTGATATCTATCATCTATTCATAGAGAATGAGAAATTGCAAGGTTTTATATTTTCATTAAATATAAATATCAAAAATTAAAGAAAGACCAACACAAATATGTCCAATTGTTTTTGACAAAAGTGCAAAAGCAAGTTAACAAAGGGCAGCCTTTTCAACCAACAACAAATGGTGCAGGTGCAATTGGACATTGATAACGATGCCAACAGAAAAAGAACCACAACCTAAGTCTCTCCTTTTATAAAAAATCAACTCAAAATGGATCACAAATTTACATGTAAAATGTAAAATCATAAAATTTTTAGCAAAAAACATGAACAATTCTTAAGGCCAAGGGTTAGATAAAGAGCTTGTAGACATGACATCAAAAGTACAACTATAAAAGAAAAATAAATAATAAATTGGATCTCATTAAAATTGAAAATTTTTACTTTGTAAAAGAACCTGCTAAGATGATGAAAAGACAAGCTATAGACTACCACAAAATATTTGCAAACCACATATCTGATGAACGACTAATATCTAGAATGTATGAAGAATTTTCAAGATTCAACAATAAATAAAAAATAAGCGGCTGGGCACGGTGGCTCATGCTTGTAATCCCAGCACTTTGAGAGGCCATGGCGGGTGGATCGCCTGAGGTCAGGAGTTAAGGCCAGCCTGGCCAACATGGCAAAACCCCATTTCTACTAAAAATACAAAAAAAAAAAAATTAGCTGGGTGTGGTGGTGGGTGCCTGTAATCCCAGCTACTCGGGAGGCTGAGGCAGGAGAATCACTTGAACCTGGGAGGTGGAGGTTGCAGTGAGCCGAGATCACGCCAATGCACTCCAGCCTGGGCAACAAAGCAAGGCTCTGTCTCAAAATAAATAAATAAATTAAATAAATAAATAAATAATAAGCAATGCTAAAAATACAAAATAGTGACAACTTCAAATGCTGGCAAGGATGTGGAGAAACTGAACCACTGTTAGATTTATGGTGGTAAAGTGGAATAGTATTACCACTCTGGAAAACAATTTGGCAGTTTCTTAGAAAAAGTAAACCTAAAATTACCATGAAACAAACATGAGAACTTTTTACAAGTATTGCCATTTCATCTTTATACTAGTTAATGAAATATAGAATATATCAAATTGTTATAATGCTAGTGCAATAAATTTATTATACAGAGACACAATCTCAATAGTCTGTACACATACGATAAAATGTAGTATCCCTTTTCAAAAGCTATAAGTATTTTCTTCAATTCAGAATGTGAACTCTATTTCATTAAATAATTATAATCTAGAATTCAGGCTTGTATCCCTTAATGTCAAATTAAACCACTGAATTACACAGAAAAGAAAATCAAAATAGAAGAGTCAATGACACACCAATTGTCTTGTGACGTCATTTTATTTTCAGCTACATAGACATCTTTCTCATGTATTGTTACTAGAACAACTTGTATAGGGTTTTATGGTTTGGGGAAAACATTTTTAAAAAATGGACTTATCTCTATTATACAGAGTTATAATATAAAAATGATTTAAAGGCTATATTTTTCAGCATGTAGGTAGCTACACTGTAATCCTGTTGAAGAAACTTTCCTATTTAAGCTTATAGGATGAAAATATATAATTAAAGTCTTCTGATCATAGCTTGAGACCATCAAGGGAATGTTTAGTTTCCTCCACAAAGAGCCACCAGGATTTTCTCATAATCTCCTTTGGTTTCATCCTGTTGATTCAAAAAAAGGTATACTTAATGTTAGTCGAAACCATAATTCTCTATTTTTTTTTACTTATAGAAGAATTATTTTTAGACTTAGCTGTAGATGAGATTACACATTACCATTCACTTAATTAAACAATATATACAACAGATAACTGATTTTTTATCATTGCATAAAAAAGCAATAGCCTTCAAGACTGAGATTACAAACTTTTCTGAATTAATTATGTTTTATATTAGTGCCATTATTTTCTATGAATGAAATATCACACAAAATTAAATAAGTATAACACAATATAATCTCATATCTTATGTGAGGAGATACCTGATTCACTCACCAGAAGAAGAGAAATGTATAGTGCCTGTAATTTTCTCACATTTTCTGGGTAGATTTTAGTTATCCAATATGACTAATTAATTAAATTTGAATCGTTATCTACCTTTCAGTAAGTCCAAAACCCTTGACTGTTCTTTGTCTTATTTTTTAACATTCTTATGAGACAATTTGAACATAAATTTTAAACATTTTACATGTGATAGAATTAAGATAAATATTTTGAATAAGGAGTTTCTAATCCTCTGACAAATATTAATGGCAAAATAAACCACAATGTCTATCTACCCTAGGGGGAACACTAGAATATTCTGCTTGCTGAATTTATGCATGGGAAACTAAATGTTTCCATGACTTTAGTTGAAAAATGTACCCAGTATTTCAGTAGAGAACTCACTAGTAGATTTTACCAGTGAAAGTTCAATTTACTCATGAAGTATACACCATAATATATTAAATTAATCTTACATATTAAATTTATAGATACAATAAGTCAACTCTTCTCCTTGAAGATCTTGCAAAAAGAACTTTCATTTGTTGGGATGGCATTAGAGGAATCAAAACATACCAGGATGGCTTGGCAAAGGGAGATACCATACATCTTCTGATAGAATGCTTTGATATCATTCATGTCAATTTCAGAACGGGAAACCATAATCCTGATCAATGCCTTATGGCGAGTTCCAACACCCTGGCCAAAATAAATGAGGGTAAGTGTCTCATATTCAGAAAATACTCTCATTAAAAACATGAATTTTAAAGTGAAGCCTTCTTACTCTTCCATATAATTTCTATAGAGAAACTAGCTATACACACACACACACACACACACACACACACACCTTACACGAATGGTAATGAAATGAAAATAAATAATCCTCTACATTAGCGGTAGGTATAGAGAGCTGTCACAACTTCCTAACTCATCTCTCACCATCCGGTCTCTACACTGTCCAATAATTACAAAAAAAGGGAACTTCTAAACTGCAAATCTAATAAACTAGTCTATCTATTTAAAACACTGTCAGTGATCTTCTGTTGCTCTTAGGATAGAATCTAATCAGGGCTTCCGATATCCTGCCTAATTCTTTTTCAAGGCTTACAATATCCTGCCTAATTCTACCATCTCTTCCAGTGTGCACCATCACTCTATACTTACTGTCTTGAGAAGGTTATGTTACCTTTTGCCTTCAAGCCTGTGTGTGGGTTACTTCTTCCTCTTGGACCACCCTTGCTTTATCCCCATCTCTTCCACTCTTGCCCTCATCTGGCTCATTTCTATTTAAACTTCAGGTGTTAATTTAGCTGACAGCAATGCTACCTGGATTTCCAAAGTCTGGAGTATATGTCCCACTTTTCTCTTCCATGGCACCAGGTATTCATCATTACCCAACGAAATATCACACTAGACTATGGCAGAAAGGGGGCAGCAACTATGCTAACCACTACAGAGCAGTACCTAGCATGTCTATCATTTCATATTATTCAAATTATTCATATATATTCAAAATATTCCTTCATATTATTCAAATAGTTAGATCTTTCTTTCTCTCTCTCTCTGAAAACCTCCTTATTTTGGAGCTGCAAAGAAAAAAGGAAGATAACTTCATAACTATTCATTTGTGGGCTCAAAATGTCAGAATAGAAGAGGTACCTTGTATAATACCATGCATGTCAGACAGTAAAGTTAAAGTGACATAGTTGATCTCAAATACATCATTCTACATCCTTAATCATAGAATGACATTTCAAAAGTTTCAACTATTAATCTGTGGCATAAAAGACAGAATAATAAAAACAACAAATCAGACTCATAAAGTGGGAGATTATAAAACTCACAACCTTAGAGGAAGTAGGCCACTAAAATTACACGTTAAAAAAGAAAGTACATCACCCTTCCCGTGGTGACACATGTTTTAAGCAAATCACAAGTGAGCCGTAAATCACTTACAGGCTCACTTTACAATCTCATCTGTAAAAAAAAGCACCGAATCTAACAGAAGTTTATTCTGAGAAGGTAGTGTATTACCTCTTTCATCAAATAGAACAATGATTCTCATTAATGGGAAGATATTAAATGTGAGATTTTCAAACAACATGAGGTTTTCTGTTCTTTCTACAAATAATTCTTCCTCTAAGCAGGACATATAAGTAGAATGGTACATACTTTCATGGCTTGATGAAGCTTCTCTGCAAAGAAAGCTGGTTTGCTTGTGGCGCACTTCACTGTTAGAGAAGAAAATTTTAGTTGATGTATTTACCATGAAAAAAATGAAATATCCATATGAAAGAAACAGGAAATATAGAATTTTGCCAACAGTGTTCTATCCCTCATCATCATTCTTCACCTCTCATCTCCCAATATAGGGCAGTTAACTTCTGAGAAGGTATTTGTGACTCTCTAGATGGTGGTTTTGAATATTCTTTTCCCTGACGATCAATTTTTTTATTACCTTAAATACATCTCAAGAGCAACTTCAGTAGTTTGCGCTATCCAACATATATTCTCCTTGGGAGTGGAGAAGCCACTAGGTGTTCAAGCCTATGTAAATACTTTATTTATGTTACTATAAGAACATTTAAAAAGAACACCCTATGAACAACAGACACTGCAGACTACTAGAGAGGGCAGGGAGAGAAGGGGCATTGGTCAAAAAACTACTTATTGGGTACTATGCTCACTGCCTGAGTGCAGAACACCCATGGAACAAACGTGCACATGTACCTCTGTGTCTAAAGTAAGAGTTGCACAAACAAATAAGTAAAAATAAATGAATAAATGAAGAAAAAACTCTGGGATAGGATGGGCTTAAATATAAAACAGAACCCAAATAATACTAGCACATTCCAGTTCATAGTGTTCTTCATCTTGTCGAGATCTATGGACCAACAGCATTGGCATCAATGGGGAGCTTGTTAGAAAAGCAGAATCTAAGCTCCACCCCAGACCTGGGGAATCAGAATCTGCATTTTAACAAGCTTTCCAGGGGATTCAAGTGCATAGTCATGAATGAGAAACACTGCTTGAGAACATAGGTTCCCCAACCCTGATGGTTGTCTGAATAACCTGGGAGATCTTTAAAAAGTACCGATTTTTAGAGGCCAACTCGGACCCACTGAATCAGACTCTCCTGGACCTGCCCAAGATTGTACAATTAACAAGCAGTAGACCAGGACTTGAAGTTACATTTATCCAGATGTTACATTTATTCCAGATCCCATGCTCTCAGTGACCATTCTGAATTGCCTCTGTGGTGTGCCCAGCCTGGTACATTGTTTGATATAAGTAGGTGCTCAATAAGTATAGTCTATCTCTCTCTATTTTTGAAAAGGGGAATAATATCTATTGTTATTAAGGTTATAGTACTTTGCCAATCTTTTACGTTGCTTCAATTGAAACAGATGCACTACTTCTGATTGTTTTTTGTTTTCTTTTATTGGTTTTGTTGCTGTTGTTCTTGTTAAGTATAGGATAGCTTTGAAAATACAATTTCTAGTTAGAAAACTCTTTCAACTGCTGGACTACATACCGATAGCTGTGAGGCATTTCTCAATGTCACCTTTCAACTCCAGGTCCAGAACTTTGTTCATGTCATGCTTACTGTACTTGGTGTATTTCTGAAACACTGAATATTAAATTCAAACTAAGATACATGCAAAACATCCTTTTCTTTAGAAAGCTTTAGCAAAATCAAGGCAACTGACTCAAAGAATTTTTTAGAATAACAACTTTGGCTACACCTTTTAAAGCAATATACCCAATTAATCATAACGTGAATACTTCATCCTCTCCTAGGAATGTAACTTACCTGGCCATTTTGGTATTCCTATATATTTTGGCGAAATGTTTGCAAATGTTGACAGTTATTAGAAACGGCATGTGATTGACAACTATAGCACTTCCTACAGCAGTTCTAAGAGCCACAGCAAATGGATCTTCCCTTATATAAAGACCTGTGCACTAAATTTCTCTTACATTTAACAGTAGAAATCAGTATACTATTATAAGATGGTGAACTTTGGTAATTGTCATAACTTTTCCATCGCCTTCACTTCCAAGAGGCCCAGAGCTAAATCTTGCACTCAAAGGCCAGGACTTTTTCTGAGTTTTGTCTTGTTGTTGTTTTTCCAAAGCACCTACATATTTCTTTCTTCATTTAGCTCTGAGGGTTTTTTGTTTTTTTTTTTTTGTTTTTCTTCATTCTAATTTCATTTGTTCTGTTATGCATGTCTTTTCCCACACATATTCCAAATCTTTTAGGGGAGTAAAAGCAGTGAAAATAACAAAATTATGTTCCACATGCCCAAGTCACAAAATGTATTAAATATGATAAAGTAGCGGCTGTACAAAATTGGACAAATTGACAAATAACAATGGGTCAGGAACACTGTATCTGTTTGATACAGGAGTGATATTGAAAAAGGGTTCTGTTTTTACTTTCTCTTATTTGTCATCAAAAAAGAAAATTGCATCTTCCATAAACAGATTCCAGAAAAAGAAATTTATTGTTACCTCTGCGAAGTTGTGGATAGCTTCTGGTGGTAAGGATGGTATTGAACACGTTTACGTCTGTCCCCTTTCTCCTTTCTCCTGCTTCATACAAGGCCTGTCAAGAAACACAAAAGTAAACACTTCACTATCTGCTGAAATGATATCTGCACAATAATGTTAGACCTTGTCAAAGATTATATAGGCAATCGCTTTGTGCCCAATACAATCAGAGTAGTCAACAATAAGATTGCAAGTTCTTTAAAGATAGGGACCTTATTTTGTTTGTCAAATATCTTCCACAGTTTCTCTCAAGGTGCCTTGTAAACACTAGAGTCTGAATATATGTTTGCAGAATAAATGTTTGCTGAACTAAATTGCTTTAAGATTATGCTCTATAGTAAGACAACTCCAAGGGGATCTCTAAAGATTTTTTACTCTGTGTTGTTCAAAGTAATTATCAGCAAATGTTACTTATAAATCAATAATTCAACCGTAACCTGGACCTTGCATTTTGATGTTAGAATTTCTGTATTCAAATTCTGACTCTGCAATTTCAAAGCTGCATAATCTTAGACAAATAGATCAACCTTACTAAATGACAGATTTTTTTCTTTTATATATGAAAAATATAATCCCTGCCCTATTGTCACAAGCGGTCTTTATTAACTTTGAAATGTTGACTACCATCATTCTCTTGGGTCACACTAATCCATGTAACCTCCATAAATATATATTAAGAACCCTGATAGTCTTAAAATGGAAAGCAAATTCAGAAATGTCAAAAGCAAATAAGAATTTTTTATTATGGGCAATTATTCAAATGCTAACTCTTGTTCCTTAATATGCTTGAACAATTTCTATTAAAATGATAAAACCTTCAATGTATGTAAAAATTATTTTGCATTTTTCAAGCAAATTGATCTGATATGTATGCATTTGTTGAACAAAAAGTTCATGAGTGCCTATTATGTACATGATAATGTACTGGTATAGCAGAAGTGGATGGGGGTGCACAAAGAAATCTCTATCCTTAGTGAAGCACTGTAATGAATTCTCTAGAGAATACTGTTCCATGAGAAGGCATAATGCAAATATTAGTTGTTTGTTTGTTTTAAATGGAAATTCCAGGCTTTAAAATGATATGATTTTTCTTATGTTGCCAGTGGTTTGGCATATAAATAATCAGCAATGTCACTGAAACTAAATAAAACAATATGTTAGAAAGCATATATTATTATAATTTATCCTATACTCTTGTTATATCATTGCAGTAATATTTTGACAATATAAATTGACATCTATAAACCATTCCAAAGTTCTCTGTTAAAAATAACGTTAAATATGCTTACTCTTTCCATTGCACATAATAAAAAAATTACATTTCCCCTTCTTATACCTAGTACAACGAAAGGTCAGAGTTTTTTTTAACAAACAATTCTTGGGAATGACAAATCAAATTTGTATTGTCCTTCTTCAGTTCTCTCTGGTTTTACGAATAATGAGAGATATTGAAAACTTACAAAGACTACTTTTTTGTGTGTGGGGGCTACAGAAAGACATGCCTCATTCAGGAAATGAACATTAAGAAGCCATTGGTCTCTCAGAAGATCTTAGATTTGCTTTCACAGGGGATCATGTGGTAGCCCCACTTAAGGTAGGAAGATGAACTGCAGCAGTATTTTGTAAGCACTTCCTTACCCTGGCATCTGAATCAGCCAAGTCTTCATTCACACCAAAGTCCTCAGATCGGTCACCCTGAAAGAAATCCCATTCTATTGTAAGCTCTTCTCTAGCATGTAATTGCATGATTTACTTAATTATCTTAAACTCAGATAAATAATATTTTTTGAGAAAAAGGTATTCTATTACTCATTTCTAGAAGGAGCTCAGATACAAGATTTTACTTGCGATGGTTTTAGATGTTCTTCCCCTCCAAACCTCATGTTGAAATTTGATCCCCAGTGTTAAAGGTGGGGCCTAGAGGGAGGTATTTGGGTCCTGGGGCTGATCTCTCATGAAGAGATTAATGCCGTCACTGGGAATGAGTTCTTGCTCATGAGAACCACGAGAGCTGGTTGTTAACGAGGCTGGCACCTCCCCATTCTCTCTCTTGCTTCCTTTCTTGCCATGTGGTCTCTGCACACACCAGCTCCCTTTCCTCTTCTGTCAGGAGTGGAAGCAGCCTGAGGCTCTCACCAGACATAGATACCCAAACTTGAATTTGTTAGCCATCAGAATCCTGAGCCAAATAAACCTTTTTATCTTTAAAAATTACCTAGCCTCAGA
This sequence comes from Homo sapiens, assembly GCF_000001405.40. Lineage (NCBI taxonomy): Eukaryota > Metazoa > Chordata > Mammalia > Primates > Hominidae > Homo > Homo sapiens. The sequence goes on along the minus strand of NC_000009.12, from coordinate 73,162,944 downwards.
TATTCCCTTATAGCAACACAAAATGGACTAAGAAATTAGTCTTTATAAAACAAGAGGCATTTCCTAAAGTATCTGAGTTGTACCTTAGCAAGAGAAAGCAAAGCGTTCCGAAAATCTCCAGATGTGTCTGAGGTTATGTCTTTGGCCAGATCTCTCTTCAGTTCTGAGAAAAAAGAAAAATAGATTTTATAGTAAACCAGTGATGAATAATAATAAGAATATCTGACATCTCTAAGTTGGTTGAAAATTCACAGTGCCACAGTGTTCAATGACTTATGGAACATGTTGCAAAATATTATCATTTTTAAATAAGAAGAGAAAAATTAAAGCAGGTAAATTTTTGGATCATTGAATTTATTTCATATGAAGCAATGGGAGCAATTTAGATAATACTGTGATTGAAAACTCACAGTCATAAAGCTTTCGTTAAGAATAAATTGTATAGGTATACATTAGTAATTAATTCTGAAATACAACATGGCAGAATTTAAGCAATAGAATGAATAAAATAATTGTTTAAAAGAACAAAATGAGGTACTTGCTTGAATGCAAATTATTTATTTAGTTTAAAAACTATAAATGTCTTATAAGTAATGCAGTTTGATGATTTATGTGTGTGTAAACACTTCTGCTTAACTACATAAAATAATACTGTAATAGGAAAAAATAATTGAATTTATAATTGACTAGTGCTATGGTTTTCATATTGTTTGTTTGGCCCTGCCAAGTCTCATGTTGCAATTTATTCTCCACTGTTGAAGGTGGGGCCTGTTGGGAGATGTTTGGATGATGGGGGCAGATCCCTCATGAATGGCTCGGAGTGAGTTCTCATTCATAGTTTCTTTAAGAACTGGCTGTTGAAAAGAGCCTGGCACCTCCTTTTCTCTCTCTCCCTCTCTGCACACATCTGCTTCTGTCTGCTTTCTGCCATGAGTAGAAGTAGTATGAGGCCCTCATCAAAAGCAGACGCTGGTCCCATACTACTTGTACAGTATTTCCTTTCTTTTTACATTACTTGGTCTCAGATATTTCTTTATAGCAACACAAACGGACTAAAACAACTTGAAACTGGGCAATGTAATAAACTATCACTGGCCTATATCTTGGCCATATGAAAAATATATAAACACTTATTTTTATAAACTATGTTTTATCAAACAAAAATAATCATCATTATTACCACTGACACATGGATCTAACATAAACATTGGTAATTAAATAAGAATTGCAGAAAATGAGGTTTAAAAGCTTCCTTATTTTTATTCTTTTATTAAATTCCTCTGAAAATGATATGCAAAAGCTATTGTATTCTCCATGCTTGGTATGAGAATCAAGCAGAAAGATCTTCTATATGCCATATATTGCATTGGGAAAGCCAAAAAGCCAGCAGCTCAGGGAAATGAGAGTAGGAAAATGGTAAGAGACTTGCAATTACCCTCTTTTCAGTGTTGAGCACATCATTTAAATGAGATGCTTCACTGGAGAGATAAAATAAGCTAAGACTAGTCTTTTATTCTGTGAATTTAACTAGAGATAAAGTGAGTCTCTTATGTTCATAACGATAAAGTTAAGGTTTCCAACAGAGAATTATAAGCACCTAATTCTTTACTTTTTCAAGGACAAATGAAAAACATTTTGTTAGGAGATTTTTTTGTTATTATATATTCTTTTCAAAAAAAATGACCTTGGGACATTTTTATAAAATACATTCCAGAATAATAGAAAAGTGTTTTTCAGAAATTTTTAAAAATTCAATGCTCTGAATTGAGGTTTCCATTATAATCGTATGTGGCCATTTATCCTAGAGGAACATTTTCTATTAAAACGCAAGCTTGATGCGGATTGGGACACCATCTCCCTTGTCAGCAACCTAGCAACTCAAGCGTTGCCTGGTAACAGCATTTAATAGACATGTGCCAAACAATAAAGAAACATTTTGATATGTGGAGATTCCAAAGCTGCCATAATTACCATAGACAGTCAATTTTAAGAAAGTATATTAGATTTCCTTTTCAAATAAGGCGTTTGGACTGTTGGACATTACAACTTACCCTCTCTGTAGACCCTGTTAATGTCTCTGATTTCTTTGTTAGTTCTTGATGCCAAAATCTCAATTAGAGTATCTTCATCAGTTCCAAGGCCCTAAATTTGAAGAGAAGAAAAGGATAAATGTAGAAAAAAATCTTCATGCAAGAGGATCAATGAGTTTTTGGTGTTCCAAAATTTGTTTGACTCTGTCATTTAGTAAATTTCACCCACAACATTTAATAATTACAATAAGCTCTATTACATTGCCCTAAAACAAAACAAGTTTATCATCAATATTTTGGGTAAAAATAAAAATGCAAATATATGACTCATATAGTGACATGACATGGAAGGTGTTAGTGCCAACATTTCTGTTTTCATTTATATATTAATTCCTTCATTGAGGTATTAATTTATTTATTCTTCAAACTCCCACTGATTGACAGGTACTATACTAGATTTTGAAAATAACATAAGCATAAGTGACTTGCCCAATACATCCTCTTGAGGAAAGGAGTTTGCTCAAATTGGGCGATTTACCTTCATGGCAGCACGAAGTTCATCAGCATCAAATTGCGCTGGAGTTTTTAGCAGAGCTAAAACAACCTCCTCAAGGTGACCTGTAAGGGCTTTCTTCAGTGTTTCATCCAGGGGCTACAAAAAAAAAGATTAGAATCAGGACTTCCAATAAGTAACATGCTAGGTTAAAAAATGTGATATTACCTGACTTTAGGTCATCGTACAACTCATCCCTAAACCCAACCATCTTTTAGAGCTTCTTCCCTTCACATACAAAGTGTACCAAATATTTTGAAACATTATCTTACCCTTCCAGATCTAGAGGGATTAAAATAAAATTTACTGAATTCATCAATAACTTCTTAAAGCATAGGGTTAGTAATCTTATACACAGGGGAGAAATCACAAAGATCAAAACACAGAGGACTGTGTGCTAACAGAAAACAGAAGTAAAATTACTTTTAAAATAATATATTCATGTTTCCAATCTTTGAGGTTTGTACTTCTCAAATAACAAGCAGTATAATCAGATACTGAAATTATATAGTTTTCTAATTTCATTGCTTTAGAAAACTACTCATATTTGGTATAAAAGACATAAGGCTTATTTTTAAAGTAGAATTATATATAAAATTTAGGCATTAAACAGTTCAGTTTAAATATTAGTACATTTCAATCAGACCATATTCTTTATTGACAGCAGCAATCTCGATGTTTACGTTCAAATTAAAAATTTGTCCCCAGAGCACCACATCTGCAAACAATATACACCAAGATGACTAATGTATAAAAATAGGAAATTTGATAAAATTGATTAAATTGCAACAAAGTGGATAAACACTGCAATCCCAATCATAGATGTAATGAGAAAACAGTGGTTAGAACCTTAAAGAACTAGGTAACTGTGCTTCCGAATCCATGGTTAAGTATAACTATGCTGAAATTAAATATCTAAATTTACCACTCTAACTTACCTTTCCTGTTTCCTGGAGATATGCTGCTTTGATCTGTTGACGCTGTGCATTGTTTCGCTTAGTTAGAATGTCAATGATGGTTGCTTCATCCACACCTGGAAATAAAGGGCCAACAGCCTTTAACACCAATTTTCTTCATCATCAATTGACATAAAATAATTCATTACTGAGATGCTCCAAAAGAACTTCTTAACAAATTAAGAAATATAAATTATATATCAGCCTAAAAAATCGATGCTATACTACATATCAAGGAAGCACTTGGGAGAATGACATTTCATTCGAGTGAGAAAGGAAGAGACAATTAACTTTTCCTGGCCCTCAGTGTTGCAGTGTTTGATACTAGTTGCAACTCTATATGTGAACAGAGCTTTTAATTTCAGCATGGAATTTCTGCTAGAAATGAGCCAGTAATATCTGCTGTAACAATAGAGATTCCACTGATGTGAACACAATTTCCTCAGTGTTAAGTAAATAATTACATCTTCGTTTGGCAAAGAAATGTTTTTATCTTCAAAATGAAACAGATTCTTTCCATTGCACATGTCTGTTTTTTGACAGTCATTCAAATAGCCATTCTGAAATGTCCAGGAGGGAACTGTTTTGAGGAAACACGTTACCTTTAACCATTATGGCCTTATGCAAGGCAGCGACATCCGAGGATGGATTGAAGGTAGGATAGGGGCTCACCGCTGATCCGGGACCACCTTTGGATGACTTCACAGTTTGCTAAGAATGAGAGAGAAATAAATTAATGGCCATTTACTTATATTCGTTTTTATTTCAATATTGTAATCATAATTTTATTATCACTCTACTTACAACATATTCCTGCTCTTCATTTTCAATAAACCAGGCCTGCTTGAGGAATTCTGATACCATTGCCATTTTTGAAAAAGTGTCTGGAAAGAAAACAGTTAGATGCTTTTACAAAACAAATGCACCACACACAACCTCTCCTTCCTCACCTCTTACATACATAAGAGTTAGCATTAGAGAGTAGCCTTGCGCTTACTTTCCAGGATCAATTACACTTAGGAGCATAACAAAATGTAAGACGTAATTTTTTTTAAAGGAAGCTTTTATACTTAAAATGAAACCATACCCTCCTCTCTGAAATTGAACTCTTTCTTGGCATATTCAGTTCTAAATTTTAGAGATCAGACAACTACTACAAGTAAGCACACAGGCTGAAGAGAGGAGTTTGTGGTTCACTACATTGTTCTAAATTTGTAGACCACCCACCATATGCCAAGCACTAAGAGTACAAAAACATTGAAATATCATCTTAAGTACCCTCAGGACTTAAAGCTAGTGTGTGCTCTCCATAGGAAAACATAAGGGCTAAAGAAACTTCTTAGAGTAGGCCCTGGCTGACCCAAGCCTCTCTTGAAATGAGTCAAGATTAACCTGGCAGAAAAGTTAAAGAAGAAGCTTGTCATATTTGGGAAGCAGAAGAAAGTTTGCTGGAGCGAGAAATGTTGGCAGAAGCTGAAACAAGAAGCTTCAATGTGTCCACAAAGCTTTGGGAAAACATTAATGGGTTTCTTTTTGTTTGTTTGTTTTTTTAAAGCAGCATGGTTTCATTTATGTTTCCGAAAGACCATTCATCCTTTATCATGGAGAATGGCTAAGAGATAGACAAGATGGAGGATTAGAATACTATTTAGTAGACCATTAGACCATCTATGTGGAATTAATGAGAGCCTGTACAAAAGTAATGGCTAGATGAAAAGCTTAATGATTGCTTTTTTTTTTTTTTTTTTTTTTGAGATGGAGTCTTTCTCTGTCGCCCAGGCTGGAGTGCAGTGGTGAAATCTCGACTCACTGCAACCTCCGTCTCCTGGGTTCAAGCAATTCTCCTGCCTCAGCCTCCTGAGTAGCTGGGATTACAGGCACCAGCCACCACGCCCGGCTAATTTTTGTATTTTTAGTAGAGACAGGTTTTCACCATGTTGGCTAGGCTGATTTTGAACTCATGACCCCAAGTGATCTGCCCGCCTCGGCCTCCCAAAGTGCTGGAATTACAGGTGTGAGCTACCACTCCCAGCCAATGATTACATTTATAAGGTAAAATAACTTGTGCCAATCTGTACAAGTGAATTCAGATTTAAAATTTTAATTGTAAAAAGATATCCAGGTGATATTTCTCCCTGAATAATTTAGTTTCCTTTTCTATTTCTTGATATAAAAGTACTCAGCATTGAAGTAATTGCTATCTTCACATTTCTTCCTATTTGAGCTGTCTAAATAGTAGTCCTACATATTTTCCCACCCAACACAAAAAACCCAGAAAAGAATTATTTTATACTGGATTTTTTTGTTGTAGCAGGAAGCCTAGAGGTGCAATTGTAACATGCATGTTCTTTTGGCAAACTCTATCTTAAAGGAAATTTCTTGAATTGCTATCATGACTTGGCAATATTTTTATTTAATGAGACATATATTTTTAAGATCTTAAGTATATTGAAAATTAATGTGTTCTCTGTTTTGGCCACACACACACAAAATGCCATCACAGATCCTTTTAGTCTGGGGATGTTTTTCAGAGGCCTTGCTCAAGGTCTACACTGATCTGTCTATCTACACCATTCTGTTTCACCCCTCTAGAGACTACTCTCATGAATGTTTGTGAGAGAGGTTGGGAGGACAATCTTGGCAGTTTTAAATTCTTGATATGAAGATAAATGACTCATGAGGCATAAACTGATTCCATAAACTGATTCCTCAACAGCATGTTCAGACAAACTCTTTCCATTTTCACCTGCTAAAAAGTAACTGGAGTTGCAAGTAATAACACTGAATGCATGAAGAAAATAATATCCAAAGCAGAAATCATCCCCACTTAATTCGCATGGGATTGCTCTTATTACTATTCTGTCATCTGTGAGAAGAACCAATACTTTTTCCATTCATTTAAAGCAGCCTGTTTCCTAAATATAATTGATAGACTTAAAATTGCTTCCTGATAAAGTAACAACCCGCAATTTTGCACAAGGTTTTAGTTCCCATTACAGTCTAGTTTCATGCAATTGCGGTTGCCACATGGAGTTTCATATTCCACCTTCTTAATTGGCACACCCAATACTTTAAAAGCAATTCTAGCAGCTTCAGGCACTCAAAATTTCCATTTTCATCATTTCATCCAAGGCTTTGATAAGGAAGAATCATCAAAATGAGTGTTAAAATTCATCACTTGGCAAAGTACTACTCCATCACTTATAAAAACATGTTTTTATTATTTATTTATTTTATTTATTTATTTATTTATTTATATTATTTATTATTATTATTTATTTATTATTATTATTATTATTATTCCATTCTTTTCAATTAGCAAATAAAAACTTCAAAAGAAAGCAAAAGAAAGACTAAAGATATTGTCCAGTCTAATATTAAAGGTGTCTCTGACAACTTCAAAATAAACGTTATAAAAACTTTACTGTACTGTTTTTTTTTTACTTCTAAAAAATACTTGAATAATGTCCATTTAAAAAAAAAGCCAGAGAAAGCCCAGGAAAAGGTATATTAATTACATAACACAAGATAACAAAAATAAGTTGTTTAAGTCACTTATTTGAAAGAGAGAGCATCCCTAGAGGAGACAGCTTTGTGATTTGTATCTTCTAAGTTCCTACATTCTAGCCTGAAGTATTTGGATAGACTAAAAGCATAATCTAGGAAAGAAAAGCAACCAATAGAGAATTTTCTTCAAGAAATCAATTAGAGAAAAACGGAATCTGAATTCAGCCAAATTCACCACCAGCTCTTAGCAAAGATTAAAGACAGGAGCATCAAGGCAGGATATAAGAAATTGCTCTAAAGGAAACAGATTTTATCACATACAGCTGGTTAAGGGCTCAAAGCCAACTGCACGTATTAACTGAACTTCTGAATAATTATAATACAACTAACAAATACCAAATATATATTTTTTTATATATTGGCCAAATTCTATCCTTAAGCCGTTCTGACTCTTCAATACCTACACTCTGCATGAAAACCTGCCTAAGCCAATGAGTTCATGAAAGGTTTTCTTTTTTCTATCTTTTTGTTTGTAGTGTATAAAGCTTGCAATAGATTTTAAAGAGCCTGTTCTATCAACTTATAGATTTCAACTAACTCAATACAGATTTCAACTAACCAAAGATAAGCTCTAAAACTAAGTTTATTTCAGTACTTAGCATGAGCTCATTGACGGTGAAATTGGCCATTTATACATAGGCAAATCTATAAGGAAATTAACAATATTTCACATTTCTTCTAATTAATGGTCTTTTTGTGAACATGCACTGCCTACTAATGTCAGCTTATCTATGATTTGAATGTATAGCTTTCTAAAGCGTAGCAATTTTTTTGCATATTTATGTGTCCTAAGAGAGTCCCCCCGCTTCATTTTTCCATCTCTCAGCCTCATGAAAGGCTACCTCTATCTAGAATTTGTGACAGAGGAAGCTGAGTTTTGTGGTTGATTGTATCTTCCTGGTTACAATCTAGAACTATCAGAGTTTTGCAATGATAGTAACAGCAATGACTAACCCTTGCTTGGAATAATAGCCTTTAATCATTATCCTCAGTTTCTATCTGGGAAAACTGAGTGCTATTTTCAAGCAGTCTTCCTGCTAGTAGTGGCAAGAATGGAGACATAAATCCATCCCTTTTGATTCCAAAGTGTTATATATTTTGGCTGTGCATGGTGGCTCACACCTGCAATCCCAGCAATTTAGGAGGCCAAGGTGGGCAGATTACTTGAGGCCAGGAGTTCAAGACCAGCCTGGCCAGCATGGCGAAACCCCGTCTCTACCAAAAGTACAAAAATCAGCCAGGCATGGTGGTGTGCACCTGTAGTCCCATCTACTCAGAAGGCTGAGGCAGGAGAATCACTTGAACCCAGGAAGAGGCGGAGGCTGCAGTGAGCCGAGATTGTACCACTACACTCCATCCTGGGCGACATAACAAGACTCTGTCGGGAAGAAAGAAAGAAAAAGAAAAGAAAAGAAAAAAGAAAAGAAAGAGAAGGGAGGGAGGGAATTAGTGACCAAAAAGAAAATGACATGATCAGTGTTCTTTTAATCACTCACACCTGAGAATCAAATTCATTAACAGTCAACTTGCGCAGACCGTAGCAGGTTTCACCCCAGCCTTAGGGAGTTTATTTTTAAATGCACGGCCTTGTGCATAGTTTTTCCTCGAATATGTATTTCACAAGTCCTTCCCACACCTTCCCTGGTGAGAGAAAGCAATTAAGACTACACAATGGCATGACTTACAGAAAGCAATTTATGAAAGGTAGCCTCACTAATGTTTTGCTTCCAGGCTTTTCGATAGGGTGTTCTTCTTGCCTGGAATGCTTGTTCCTCCTCCACATTCACTTCCCTTTGCCTAACTAATTGCTACTTCTAAGTGACTCATCAGCATTGATCTCATCACGTTCTTCAGAAACCCTTCATTAGTTCCTCAGCACTGGATTCGGTGACCTTCCATGCTCTCCCAAAGCATCCTGACTTCACCCCTACACCAGCCCCACCTTTCTGTATTATCACTTTCCATTGGCTTGTTTATATTCCCCAGGAGCAGGCCATGAGGCCCGTGCTAACATACAAATAATAATATTCATTATGTATGTACTTCCAATCCCTAGCAAAATGCCTGGAATTTAGGATGTTAATAAGTATTATTGAATGAATATCATGTATCATTGCTAATATTTTAAAAAACATATCTACACTAATTTAATGAACATTTTCTACCCACAACTATAGGATATAAAATACAAATTGAAGTATACTGGTTCTTGATTATCTGGCGATCTGACCTCAAGAAAAACATTTAGCTTCTCCAGAGGGTCTTCGTTTATAAAATAAGAATGTTGAAGTAATTATCATCTAAGATCCATTTACAGCTCTGAAGTGCCAATCTTAAATATTACTTCAAGTAGATGAAGATGAAGAAAATTAGCATAATGAAGGAAGGCATTATATAAATTGGATTGTTCTGAGCTTCCTGATGAAATTCTGTCCAATTTTAAAGGAAAAGGAAATAGTTGACTTCAAAAAACTGTTTATAGTTTATCATTGAAAAATAATAGGTCTGCTGGTTTACCTCTGATTTGAAATGTCGTAAATTAATAGGTCTAGAGAGAGCTAACGTCATATTCAGAAATCAACCTTTGCAGACCTTCTGGTTGAAAAAGTATTTAATAAGCATGAAACTCTGGCTGGTTCCTTAATAATATTATTATTAACTATTTTGTCAACATCTGTTAAATGTTGGCTATGTGCTGGATGTGGTTGAGCCTGGAGCTAGGGTGTTACTGTCACTTTTGGGGAAGAGGCCATTTCAGAATTATGAAACCAACATTTTACCACATTTGAGTCATTTGCAATGTGCATTCTCTTACAGCTACCAAAATACTCCTGTGGAAAGAGGGCAACATTGCTTTCTCAAAGTTTTTACAATCTTTTAGATATAACCAAGGCAAGAAAAATTCCATCCTTGTTAATTAGCTAGCAGTGAACATAAGAAATCAGAACATTTAATAAATATTTAAAATGAACGAACAGAAAAATTCTTGAAGGAACATGTTTAAGAAAAAAATAGCCAGATACATGATTTGTAATCTCACTTTTACAAATATATCCAACACTAGTAAATACTCTTCTTTAGTTTTGCTTTGTGCTTTTCTAAGGAGTTTTATGGCCATTAGCTCATGCAACAATCAAGTGGAATAGCTGTTGGAGGGCCTCACTGACATTCCCCTAGGATAATGTATCTGACACTACCCAGAAAGTATTTCCCTTCTTTTTAGGTTTTCCAGCCAGCACTTGAAAAGACTGTATATGACACAGAGCCTACAAGAAAAGGAATGTGGCCACACCCTCTTTAAATGAAAAAAGTAATAAGCGGACCTTCTTATTTTAAATAGCATAAGCAAATATAACATATATTTTTAAATGTTTATTACAAAGAGCATGATTAGCACTTTGAGGTCTGAATCTATCTTGTTTTCCTTACAAAAGAAGAAAATAAATTATGAAAGTCCTACTATTTTGAAACAGTTCCCTGCAGCCCACTCCTATCACTTTTGTTCTTGCCCCCAAAAAGCAGCCCCCATCACGATTTCTCTGTAAAACACACAGCTCTTGGGAAGAAATATTTCAAGGGGAAGGAAAGGAAAAACACATTCTTTTAAGGCTACCAGAGGGAAAGCACATTCTTCCCTTCTTTCTCATGGTAACTTACCAAGAGTACAATGAGCCAGTATTAAGCAAACTTATCTTATTTTTACTTGTATTTGTTAACTAAGTAGAACAAAAATATTGTAATTTGTGATTCCTAAAATATAAATATCCAATGTAATTCTACAGAAAGATTTATGAATGACTTATCATGTTAAATGCAACTAACCATAAATCCTGTAGAAGCAGTAACATTTAACATAGTGATGAGAAAAGTTTTCAAAACAACCAAAACTAACTAAAAGGAAAACCAAGACTTACCTTTATCTCTACCTTCTTGCAAAGAACTAAAGAGAAATTCTTCTCTGAAGATTTCACACTGGCAGTGGAGACTTGGGCTTCTGATTTTATAGGATTTTAAAGGAAGCCACACCTAGCAACCAGAAGTTAGTAATTGGCTGCCTTCTGTTTGAAGTACATGGCTCAGCTATGTCCAAAAACAAAGTGAAACAAGTCTTGCAAAACTACTCACTAAACCAATTCAACTGGCATTACAAAGGAAAAGAAATGGAAGGGCTGATTTTTCCTCCCTCTTTATTTTGCACTTTTATTTCCAGATGGGATATTTATTTTGCACTTTTATTTTCAGAGTATACATCTGCCCCAATCCTAATACCAGTGATTGGCACACTTTTGTAGTTAAATAGGTTGTAGACTAAAAAGTATGTTACCTTCAAAACTAAACAAACCAACAAACAAAATATTACATTTGAATTCCACCTCCATCACTTATTATTCTGTGACTTTAGGGACATACTTAATTTTTCTGAACCTGTTTTTACTTTTGTTTTGTTGTCTTTTTCCCCCGCTTTTTGTGGAGAATGGGGTCTCGTTATATTGCCCAGGCAGGTCTCAAACTCCTGGGCTCAGGCTATCCTCCTGCCTCTGTCTCCCTAAGAGTTGGAATCACAGGCGTGAGCCACCATGCCTAGCTGTTTTTACTTTTGTATATAGGAGCATTATCTAAGTTGTCTACCCACTAGAATTCTTGTGACAATGGAGAAATAACATATATTTGTAAATTTTAACATTACACAGTGCCGAATAATTTTCTATTTATATTTTTCTTGCCTTAAAAAATAAACGACTTTTGTTCCTAGATATAGCTTGTTGTTATAAATAAGAAATATAGAAGTAATAAAGTTCCAGATTGGCTCAAAATTTTGAACAAAGGTAATGCCAAAAATTTGATCATTATGACATTCAATAAAAGCATTGACATCAGAAGGCCTATCTACATTAATTCTTTTAAATAGAGTCAGTTACATAGAACTATATATATAAACTGTAATATAGATCAGTTATATATACATTTTGATACACATCTTTGACATTGTAGACTAGTTGAACACCAAAACAAGGAACTAGACCTATAAAATGAAAGGATTAATGGAGCAGCAACTATTACAGAACACATTCCATAAGAAATTTCCCACCCAATGGAGGAAAATTGGTTCTGGTAACTTCCATAGTGGTTCATTTTCATTCTTCTTTAAACCCTACAAAGTATTATATGATGTTTCCATTAAAGTGCACAGGTGTAAAATCTCACAGCATTATGGCTCAATTTATGCTGCATTTAGTGGTTTGTTCTTTTTCCTCTTTTCCTCATAGATATTTCACATAAAAAACATGAAGTTTAGGAAGTTAATGAAAATACTTTCTAAAGATTGGCAGTATTTTATAATACATTCTAAGTGCTCGATGCCAATATCAATGAAGTCAACATATCCTGAAGTAGGATGATCATCTAATCTAAATATTTAAGAAAATGTCAATATATGTTTTTACTATCATATGTGTAAGTTGAAAATTAATTAGTTACCTGCTAACAAGTTAAGTTAATTGATATTATTGCAAATTGATCTTGACAGATGTAGACTAACTTTCTAATACCATATTTATGTCATCAGGTGAGAAGGAATAAGATGATTATACAAAATCTGGTTTTCTTTTTTTCTTTAATTTGCGTTTGTATTCCTAACTCTGGTAATGGAACTATTGGAACATTCCTGCACAGTGATGCTCTTGTGAAATGAAGAAAAAATTCCACTTACTTTTTATAAAATATAACAACCTAGAAAACATGTATAGTCTCATTTTGCTTTGTTGCTGCTATTACCAGTGCCATAAACTGAATGGAATTATTTTATATGTTTGGATTTGTAATACATAGGCAAACCTAAAATAGCAACAATAAATATGATAATTGTAGCAGAATTAAGAAAAAAAAAGTGAAAAGAATGTTTTTCCAAAATTAACTTCCAGCTGTAACACTAAAGGCAAGTGAAACTCCCAAACATAACACAAAAAGAAAGCCACTAATCATGTAGGTATATTGCTGTGAATAATCTGTCAGAATCTTTTTCTCCGCATAATAATAATGTCGAGTAGATTTATGGAAATAAAAGAACAAGTAAAATATGTTATCATTAACAGTGAGGGGATAATCATGGGTTAAATGCTTTCTGTGGGTGAAATGCCACATACTCCAGAGAAATGACTCACCACTCTTGCTGTTTCTAGAAGATGATGATTCATCGGCTCCACTTACTTTACAAACAGAGAAAATAAAGAAAGAGAAGGAAAGAAAAAAGACAGTTAAAATCAATCTCTATATGTTACGTTTTTCACAGCATGTTTATTTTCACTCATTTGGTTTAGAATCTGATAGTGAAGAGGAAACAAAACAAAACAAGGAGAGGAAATATGGAGTCTCTCACATACATCTCATTGTGCATAAGACTCTTGCAAAATATCTGATCTTAGTAAGCTGTCCCCTCATCCTTTACATTTAACTCTATCTAAGCATTACTTGTTATATGGAAGAAAGAGTATATTCTGAATGATCAAGAACAGCATTTCACAGATATTCCAAAATCTCCCCACAGCTTCCTCATACCCCCTATCCACAGCCAACAAAAATCATTATTTTAGTGTGTGTTTCTCATGTGTCCCCAGGTCAAAGCATTTTGAGGGCTAACATTCTAAATGTTTTCCCTTTGCCTCTAAACATGGCAAATAATTATCACACACACACTGAGTTATTGAGATTATTATTATTATTATTCCTCAGTTATTCACATGAATTAAAGACAGAATTTTTTTTCAAATTTTACTCTTTCAGGTTAATGAAGTAGTCATGTGGGTAGCTAGAGCCAAAGGGAGGTACCTTTGTTGGACTTCACTTAGGGAAAAAGATCTTACCTCCCTGCCTCTCTATATTTCCTTTTGTGGGTGGAAAATCTTAGAGAAGATAAAAACTCAAATTTGGTGGTGGCTTAGTATCTATTACTGTGTGACTTAGGAAAAGTCAGCGAATGACTTGGTGATTCAACTAGTATACTTCCAACATCAGGATCATGCTAGGATTAGTAATTTTGTATTGCACAAGTTATTTTGTTTAATCCCTGAGTATAGTATCCATATCCCTCTCTATATTATTCGAAAGTAAGAGAATAAGACCTTGTCACATTCGCTATAATAACAAATTTTACTTCAATAATTTTCAAGAAGTTTTGCAGAAGGAAAATGAAGATATGTGTTAAGGTCAAAAGGTCAAACTCTGCTTTCTAGGTTCCAGCTGTTTTAAAATAGTCTGGCAGTTTCTTACAAAGATAAACAGAGTCTTACAATGCAATCCAGCAATTGTGCTCCTAGATATTTACCCAAATGAGTTAGGAAACATGTTTACACAAAAACCTGCACATGTATGCTTATAGCAGTTTATTCATAATTACCAGAAATTGGAAGCAGCTGAGATATTTTTCAAGAGGTAAGTGAATACATGGACTATAGTACGTTTATGTAATGGACTATTACTCAATGATAAAAAGAAATGCTTTTAAACCAGGAAAAGAAATGAAGGAATCATAAATGAGTATCGCTAAGTAAAGGAAGACAGTATGAAAAGGCTATGTCTGTTTCATTCCAATGAGATGCATTCTGGAGAAGGCAAACTATAGAGAAAGTAAAAAGATCAATGGTTGCCAGGAGTTGGTGGCAGGGAGGAGTAATAAATAAGAGACTTTTAGGGAAGTGGGCTGGGCATGGTGGCTCACACCTGTAATCCCAGCACTTTGGGAGGCCGAGGCGGCGGATCATCAGGTCAGGAGTTCAAGACCAGCCTGACCAACATGATGAAACCCCATCTACTAAAATACAAAAAAAAATTAGCTGGGCGTGGTGGTGCACGCCTGTGGTCCCAGCTACTCAGAAGGCTGAGGCAGGAGAATCACTTGAACCTGGGAAGCAGAGGTTAAAGTGAGCCAAGATTGCCCCATTGTATTCCAGCCTAGGCAACAGAGCGAGACTATGTCTCAAAAAAAAAAAAAAAAAAAAGAGATTTTTAGGGAAGTGAAACTATTCTGTATGATACTGTAATGGTGTATGCATACATTATGGATTTGGCAAAACACATAGAAATGTATAACATGAAGAGTAGGCCCTAATGTAAACTATGGCAATTAGCTAATAATAATGTATCAATATTGGTTCACCAATATAACAAATGGACCACATCAATCCAAAATATTAGTAACAGGGGAAACTAAGAGCAGCGGGAAATTGAGTATATGAGAATTCTCTGTACTTTCTGCTCAATTTTTCTGTAAACCTAAAATTTCTCTAAAAACTAGAGTCTATTATGAAAAAAAGGAACTTCATTTGATTATATACTTTCTAAGATATACCAGGACCATATAATTTCTAATATAATAATTCAAAAATTCTTATGTAATCAGAACACAAAAAATACAGCAAGTCTTCACATAATCATTGCCAACTCCATGGATTTATGACACGAACCAAAGATTAATATCCTTAAATTTAATAATGACTTTTTTTCAATTTCTATTTTAACTCAATAGGTTTAAAAAGTGATTTAAAACAATTCTTTAAACTAGCATAGTTAAACAAAAACTGGATCTTTATACTATCTTAAAAAATAAAAAAACATGGATCTGGATGGATCTGGAATTAAAATGGGAGTAAATATATAAAACAAACAATAAACTTTACAAGATATTCTGTAAATATCTTGTAGCTAAATTTGTAATGAAAGTTTTCCAGACCAAGCCACAATAAATGTTTGCTTTGCATTGGTTGGGGTGATTTTGGTTAACTTTATCATAAATAGATTATTATCCAATAGAAAAATGAAATTTTCTTTCAAAGAGAAACTTGATAAATCCTAAATCTCATTTTCTCATTTACAAGTCAAATATGGTTATACTTTGTTAAAAGTAACTTGCAAAAGATCACTATTCAGGATAATCTATTCTGAGAATAACATTTATAATCTCTGTGGTGGGAGACTAATCTGTGGCTTAAAACCTGTTATTATAAAAGAAATGAGAGGTGTTTTTAATATAGGCAAATAAAAATCCTCAAGTGGAAAAAATAAGCAAAATCAGTAGATTCTTACAAAAACTTCATATTTCCTTACATGCACTAACAAAGTGTTACTATCTACAGTGTACCAGGAGCTCTTATCAATTGTAAAGCAAGCAATCCAAACAACAAAAATGGATGAAACCTGAGTACAGTCAAATGCCTCCGAGTCAGCAGATATGCAAATCCAAATTGCCAAACAAACAGTAAAAGTTGTTCAAATTTACACTGGTGAGGGAAATACTGTTTAAAGAAATGACAGTATATGGATATATACCCATCAGGGTGGTGATGACCTCAAATTTTCTGTAACACCTTTACCAGCAATAAATGGTATTAGAAAAGGATACACTCATATATTGCTGGTGCTTGTTTGCTTGTTGGTTTGAAAGTCATTTGGCAGCAACTATTAAAATAAAAAACACACAGAATAAGATAATTAAGAGGGGCAGAAAGCAAGCCAAGATAATGTAATCCTGATGACGCAACTGCAGGTGAAAGTGTCAGGAAGAAAGCTGTGAAAAACATTGCAAAAGGATACAAAATGGTCACTTAGAAAGAGGCTCCAAAAGGAAGTCATTTAGAAATGGCTCTTGTACTTGGAAATTAAGAAAGAGGTGGTGGCCTTAAGGATAAGGGGTTTTGGAAACACAGTGGAGAGAAATTGGTTTGAGAAGACCATAGGAGCTGAGGATATGGAGTTAAGTGTAGGCAACTCTTAGACATACACGCTTTCACTAAATGGTGGAAAACCGAAAGAGAGTAACAAGATATTAATTGTGAGGTAGCATTGGGAAATCTGAACGTGTTCTCAGGTAGACCATGAGGAGCTATAGAAGAAGAGTGAAGCCACAGGAAACAAACAAACTAACAAAAAACAGCATAGTTGATGAAATAAGCTTCCAGAATATTTGGGAGAACAGGTGAACCAGTACAAGGAAAGAGTTACTAGCCTTTGAGATGAGGGCCATTCCTTGCACTGAGGATCTCCTCATATCTTCCTTTCCTGGTTGAAGATTTAATAGGAAGAAAGAGATGAACCCCTAGTCCTCTAGTGGGACAAATACAGTAATGCTGAGGGGCAGAGACTAAGAAACAGCACTGACAAGAATTTTCGAAGGGAAGATGATGTGAAGACATAGGGAGAAGACAGCCATCCACAGCCAAGGAGAGAGGCCTGGGGCAGATATTTCCCGCATGGCCTCAAAAGGAACCAACACTGCTAACTCCCTGATAATGGACTTGTAGCTTCCAGAACTGTGAGGAAATAAATTTCTGTTAATTAAGCCACCCGATCTGTGTAGAGTTGGGTCTACACACTCGTGTAGACTTAAGGGAGGCAATGGATGGGCCAGAATGTCTCTTTCATGAAGCAGCAGTGCACCTACAAATCTAAAGATCACCAAAAAGTCCCTTGATGTGCACCTCCAAGAACATGCAGAATTGGTTACAGTTGAAGTGAAAAGACACCTATTTTGCACTAACCATAGTTTAAAGGTAACAATGCTTAAATTTTGCAACAACACATCTTTTTTTTTCTACATGCATAATGATAGCAAGGGATATAAGACAAATTTTAATAACCAAATAATTTAAAATAAAATGTCTTGCAATGTCGTAATTGTACAGAAATATTAGAAGTGACACTTGTGTAGCTAGTTAGTATACAAAAATCATCCTCTTAACTTTTCAAGTATTTGTATTTTTTATATATCTATACAATTATGGAAGGCCACAAAACTGCCATAAAAAAGGGTAAAAATATAACATAAGAAGGGGGATAACCTGCACACTTTACATAACTATGATCATCTTTAAGCTCAAAGCCAAACATGCAAATTCTAACATTTTCCCTAAATCTGATACATAACCAGGAGTCCTTTGGAGAGACTAAAAATAAGCAAAATGTGAAAAAGAAACAATTCTAAATTCCACATGTAATAGCCAGATTCAGAAGAACTCCAAGAAATTTAAATTCAGCTAATGGGTTTACAGTGGTCAATCCAGAGAATTAAAGATTCTTAGGCTCCATCAAAAACTCCTTTTCCTATTTGAAACTGTATCCTGTTGCCTGGTTAAGGTTTGGCATTTTTAAAGAGGCTGTGGCAGGTGCTTATAATATGCACATTGTAGTTTTATTTCCATCTGGGTGAACAAGAAGTCAGCTGCCTGGAGCTGAGACTTATTTGCTTATGGACACAGGTAAATTTGCTTAAAGTGTTCTAAATGTAAAGAGAATAAGGCTTAGTTGGGTGAAGGGGGAGCACCAAAAACTCACTGGGATTAGAAATGATGGGTTAGGCAAATATTTTCATAGTATTTGATATTTGCAATATGGAAATGAAATGCAGATCAGAACTGCCTCATGGACTTCTTAAAATACAGTGTTTCCTAAACTTCCTTTAAACTGAAACATCTAAGTTACATTTCTATGCAGCTTGAATGTACTAAATTTAATATAACTATGAGATAGTTTTTAAAACTCTATAGACAGTGTTTTGTTAAAAATAAGTACTGCATTGAGGAGAACTATTGTATAGTGAATGTCACTAACAGAAAAAAAGTGTTTCTGGGAAAATTAATGAAGAACCCATTTTGCAAACAAAGTTGCTTTTGCAGAAGAAGTTTCAAGAGTTCAGGATATCTAACTGTGGTCTGATGAATCATGACTTTAGAATTTGCCCGGAAGTAGGGAATTAGGGGAGAAAGATTGTCAGGGGATTGCATAATCCTCCCTGAAGCTAAGTAATGGGAAGATAGTACCATTTCTTTTCTTGAAATACCTGTATATTTTTAAACAGGCAGGTCAACTTTAACTTGGCAGATGCTTTAAATTGAAATATGAGATCTTTAGAAAAAGAAGAAAACAAAAGAGGTGTTTTCAAATTACTCATTTCACTTCAAAAAAAAAATGGTAGAAAAACCACATTTTTCCCAAAGGAGGGGACACTTAGAATTGCTTACACTACTTGTCTTGAAGATCTTGCGTTGCTTAATAAATTAAAGTTATTTCAGCTATTGAGACATTATTTCTACTGGTCTTACAGAGGCTCAGAAGACTTTCAAACTGATTTCTGGGGCAAGGCTTTCTCTGAGTTTGAGCTCTCTCTGTTGAAATCCTATTCACATTTTTAAGACCCATCTCAAAAGCCAGTCCTCCACAGTATAATTTCAAATCTTTATAAAAAGGAGTGGTGCTTCTCTAAAAAGCATACTGCACACTGGTTGGATCTTGAATACTAAGTCATTTTACTTGACTTTGTAGTGTACTTGTTTTTATATTGTATCCCTCCCCTCCTAGACTGTTTCTTTACTACTCATTCATATTCATACCTGATCTTTTTCACAGGGCTTTGCACATTGTAGGTGCACACACAAAATACTCTACATTTATTCAATTATTTAGCAAAGTGATTCAACCGTAGCCAGTAACTATGTGTTAGCTCTCCAAAAAAAAAAAAATATTAGCAATCACACATAATAAGTGCTATTCCAGGCACTAGGGATTCTGTGACTGAACAAGACAAAAAGTCTACTACCCTCACAAAACTTACATTCTAGTGATATAAGTTGTTGTTGCTTATGTAAAAAAAAAAAAAAAAAAAAAAGCTTAATCTTCATCTTATAGGATTTCCATAGTCTACTCATAAGTAGTGCAGATTTTGAAACAGTACTTTTGCCTTAAGCGGTAATTGCAGCCAACAGATCATAAATAGAAGAGTGTCTCATCTTCTTACAAGCATAGCCAATATCTTTAATTAAAAAAAAAAAAAAAAAAAAAGCCAGGCGCAGTGGCTCACGCCTGTAATCCCAGCACTTTGGGAGGCTGAGGTGGGCTGATCACGAGGTCGGGAGATGGAGACCATCCTGGCTAACACGGTGAAACCCCGTCTCTACTGAAAAGACAAAAAATTAGCCGGGCGTAGTGGCGGGCGCCTGTAGTCCCAGCTACTTGGGAGGCTGAGGCAGGAGAATGGCGTGAACCCAGGAGGCGGAGCTTGCAGTGAGCTGAGATCCCGCCACTGCACTCCAGCCTGGGAGACAGAGCGAGACTCCGTCTCAAAAAAAAAGAAAAAAGAAAAAAAAAAGCAGAATGGACTGATAACATTAAAGGCAGTCATGATTAGACCTTTGAAGGCATCCAAATTTAATATCTGCCCCTCGTGGCCATGTTGTGATGGGATTACACGCATCCATTAATATTGTGGGCCCCAAAGGCCTGTGAAAAAGGGGGCCTTGGAAACGCCGTTATCAGTGTTGTGTTTAAGAGTGAAAGTCAAATTGCGGAGGAATAACTCATCCTACCTGGGCCAATGAAACCAGGGGCACAGAGCAGGGACATCAGAAGATAATTCAACTAAATCCAGCTGTAGTAGCTGTCAACAGCAGAGGACAGGGCGCCAGACTCCACAATGTATGTAAAAGGCTGGGAGGGGGCAGATGGTGATAATTACTGACATTTATTGAGCTCTCACAATGGGCTGGGCTATATAGCAAGTAGGCTTTACTGAAGGACAGGGTAGAGAAATAGGTTCAAAATGGGCTCCGGAGAGCTTGGCAAGGTAAGCAACGCAGGGTCCTCAGCAACTCTCCCGGGAAAAGTGCCCTGTAAGCAAGGGCAACTTTACAACCAGCATGTCTCAATTTTACTGATTAATCGTTCCTTAATATAAATAAGATCTATGGTGTCAATCGAGAAAAATGAGGAGACAAGTCTCAATCATTTTAGGTTTATTTGCCAAAGTTAAGGATGTGCGTCCATGACACAGCCTCAGGAGGTCCTGATGACATGTGCCCAAGGTGGTCAGGGCACAGCTTGGTTTTATACATTTTAGGGAGACATGAGACATCAATCAATGTATGTAAGAACTGCATTGGGTCCTTCCAGAAAGGTGGGGACAACTCAAAGCAGGGAGGGGGGCTTCCAGGTCACAGGTAGGTGAAAAACAAATGGTTGCATTCTTCGAGTTTCTGATAAGCCTTTCCAAAGGAGGCAATCAGAATACACAACTATCTCAGAGAGCAGATGACTTGAATAGAATGGGAGGAAGGTTTGTCCTGAGCAGTTCCCAGCTTGACTTTTCCCTTAGCTTAGTAATTTGGGGGCCCCAAGATTTTCCTTTCACAGTAGTATTATTGATTTGTATTTTTAAATATAAATTCCCCAGATTAGTCAGGGTTACTAGCATAGAAGCTGAATTGCAACAAATTTAGTCAGAAAGGGGGAAATGTACTGGAAAATTACTGGAGTATATTTTGTAACTCCACATTTAGACTTGGCTCTCAGACTCTTTTGGAACCAGGAATTTGAATCTTGCTAGAAGTTTCTTTTTCTTTCTCTTATCTCTGCATTTATCAGACTAGTTTTTCTCATCATGGTAGCAACATGACAGCCAACATTCTTATCCTTACATCTCGCAGCTTCTTTATGAGGCAAGCATTGTTTCTTCCCCTGTTTGAGAAAATTAAAGTAAAAATCCTGTGCATGTGTATTGATTGATCTAGCTTGAGTCAGTGGTCTATACCTAAAACAATCCACTGAGGACATAGAGTTGATGATTGTGATGGGAAGACCTCAATAGAACCACGTGATTTGTTTTACCTAGAAGAAGATAAGGCTGTTCTTAACATCAGGGAGGAATACTTCTTAGACAAAATAATGGAAGTCGACAACATTCTTTCAGAAATGACATCCACTCACTGTCTTACTTGGAATCTCCAGTTTTATTATCTGAAAAGATTTCAAATCCGTAAAGTTTTATCTAAAATAAATTGTCTATATTTTCTTCCTGGTATTCCTAAAAAACATTATTCTGTAATCTAAGCAGTGAACTATGGTTAAAATGGAATTTCGAAAGAACATAAAAAGTAAGTACATTACTTCCATTGGGTAGCAACAGACACAGAATAAAGTCTTTTGTTGGTACTGACTTAATCTAAAAAAAAAATCTTACTATCAGCATAAATACCACCTCACGACTATTCCAGCACTAAAAGTAATTGGCTTAATTCTTTATGCATGTGATGTTTTTGCAAAAGTGGTGAATCATGTAACTACTTGTCATAATCAACTATAACATGACAAAATTTGAAAATATAAATAAGGCCTATCTTTTTATAATGCTCATAAATCCTCATTTTGTTTCATTTATACCTATTCTATATGAAATATCATGAAGTTAGGCAACCATAGTTTATTTTATGACAATGTACAACCATGAATGTGATCTTTTTGTGAGTCTTTCATTTTTGTTAACGCTGAACATAGCCCTTTTCATTTGTATAGCACTTCACTATTTATGAAGTCCCATTATATAAATTTCTCATTTTGTCATGGTTGACTGCCAGGTACTTTTTAAAGCCCAGCTCAATCATAACATAATGTAAAATACCATTTGGGCTAGATTGATGGACTTTGAATAAGGTGTGCTTCTTTGAATAACTATGGCTACTGAGAATCAGAAACAAAATAAAGATTAGATCTGAATTTTTATGACCTTCCATAAAATGTACATTCAACTAGATAGCCCCCCAAAGGTAGCAAATTTGAGAGGAGAACTTATTAAAATTATGTTCAGTTGGAAATTTCGTGACTGGTTTTGAAGATTTCTCCAGTCTCTACCAGTTTACTGCTTAGTTTGGAGGTCCATTTGTAGTCAGAGAAGATGAGGAGTGTCCAATTAAAGGTTGCAATCTACCTCAAAGTTCTAGAAGGTCCATAGAGACATAAAGTATATAGAGACAGAGAGTACTTGGGAATGTCCATTTTTTTACGCTTAGGAAAAGGACCATTTCTCATCTGGAAACTGAGATTTATGTTCAGCGGAGTTCTTATAATCTACACTTAAGTCAATAGTGTATTTACCGAAGGTATTAATTCAAATCACTTTTTGGTTATAACTCTAACCAATATATATGTCATTGATGGCTCCAAAAGAAGGTTTGATTCAGGTTTTAGACAATAGAACGAAATTGCCCTAAGCCTTGGCAGATCGGTATGCAATATTACATTTATATTTTCTTCAAGAGAAAAACAAAATCTAAATCAAAAACATTCATTTTAAGAAATCAGGAAGACATTGTTCCATTAAAATATAATGTATTCTTTCTATGAAGACTGGCACCTTGCTTTTCTTTCTTTTCACATATTACTGAGAACATTAATCAATATCCTCCAATTTAAATCAATATTAAAATCTTCTTTCTCTCCTAATAGTTGATCTTGTCTTATTATTTTTTTGCTGCCTGAAATAATGATTCTCTTTCACATATATCCATTGCACTGGTATAAAGGGAATTATGATTTCAGAATTATGGTTCTACCTAAAACTGGATGTATGTATGTGTGTGCATGTATTCTATCAATGCTGAAAATGTACATAAAAATATGTATAGCAAAACAATAAAATCTTTCCTACTTCTAATTTGTCAGTTTAAGCAAACACCATGTTCTTTAGGAGCCTGTTTTCCTAGCTCTGTACCTATTTTCAAATGAAATCATGTTTTCCAGGTACAGGGAGTAACTATTTCCATCATTTCTAAGAACACAGAACACAAAATTCATAAAGTACAAATAAAAGTTTCTTCACGTGTCTTAGTATCTAAACAGAACTAAAAATGGGAAGACAGCATATTTAATTTCTTTCTTCCTTTTCAATTTGCAGTTAAGGCTAAAATGGTGATGACTTGTCTTTTCCCTTCCCATTCTGTACCCTCAGCTTCACATATATCCTCAGCCTAATGAAACCAGTTTCTCTACAATTTTCAAAATGCTCTTGACTCTCATTTATGCACAATTGCTCATCCTGTTCCCAGTAAATATGGTCCTCTCATTTTTCTATAAATTTTTGCATTTATGAAAGCCCAGTTGCAACTCACATGATATATTTCTTAACTTTCTCATTCAGTTTTTTGAGTAACCTTATTCTTATTTATATTAATATTTAATGCTTCCATATTCTTAGAAACTTCATTAGAGCATCTGACGTGTTTTTAATGCCTCTTTGAACCTCAGAACTATCATGTTGGAAATTATTACCATTTCCATTTTTCTGATGATAAACAAGAACTGAAACTCACAGAATTTTAGACTTTCTTCCCTAAAGGCAAAGTGAATTAAATGACATATCTGAACTAAGGCTAGTTTGCTTATGACTTCAAATGACATGTCTACCTACCACATAGAGCCATGCTCAATATATAATAGGTATTTAAATTAATTGTTATTCATGCATTCCCATTCAGAATTAGGGGGAAAAATGAACGTATAACTATGACTTAAGAGGAATTACACTGAAGTTTTCCTTAGTGAATTTAATGTGAATATATAGTTATTTGTGTGATTAAGTCCGTGTAATTAGGAGTTTAATGTGTGTATCCCCAACAGACTATAAATTCATTTGTTTCTTATTGGTCCCATTTCCTAGCACAGTGCCTGGCTCATAATAGGCACTTAACAAATGCTTGTTAAATTAATAATGAGTGATGAGGTGCCTCTATATTAGAATGAGCTTATGTGTCCAAGGAGTTCTTTAATAATAAATAGAGAGGGCAATCTTTTTTACTTTTCAGCATTGGAAAGTTGGTAATATTTCTCTTACAGTAGCCCAAAAGGATATGTGCAAGGAGAACTTGAGCAGAATAAAGCTGAGCCGATACTGACCTGTTCCATATTTCAACACAAGTCCCATGATTGAGCAACAGATACAGAAGATTAATATCTGTGAAATCAATTCTAGTTTCAGTATCTGCATTCTAACATTCTTTTTCCCCCTTTCTTCATCTTAAAATGAAATCCTTCACTGCTGATAATATGATGACAATAATGAAGAATGGCTTTCTTGTTTAATAACATGTTGCGAGTATGTCCTTAACAAACAAAATTCAAAGTGAACAAAATGGAATTTATAATGATCTCATTGTAAGGAACAATAAATATTACTTGGGTATAATTTTAAAAACCGGTTGGAGGTGGTAGGGTTGTTGGGGGTAAGAACATATTAAGGATGAAGCTAAGTAAGAGAATCAAAGATAAAAGCATTGTTAATACCTCACTGACTTGGATAAGTTCCTGAGTAAATACTTTACGAGAGGCCAGTGCAGAGCTACTTGAAGTCAAATGAGTAAGGAGAGAATTCAATCCATCCTGGTAAAACTGAATTAACACTCTTTGTTTCTTTAATGCATTGGCTATTGCTAATATTTCTAATCAATCAACAGTGTTCTTGTGCCCATGACTCTGAAACTCTGAAACATAAAACTTTGCAGGGCATTACGCCCAGGTGGCAAGAGGCAAGGTAATGATGTCATTGTGTTTATTTATGGTTGACTGACTAGCTGATTCTTTGTGGATTAAGAATGAAGCTCAACAGATCCCACCCTCTAGTGTACACTCTGCCACATACTGAGATCTTTCAGGCAAGCTTGAACTTCTCTGAAAAGACCAGCGGCCCTATGACTATCCCTGGCAACTTTCAGGATTTAAGTAACTCTCATTGTCTAAGATTTTTACACTCTTCGGGAGCATAAATGTTTTACCTACTGTAACAAGGTTTGGCCATTTAAATTACAAAACTGAATTGGTATTGTTCTGCTATAGTACAGACAAATATATGTGAATGTGTATGCATGGTGTGCATTTAGCATTCATTCAATGTCAAGGTTCGTGGAAGAAGTAAATTATGTTTTCTCAATATTTTTGGCCAAGTGATAATTTGCAGTATTAAATTTGGAAAAAAATGTTTAAACACATGGAAGTAATAGACTCTGCTACTGGACCTGAATCAAGGAGACAACAGTTATGACAATATGTTCCTTCTACTCTGATTCTTGCATAGAAGCCTCATTGGCACTTTGCTGAGCATTACTGTAGAGATTTTTCTAACAATAATAAAGCAAATTTTGATTCAGAAAGATAAATCTAATTACAATCACTATTCAATTTAAGGCCATTTTATATTGAAAATGCAGTGCCAAAAATGTACTAATTAGAACTAGTAAAAATTTAGTAATAATTCACTATATAAGACATATCAAATGGAGGGTTTCAACCTACTTTCTTAGTTGAATAAAATACATGTATTTATAGGTGTGTGTTTATCTTTGAGTATAGATAGATAAATTTGTCTTCATGCCGACATTTAGGTCATGGTGCCACTAAAGTATGTAACTGACCACATGGAACTTTGTCTTCTGACTGCTTGATTCTTGATCTGGTACAAAACCACTCTGAGGCCAAAGACATTGATAAGTGCCTAGCATTTTCCTCTCAAATATGTAATTACAAAGTATTTTAAATAAAAGAGAAAGAAGTGAAATCCTATCTGCTACAACAGTCAAGAGTGAAACTTCCCATTGGTTTAACACTTTAGTGCTTATAAAACTCTTCCATGTATATTTATTTCATCTTCATAATTGTATTGTGGGAAGGTGACATGATCATTACACACACACACACACACAAACACACACTGTGTGTCTCACTCTGTTGCCCAGGCTGTAGTGCAGTGGTGTGATCATAGTTCACCACAAGCACATGTTACCCACACCAGGCATATGTTTAGTTTTTTATAGAGAAGAGATCTTGTTATGTGGCTCACGTGGGTCTTGAACTCCTAGGCTCAGATGATCCTTCCCCCTTGTCCTCCCAAAGTACTGGGATTCCAAGTGTGAGCCACCACACTTGGCCCATTGTACATATTTCAAACTGAAGCCCAGTGAATTTTGGATTTAGCTAAAGCCAGTGATTGCTAAATAAAGACGTTGCCACTTGAATCTAGATCTTTTACCTTCTTTGAGTGAAGGGTTCTTTATGCCAGATCATGATGCCCAGCTTGCCTTTGACATTTGGAGGCATAAAATTATCCAAAATTCTACCTGGAAGGCAAAATTTTGGATTTATAATAAAATCAAATAGAGGCCAAAATATGAGGACTTCAGTGTCTATGAACCCATATACAGCTACATTTTAGTGCTGAAAAATCACCCATGAACTCCTATATGTATAATCCCATAGAACTACAAGTATCCCCTTTGTTTCTCCATTTTGGGAGTGTGTGAGAACCTCAGAACTACACTTTTGCTTCTAACTACTACATCATTACTCAGTTTCCTGTATAATTCTTGAAAAACCAGCTATTCTGGAGTTAGCACTCATAGTGTGTTCATACTTTTCAAATTTTTTTCCTTTTCAAAACTTTTATTCTTCTCAGTAATTTTTCATACCTGACAGTTGAGACAAAGCTAAGTGATGAAATAATGAGACAGTTCAACTTACTCATTGTCTTTATAATGAAATGAATGCAATGCAAAGGCATTGTGTGTGCCTGGTTTTTGTCCATTTATGATCTTTTCTCAGGGTTGATTATTCTTGAACTCTTTTTCATAATTTTCTTTAATATAGTCTCTGAAATTCTTTCAGTTCTTGAATTAGCTTTTATCCTTCAGTTCTTATGTTTAAACCTTTTTTTCATTATTTCTTAGCCTCTATTCACTAGAAGTCATTGACTATAAATAAATGCTTAGATTCCAATTTTTTAAAAGTACTTTGGAAAAATAAATAAGCTGATTCTCTAGGCAACTTATTTTGTATTTCAAACAAATTTACACTCCTTAGAAAATTGCCAGATGTAAGTTATATTGATTACAGAAAATGTAATACAAAATGCTTTTTTCTATCTTCAAAACAAACCAAGCAGAAAAATATTAAAGCATGAATTAAGTCAACTGGATAGATATTAAGACTTACTCTGATCTCACACGTTTTAGAAAGTAATCAAATTCAATACACTTCTAAATACTCTGCCATTCTGTGTCTAAAATGTATTTAAATAATTGTTGACACTATTGGTTGAAATTCACGTCTTATTTATCTTTCTAGAAATTTAAAAAATTTTATAACATAAAATACTTTGCTTACATCAATGATATGAATGTACAATTTAGAGAAAATATGAAAAATTATATTGTAAAAACACTGCTAATTGTGAAGATCAAAACATAATTTATTTGATTTTCAGCTTTCTTAGGCTAATAATCATACATTTCAAATAATTCTTCAAGATGAGAGCTCCCAGAGAAAAAAGAAACTTTATATTTTCTACAGATCTGGACTTAAAAAATGAAATAAATTATTTTTAAAAATAACAACGACAACAAAACCCTAGGAAACACTGTATTTCTTCTTCAGGAAATAAATTTGAGAAATTAAAAAACAACAAATCTAACAAAAATAGTTCATCACTTTCAAATAAGAGGCGATTTGGAAACTTCTAATGGGCCACGGACAGGTTTCTTTTCCTGTGTGCTGAATTTATATTTTAGCACAATTTCAATAAAAAGAGCAACACAATTAAGAAATGTTCCAGGAAATACCTCTTGCCATTTGACACAATACATGGCTGATTCTAGGATGCATGACTCCTCTCTGAAAGCATGGAGGGGACATATGTGGAAACACAGAGAGTATCAATCTGAGAGTACTTTTTGAAAGAATCCCGATTGTGAACCATTACCTCAGGTGTCATAAACACCCAAGGCTGCTTTGTTGAGCAAGAGGTGGAATATCTTCTGGGTACAGAAGCTGGGGCTTGGCTTGCTACAACTGGCTCATCAGGGTGGGGCCATAATAGTCAACCAAGGAAAACACTACGTCACATGGAAAATGCAAACATCAAGCCAGTTGTTGGCCAGAGTTCTGAACATCTTACTGAGAAAGAAATGTCCTGGCTCACTGTGGTGTGTACAGTGTGAATGAAAATGTTCAGCAAGGGAGCTAATTTGCATTGGCACTATGTCAGTTTCATATATTGGGGACAGAATTTTAAATATAGAGGCTACTCTATTCCTTTACTGGTTTGTTTACAGGATTAGGTATACAAAAGAATTCATTCATCCAGTAACTTTACCTGAGTTTGTGTAATGAAACCTTGAATCATCAAGTTTTTTTAAAATTAAACTTAACAAAACTTTCATTGAAAATGAAAATTAAGGCCAGGCGCAGTGGCTCACACCTGTAATCCCAGCATTTAGGGAGGCCAAGGTCACAAGTTTGAGACTAGCCTGGCAACATGGTGAAACCCTGTCTCTACTAAAAGTACAAAAATTAGCTGGGCGTGGTGGCAGGTGCCTGTAATACCAGCTACTCAGAAGGCTGAGGCAGAAGAATCACTTGAACCCAGGAGGTGGAGGTTGCTATGAGTTGAGACCGCACCAATGCACTCCAGAGCCTGGGCGACAGAACAAGGCTCTGTCACAAAAAAAAAAAAAAAAAAAAAAAAAAAACCAAAAAAAACCCAAAAAAAACTAAAAGTAGTAAAAAAAAACAAAAAAAAAACTTTAACAAAAATAAACCTTATAATTCAATTTTACAGAATCAATCATTACAAAGTAAATCTATAGGTTACAGAATAAAACAATGGCATTAGGTGACAATTTGAAGCTAGAATTGATGAAACTGCTGCCAGTGAGTACCCATCTATTTCACCGTGTCATTTTCCTACACTTCTGTACCCTTGAAGTGAAGATAAACTGTTAATTTACACTGTCAGGGTGAGGGATGCCCCCTCTGAAGACATTAGCTGTCAATTTAGGAACAAAAGGAGAGGCAGATTTGGGTTGTTTTATTTATTTATTTATTTATTTATTTATTTTTATGACTCAGCTTCCAAGTTTAACTCTTCCCTTTTGGCATAGTGAATTTGGGGTCCTGAGCTTTTCTTTTCCTTTCACAACAGTAAGGAAAAATTTTTTAAAGATAAAAGTGTGTCCTGAAATCAGACAAGTTTAGGTTTTCTTTTGGAAATGATTCTTTCACCATTTTTCATGTTTTATGATGAAAGTGAAGTTATTTTGGAAAAGAAATACATTATTTTTTGTATTCTTTGAAGTTCTCTGAACGTGTTTCTATATTTTTAAAGGCACCTGATCAAATTTCTCTAAGAGTTTGGCCCATAAGGAAAACAGATTAGTAGAAACCTTATGAAGCTGAAGGAAAACAAGTGAATTATTTATTATTCCACTTTTTCTAATTTCGTTGTATGTTCAGAACCACCACAATGCTTATCGTGTTATTATCAGAAGACTATACGTCATAAAACAGAAATGAAAGGACCGTTCTTATGAAAAACACTGAAGAAAGAGAAGAGGGACGTTAGAAAACATTGCCAAAGATGTGGGAGGGCCAGAAATATTACAAATACTAAAAACGGATGAGGAGAGAAGGTAACAGCATGGGCTTCTGCAGCTGTAGCGTTTAATGCTGGAAACTCCAGGCGCTCCGAAGCCCCACGGCTGAGCCTGTCTCAGCATGTTTCTCTTTTGAGTCTGTGTGCTGGCAAGGCATTTCCTCGGCTGGTTGCTATAGAAATAATTATACTACACAACTTTGAGAAGCAGAAGCAGACGGAAGTTACAGCAGAAACACTGTCATCTTGGTGTTGTTCTAATAGCCTTAGGATTCGAAAATGAGGCAAAATTAAAAACAAAAAGCACCATTATTTAAATTGAAAATTTAGAAATGTGGGTTATTGTTCAAGTATTCAAAGTCAGCACTACAGAACAGTTAAGTGAGTGTTCTTACACCGAAGTCCTCAGAGCCACTTGGCAAATGCTAGAGAAAACAGGAAGTAAGGACCTCTGTCAAGCAGAAGAATGTCTGATTTTAATCAGGAAATTGAGGATAAGTTTATTTTTGAAGGGATGATATCATCCGGTGAATGGCCTCTTTTGTTTGTAGTATATGCTGGAATGTCACCACCTTGGGAAAAAGTATTCAAAAATTCATAGCCTTTTTTTTTTACTAACACCATATTCACTTTGATTCTTTCTTTTAAATTTTATTTCTTGTGAGATTTATCAACTATGTGTGATTGCATATGCATATTTGTATGTGCAGATATAGACATATAGATATGTCTTTCAATTTTCTCTGTTCTCTTCCGTCTATTTTTTGATCTTTCTCGTTCCCGGTACCACAGTATCTTAATTTCTAAAGTTTTGTAATGAATTTTGATGTCTGAAAGGGCAATCCCAACATCCTTTTCTTCATGTCGCCAAGAAGCTAACAATTTTCCATTAGGAAACAGCCAGCCACATTTCCCAGTTTTGGCATGGTAACATACTGAAGACTCCTGTGATAGTAATTGTAGCTTTTTAGTCATTACAAAGTAAAAGATGACAGAGTTAAGAAAGGACTTAAACTGCAAGACCATTCATTAGTTCTACAATGGGTATCAATTTTCATTTGACTCATCTGATGTTGACTACTTAGAATTCCAGCTTTTAAACAAAAGCTAAGTTTAATCTGTCTATCTACCCAAGTTAATCATTCTGTATTAAGTATTCCTGTCTATTTTAGTTTATCTCAAGGATTTCAAATAATTCAACCAATTAACAATCTAGGATAAAGGGATAACTATAATAATATTTGCATTTTGAGAATCAATAATAATTGATTCTCGAAGGTCTACTTCAAGTTTAATAAATGGAATAAATTAAATATATCAAATGGACAATTCCAAAAAACTTTTATTTACATAAAAATTTTAACAACCATTCAAAACTGAATATAGTAAATGTTAAATGAACAAGATAGCTGTTTGGAGAACGTGATTTCTACTAAGAGATAGAGGTCATCGAGAAAGGTTACTGTAAGCCTTAAAACATGAAATAGCACTCACATAGAGAAGGTGCCAAAGGGTATTCCAGAGACGAGAAGCATCATTACCCAAGATAAAGAGACTAGAATATGCATAGTGGACTCCCTGGTTGTAATTCAAATTATAAGTGGATTATTTTTAAAATGTATACAACTGTATGCACAGAAATCTCTGCTGTGTATGCTTGTGGCATTGCAGCTTCCTTCTGTGGGTCTGAGAATTGGTGCAGGTTTTTAAACTGGGTCAAGAAGTAATATTCCGTGGGCATTGATGACATGAGGCTTCCAATTGCTCATCCAGTTTTAATCATCCTTGATTATGTATAGCCAACCACGCTCTTGTTGTCTATCCATCTATTTTTTCTCGATAAACACCTTGGGATATCAGCCATCACCATAGATCTCTAGTGGTTGACTATATTGCACTTGACCCCTGATATTCTGGAATATAATCATTTCCATTGACACTAGGGAGCCCAGTTCTCTAACAGTATTGCCTACTGTCAACTTCGGTCCAGCTATCACTAAGCTTCTCAAATATGCCAATCCCTCCATCAATAGCACATTCCTTATCAGCTTTGTGATGAGAATGTTCTCTGGCCCTTCAATGAACATAATCAGCTGGTAGTCTCTCTGGTGTTACACAATAGAATCATTCTAGCATGCTCACTTCTCTGAGCCTTTTGAGCCCTTCCTCAAAACTCTGCTAAAGCAGTTCTGTCATCTCTGCTTAATTTAATGTGAGCCTTTTTCTTCCCCCTACAGAACTTTTAGTAACCATCCAAGCAGCGTATTAGAACCATTCCCAGGTGCTCTTGTTAGGGAGTTTTCAGTCATGGAAGAATGTTCCCTTGTTGACAAATGTTCCTTTATCAAGCTTCTCTCTCACTATCCCCAGCTCTCACCCCAATCCAGCGCTATCAAGATATACTTCCTGGCATGCTGTCCTGATTCCTTTTGCTGCAAATTAATCACGTCTTGATGTTCTTTTGGAGAGTAATTTTTTCCCTTCCCTGGTTGGCCCATGCTGAGACTTAGATACAGAACTAGAAGACAGGAGAGAAAGTGAAGTCAGATCTTGATAAGGACAAATATCATCGTCAAAGGCATCCATCTCGGTTGAGGTTTTGGTGTGGCCTTCAAGCAAGAGAAAGCTGCTATGTTCCAGCAAAACTAAATAAGCCACTCTTATATGCCCAGGGGTTCAAAGGAATCTGCGAGTTCTATAATTTTGAGCACATCCACCTACAATTCTCTGCACCATCTCTATCAGGGTTCTGACTTAGCATAAAACCTTGCCAAGGCTATTAACTCATCTTTTGTTGTATTTCTACTACTTTTATAGTAAAGTTTATCATCCAGTCTTCCTTTCAATCTGTCTTCTAGCTATAGAAAGCATGGGTTTCTTTAAATGCTGCCCTGGAGTCCTCCAATCTTTCATACCATGCCCCTGGTTAGTAACGGACAAACCTGAGCTTGTCAATTTTCTTCTTCGGCACAATGACACTTAGCAACAACCAACCAATTTCCAAATCTTATAATTAATAAATCCCCCCATAGCTCTGAAATGCATGTGTAGTCTCCTTTCATCTGTATCCCATGCCAACTCACCACTGGCAAAAGTTATGCAATGACAGTGCTAGAGTTTTCAGTTTTTAACAGTTTAATCTCCAACAGTGTGATCCAGTTGTTATCCAGATGGCAAGTGATCTAACTCAGAATCCCTTCCTAAGTGTATGCTTCCTAGGACCACTTCTGAAATAACCTATTTTCAAGTTGCGTTTCTTCATTAGTTTCCTAGGGTTGCTATAAGAAAGTACCACAAACTTGCTGGCATATAACAACAGAAATTTAGTCTCTCACACTTCTGGAGGATAGAAGTTCCAAATTAAGGTCTCGGTAGGGTTGATTTCCTCTGGGTGCTCCAAACGAAATTATGTCCTGTGCTTCTCTCCTGCCTTCTGGTGGTTTGCTGGCAATCTTTGCCATTGCTTGGCTTATAGATGCACCATTCCAATATTTACATCTGGTTTCACATGGCACTCTCCTTTTTGTGTCCTTGTGGTCAGATAACATTCTCCCTGAGTGTCTCTATCTCTGTGTCCAAGTTTCCCTCTTCTTATAATGGCACCATTCATATTGGATTTAGGGCCCACTCTAACATAGTGTCATTATCTCACCCTACCTTAATTACATCTACAATGATTGCATTTCCAAATAAGGTCATATTTACAGGTTAGGACCTTAAGATATATTTTTAAAGGACACAATTCAACCCATAACAGCATTCGAAAGACAAATCTTATGATGAAAATTTGTGTGTAACTTATGTATTAGAGTATATTCCCAAGAAATTACAGAGAAATGGGAATAATAACAGAAGAAGACCAATAAAGGATGCATTATCAAGCAATTTCCAATGAAGTACATCTTTTGTTCAAGCCTGCCATGCATTTCTGGGCACAGTATAGATCTCAACTCTGAATTGGTCAATAGAGGTAAAGTCTTACCTGTGCACCTACCAGTCATTGATTTAGAGCTATGACTGAGGGAATGTAAATTTCCAGGCATATTTAGTTCCCTTTTGTGCAGATAAAGTGGTTGTGACAGCCTGAATTGCAGGTCCCTCACCCAGATTCATAAGTTAAGGTCCTAACCCACAGTACATCAGAATGTGACTTGTTTTGGAGATAGGGCCTTTAAAGAGAAATGGCCTCTCTCCTTGCCATACCACGTGAGAGAGTTTTCTCAGAAAAACCAAACCTGCTGATGCTTTAATCTTACATTTCTGGCTTCTGGACCTTGAGAAAATAAATGTTTATTGTTTAAGACACCCAGTCTTAAAGACACCCCTAGCAAACTAATACAGCAGCCACTGATAATCACAGGGTGCTGTCTCATGGGACTGAGAGCACACTGAGGCAGCTATGAATGTAGTGAAAGAGCCATCAGAGGGAAGAGCACCCATGGTGTCTTCTCTGGCCCTAAGCCTTCATTGCCAGGAAACCATTTGCAGAACACCTGATTTCTGTCCTCACAATTTTAGCTTTTGCTCCATTAGACATCCTGTTTTTTCCAGAAAAGGAACCTGAAATTGCCACTCATACTTGGTCAATGTAGGCTGCTCTAAAAAGTTTACCCAGGATAGCTTTTATATAATAGAGTATCAACTATGGACCCGGGAAGATCATTTGGATACATCTTGACGTTTCTCCACCTGCTGATAAAAGTGAATGAGTAAATACAGCAGCTGTAGTAGGATGAGGGCAGGGTACCAAGAGCACAGTTCCTTCAAGGCTGAGGAAATGTGTCCCCCACAGAATGATCAATTTAGACCACCAGGTACAACATTAACCGAGGATAAGGAAAGTCTAGGATACTGGAAGAATAAAAAGAACACTTAGTTGATTGATTACTATTAAAGCCTCTGCTTAGTTTAATATATATTAAATTCTGTTTTCTTAACTGCACACACAGGGATTTCCATCACAGTCCTAAAAAACAAAATGCATAGCCAACTTTGAGAATTGTTGTCTATATGTAAGAAAAAAATGCAGTAAACAATCACACAAGTGGCAGAACCTCTTTGCTTCCATAAAGGACTAATAATAAGACCCATATTTTAGTCTACTTTGTTAAATCTGATTGTACATAATTTTATATTTCCAAATCTAATTAATATAATGACT
Source organism: Homo sapiens (assembly GCF_000001405.40). Classification (NCBI taxonomy): domain Eukaryota; kingdom Metazoa; phylum Chordata; class Mammalia; order Primates; family Hominidae; genus Homo; species Homo sapiens. Next base: position 73,127,450 of record NC_000009.12, on the reverse strand, counting down.
CATTGAATGACATTCTACCATATAGTAAAATGTTAAAGTTGATCTTACTTTTTTCGCTCCTCATCTCTATTGTTTGTATGATTTTTTTTTTTTTTTTTTTGAGACGGCATCTTGCTCCGTCACACATGCTGGAGTGCAGAGGCACGACCTTGGCTCACTGCAACCTCCGCCTGCTGGGTTCAAGCAATTCTCCTGCCTCAGCCTCCCGAGTAGCTGGGATTACAGGTGCATGCCACCACGCCTGGCTAATTTTTGTATTTTTAGTACAGACTGGGTTTCATCATGTTGGCCAGGCTGGTCTCGAACTCCTGACCTCGTGATCCACCTGCCTTGACCTCCCAAAGTGCTGGGATTACAGGCGTGAGCCACTGTATCCGGCCTGTTTGTATGGTTGTTATCTTTACCTGGGATTATAATTTTACATATTCATTGCCTGCAAAAGATATTTACTATGAATCTTTAACTCCAAAATTAATATACCTAACATCTTTCTTATTATCTAAAAAAATTACAAGAATGATGATCCAGCTTTCAAACTTTTAAGAACAAAACATAGAGATGCAGTTCTTAATAGAAAGAGATACAAAATGGTAAATGTGGTATAGTATTTTTTATTCAAATTAGGAATATTTTATATAAATATATACAAAAATTAGGTGATTATATTTTTATTCTGTCAAATATAAGAATTGATGTGAAATCATTTAGTACTATTTTTAATAATAGAAATTGAAAATGTTGCATGTTACTTTATAAGTGACATGAGAAATTAATGTAAAAGGGGCTTTGGGTTATCTTCAAGAATGAATTTATGTGGGGACATTGTTTATACCCATACAATAGAAAATATCCCAAACACAATTCAACTTTTAATAGAATAATCTTCAACACCTTTCCGGAGCTAAAATAAACTTTTAAATAAATATTGCATGGACATTATATTTTGTATGGGAAACTATTTTTATGTTAGTTTCACAAATGCTTTATTCACAACCAGTGTGAATTAACTTTTAAATCTACAAATTAAAACATCAAAATCTCATGTTATAATACAATAAAGAGACAATTTTATTCCCAGGAAACAAAACTGAGTTAGTATTTAAATCCTAGAAACTAAATATAGACAAAAATATTAACTTTCCAATTCAGCCAATCTCCAATTAACACATATAGGAAAAAGAGTGGGGGGAAGCGGAGGGAGAGCATTAGGACAAATATCTAATGCATGCAGGGCTTAAAAACTAGATGATGGGTTGATAGGTGCAGCAAACCACCATGGCATACGTATACCTATGTAACGAACCTGCACGTTCAGCACATGTATCCTAGAAATTAAAGTAAAATTTTTTTAAAAATCTTAAAACACAATAACTTCATGCTTACAGAACATAGGCTTATTGTGAGGAAAAAAACCCAAAAGTCCATAACTGTTACAAAGTTGGACAAGGTGTGAACTGAAAAGGCAAACATTTGGTGAGCACACAAATCAGCATATATTCTAATATTGTAATATTATCTCATTTAAACCTGTTCTTACTCATGTGTGTGTCATCCTAGTTTTCTCTGACTTACAGCACCTCACCCTTATTCCTCATCCATCCAAGTCTCTGAGTGTCTCCAGAGAAGCTGCAGTATTCAGTGGCTGAGAATAGTGATTCAGAGGTCATACTACTTGCCTTCATTTATCTATGCAACCATATTGATTTAGCCAGGAAATGTTTTAGGTACTGAAAATATAGGAGTGAAAAACAGTCCATACACAGTTAATCCTTGAACAGCATGGGTTTGAACTGCATACGGCCACTTAATACATTAATTTTTTTTCAGTAAAAGTTACATCAAGTGTGCCTGCCTCTCCTGCCTCCCCTTCTACCTGTCTACCTCTTTCTCTGCCACCCCTGAGACAGCAACACTAACCCTTCTTGTTCCTTCTCCTCCTTAGTCTACTCAACCTAAGGATGAGAAGGATGAAGGCCTTTATGATGCTGCACTTCCATTGAGAAGAAATATGTCTTCTCTTCCTTATGATTTTCTTAATAACATTTTTTCTAGCTTACTTTATTGTAAAAATTCAGTATATATACATATAACATACAAACATGTGTCAATCAACAGTTTATGTTATTGGAAAGGCTTCCAGTTAACAGCAGGCTATTTAGCAGTTAGGTTTTTGGAGAGTTAAAAGTTCTACTCAGATTTCTGACTATACAAAGGGTTGGCACTCCGAACCCACATGCTGTTCAAGGGTCAACTGTACCTGTCTTCATTAAGGTGGTTTTTTTATGGTGTAATATACATAAATAAATTGAAAGATCCATAAATAAGTAAATAATTATCTTAAATTTCTGAATCTTTTACTTACTGTACAACCTTGAGTATGCTATTTAGCTAACTAATCTTCAGAATATTTTTTAACCTGTAAAATTGAGATGCTAATATTGAATACAGTTAAGTATATAATATGAATATATATTTGTGAGTGTGTGTGTGTGTGTGTGTGTGTGTATATATATATATAGTCTTTATCCATTTTATGTTGCTGTAATAGAATACCCACAAACCAGGTAATTTATAATGAACAGAATTTGTTTGGTTCATAGTTCTGGAGGCTGGAAAGTCAAGAGCAAGGTGCCAGGATCTGGTGAGGGCTCTCATGCTGCATCATCCCATGGTGGAAGGCGGAAGTGCAAGAGAGCATGAGAGCAAGCAAGAGAGAACCAAACTGGCTTTTATAAATTCCCACTGTTGCAATAATGAGCCCACTCCTGCAATAACGACATTAATTCATTCATGGGGTGGAGCCATCCTGACTTAATCACCTCATAACAGTTCTACCTCTTAATACTGTCACAATGGCAATTAAATGGCAACATGAGTTTCAGAAGAGGCATTCAAATCATTGCCATACACACACACATACACACACACACACTATATATATATATACGTATATATACATATATGTGTGTATATATACGTATATATACATATATGTGTGTATATATACGCATATATACATATATGTGTGTATATATACGCATATATACATATGTGTGTATATATACGCATATATACATATGTGTGTGTATATACGCATATATACATATGTGTGTGTATATACGCATATATACATATGTGTGTGTATATACGCATATATACATATGTGTGTGTGTATATACGTATATATACATATGTGTGTGTATATACGTATATATACATATGTGTGTATATATACGTATATATACATATATGTGTGTATATACGTATATATACGTATATATACATATATGTGTGTATATGTATATATACGTATATATACATATATGTGTGTATATGTATATATACGTATATATACATATATGTGTGTATATGTATATACATATATGTGTGTATATGTATACACATATATGTGTGTATATATATGTATATACACATATGTGTGTGTATATATATGTATATACACATATGTGTGTGTATATATATGTATATACACATATGTGTGTGTATATATGTGTATATACACATATATAGTGTGTATATATGTGTATATACACATGTGTGTGTATATATATGTGTATATACACATATATAGTGTGTATATATGTGTATATACACATATATATGTATGTATATATGTGTATATACACATATATGTGTGTATATATGTGTATATATACATATATATGTGTGTATATATACATATATATGTGTGTATATATATTCTTTCTTGAGATTAAAAATTAGCTTTTATTGAAAAGTAATAATAAATAACAATCAGACTGAGCCAGGAGCCTTAGATAGATATAAATCAAACTTATAAAACTAAACACATACTTCACTCAGGTTTTGTCCTACAAATTGCCTTGGTTGCCATGATGAAATAGAAATAAAATTAGAACATTTCTTGTCCTTTATCATAAATTAAAGATTCTTTCTCCATCTTTTTTGACCTCCAATGTAAAAAGATAATAAAGACTCTCTGATGCACCAAATCATGTTGCCAAAGAGGCCATTATTTTGTATTAACTCTAAAACCTAGAAATCATTGTTTTTTTTAAAAAAGTATTGAAATCTTAATAGTCTGCTGTATGAAATAATGTTAGTTCATATAGTTTACCATTTATTAACGGCAGCTTATGAATAAGTTCAGAGTTCTTTTTTTCTTTTATCTTATTTGATCTTCCAACTAATCTGTAGCCTCTTGTATGAGGGAAAGCAGTTCACACAGGAGCAGCTCATCTTATGAAAGTGTAAAAGGCAGTCTTTGGCTGTTTCCTGACTGTAAACAAAATGCAAAGCTTTATTTCTTTCATATTACCTCATAAGCTTGTTCTGTAGTTAAAATGAGATAATCCATACAGAATTCTCTGCACAGTGCCTAGCATAGAGTAAATGCTCAATAAATGCTGATAACTGATCCCTCTCTATCTCATCTCTCCCTCTATTCTCACTGAGCTTATCATCATTTAGAATATCACTGCTTTTGCTTTGTTATATTTGCAATAGCCTTCTGTTAGGGTTTCCCTTCTCTAATGTTACCTTTCCCCTCTTCCCTATAATTATGTGTTGTCACCAGATTAAATTGTCCTCATGAATAATTCTGAATTATCCAGGTTTCTGATCAAATACCTTTAATGAGTTCACACCGTAATTATTGAAGAATACCACTGTCTAGATGCACTGTCCCTTTCTAATTCAGTTCCTTCTGTTATGCTTTGTAATAACTATTGTATTCCAGATAAAACAACTTGTTCGTTGTTCTTTTAAGTGTCTCAAAATTTATATTCTATGAGAAATGCCCCCACTTACTATTTCACCCCCAACAGAAACAGATGGACACACCAGTCCTCCAAATGTCTTCTTGTAATCTCCTACCTGAAAAGATTTTTTTCTCTTTTCTTATCTTTATTATTACTTTTCTCATAGCCCTTTCTATGTAAAAGGACTTTTTACATCCTAGTTTCTAGCATTGTTCCATGTGTACATGGTGTATTTCTCTTAGGAGAGTCTACTGTCCTGGAAGGAAAAATCTGTATCTGATTCGTATTTTTATTCCTAAAGTGTCCACATTAAATCAATATTTGTTGACTAAATGCAGGAATTAATTTTTCAAATTCTTCAGAAACATTAGAAGTTTCAACACCAAATACAAAAATAAATTACTACAAAACTGTTTTTTTTAACCAGGTAGATGTGACTTAATTTTTGATATGATTGCTGGAAAACAAGGCGATTAACCCTGTTCCAAAATATCTCCCAACCCCTTGTATTCCCCCAGTAGAAAGCCACTAGCAGTTGATATTCCTAGTCTTCCTGATGATAGCTTTATCACGTCTGATTTAAGAGACATGCACTTGCTTGTTTGCTATATTATAGAACACAAAACAGACAATAAATAGTAAAATGACACTGAAGGTGGATGTAGAGTTGTGAAAAAGACACACTTTGCCTACATAGAGCTTTTGAAATAGATGTCTCTGGTTTAATATTTTGCAGCAATTTAATTTCTCAGTAGGATGTGTCATAATCTATGTAACCTGAAGCAGACTGCCAGGAAGTTTCAAGAACCTGTCAGGTGGCAGAATCAGAGGGCACAGCTGACTAGCAATAATCTGAGGGGATACAAAGGCAGGTATGAGTCTATTTGAAGCTGGGAATGTTACAACCAGGAAAGAGAAGATGGAGCTAGAACAATTCATATTCCCTTACTTATGCAAATTCAGAAGCCACTGTTGAGTCAAACCAGGCATGAACAGTCACCCACTACCTTGAAAAAAATTCCGGAGAAGTTAAGGAAACAATTATGTTAAGTAAGGAAGAGAGAGTCACTAAAGCAAACTCAAAAGGGAAACAACCCAAGTCAAAGCAGGAGAAATATTGGTGGTTGCAAAGTAGCAAAAGAAACAAATATACAGGGTCCATATGACCTTGTGTTAGACACTGTATTGCTCCATCCCATTTGTATTCTTTTTTATTTTACACATAAAGGCCATCAGCATACCTTTATAAATTCTTAGAATTATGACATATAATTTAAGTTGCCCAAATACCTCAGATCAGATTGATATGAGACAATTGGGAAATTGATTAAGTAGTATATTATTTTTATTGCTAAGTCATGACAGCAACCACCACTTGACTGGTAGAAAGTAATGCCCATGAAAGTGCATGGTCACTTAAAAAGCATCTCATATGTACTCGAAGTCAGTTTTCGGCTACAATAAGGATATGGGGCCTGTAGCCAGTACTGTGCTAGAGTGGCTTCCTAGCAGCTCAGCAGATCCAGTTGTGCACATTTCTTCCCAAATCCCCAAATCCAAGCTCAGTGATTGTTGGTAACTTGAAATTGGCTGTGGTAGAAAACATGACAAGCTAGGGCTTTTCCCTAACCTTGGTGAGGGGTTGTTAAATATTACCAACATGCCACTATGTCTGTCCTGGTGTTTCTTTCCACCAGGTCTCATTTGTGGTTTAATTCTACTATTCATGAAGACCTTTGAGAAAGCCTTACCATTGCCACTCATCATCATGAGTTCAATAGTTGTGCCAATAGTATTGTTTCCAGATGCTTTCGTAGCTTCCAGTCTTGGAGTTGCCAAAATATTCCTGGATTCCATGCAGAGATAGGGAAAACAGTTTACCTCAACTCCTCATTTTTACACGTGGGCTCTGAAATCTCTTTATATTCATCCCCTGGTTTCTCACTGTATCTTACTGACTTCTCCATGTTGTCTCAAAATGAATCCAATGAACCATGTAAGAGATAGACATTATTCCAACTTTGATTTGTTTTACTACTTAAGGTCCTCCTGCCAACCTCCAAAATATGTTTCTTCTTCCCCAAGAAAGCATTCACATATATCAGTAAATGAAAACAATGTCGAATGTATGAGCCTATGGGTAAACAAGAAGAGAAGAAATGCTGTCTGATAAGAGGGGCGCATGGAGTCCAGCTTAGCCAAAAATCAACCATGCCATTTAACTGTTTTAATTGTATAATTTGCTAGATGTTTCTGTTTTTCCTCCTTTCTCAAATTGACTCTACACAATTTTTTACCCTGCTGTGTATTCTGGAGAATTGATATTTAGGGGCTACCTTGATGGCTTCCTTTCTCTCTAACCTCCTGTTGAGTTTGGCCAAAGGAAGGCACAAGCAGGAGATTTGGAGATTTTAGTTGAATGGCCTTCTCCATATAGCTGCTCTCTCTGGGCTATGATAACTGTTCTTTCCCTGGTCTTTCCGGCCTGTGGTTAGTAATAGCTCCTTGCTAGCACTAGTCCTTGGACACAGTACTGTTCTTCATTGTTTTTGGAAAAACCCCATCCCATACCTTTAAGAAATTCTCTCTATAGAAATCTCATCAATTATCCTGTTTCAGTATGTCATTCCTTATTCTGTTGGAATCCTGGATGATACTTCAATTAACCTAAGTCATAGCCCATGAAGCTCAATATTCTTTTCACTAAAGGTATTTCTATTTAGTATATTTATGAATCATACTTATGGTGCTTCAACTATGAAAAAAATTTTAAAATCATTCTGCCAAAGAAGGCTGTTTATTTGACCCTAAATATTGTACATCTACCCTACCTGCAATTTCATTAGATCTTTTCAGAGTGTTTCAATTTTTTTTTTTTTTTCTTGAGATGGAACCTCGCTCTGTCGCCGAGGCTGGAGTGCAGTGGCGCGATCTTGGCTCACCGCCAGCTCCATCTCCTGGGTTCACGCCATTCTCCTGCCTCAGCCTCCCGAGTAGCTGGGACTACAGGCGACCGCCACCACGCCTGGCTAATTTTGTTGTATTTTTAGTAGAGACGGGGTTTCACCGTGTTAGCCAGGATGGTCTTTCTAAATGAATAACTCCTCTTGAAGTAAGTATTTGAAGAGAAAATCAAGGATAACGGAGGAACATGGAGCACATTGAATCTTGTAATACATATAACACATTGGTTTGACATATATTGATATGAGAAAGAAACCCAGCAGTTTTATCAGAGTATTAAATATGTAGTAATGCATTGGAAAAAATAGGCTCCATCTCCTCAACATTGTCTCTGGGTTCTTTTACATTTAAGTGAAAACTTGATTGTGCAATCTGAGTTTAATGTAGGTGCTAGAAAATCCACTCATATTATCAGGATCTTGAAGCTCACATTACTGGGTTGAAAAGTTTCCAGAAAAAGATTTTCCTACCCATTAATGAAAACCAACAATTGGAATAATTCAAATCAAGAATTAACCAGGATACATTTAAGCTGTCTAATCCTCGAATCCCCTAGGCAATCCTGAGTCATTCAGCTACCTAAGGTGCTGCTCCAATGATCAAGCAGTTTCCAGAGTGAGAAAGGGCGCCCTTGCCCTGACCTGCAACTGGAAGACTGGGAGAAAGGTTACGTTATATGAATGATTCATATGAAAATGTGGGAAGGAACTGCTGTATCATTTTATCATATTCCAGTGATGACATAGTTTGTAAAACATATGTTTTCTACTATGAGGGAAATGTTAACTTAAAATTTCCTATTTTTACAATATAATTTCTATTGTTTTACCTATTGGCTCTGATGAAGGTGATCCTGTAACTGTAACTCTGTTTTTAAATGTAGTTTAAGAATGTGGGTACATGAAAGGAAAGGCCTAAGTTACTATCTGACCCTCCCCAATCCCCAAAAGGCCTAACATAATAATTTGAACATATTAAGACCTCTACATTTATTTATTGAAATGAATACAAAATATTCAAAATATGGTTAAAATCATATTGTTTATTTCTGAGAGCAGTCCCAAACTTAAACATTTGGTTATTTTTCTTTTCACATAATGAAAAAATAATATGCTTACAGAAACTTTGTATCTCCAAGAAATTCTATGACTCTCTGAAGGAGCTGAAGGTTACCTAAAAAGATTTGTCATCAGAGGCATGACACAAGTAGTCACTTCCCCTGGTGCTCCCTTGCCTGGAATTGTTCCTGGTGAAACAAAAAATTACCCACCCAGTGTGACTAAAAGAATTAAAAGCAATAGAGAATACAGACAGGGTAAGCTATGATTAATTGCTTGGTAAGATGAAACTTTAATCCAAAATATACATGAATCCTGGTATTTAATGCTCAGGGTTTTTAAAAGGTAATCTTTGAGGTTTTAACACACCTTCAAAAGCATGGCTTTAAATATATTCTTTTGCCTTCATAAGAATTTCCGCTTATGAGTTCTCAGTAACAGCAATAATACTAGAGAAATTAAATAATCTAATCAGGCATAAACTTTCCAATGTCATCAAATTTATCTAGCATGAACAGTTTTGATGAGATCTAATTATAGTCCTAATTACTGAGAGTTGCCTACAGATCAATATTTTCCTGCTTCTCTTTGGCAACAAGAAAACATGTTCCTATAGAAAAATAAAAATGTCAGAAAGCATTGAACTGAGAAGAGGCAGGAGAAAGCATCAAACTAGGAAGAGCCAGGACAAAGCTGTGAATCAGTACAGAGCCAAGATTGTTGTAAAAGTTTCTAATAAATCTGAGGGATGATTCAAGGATACAAATGGTAGAATGTATGGCAAAGTTGGTGATTTGGAGAGGCAACACAAGAAAGAAGACATTTTCTACTCAATTATATTATTCAGGATAAGATAGATTATATTGTGGTAGTGAAATGAACCCTGAAATCTCATCAGCTTAATATATAAAGCTTTATATCTTGTTCACCCAAAGTCAGCTGTGATTTGGTAGCTCTCAAGAACAGCTCCCTTTCCCCTGTACCACAGGTATCAAGGCAAAGCTCTTGTAGCACCACCGTCAGCAAGGGTTGGTTTAAGAGTTGTGTTGAGAGAAGAGGGAGCTAGGAATTGTGTCAAGGGAGGTGTGTCTGGACTCTTCCCAGGTGAGGATGTAGAGGGGCAAGTGGACTGAGGTACAAACCGTAGAACTCACCAAATATCCCTATGCTCTTTTCCACATTTCCCAGTCTCCATGTAGTTATTTTGGGACAACAAGACTACCCTGACCAATGGGATATGAACAGCAATAATATATCACCTATGAGATGAGGCATTTAAGAGGCGGTGTGAGTTATTTCTCTTCCCTTGCCATGGTGATCACTGCAGTCCCAAAAGATAATGCTAGAAGATTTAAAAAGAAAAAAAAGAAAAGGACCTGGATCTCCAAGTCACTGTTTGGAAGGAAGCTGTCCTAGAGAGTTACTTGAACCACAAATGACTTTGTGTGGGCAAGAGAGGAGTAAATTTGTATGCAATAAGCCCTGAGTGTTGAGATTTGTTTCCATAGCATAACCCATCTGTCTTTACTGATATCCTAGTGAAGATGAGTGCTTCAGAACTAAGCTCTCCTATGGAGGATGTTCTGGAGATCTAAGTTTCCTAGAATCCTACTGTGGTTTAAAAGAAAAGGGCATTACAACCCAGGTATGAGCATTACATGATTATATGAATAAGAATGAGATTACGTGGTTAGAAATGTGTCTATCCAATTTAAAAGTTGCAGTACATTTTCAACATAACAGCTAATTTTCCCAACAACAGACTTGATCTTACTCCTAATCATTTTCTCCTCTTTTCCTTTAGAATCTACAAAAACCCTGCTGAGGTTATTTTTACCCCATGGTCAATAGGTGTTTTCCTAATAGACCTGAGTGACCATTTTTTTCACAGTACAGAATAAACTTTCATCCATCAAGTTTTTTTATTAAAGAAGATCTTCCCAATTGTAAAATTCTGCCATATAGAAAATAATTTCAAATATTTTTAATTGAGCATGAAATAGATGGCACAAATTATTGATTCATTGTCTCATTGCTACATAAAAGACACTGTTAGTATGTTTTAATGTGTTTGCTTCAGATGTGTATTCAAATAGTCCAGAAGTAGAAAGGGCTTGATTTCTAAAACTGGAAACAATCCATACTAGATATTCCTAGCAGAAACAAGGCTCTAAAACGATTTTAATAGGCCTGCAGATTTTAGTTTAAATAGAACTAGTACATGGTTTGAAAATACTTAAAGGAAGATAAATATCCTTGCCTCTGTGAGGGCCAAACCTCATGACTGGGAAAAGTGCAGTCAGAGAAACCATGAATTACATTTATAATTTTGCTGTGAATCTTGAATCCCTTAGTTTCAGTCAAGATATATGAAGTCAGGTTTATGACTAAGAAAGCCACTGTTTCTCTTTCATGCAATGAATCAGAGGGAATAGGCAGTTAGCTAGAGCTAAGCATAGATTAGCAGAGACAGAAACGCTGAGCTGTCAAATACTTCAAAACCAGTAGCAGCAAACAAAATATCCAAGTGCTGCTCTAAACTTATAAGACTATTACAAACCTAGGAATTTTCAACACCCAAAGCAACATAAGTCTTAAAGGTATCTTTTGGAATATGAAAAACCAGAGTCATGCTATAAAGTGATAATAATAAGATATTTCTTTCTTATTTATAGTTCTTTAACACTTGCTTTTAAATATAGTATTCTTTTAAACACATTATCCCTTGCTATAATACAAGAAAAATGACAGATGAATACTTACAACTTCTCACATTACTCACATGTGAGAATTTTTTTCTTGTTTGTATGGCCTGGAGTAGTGAGTGTGGAAGGGAAAAGTAATACCTGTCAGCTGAAATCCACCAGATTGATTTTCACTGCTCAGAGCCGGGAATTATTTGTAACAAAGGAAGGGTAGCAGTGCAAAGACAAGAGAGAGGGAAAAGACTGGGCTGGGTTGAAGGAAGAGATTTGGAAAGATTTTAGAAATTGAGGAATGGGATTGGTACTAACCTGCCATCTTATGATGATTGGGTTTTTATTTGTATGAATGGAAGTCTTCTTTTGGAGAGGATTCAGTAAAGGTTAAAGAATCTCTCTCTCTCTCCCCCCCCATTAAGAGGTAGTTTTCTGAAAGTAAAAAAAAAAATAAATTGCTGAAATGGGCCAAAGAGTGACCAGTTTGATAGATTGTTCTAATTGTTCACAAATATTTTAATTTTCTAGAAAAATATACTTAATCAGACATCAGTGTGCTAGCCCAAGCCAACAGGAAAATATCAGACAATGATAGACCAACCTGGTCATCAACTTAATGAAAAATCTCAAAGTAACAAGCAGGAGTCAGGACATCTTTTTCAGTGAAGAATGCTCCCACTAATAAGTAACAGAAAGTTTAACAATAGAGGGATATTTTTATTATATAACCAGACATCTGAAAATAGATCTCTGTTGGCATTTGTTCAGCAGCTCATTGTGGTCAGGCCCAGCATCTCTGTTACTTTCTTTGCCTTTCTTTCATGATTCAAAAGTGTTGCTATTTCACAGTGGCAGGTCCTTGAGATGCAAGAAAACAAGACATCCTCTTAGGTCCTCCTTAAGGTCCTCTTAGCTCATAGCAAGGAAGAGGATGACATGGGAAGCATGGTAGCCCTGAGAAGGTAGCCTGAGAAACAGGCCTGGAGAAGACGGAAGAAAGCTCTTGTGTAGTTCAAAGTTACCTATATAAGTTTGGTTTATACAGGTGTTCCACAGAGGTTATATTTTTGGCTTTTTATGATTTCCATGTGAGTATTCTCAATACTCAAATATTCTCAATACTCAGATTAACCTGGGAATAAGAATATATCCAGGCCCTGGAGCATAACTTATTCCTTTCATCCACTCTCTTCTTTAAGCTAAAATTATTTCACAAAACAGTATTGATAAAAGCAATTTGGCATATATTTGTACCACTAAAACTCAGGCTTTTTGATTCTCAAAAGAGACTGCCCCTTGGGTAGAAAGAGAGGGGAAAGTTGTATCATCAAATACTTTATTGGCAACATATGTAGTAGCCAGTGTATTTTATAATTCCAAGATACTTAACATCGAAAATAGACGTTCTATATGCACAGATTGAGCTTCATTTGGGTCATGACTGAAACCTTTTATATTTCAACCTGGATGATAGAGATGTAAAAACTTGAGAGGTTTCCAACAAAACAGAGTAAAGTCAACATAACCTATGCTGTCTACTAACTAAATGCACCTTCAGGCATGTTTAAAATAAGGCAATGCAGTATTGCCTTTTTTCTATGCACTGTTCTGGCAGAGTTTCTCCAATCTGCACCTGTTCAATAATGAACAGCATTCATCTGAGAGATTAAAATTCTGGGCCATAGTGAGGAAGTAGTAATTAAAGCAGTATTTTTATCTTCCTTACTCTGTGGGACTTCTTACCACAGAGTTCTTCCTTCAGTTTAATGTTGGTTTGAGGTTACACCTTGATCTCTTCAAAATACATTCCCATGAATGTTTTTCACCCAAGTTTACCTATCCCTTTTGAAGTTGCAGAGCTGGGAGTGCCCTGGATGAATAGATTTGGCATCAACAGAAAACTTAGTTTTTTCAGTTGGCTCATTAGATACAAAGAAAATAATACCACTGTGGACAAAGGTATTTTATTATATAACATGCAAATGTTTTTATTAACTGGTAGAACAAGTTTGATAAAAGGCAACCCATACCAAGATAAATAACATACAAATAGTCTATTCCACTAACTAATTACAGAACATTGAAGAATGTGTTTCAGGCAAGCCATGGTGGATTATACTTGTGATCCCAACATTTTGGGAGGCCAAGGCAAGAAGATTGCTTGAGGTCAGGAGGAGTTCAAGACCAGCCTGGGGAATATAGGGAGACCCCTGCCTCTACAAAAAAAAATACAAAAAAAAAATTAGCTGGGCATGGTGGCTCGCCATTGTCCCAGCTACTCAGGAGGCTAAGGCAGGAAGATCACTTGAGCCCAGGAACATGAAGCTGCAGTGAGCTGCGATTGTACCATTGTGCTTCAGCCTGGGCAACAGAGTAAGACTTGTCTCTAAAAAAATTTTAAAAAAGAATGTGTTTCTATTTGCTTATCATAACAATAAGTATTCAAAAAATAGTTTTTGTGCTATATTGATAAAACCTGGAGGTGGTAGGAATTGATGTTATGTAAAAGTGTTAAGAATAAGAATAAATCTGATACAAAGAGGTATGTTTATATCTGTTATATTAAGCAAACAAAATAAACTTTTTTTCCATAATGATGAGGAGGATAATAATTGTAGCTACTTTGTATTGGGTGGCTTAATAAATATCTGGTGATATATTAATTTTACATCAGCCCATTAAGTCACAAACCCCCTAAGCGGTAGGTATTACCTTCAACAATTTACAAATGAAGAAAATGTGTCCTGAGAGGGGTAATCATTTGATTAAAATCAAACTGATTGAATGGTGTAGCACTAGGAAAGGATATCAGGTTTTAATACTTCAAAGCCTTTGTATTTAACCATTATTTTTTCTTCTCAACCTTTTGAATGTATCCTAAGAGAATAGTGAAAAAGCATGAAAAATTAATTATATGTATCTCCTTATTGAAGCATTATATATAACAGAAAAAACTTTGAGGTCATTAAAATGTATAAAGAATGTATTAAGAAGTAAATATGCTTATGAGAGGATGGCAAATGGAAAAAAAGCTCAATATACAAAATATATCTGATCCAGAGCAATAAGAAACAATATAAGCAATAGGCAGTATTTGAAGAGACAATGAGCAATAATTCTCCAAAACTCTTCCATGGATTAGAAGAAGAAGCAATACATTCCAACTCATTTTATGAGGCCAGTATAACCTTGATATAAAAACCTGACAAGAAAGATTGCATGGAAGGAATATACAATAGCTTCTCTTTATCTGTAGGGGATATGTTTCAAGATGCCCATGGATATCTGAATCCAAGGATATAACTAAACTCTATTGCCATCAATAGGACATGTTTCTACGCATGTCTTCCACCCACAAATTAAATGCGTTTTCTATCTCAACTAAGTACTTACACACCGTAGCTGCAACTTTTGCAGTTTGAGGTGTGGCAACAAAACTAGCACAAATTTCTTTTTTCCTTTTTTGAGATTTCCAGGATAGAAGATTCATTCTTACCATAGATCTTAGCAACCTCAGCCTGCAATTTTCCTTTCCTTAAGTCAAGAACTAATGGCTGGGCGTGCCTGCAGCTCTGCAGTATGGATACTCTGGACTAGGGAACGGGCAAGACAGAGGGTGCAGGACAGCTCAAGATTTCATCACGCTACTCAGAACAGCATGCAACTTAAATCATGAATTGTTTACTTCCGGATTTTTCCATTTAATATTTTTGGACCACAGTTGATTACAGGTAACTGAAACCGTGAAAGCAAAACTACAGATGAGGGGGGAATACTGTAGAGCAATCTCATTCCTGAACACATCCTTTATCAAATGTAGGTATTATTTATTTGAGCAATAGCTGATAGAAATCCTGATGAAGATGAAGCAAAAAAGCTAAAATAGAAAATGTTAATGTAATTTAGCTATGTAAATGTTCATTATACATATAACACACTATATATATGTAACTTCATATATATATATATATTTCTCTTCACAAAACATGCTTCTCAGAAAACCAAGAAATATAATACTATTCTTATGTTTATTTTATTCTGCCTTTATGTCAACAATGGCCAGTGAAAACAACTTGGGAGTAGTAATGAAGATGACCAGAGGCCAGCGAGCTGAAAGTGTTTCCAGCAAAGCAGCCCTCTGATCCATATACTTTAGCTACAACTTACATCACCAAGGTAAATATGCTCTCCATGAAAGAAATGGGTCCAGCAAATGTATTTTGTTTTAATTTTTTCTGATTTGTGTAGAAACAAATGCACAAAAATACATTCATATCTTTTAGGAATATAGGCAGTTTTTGAACATTTACCTATTGAATTAAGTGACATCTATCTTAGAAATAATATAAAATTCATCCCAGAAATCTGTGAAAATACTATAAACAAGAGTATGTCCTTGCAAGCATTTGGTAAATATGAAAAAACAAGCTCAATAACAAAGATATATCATAGTGTTGTTTTGAGGGATGCAGTCCACATTCATGGTATTCCAAATATTCCTATAATACCAGTTGAGTGACACTTGGATAAAAGATAGACAACTTTTTTTCAACCTAGTAACCGTCCCCAAAAGTGAAGAATATATTTATTCCACAAGAGATTTTGAATATATTCTGAATTAATGTTACCTCTTTAGAATTTTTTAATTTTAGAATTGACAGGCAAGAATGCATCTGAAAATCATTGAATAATGAATGGGGTTGGAATATTTTCCATTTTGACTACTTATTCATATTTTTCATATATACTTAGTATATGTTAGGCACTGCACTAAATGTAAAAACAGTATGAAAGGAGACAAAGAGAATTGGGTTTAGAGGTGTAAATAAATGAGTTTCTGTAACTAGATATTTGTTACTAAAATTGAAAAGCAAAAATCTTGAAATAGACAATATTTTTGATCAGTTGGAATTTTGAGGAGGCTACAGTTACAGGATATTGATATGACGAAATAATTGAAGCAGGAATTGTAGTTCTGTTCATGGATGTAGTGCTTGAATCTAGAATACCACCCGTCATATAACACAGGCTCAGAGAACAAATGCTGAATGAATATATGAGCTGCTCAGGATTTTACAAAGATCTAAATATTTGAGTCTGTTTAGATAATAACAGAAGGTACCAAATACAGCTCTTATTTTGTCAGGCCAACTTTTAGGTGTCTTATTCATATTAATTTACTTATGCTTATCAGTCCTATGAAATTGGTGCTGTTTTTATTCCCATTTCATAGGTGAGCATACAGAGACTTTAAGCAACCTGCCCAAGGTCCCACAGTTAGTAAATGTTGGAAATGGAATTTGAACCCAAGCCATATGGCTCTGGATTCTGTACTATTAGACAATGTGCTACACTGTCTATGTGGATCTTAGGAATTTTAAGAACTACCGAAATCAAACTTCACCTGGGGACTCAAAGCATTGTGGACTGAAAGTGTTAAGTTTTCATTCTTTCAATTCCCAGTCTCTCATTCTGTATTAAACCACCAATCAAAGAAGAAGTCAACAATCCAGCCGTGGGGGGATGGGGGTAGAGATTAAGTATTTTTGCTATTTTAAACAAACAATAATATTAATATAATATTCAACTATCCTTAAGAAACTGGTCATACAACCTGTTTGTAAGATACATCAGGTTAAGCAAGAATTGTTGAACAAAATCAAAATAGTATTAATTTTGAAATTACTTGCTAAAGCTAGACTGAGAATTCACCTATTATAAACAAATCAAAGTGTAAGAGCTGTCAATGTAGATAATAGAAACTTTTAAGATAAGTTTGCTATAAAGTAATGAGTCTTTGGCAATTACATAGATACACACACGTACGTAAACTTATGAAGAATGACCCCATTTAAACAAGACTTAAGCTTCTGCTTCATGTTTCTTATTAAAATGTATTTTCTTATTAAAACGTATTTTGTATGCAATTTTCAAGAATTAAATGAAATTATTCAGTAGGCCAGGCGCGGTGGCTCATGCCTGTAATCCCAGCACTTTGGGAGGTTGAGGCGGGTGGATCACGAGGTCAGGAGAGATCAAGACCATCCTGGCTAACATGGTGAAACCCCGTCTCTACTTAAAAAAATACAAAAAATTAGCCGGGCATGGTGGCGGGTACCTGTAGTCACAGCTACGTGGGAGGCTGAAGAAGGAGAATGGCGTGAACCCAGGAGGCGGGGCTTGCAGTGAGCCAATATCGCGCCACTGCACTCCAGCCTGGGCGACAGAGCCAGACTACGCCTCAAAATAAATAAATAAATAAATAAATAAATAAATAAATAAATAAATAAATAAAATTATTCAGTAACTCACCTTCTGTTTTGAAAACATACTGACAAATACGATCCAACTTAGCTTTCGAATAACACTTATGAATAGCCATCTTGATTAGTAAAAGGTTTGGATTTAAGACTTCTTTCCTTATTACTTGAAATGCAAACATGAGGCATTACAATTGTGTTAGTCATTGTAGTAAATGTAGAATCAATATCATTAACAAAGCCACTGTGGTGATATATGGACAGGTTGTGTTTATTGTTCCCTAGTCAGGTTCTTAATGAACCAACCTCTTAGTCTCTGTGGGTTTCTCAATATTCCAGAGAAGTGACAAAGCCACTGGCCACCTCAGGTTTCCAGAATATTCTGCTGTAAGGCAGGCCAAACCAGATCAGAGCAGAACAATAAGCTCTTCTTAGACTTCCTAACATAATGATAATAAATTATTTGAATAACATCAGCGCCTTTAGCATACAGTGATTGCTATGAGATCGAGTAAGATTTTGTTCTCAAATGCTCACCATGGGAATGAGGAAAAGAAATGACCTCATATTTGGCATGTGCTAGAGATTTGGTAAACAGCTGATCAGAAGAGTAATTTAGAAGAAGAGATAATCATATGGGAATTAGAGTCAAATGATCAAAGTTCAAATGTCAAATTAATCACTGAGTAGTATGATCCTTACAAAGTCACCTATTTTCTCGTGTGTGTGTGTGTGTGTGTGTGTGTGTGTGTGTGTGTGACGGAGTCTCGCTCTGTCGCCCAGGCTGGAGTGCAGTGGTGCCATATCGGCTCACTGCAAGCTCCGCCTCCCGGGTTCACGCCATTCTCTTGCGTCAGCCTCCCGAGTAGCTGGGACTACAGGCGCCAGCCACCACGCCTGGCTAATTTTTTGTATTTTTAGTAGAGACGGGGTTTCACCGTGTTAGCCAGGATGGTCTCGATCTCCTGACCTTGTGATCCGTCCTCCTCGGCCTCCCAAAGTGCTGGGATTACAGGCATGAGCCACCGCACCCGGCCAAAGTCACCTATTTTCTCTAAGTAGTTATTTCCTCATCTGCTAATTGGATTTATAAGACCAATTGTGAAGATAATTTTTTAGAATTATACAAGATAATGTCTAATAAATGTTTAATACAGAACCTATATGTAGTAGATGAAAATTTTGGAGGTGAACCCTGAAAACATTGTGTTACATCTTCAAAAGTTTTTTTATATAGTCATATGAGCATTTCATCTTCTACTTTTTTTCTGGTTTACTCGTATTTTGCAAATGACAAGACATGCATCAAATGCAACATAAACACAAATAACCAAGCAGATGGAGTTTATGAGAAAAGAGAAGGTGAACGGTGATAAACATTTTCTACCATTATTAATGCTATAGTACTTAAGTGTTAATAATTTACCATTGACCCAACTTATTATCTAGCATTATAAAAAGTTTTATGTTAAAAAGTTATAATATGTGTCACAATAGGTCTTATGTTATACTTTATTAGGTTTTCATTTGTTTGATTGACGTACTGACGTATTTGACAATCAAAATCTATAGTTTGGGGGCCAGGCGCCGTGGCTCACACCTGTAATCCCAGCGCTTTGGGAGGCTGAGACGGTCGGATCACCTGAGGTCAGGAGTTCAAGACCAGCTTGGCCAACATGGTGAAGCCCCATCTCTACTAAAAATACAAAAAATTAGCTGGGCGTGGTGGCCGGTGCCTGTAATCCTAGCTGCTCAGGAGGCTGAGGCAGGAGAATCGTTTGAACCTGGGAGGCAGAGGTTGCAGTGAGCTGAGATCACTCCAGCCTGGGCAACAAGAGCGAAACTCCATCTCAAAAAATAATAATAATAATAATAAAATAAAAAATAAAGAAAACACAACGTATAGTTTGTATTTAGGTAAAAGCTACCATTGAGGTATGGATCCTCACAGAAAATGAGTTTGCACCTAGAGTCATGCTGTAGTTAGCAGGTGACAGCTCCCTCTCCTGGCCAAGAGCATAGATGAAACCCTGTGTATCTGACCATACTCCTAAAATCTTTCAGAGCTTATCTTGTGGATCTGCAGGTGAGAAAACATCTAGGCACAGAACACACATATGCATATACATGAGTTTATGCACACACAGAAACATACTATCCACATTTTCATTCCTGTCCCACATACATAGGCTTGACAAATGCTGAGGATATGAAAGACAAGATGATACATTTGAAAGGTACCCTCTCCTTGTGAATAGAAGTGCAATCCAGGGAGACATTAAATACAGAAATCTGCATTCAAGGCTCCAAGACTATATTTTTACTTTATCAAGGCATGAGGTTTTCAGGAATAAATAATATCTACATTAAATTTAAGTGCAACTGATTTTTTTCATAGACTTATTTGTTTCTGTCAGATTATTCTTAATTTCTTGAGTTATTAAACTAATATTTATTAGATCATACTCTGAGTCAAGTAGTATGCTAAATGCTAGGAATACAGCAATGAACCAATCAAGTGAAATCCCTGCCTCTGTAACAGTAGAATTCTAGGCGGGGGAGATAAATGTTCACATTAATTTGTACTTCGTCTCTGAAGTTTTCAACTTGCAAAACATGCACAATAATTAACAGTGAGTTTTAATCATTACTCCAGTGAAGTTTAGAAATGTGAGTTTTGATTCTCTCACTGTTACTTAGAATAAAAATAGTTGGCCTATTCCTTAGTAAATTTGTGACTATTTCTGGCTTCTTACTGATGTTTGTAAATAAGTCAAAAATGCTAATAGGTAGAAATATGAAAATCAGATATTGCATTATGAAAAATGTGAAGATCAGTGGTACTATGGCATAGAAGTCAGTGAAAGATACATCTATGTGAAAGAACTTACTGCCATTTTTTTAAGAACTTGATCCTTTTCCAGTCACTCCAAATATGAACCGTTTCTATCACTAAATTTATCATTCTCATTTACAGGGAATTATGGAGAAGTACTAAATAAAGCCCGATTTGAAAAATTCCCATAAGCTTTGAATGAGCAGGAAAAATTCTCAAAACAAAGAAAAATCTCTCTGTAGAGATCTTGCACAGGCCCTGGTGTTGTGTTTAAGGTTACCTTCTGTTAAAGCTCTGTTTTTAAGCTACTCAGATTAGATTTTTGAAGCCATAAGGTAACTTTTCCAAGGCAGATTTGTGAGCTTTTATTTATTAAGTCAAGAACTGTCCATAGAACACCATTGTTATCATTTAGTTTGAGGTGATTGTTTATTAACATCAGGCTGAAAAGTGACTTAGCACCCATGAGATCCAGGGTTACCAGCTGTTCTTGTTCACAGATACTGCACACTAAAAAACAGGTGTCCTTGACAGTTACTGTCTTTTTCTAGTATACGGGGCTTGTTGAGGTTTCATCCTACATAATGTCCCTCAGTTATAAGGGGCAGAGATTTATGGTTAGATAATATGGTTGCAAGGATGCTCTAAGCCTTTCTTCTCTCTATAGAATGATTCTGACCAGAAAATAAAGATACTCAAGAGAATGTGTGAGGCATATTATGACTTAGTAGTATAGAAGAAGAAAAACTAGCAAAGCACACTGAAGGTAATTTTAAAATGTAAACTGTCTTATATTAAGTTGGTGCAAAAGTAATTGTGGTTTTGCCATTGAAATTTATTACGTGGCCGGGTGCAGTGGCTCATGCCTATAATCCCAGCACTTTGGGAGACTGAGGTGGGTTGATCACCTGAGGTCAGGAGTTTGAGACCAGCCTGGCCAACATGGCAAAGCCCCATCTCTACTAAAAATACAAAAATTAGCTGGGTGTGGAGGCGTGTGCCTGTAATCCCAGCTACCTGGGAGGCTGAGGCAGGAGAATTGCTTGAACCTGGGAGGAAGAGGTTGTAGTCAGCCGAGATTGTGCCATTGCACTCCAGCCTGGGCAACAAGAGTGAAACTCCATCTCAAAACAAAACAAAAAAACACTAATTATTTTGCACCCAACCTACCAGAAAGGTAATTATATACAAAATACTAAATAGAACCTCAGAGATAATTATAACCAGTACTAGAAAATAAACAACTCTCTTTTCATACTAAACTTTATTATTGCTGTATTATCTATATATTTCTCCTCTTCCTTCTGATATTTTTATTCTCAGTGGTGTAAAGGAAATATTTCAAAACTTTTGCAGCAACTGTCTTTAAAGTTTCGACATATGTGAGAGATATCACATAGATGTTAAAGATGATCGTTTTGAACATATGTGATAGATAAATGCTGGTTGTCTCTCAGCCTTTGCAATTCTCATTCAGTGCTGATGAATAATGTTTAATATGAATGTCATGCATTATTCCAACTTTTTTTCTTGTATGCAGAAAAAAATGTTCGAATCATGTATTTATATTTTAAAAAAGAGTCTGAAACAGGGAATTGTCTATAATTTATAAAATTGTGTACCTTTTAAGGTGTCAACATTGATATTTGGGCTACTGGAAAAAGAGACAAAGAACTTAGCCAGGACTCACTTATGAAACTTCACGCTCTGAGCCAGCCCCATGTTTAAGACATAGGAGCTATGCAAGAGAACCATGAGGGAAGAATTAGAAGGTTAGGCCTGGGGGAATTCGGCTCGACTATGTCTCCATAATCTTACCCCAGTCAGTATGAGAAATGATACTCCTTAATTATAATTTCAATTTAAAATACTTCTTGCACAATTACAAAATCAACCATTCACTTGACTAAACAGCAATGTTATTTTTCTCTGGAGTTGGTTTTCAAATTTTGGGGACGGAAAATTTGTATTTTTTTCATTGCAACTCTAACAAATTACCACACATTTAGTGGCTTAAAACAACACAAATGTATCATCTTAGAGTTCTGTGGGTAACAAATTCAAAATAACCATCACTAGGTTAAAATCTGGGTGTCAGCAGTATGGAATTCTTTTCTGGAGGCTGTCAGGAAGAATCCATCACCTTGCCTTTCCGGCCTCAAACACTGCCCAGATTTGCTGGTTGTGACCCTCTCCCTTTATCTTTGAAGCCAGCAGCATAGCAGGTCTCCAACATTGCCCCATTGTCACATCGCCCTTTCTGACTGCTTCTTCCAGTTTTAAGGTTTCTTGTGATTACCTTAGGCCTGCCCACATGATCCAGGCTAATCTCTGATTTAAGGTCAGCTGATTAGCAACCTTAATACTGTTTGCAACTTTAGTTCCCCTTTGCCGTGTAACCTGACATATTCACGTGTTCTGGGGAGTAGGACATAACTTAGAGAGGTGAATGGAGTTTTGAGCTGCAACTTGTTGCAGCTAATCAAATTAATCAAATTAATTGCCTACTAAATCACAAAAGAAATCAAAATTCACCAAAGATATATAACAACTCTAGGTATCAAAGACACAATAATCACACTGAACAGAATATGATGTAAAGAACCAGAAAAGTCAGTCTCAAGGGGAAATACAGTCAACAAAGACCAATCCTGAGATGAGCTGGATGTTGAAATTATCAGATAAGGATTTTTAAACAGCTGATATAACTATGCTTAAGGATTTCTTTCTTTTAACTGCTTATAATAAAAGAAAAGAGAAAAATCATACCCCAGAAACAGAATATATGAAAAATAACCAGGTAGAAATTATATAACTAAAAAACCCAATATCTAATTTTTTTAAATAGGCTTAATAGCAGAATGGAAATCATATAAAGAAGAGTTAGTAAAATTAATATGGATTAATATAAATTAGACAATTTTTAAAAAGAGAAAACATAATTTAAAAAGAAAGAACTGAGCCTCAGAAATCTTGTAAAAGTATATGAAAATTTCTAATATTTATAATCAGACTCTCAGAAGAAAAAGGCAGAGAGAAGTGGTAGGAAAAAATGTGAAGAAATAATGGATAAACTTCTCAAGTTTCGTGAAAGTCAGTGTTTCACAGGTTCAAGAAGGTTGGCACCACCTATCAGAAGAAATATGAAGAAAGTCACACCTAAGCTCATCCTCATCAGATGGTTGAAATCCAGAGATAAAGAGAAAATCATGAAAGTAAGCGGAACAAAGAACAACAATACATCACACAGAAGGGAACACAATTCAAGTTCATGGAAAATCTTTAAAAATATTTATAAATTGGAAAGGTGGGAAAATTAAGTACTGAAAGAAAAAATAATTGACAACCCAGAATTCCATGTCCAGCAAAAAATCCCTCATAAGTGAAGGCAAAATAGTACATGTTTCAGATATCAGAAAACTAAGAGAATGTATTGTCCTTGTACATGCACCAGGAGAGATGCTGAAAGAAAGTTCTGAGGATGAAGAAAAAGTAGGTAGTAGAGAAAAATTCATATATTAAGGAAGAAAGAAAAAATCATTATAAATGATAAATATCTGGGTAAATTTAAAATATTATTTTTTCTCTGAATTTAAAAAAAATACATGTGACTATATACATACAACATTTTCTTGTGGGATCTTAATGTGCAAAGAAGCACAAGAAACTTGGGGTTAATTAAAATAATTCATACATTGTGTGTGGTGGTGGTTTTATGGATATATTGGTCTATTAAAATTAGTTGAATTGTATACTTTAAAAGCTTGCAGTTTTGGGGGGCATGTAAATCATATATAATAAAGTAACTTAACAAAAGATCCTGAGAAGAAGGGGCATGACAAGTTACAAATGCAATAGATGGCCAGTAAATAGTAATAGTAGGTGTGACTCTCATATGCTTTGCTTCCTTATGTTTTTCCTTGTATAGTTCCAGGAACTCTAAATGTAGGGAACTATGTCATAATATATCACTGTGGGAAGATTAATCAGAAAAATAATTAGTCCTTCAAATATGAGTACCTTTTTATTGTTATGAGGTAAAATTTAATTTATCCATCTAAAAATTAGAGTATGGATATTACGTATTTACTAAGCCCAAATATTTTACAGTCATTCATTCTTGATTCTTCTTTTATTTGGAATTTTAAAAGTGTAAGTTTAATTGTCAAAAATATATCTTAAATCCATCCATCTCTACATCCCCTACTCTGACCTGAGTCACCAACATCTGTAGTTGCTGCCTGGTAAACTACAACCACTTCTGAATGGTCTCCCCGCTCCTGTCTTGGCACAACCAATTTATTCATCACTCAGCAGTCACAGAGATCTGCTTTAACTCTGCCTAAACCCCTCCAATGGCTTTCAATGGACTGCAAGTAAAACCCATACTCTTTATTATTTCCTACAAGGCACTAAGTTGCCTGATCCAGGCCCTGTCATACTGCCTGAGCCTCTCTCTTTTACTCACTGAGATCTTGTCACACTAGCTCATAAGTTGCAAGATATTATCAACGTATTTCTTCCATCAGGGCCTTTTAGCTTTCTGTTCTCTCATCTGAAGCATTCTCTCTCACACTCACCTTCTCATTTTCAGCATGGTCAACTTCTATTCATTCTTCAAGATTCACTTCAAAAGTTGTTCCCACTGAGAAAACTCCTCTAACCAACCTTACCTAATCAGATCTCCCCAGTAATGTATACGCACAGTACTCTATTTACATCTTTGCTAATATTTATTACAATCTTTCAATTTTTTAACATATGTGTTCAGTCATTTGCTTCTATCCTTTTTCACTAGAATATAAACTTTATCAGACACACTGAGTCTTTTGTTCATCACTGCATTTTTTATTCTAAACTAAGTGTTCATCGTGTAGTAAATATTCAATAAATATTGAATGAATGAGAGTGGAACGATGTATAAGCAAATTAATAAATACACATTGGATCAATGCTGTTTGTAAACTAAATTCTATAATTTTTTATTCATGAAATATTAACAATGCTTTTTTAATGAAAATTTCTTATAAGTTTCTTCCCGATTCTTCCTCTTATATCAGCTGCCCAAGAACTGAAAGAAATTATGGTGGAGCTGGAAAAAGTCCAGGAAAATTTAAAACTTGCACATAGCCATCCAAATGCAACAGTATCCCCAGGGAAGATGATGTCCTGGGATTTGGATGTAGAAACAGAACAAGAGAATAAAAACAAGCTTACAAATGTAATCTTTTCTCATGGCTTTAGAATAACTAAAATAACTCTTAATAACATTAATCTGGTTACCTTCAAGTAAATATCCTTCGGATATTTGAGTTTCTGATGCACAAGGCAGTCCATTAACAAACTGAAACGACCATGTTGATTGACATCCAGAAGGAATATATTTGAAGACATTTATTTCATAGATACCAAAATGCATATTTGCCATTTTCTTTTATGGGTCTTTTTTTTTTTTGACTCATGAAGATTTAAGAAGCACTTCACAATGTCATGTTGAGATATAGATTCTGACTTTTAGATAAAGCACATTTTCTAGATAAGTAACTCACTAGATTCATATTGTGCCTTAGCTTGAGAATATTCAAAACTATAGATGCTGTATCATTGAAAGAGGAGACTATTCCCTCTGACTTTTGTAGAAAATGGCCTGACATGTATATTGCAATTTAAAGTTTTATTGAATCAATGATTATAATTAAGATAAAACATGATCTTGAGTGGTAATAACCAGACCTAATTTTAGGGTGAACAGCAGAGGAATAATGTAGCAAATGAAATAAAACCATCATTAACTTCATAAAAACTTTGAGTAGTATTTTGAAAGCCCTCAGAACCTGAAATAATTTTACATATATATTTATATGTGTATATATATATGTGTTGTGTGTGTGTGCGTATGTATATATAATGTTTTCATGATACTTGTGGCTAGCCAAGATCTAGGGAAAGAATACAATGGAAAAGTATCTTAAAATGTGTGTGTGTATGTGTGTGTGTGTGAAGAAACAAGCATGTTACTTTGCAGATATGGTTCCCTAGCCATCCCTTTTCCATGCAGGCACTTATAAGTAAGTTATCTGCTATTTTGGATTCTTTGAATGGCTGATCCCCATTTCATACCATGTCATAGCAGGCATAACTGACCGTGGAAAGCAAAATCCAAATTAATAGACAACATGTGGCTATTCCTGTCCATATGTGACTCACTGTTTATTGCTCCTCTACTTGACACTCACTCCAGCTCCATGTCCAGGTACTCCACATTTGCTTTTACCTGTGAAAGAGCCAATCCTGAAGCAATGACACACGGAGTTGGCCCAATTCCATTCATGAGCTCTAATCACCTCCTTCTTTCTTACTGGATTTCTGCTTCCCACTTAGCTCCCGGAATGTTCTTTCCCTGAGTATGAGAAACTGCTCTTGCCTGAGTCACCTCTTTATCATGGGTTGAGTCAATACCTAACCACCTCTCCTACTCCATCCAGACCTGCATCCACACCTATGCACGCGCGCGCGCGCGCACACACACACACACACACACACTTTCTTAGGAGATTAGGATTCAGTTTCCTACAACCACACTTTTTACTCAGCAGCCTCTAGGTTAGAGTCAGACGCACAGTAGATGCACAAGACACACTCATTGGCTCAGCCATAATGCCCCCATTGGGCTCATAATCACAGGTTATTAATTACTTTTAAGGTAAGATAAAACGTTTTCCATATTTAACTTCACATGAGATATATTTTCCCTGAGTTTTCTTTTTTTCTTTTAGAAAAAAGTTGGTAAAAATATGTAAGAAGCATATATCTTAAACACATCTTGGGATTAAAAGTCAATAAATAACCCACTTTTTACAGAACAATGCATTTGACCTAAGGGGAAAAAAAACACACACAATTATTTTTACTCCCAGTTGAACTAGAGGAAATCAGAATGATGGAGCCGAGCAAGCCAGAGGCAGTAACCATTTTAATCAAGATTATCATTTTTAAATCTTGTTCTATTTTTTTCTTTTATTGGCACATAATATTTTACATGCTCATGGGGTACATGTGAGAATTTTTACGTGTATAGAATGTGTAATGATTGAGTCAGGGTAGTTGGGGTATCCATCACTTTGAGTATTTATTGTTTCTATGTGTTGGTAACATTTCCAGTCCTCTTTTCTAGCTACTTTGAAATGTTGCTATCCTTTGAGAGTCATGAAAAAGTGGGAGGACATTTCAGTTGCATTTTCTTCTTCATCAGTGCTTTTTCCCCTTCAATGATAAGTATTATAATTGATCTTAATTACTAGTATCTTGATTTTCAGTGGTGAAATGTAATCATTAGTTGTCGTTTACAAATTGTCATTAATGTTCTTGTTATAAATTTTTAAATTCACTTCAATGTAACAAATATTTACTATACTCTTACTATCATGACCTTCTCAGATTTACTTTCTTGCTTACAAGATTCCTGTCTGTAAACAGTGTCCTAGTTAGAACCTCAACTGTTCTGTTTCCAACACCTAATGTAGTGAATGAATGAGTAGATAGTATGAAGAATGTTCCCTATCTTGGCAACATAAGCTGAGTGTAAATACTTGTCTCTGATACAAGAGAAAACATAAAAAGAACTTTAAAAAAGGTAAAAGTATTGTGAAAGTAATCACATTATTTCTGATAGTATTTGTCCCACAAATGCATCTTAAAATGAATTAAATATTTCTCTGCTTTTAAACTCTAAAGCAGCTAATAAATTACCACAGATTCCACAGGAAATATTTCAAGATAACTTGCAAATTCATAAATCAGTAAGCTAGGTTTCTCAAAGCTTAAGTAATCCATGAAAATATTGAGAACACAGAACATTTGACTTTGCAAATCTTGAAAGAGAATTAATTTTATGACAAAATTAAAGTATGTAATTATAAATATGGATTTTAATTTAACTATTTTATCTTCTCTACCCCATATTCTAGTTCCACAGTTCTTTAGAACACTGATATTTCATAGCAGCATAGCAAATTAAACATGAGAACAGTTAGCTAAAAATCACTTGAACTCACTATAACAAAATATCAACTGTGGATTTTGACTTAAAGAAATATAAAAATATGACTCCCATTGACTGTAACATTAATTGTTGAAAATGTTATTAATGTAAAACTTATTATCAATCTAGGCAACTAAAACTTACAGTGATATAGTGATATTCCTCTAACATTTAGACCATTAATTAAAATAATTAATTTTGTGTTCTTTCTGGGAGAATAATTTTATTTCAGAAGGCAGATGAATGGTAGACATGGAACACATTTTGTTCTTATGACACTTTTGGAAAGTCAAGATCTAGGGAAAATATACAGTGAAAATGTTTCTTAAAATTATGATTGAAAATGCAAAATCTTCAAAGCCATCTTCAAAATCTGAAGTAATAGCTATTGCTATGGCTTAAATATTTGTGCCCTCCAAAACTCATGTTGGTATTTAACTGCCATTGTAATAGTGTTAAGAGGTGGAGCCTTGCAGAGGTGATTAGGCCTTGAGAGCTCAATCCTCATGGGCGAGTTTAAAGCCTTAATAAAATGGGTTTTGGTGAGTAAGCTCTCTTTCTTGCTCTTCTGTTTCCGGAACCTAGCCAGGTCCGGCTGCATTTTCTCAGGGCCCAATAAGGAGAAGCAGACAAACTAGGAAAGAAGGGAATTTACTGCTATAACCAGACTCAGGGAGTAGGTCAGCGATAATTCCACCAGACCAACTCGAAGTGTAACAATTTTCTTAGTGCTTATCTAGGCTGGGGTCATGTGCCAATGTGAAGCATTCACCGAAGTCTATTGTAACGAATTTTGTTTCAGCTAGAAGGTCAGAGGCAAAAAAGTGCTTGCTAAGTTTGATTAAGCTGTAAGGTTCCCAGTACCTTCAAGCCCTGTCTACTGTGGTACTGGAGTGATTATTTCTAGCCTATCTCCTTTACAGCTTGGTTCAGAGAGCTGCCTTAGACTCTCCAATAAATCTATTCAAACAGCTGCCTCCGTTACCTTGACTCATCTCAGATTTCATCAACCAGAGACGGGTCCTGGCACTAGGGATGTAAGGGTGTCTCTATCATTCTCCCTTGCTCCAGCAAGGGAAAAGCCCATGCAAACCTCCTACTGACCATATTTTTCATTTCTAGCTTTGATGTCTGGGCACGATTTCCTTAGGTTTAACTATCCGCTCAGTGTTAAGGCAGTGCTGTGGAAATCTGTCTATCTAACTGGGGTGCTAGGCAGGCCTGTCTGTGTGATTGTCAGGGAGAACTGGCCTGCCACACTTCCACCTTCGATCATGGCATTGTGGTAAAGTAAGAAGGCCCTTGCCAGGGGCCAACCCCTCAAGCTTGGACTTCACAGCCTCCAGAACTGTAAGAAAATAAATTTATGTTTAGTATAAATTACCCAGTCTCAGGTATTCTATTACAGTAGCACAAAACGGGCTAAGACAAAAAATTGGTGCCCAGATGTGGGGCTGTTGCCATAATCAATACCTAAAATGTAGAAGCGGCTTTGAACTGAGTAAAGGGTAAAGGCTGGAAGAATTTGGAGGAGCAGGCTAGAAAAAGCCTTGATTGATGTAAATAAAGAGTTAAGGGCAATTCTTGTGAGTGCTCAGAAAAAGATAACTGTAGAGAAAGGCGGAAACTTCTTAGAGATTATAGTTGCCCTTCCATGTCCATGAATCCCACATCTGTGGATTCAACAAAACATGGATAAAAAATATTTAGGAAAAAATTCACAATGTTCCAAAACACAAAATTTGAATTTGCAGTGTGCCAAGTACAATGTTGAATACTGTACTGTTGAAGTAATGTGTAAGCTTTGTATTAGGTAGTGTAAGTAATCTAGAGATGATTTAAAGTATACATATGAAAGGATGTGCATAGATTATATGCAAATACTATGACATTTTACATAAGGAACTTGAGCAGTCATGGATTTTGGTATCAATTGGGGGTCTTGGAACCAATTCCTTATAGATACTGAGGGACAACTCTACTTAAGTGATCGTGACCAGAGTGTTGATAGAAATATAGACAGTAAAGGTAATTCTGATGAGGTCTCAGATGGAAATGAGGAACAAGGTATTGGGAACTGGAGAAATGATATCCTTATTATAAAGTGGCAAAGAACTTGGCTGAATTATGTCCCTGTTTGAGTGGCAGAATTTATGAGCCATGTACTAGGATATCTGGCTGAAGAAATCTATCCGTAGCAAAGCACTGATGGAGCTGCATGATTTCTTCCAATAGCATATAGCAAAACTCAATAAGAGAGAAATTATTGAAAGATAGAATTCGTAATTAAAAAGGAAGCAGGCTGGGTGCAGTGGCTCATGGCTGTACTGCCAGCACTTTGGGAGGCTGAGGCAGAAGAATTGCTTGAGCCCATGAGTTCAACAGCAGCCTGGGCAACATGGCAAAATCCTGTCTCTACTCAAAAACAAAACAAAATGCAACAAAAATTATCCAGGTGTGATGGTGTACACCTGTGGTCCCAGCTACTCAGGAGGCTGAGATGGGAGAATTGCTTGAGCCCAGGTGGTCTAGGCTGCAGTAAGCCATATTCATGCCACTGCACTCAAGTGAGACCCTGTCTCAAATAAATAAATAAATAAATAAATAAATAAATAAATAAATGAAAAGGTATCAGATATAAAAAAAAATGGAGCATCCCCAGCCTGGCCATGTAAAGAATAAAAATATGTTTGGGAGAGAATACAAAGGGTATGTCCAAGCAACTCTTTGATGAGATTAGTATGAACAGAAGAAAGCATGGTGCTATATATCAAGATAATGGGAGAAAGATTCTGAAGTCATTTCAAAGATCTTTGAGGCTGTCCTTCCTATCTCAAGCTGAGTTCTAGAGTCTTGAGGTAGAATGGCTTCAGGGGACAGTCATGGGGGGCTGATGGGGCATCAGGCCTTGCTGCCTTGACCACTCCAGTTATGGCTCAAGTAGACCCAGATGTGGCTTCACCTGCTACTCCAGAATGTATAAGCTGTAAATCTTGGCAGCATCCACCTCGTGCTAATTTTCAGGTGCATAGTACAAGAGCTGTAGAAGCATGGCTGCCTCCAACTAGATTTTAAAGTACCTACTAAATAGACTGGAGGCCCAGACAAAAAACTGCAGCAGTAGTGGAGTCATTCCAAAGAGTCTCCACTGAGGCAGTGCCAAGTGGAGCCAGCTCCAAATCCCAGAACAATGGAGCTACCATAGCGGAGTGCAAAGCCAACCTGGGAAAGCTACAGGCATTCTACTCCAATATGCAAAAGCAGTTACGTGGGCTGTAGTCAGCAAAGCTACGGGAGTGGGGCTCCCCAGGACCTCAAAGGCTCAGTCTCTACCACAGTGTGTCGGGGAGGTGAGACACAGAGTCAAGAAAGGTTATTCTGGAGCCTTAACACTATCAAACAACATGTTTCATGTTGTTTGTCCTGTTTGGTTTTAGACTTACTTGGGATCTGTTTGTTACTTCTTCCTTCTTGCCTATGAGAATGTCTATCCTATGCCCATCCCACCGCTGTATTTTAGAAGCATATAACATATTTAATTTACAGGCTCACAGCTGAAGGGGATTTGCTTCAGGATAAATTATGCCTTGAGTCTCACGCATATCTCATTTAGATGAGACTCTGGACTTTGAACTTACGAGTTGGTGCTGGAACGAGTTAAGACTTTTAGGGATGAAATGAATCTATCTTGTATGTGAGAAGGACATGAGTTTTGGGGTGCCAAGCACAGAATGCTGTGGTTTGAATGTTTTTCCCCTCTAAAATTCATGTTGAGATTTGATTGCCATTGTAACAGTACTAAGGGGTGTGGCTTGTAAGAAGTCACTAGGCCATGAGGGTTCCAGCCCAATAGGTAGGTTTAATGCCTTAATGAAAGTGTTGTCAGGAGTTGGACTCTCTCTTTTGCCCCCTTGCCTTCTGCCATGGAATGATGAAGCAAGAAGGCTCTCTCCAGATGCCAGCCCCTCAATCTTGAACTTGTCAGCCTTCAGAACTATGAGAAAATAAATTTCTCTTCATTATAAAGTACCCACTCTCAGGTATTCTGTTATCGCAGCACAAAACAGACTAAAGCAGATGCTTACCCATCTATTCATTCCACAATTATTTATTAAGTTAATGTTGACTATTCCCTAGGGACATTTTAGTTAATAAAATGTTCATTTTGTTATTTACCTCATTTTGCTTATCGCTTATTTAGAGTACAGGTAGAAATTACCCTTTAAAAGCATGTATTGGGTTTTGTAAAGTAACTCTTAAAGGTTTTCTCCTTCCCTCAAATAAGCACTCAGTTACTTGAAAAAATTAAAAGACAACAGAAACAAACTGTTCAATTCAAAGTTTCAAACTATTTACCCCAACATTTCTGGAGCAGTTTAAAAATATACATATATTTTAAAACACGTGTCAGAATTTAAGTATTTGATATTTTTACATACTTAGCTTTTCATAAGTCCGTTGTATTGGTGCTTTTTATCATATGATAGGATAATACTGTTTGCTCTACTTCATAGATTAAAAGACAAAATCATTATTATCCAGAAATTAAAATTAAACTTGTATTCTTTTTCTCCAGGCTATTAGCCCAGTGGAGGAAAGGAAGAATATCCTGTTAGAACAACACATAGCAAGGTCCTTTGTCACACTGGAAGAAATGAAATAGGCCTTGCCCAAATAAGAAAGAGCTATTAAAGAGATCTTACAAAGTGAAAGTAAACCTAGGAGATTGAATGGTCCTCAAGAAACAATCCACTGCTGCAAATTTTAGTTAGCACAGAAAATATTGGTGACATTTTCCAAATGAAACTTCGGTGATTAAGGACACGAGAGGGAAGGTGTTTTATCCATTTTTTTTTTTTTTTAATTTCCTGGTCGAGTGTGCTGGGGCAAATGGCTCACCAAATCAGAATAAACCAAAACAGAGAACTGGTGAACTAGAAAGAGTGCTGCTGCTAACTCAGACCAGTGGTTTTCAAAACCTTTTTATAAATTAGAGGCTTCTTTCTCCTAAGAAAATCTTATCCCTAAAACCCCGAATATAAAACATATTGAAACAAAAATAATGATAAAAGACAGAGATGCTCTGTTGATGCTTAGATAAAGTAATTGGGGGTCTCAAAGGGACAAATGCTTGAAAATTCATTAGGAAACCAAGCCCTTTGGGGCTCACTTTGCAAGAAGCTCATGTGGTCCAATCCTCTTATTCTATTCAGGGAAAAGCAATGAGCTTATGTGACATCACCCACAGTCATACAGCTGGTGAGTGGTGACCTAGGGTTCCTCAACTGTGAACTAGGGTTCCTGAACTTTCCATCTCATGCATTTCCAGTTCCTCTGATTTCATCCTATCTCTCCAGAGTAGACAGGTATTGCAAGAAAACATTGAACTGATATGCAGACAGCCCACATTTGCCTTCACAAATTCAAATTCAATTTATAACAAGAAAACTAATCAAGAATAAATGTTTTTCTTATCTTTTATAGGAGGAAAGCATTGTTAATACAATAATGTATTTATTGGAAGGAATGATCCATAGCAAGGTCAAAGGCAAAATAATTGTAATACAGACTTTTTTCTGTGTTCTTCACCATCATCAAGACTGTAATTTATGCTTATGGTGCAGTTAATTAAAACATTGAGATAATCATAGGTTTGATTTTTGTGTTGGTTGCATTGCATGTTCCTCATTGACCTTTAATTAAAGGAGCTATTATCTTTCAGATACTAAAGACAAGAGAGTGTTGATGGATTGGTATCTTAAATATTGAAAGCCTGTTAAAAACAGATGCTGTAATTATGATGGCTATTATCAACTTTACATATAAAGTATTTATAGAATATCCTATTGTTACCATGAACAATAAATACTTAATAAACAGTTAAATGTCATGATTCTATTTCAATTTTTATGCATTTTTAGCCCTCTCTTTTCTTTATTTTTCTGTCAATACTTTTGAAGTTGGTCGAGTTAATGCCAAGTTAATGGTCAAGTTTATTCTCAAGTTTATAACTCTAATTACCTAAGTATAGGAGTAGTGAATTCTGGAGCCTGAATAATTTAAATGGTTGGGGCCTGGAAGACAGCCATAGACAAAATGGCACTTATTTAGAAAATGTCAATAATAGGCATATCTTAAAATAAAATTATTGAATTATTTATTAAAACAATATGTCTATATGTATTTGCAAAAATTATTGACTCTGTAATAAGGGAAAATGCAAGGAAGTTAAAGCACACAAGACAAACTTTTTACAGCTTACAAGAAAGAAAAATGAAATTTTAGAAAAGACATCCACTGTTTACAAAATGTAAATATTTTGCTACAAAAAGTCATGGAAATAAAAATTGTATTATAACAATGCAAAATTGAATCAGAAAAAACACAGCAGTTCCCTGAAGTTACATGGGATGAGTACAAAAAGCTTGTTGTTTCTATAGCACCAAGAGGTGTGTAAACCACGGTGGAGCATTAAACAAACAGTCTTAACTCACCTGTTTGGATTTATTTAACAATGTATAAGCCAGTGTTTAAGTGCTATGCAAATATAAAACATAATTAGTCAGTTTTATATGCATATTGAGTTGGGGAAGAATAAAAATGCATTCTGAAATCAGAATCTCCAGAATCATAGAATCTCCAGCCACAGTGAACTTTAAATGGCATCTAATCCAATGGCCCCTGATTCTCAGATCCTTCTCATAACTTCCCAGCCTATTGAGCAATTAACCTTTGTCCAAAAACCTCTAATGGTGGAATAGAACAGTTAAATAGTGGCAAGTGCAGAGTTTAAAGTTTCTGTCAATAAAATTATCTAATCTTCATTTTTTATCAGGTCCATATTATATACTGTGATATTCCAGCTGCACAGCGAAGAATCCGTCACCTGCTGACAAAAACAAATGATGCTGAGAGGTTTGGGCACAATAAAGTGGATAATTATACACAGGCACTTTTTCCCATGCAGCATTCTTTAAGGATGTGCCAGAGGATCTTGAAAGATCTTTGAAGAGCTATGAACTGATAGAAATACAATCTTGGATTTATTTTTTAATCATTTGCTAGTTAATAAAATTACTGCTTTCAATGTAGAATTACAGCTTTTAACTGATCCTACTTTATTGCAGATTTGCATAAAGAAGAAGACAATCTAATGTAATATCTGAAAGCAAAACAAAGAGAATAATAATAGTTTGAGGTCTGAATTATATTCCTCTGCCTTTTGATATGCATTGCCAAATTTCCTGTAAGATATCCTAATATATTTATATAGAATTTACAATTCTATATAAATATTTTAACTTTCTTAATGTTGTGATCTTACTTTTAAGAATCTGGCAACTTAAATTCATGACTACTTAAAGAATCACTTTATCCTTATACATCTAAAGACACGAAAGTCTTATTTCCTAAGGAATAATTGGACCAAAAATTTTTCAAGCCAGTTTACTTAAGTCATTATTTTCCCTGTAACTCAGAATACATTAACTCCAGTATCAAAATGTAACCATTATGATTCCTCATGTCTTCATGACTCTCTAAACTGTGTTGTTAATCATTTTGTGATAAATCTTTTCAGCAAGCCTATGATGACCAAAGTTCATTAGGATCATCAAGATGTGGAAAAAAATAACACTAGGTTACATTAAAAATGGAAAACATGCCAAATTAACTCTTGCAGATAACCCACTGTCGAAGATAGGTGAGATAAATAATTTAGGACATTCATTTTACATTTTCAAATTAATAATGTATATTCTGTGGCTTTCTATTTATATATAGATCCACATGGGCTACTATGAAAAATACATTTGTTAAAATACTTTATCAAATTATTTAAATAATAAAATTGACTTTGTCAAGTTTTGCTCATTTACAAGTATTTATTTTATGTTTCACTATATACCAGCTACTGTTTTTGTTAATCAGCTTTTTTGAGGTATATGTTACATTCACTAAAATAAACTCATTTTTAGTGTGTAGTTCAATGAATTTTGATAGGTGTATACACTTGTGTAACTACCAGCATAATCAAGATACAACACATTTCATCCCTCTAAAATACTTTTCACCCCCACCCTCTGCTCCAAGCAATCATTGATTTACATTGTTGTATGTTAGTCTATTCTATATTCTAGAATTTCACAGAAATAAAATTATTCGGGTGGTGTTATTTTATATATGGCCTTTTTAAATTTTTCTCTTGCCAAGTATAATATTTCTGAAATTAATCCATAGTTTCGCATTTCAGAAGCTCATTTCTCTCTATTGCTGAGTACTCCCATCCTATGAAGTTCTCTATTCATCTGTTTTTAAGATATTTTAACTGTTTCCAATTTTAAGGTATTACGAACAAGGTGTTATGAATATTTGTGAATACATCTTTGTATGAACATGTTTTTATTCTCTTGATAAATACTTAGATTGCTGAGTCATATAATAAACTTGTTTTTAACTTCCAGTCACGGCTTTAAGCTCCTAAAGTGCAGGTGTTTGTTTGTTTGTTTGTTTGTTTGTTTATTTTTAAGAAAAAGCCAATGTTTCAACTCTTATCCAACTTACATGCAAACTTAATTGAACTTACATAAAAAAATTATTCAATGCTTTATATATATATGTGTGTATGTGTTTGTATGTGTATATACATGTATATAAATACTCTCAGACATATGCTATCTCAGTAATAAAATACTGAGCCTAGGCTAGCTCAACATAGCTTTCGCTTTTTCTAATTGAATGAAATACAAGGTACATTAATTTTTTATTGCTCCATAATAAATTACCACAAATTTAATGGCTTAAAGCAACACATATTTAACATCTCAGTTTCTGTGAGTCTAGGTACAACTTAGCTTGGGTTTCTTCTCAGGATCTAA
The DNA here is from genome assembly GCF_000001405.40 of Homo sapiens. NCBI lineage: Eukaryota > Metazoa > Chordata > Mammalia > Primates > Hominidae > Homo > Homo sapiens. Next base: position 73,089,956 of record NC_000009.12, on the reverse strand, counting down.
TAAAGCTTAAGGTGTTTGCCAGCCTGCATACCTTTCTAGAGCTTGGGATGCCCTTCCAAGTTTATGTGGCTGTTGACAGAAATTAGTTCCTTGTGGTTGGAGGACGTCATTCTCCATTTTCTTGCTGGCTATCACCTAGGGACTGAGTTCAACTACTAGAGGGTGCTCACGGCTCCTTGCCACATGGCACTCACAGGACACAGCAGCTCACTTCCTAGAGATCAGTATGAGAATCTCTCTGACCCCAGGGTGGGCCCCAATCCCTCTCTTTAAATTACTCACCTGAGTAGGCCAAGCCTACCTAGGATAATCTCCCTTTTAATTAACTCAAAATCAACTGATTAGAGATGTTAATTTTATCTGGAAATGTCCTTTGCCATAAAATGTATCATAGTCATGCAAGTCACACCCTATCATATTTACTATCCTACCCATACCCAAGGAGAAGAAATCATACAGGGCATATACATCCAGGGCCGGGTATCCCAGGGATCATATTACAATCATGACTACCACACAAGGTAATATGTTGAACTTACTCAAGCTAGTTTACCCTGCTCTCTCCACTTTTTCTCTTAGTTTGAATGCTTACATTTCTGAGCTGAACAAAACAGAGTGGTAATTTTGCCACACAGGTGAAGGGCTTAAATTTCCATTGACCTAGAAGGATCATGCCACACTTGTCCTTATTCTGTTTTTAGGGTGTTCACTGTAATCATTTCAAACGACCACCTTAAGAAAAGGCTTTTGAAAATATATATATGAGTCATTTTATAGTTATAGTAATATTGTTTTATGACATTAGATTTATTTTGGGGGGTTGTTTCTTTTGGCTTGTCCTCTGTAAGTTATTGAAATGAGTTTAAATCCACTCTTGGTCATCTGCTACATTAATAATATTGTCCTCCTTTATGGCATATTTATTACACATATATCAAGAGACACAAGTCACTCTGGATGAACCAGAAGGCTACAAAAGAAATAGTAAGTAGCTAAAAGAAGACTGAAAAGATGAACCAATAAAGAAGTCTCTGTCTCTCTTTCTTTCTCAATACTAAATGTAAACCAAGTAAAACTCCTCTTAATTTGAAATGTGATGAGATGGTTTATTTCATAAACAAAATCCTTAATATCATCTGGTTTAACACATACATGAGATTCTGAAGCATGTCTAGTCAGTCCTCATCAGGTCCAAGAGATACAATTTATCCCAAGTAAATTCTGCACATTGGTGGAGATTTGGAATTGGCTTCCCTAATCTATCCAGCAAATCATAAATACTATGCTAGGCCTTAATGTTAGGTTTTTGGATCATACCAAGCACTTTGTTTGATCTCTCCATGTCTGCTTCTGCTCCTAGTTTGGGAATAAATTTCAGGTGTTATGTATGAAAAAGAAAAAGAGATAAGAACCTCCAAAATTATCTGGCACCAAGATACAGTTTCAGAAAAAAACAGTCAAGCCTTTTCAATCCAATTAATAACCTCTTCATGGTATAACTCTTATATTATATTATTAAAAATAACCTGATCTATAATACTGAAAACTGACTTCTATTGGGAAATGATGAGTATGTGAGGAATGGGGTATAAGGAAGAAAAGAGGATCTAATCATTTTACCACAAAATGTTAGAAATGCGAAACAATTATGAATGGAAAGACCTAACTTCATAACGAATGCCCAGGAATTGTTTTAGAGACCCTTTTTTTTTTAACTTAAGTGTTCTGAACTCTTCAAAATAGAAATAAATGCTATTTTATAATCTTCTGTGCTAAATGCACGTGGGGAAAAGAAAGAGAGATCAGATATTTACTGTGTCTGTGTAGAAAGAAGTAGACATAGGAGACTCCATTTTGTTCTGTACTAAGAAAAATTCTTCTACCTTGAGATTCTGTTAATCTATGACCTTACCCTCAACCCCGTGCTCTCTGAAACACGTGCTGTGTCAAACTCAGGGTTAAATGGATTAAGGGTTGTGCAAGATGTGCTCTGTTAAACAGATGCTTGAAGGCAGCATGCTCCTTAAGAGTCATCACCACTCCCTAATCTCAAGTACCCAGGGACACAAACACTGCGGAAGGCCGCAGGGACCTCTGCCTAGGAAAGCCAGGTATTGTCCAAGGTTTCTCCCCATGTGATAGTCTGAAATATGGCCTCGTGGGAAGGGAAAGACCTGACCGTCCCCCAGCCCGACACCCGTAAAGGGTCTGTGCTGAGGAGGATTAGTATAAGAGGAAGGAATGCCTCTTGCAGTTGAGACAAGAGGAAGGCATCTGTCTCCTGCCCGTCCCTGGGCAATGGAATGTCTCGGTATAAAACCCGATTGTACGTTCCATCTACTGAGATAGGGAAAAACCGCCTTAAGTCTGGAGGTGGGACATGCGGGCAGCAATACTGCTTTGTAAAGCATTGAGATGTTTATGTGTATGCATATCTAAAAGCACAGCACTTGATTCTTTACCTTGTCTATGATGCAAAGACCTTTGTTCACGTGTTTGTCTGCTGACCCTCTCCCTACTATTGTCTTGTGACCCTGACACATCCCCCTCTCGGAGAAACACCCACAAATGATCAATAAATACTAAGGGAACTCAGAAGCTGGAGGGATCCTCCATATGCTGAACGCTGGTTCCCCGGGTCCCCTTATTTCTTTCTCAATACTTTGTCTCTGTGTCTTTTTCTTTTCCAAGTCTCTCGTTCCACCTAACGAGAAACACCCACAGGTGTGGAGGGGCAACCCACCCCTTCAATGCACAAAAGGGGGAAAGATGTCTAATCTTTTTATTTTCAATTGGAAAATATGAAAATTTTCCATCAAAGAAAGTGGTACCTCAAGGAGAAAATATAAAGTCAGAAATCCAAATTAATGCATTTCTAAAAAATTCTATATTATCTACATTAATTTTACAAGTTGTATAAATTATTCAACAGAATATTTCACAAAGAAAGCATTTGTGTTTTAGAATCTGTTTCATATTTACAGTATAATATTGACCGAAAAATGAAATGCAAAATGTTTTAAAATTACCAAGATCCAATCAACAATGGAGGCCCACTAATATGTCTGACCTTTTGAAAGTGTAACCAAAATTACTTAGCCAGGAATGAAAGATTTCACTATGGCAGACTGATAAGAATGTTGGCTTCCCAATCTTACAGATCTGCTCCTTATGACCCCATATACATCCCATCCCGCCTATGCTCCAAAACATCATCACAAAGATTCTTTCTGTGCCTAGCAAATTTGGCACAAGTTGAGACAAAGAAAAAAAATAAATTTTTTTACTTTTATTTTTATTCCTTTTGCCTATTACATGAAAAATAGTCAATGGGCAAACAGAGACTATCAATAACAAAAGAAAACAAATATAAAACAAAAACAATGAACCACCACATCAAAGCAGAATTATCCAGACTGAATGGACATGATCTTAAAGGACTGCTAAAGGAATGTCTATGGTTGATTGAAATTTGATTTTAATTTTCCTAATTGTCAAATACCTAAAAATTATAATGCCACAGGAATTAAAACCCATGTAAACTGAATCCAAATTATGCATCTGAAAACCAGTTCCATCACTTCCTAATTATGTAACTTCAAATGAGTTTTATCCTTTTGTGTCACAATATTCTCATTCTAAAATGAGGGTAAAAGAAACCTACATTACAGGGTTGTTTTATAATAATATATAGAAAGATCTTAGGAAAGTACCTGGTTGAGACTGCATACCAGTGCATACATTTTAGCTATTTTATTTTTTAAGCATAAACTTAGAACTGTATTGAAAACATTCTAAGAATTGTCAAATGTTGGCTTTTAATATGTTTTCAGAGTTTAGAAATAGATATATTCATGCCCTTTTAATTTCTTTCTTAATGAATAAACATATTTCTTATATCTCTAATTATAATTTTATTAAAAACTCATGCATTACTTTAAACTTATATTTTTGTAAAAATAAATACATTTCATAAACTTCAGAAAATGGAGAAAAAATATGATCATCTTATATGCTAATGAAGATAGTGGGAGAGAGAAAAGCCATGTTCTCTTGCAGGGTCTGACAGGAGCTAGTTTTCCTGGCACAGTATTCCCTCTTTTTAGGGGGTGTCACTAGCTAACGAGAGTGCTGCCCATCTCTTTAGGTTGAGTGTAGGAATATGTAAAGAAAAGCCAAGTAGAACTTCTAGAAATAGAAAAGTATTGTCTCTAGTCATACAAATTAATTGAGTGGATTAAATAGCAGGTTACACAATAAGTAGAGTGAGAGTACTTGGAGGTAGAGCCGAAGAAGCTATTCAGATTACAGAGACATAGAGGGATACGATCTACAAAAGAGAAGTTAATAAAAATACAGAATAGAATAGAATAAAATAACAGAATGATAAAATTGGAGTGTCCAAGAAATATCCAAGAAAAAAGAGTAGATGAAGGACCTTATAAGAAGATATAATGGCTCAAAAATTGCCAAAATTTATGAAAAATATAAATCTTTAGATCCAAACGTGAGCCAAATCTAAAACAATATTAAAATATATGTATTGAAAGATAAATTATAGTGCTTCATATAGATCATAAATATATAAATTCATCTATGTATACCACTAAATTACATATCATACATTGCATTTCGCAGATTGTATCTTATATAAAAACGAGATCAGAATCAAACTACAGTACTTCAAAGATAATATCTCTCTGAAAAAAAAAGATTACCCAAAAGAACATGGTACAATTGTCATAAATAAAGACACGCTAAAGGTACCTCAGGAAAATGAAAACTGAATGAGTACCCAGAAAAATCTCACTAACATACCTTCTCAAGGATAAACCACAGGAAAAAAAAAAAAAATCCAACCCCAAAGGAGACACTGAGATTCAAGAGGTAACGTCAGCCAAAGCAATTAGTAAATCTATGGGTAAATTTAAGTAAGCATTGAATATGAATTAATAAATAAAGTTGAAGAATCATAATGGAATTAAAATACTGGATAATATTGACTTACAGTCAGGAGGCATCTGATCGGAGTTAGTATGCTTGGGTTTTTGTTTAATTCATGTATACATTTTAAGTTACATACGTTAATTTAAGTTCAGGGAACAAAAAATTCAGTATATTATTTCCAAACCAATAAAGAAAATATATAGTATTACAATAGTCATTAATTTAAAAGAAAGGGGAAGGGGAAGAATGAACAAACATCAACAAAGCGGGACAAATACAAAATAAAATGATTTAAATAAGTCTAAATATGTCAGTAATGAAAAGAAATTAAATAGACATGTTCATTCCTCTTGTATTTGAGAGTAGAGAAAAACATGTAAAATGTTATATTACCAATGGCATTGTTAAATACTATACACTTTGGAAGAAAGCAGTTAGTAATTTGACAAAGCAATTTGACAACCATTCTGATAGTTTATTTGATAGAAAACCCTAAAACACAGAGAAAGCCATAAATACAATGCATTATTTAAAATGCTGAAAGACGAAAGAAGGAAGGAAGGAAGGAAGGGAGGAAATGAGGGAGGGAAAGCAAAGAAGGAAAGAAGGGAGAAAGAGAGAGGGTGGGAAGGGGAGAAGAGGAAAAATTTAATGCTCAATGATATAGGTGGATGTTAAGATAAATTATATGATCATTTGCTGGATAATGTTGCAAGCATTTGATGCCTACAGAGATCATGTAACAATATGCCAAACTGTAATCAAATAATAAAACTAATTCATGCATACTATAATTACTATATATATGCATAGAAAAAATATATGCATAGTAAGAAATATTTTTAACTATCAAAGCATTCATTTAGTGTCATATAATTGTGGGTGACTTTTTCATATTCCTTTCAAGTTTTCTACAATGTAATTTAAATTTAGACTTAAATAAAAAGGAAAGAGGATTCTTGTTTCAAAAATCACTCCATTATGCTATACCTCAGAATATTTCTGAAGATACATGTTATAAGCTAGATGGTCTTAGCCTTTTTGGATTTGCTGAAGTCTACACCAAATCTAATATTGTGGATTTCCTTAGGTTGTCATTTGTGATATGTATATACTTACTCATATTTTTACTGCCACACTACATTCTCCTTTGTTTCTATCCTGGAGAAACTAAAGCATACAAAATCCAGGTGTGCCACCTCTTCCAAATTTTCTGGACTAAACTCTTAATATTGCTACATCTAGTGTTAGGACATTGGGCAGAAAATACTTCACCTTTTTGTGTGTGTTTTTTGTTTTTTTGTTTGCTTATCTGTGAATGGAGGTTGGCTAGATGACCTCTGATACCTCTTGTTCTAGTTACCCATAATTCTTGCTTCTTTCATTTTAAAATGGAAAGAAGCAGAATCCCAGCCAGTATAATTGCTGAATTATACCCAAATCTAATTTTAAGGCTGGCAAAATTACAGTAAAGATAATAGAGCTGAAAGAAATTTTAGAGACGGTATAGCCCACTCCTTTCTGAAGAAAACTAAGCCCTTGGGAGGAGTGCTCAGATTTTACCTAGAAAGTTAGTTATGAAATGGAGTGACATGTTTTTGCCCTGCGTCTCCACCCAAATCTCATCTTGAATTATAATCCCCACATGTTGAGGGAGGGACCTGGTGGGAGGTGATTATATCATGGGAGCAGTTTCCCCCTGCTCTTCTTGTGATAGTAAGGGAGTTCTCACAAGATCTGGTGAGATGGTTTAAAAGAGGCACTTTCCCCTGATCTCTCTCTCTCTCTCCTGCCACCTTGTGAAGAAGGTACTTGCTTCTCCTTTGCCTTATACCATGATTGTAAGTTTCCTGAGGCCTCTCTAACCATGTGGAACTGTGGGTCAATTAAACCTCTTTTCTTTAAAAATTACCCAGTCTCAGGTAGTATCTTTATAGCACTGTGAAAACAGACTAATACACTGAGAATGGAAAAAATCAAGATTCTGTATCCTCTATCTAGTGAATGAAATGACACCTACAAAGTGCTTAGCAGAGTAGCTAGCTCATAGTCATGGCAATAATGTTTTTTTCTTCTACTGTACTCTACACAATTAATTTTCTAGTATATATTAAGACATAGAAGGAAATATGTAAACCCTCTATTATGCACTCTGAAGCTACAGAGATGAATGAAAACATGAACTTTGTCCTCAGAAGAGTAATTATAATGGAAAACTTTTATTGTGCATTGCACGAAAGGTGCTCTGCTGAAGTTTGCATACATCACATATCATTTAATTCTCAAAGCATTCCTATCCAACATGTATTATTAGCATTGCTTTTTTATCAAGTGAGCAAATAAGGACTTAGGGAGGTTATACAGCCTCATAGCTAGTTAGTGGAAGAATTATGATTCAATGGATTCTGGCCTTGAGAATATTAAATATTAATATTAAGTATTAATATTTAACAGGTAAGATAATGGATTATGAATTTAATATCCATAAATCATCATTTGCGGTGAAGACATATGACCTGAAATAGACTTGATTTTTTCTCATCTCCAACCTTTCCACGTGCCATAAAAGCAGTTGTTCTAGGGAGTTGTTTTAGAGTTGTGTATGAGAATTACATTGAGAAAGCTGGAGTATTTATACCAGAGAAAGGGAAACAAACAAAAATGAATAGAAAATCAACAGAAAATAAAAGAATAGGAAAAGAAGAAAAATAAATGAAAGTTTTGAGAGAAGGCATCAGAGGATTTTGAGTTTGGGTTTCTTATAATTTGGGGCACTATAAACCCTTTCCCAGTAGGTGGTGCTAGAGTATATCAGCTCCAAAATCCAGAAAGGCTGGCTTGGTCCCTTTCCTCTCCACATACAGAAACAAAACAAAGCAAAACCCCTCACAACCAATCAAATACCAGAAGTTGAGCATTGACTGACTTTTTGTAGTGATGCCAACTTTAGAAAAAATTATGCTTTCCTCTGTATTACACAAAAAAAGAGACTATTTGAAATGCACTCCCCTTGTGAGGAAATACTGTAATGCCAGCAAGAGTTGAAACCTTTTATTCAGTATTTTTCCTCTGAGAATTTGTCCTTCATTCTCGAAAGATGTTTTCCATAGCCACTTAGTACAAAGTAAAAGGAGTTTCAGAGATTCCCAGTTCCACATAATAAACGCAATATAAAAAGAGGTTTGCAAATGCTCACCTCCCCAACAATTTTTTCATAATGAAAGAAAACATGAGAATAATAAAATGTCAGTATAATATGATTTAAGAATACACTGAAGGAAAATCCTTTAATTTCTCAGCCAAATAATACAGAGTTATGTATACCCAGGAAACTAAGACCTGATGGAACTACCAGAGACTTTTCCTTTCTCAGCCTGGGCTAGTCCCCAAAAAAACACATTTATTAAAGTGTATTCTCTTCCTGGCCCATGGATACACTGAGATAGACTTTCTTGTATGTTGAGAAATGATCACTTGTCATTTTCATTCCAACATCTTTAGTTTAATCATAAATGTGTCATTGAAGACATGTATAAAATGTAGGTATAGCTCGGCCGAGCGCGGTGGCTCACGCCTGTAATCCCAGCACTTTGGGAGGCCGAGGCCGGCAGATCACGAGGTCGGGAAATCGAGACCATCCTGTTAACACGGTGAAACCCTGCCTCTACTAAAAATACAAAAAAAAAAAAAAAAAATTAGCCGGGCGTGGTGGCACACGCCTGTAGTCCCAGCTACTCTGGAGGCTGAGGCGGGAGAATGCCGTGAACCCAGGAGGCGGAGCTTGCAGTGAGCCGAGATCGCACCACTGCATCCAGCCTGGGCGACAGAGTGAGACTCCGTCTCAAAAAAAAAAGAAAAGAAAAGAAAAAAAAGAAAAGAAAAAGAAAGTAGGTATAGTTCTATTGGTTTCTTATCAAAAGCAACATTCCTCTGCCTATTATTCCCAGCGGTATCTTGCCATTTCCATCTTATCTTCCCATGAGAGTCAAGAAATGATTTTATTTCTTTAATGTGCTAAAGAATACAGCTAGTGCAAAGGGCTTGGAAAGATTGCAAGAGAATAAGAAGCATCTGCATATACAGAAGGAGATAATTTTTAAGTAAATGAGTGATGACATTTGTAATTTAAGTTTTCTCCTTCAGCTTTAGTTTTCAGGAATAAAACACTGTGCGTGTAAGATTATAAAGGCCAGACCGCCGATGGAGGTTTGGGGCACTCCTTCAACCACTCACAAATTGGACAGTATGTTTTGATGGAGCGTGCCGTCCTTTATCAGGTATTTCAGGTTATGAGGAGAGGCTACAAGCTGTGAATCAACATAGCTAATCGAGACAGAATTTGTGTTTTGTGCTTCATGGATCTTTTTTACATTCATGTCCACTTAAAGAAGGCAGCCAGCTCCTTCATTCTTTTAACCTCACAGGAGGTTTGTGCTGTAGGACAGAAAGGCTAATTATCCAGCAGATGATCTGCCTTCCTGGCACTCCTTGAGGGAATTATGCCAGATAGGGGAAAGGGAGACATGTGCCTTGTGGAAAAGAGAAGGTGGGAGGGGAGGCATGCCCCAGAAGTCCAGGATGGGAAGAGAGATCTGCAGACTCCCAGGGAACCTACAGCTTTCTCCTTCACAGCATTGCAGGAGGTGAGCGGAGTTTTGGGTTAGGTGGGAGGGGTGTGGCTGCCTAGTATGCCTGAGGGGCTGGAGTTTAGGCTGAGTTTCACAGCCTTTGCAAAGTTTACTGGGCTTCCAGATGGCACTAAAACCCAAGGTTCTCAGATTTCAGTAGCCCTTGTAAGTTTAGACAAGGCATCTCAGTGGTAACCGGATGAGTAAAAGACCCCCAAATGCTTTGGTTTTCATAAGATGGGTGTGAGTGAGAGAGCACCAAAATAAATTCAGATTGAATTATCACGGGATTTGAGCTCAAAAAAAGATCTAAGCTTACTTTAAATAAATACATTTGATTTCTCAGATTTTTTTACTAAGACTTATATTTATTTTAGTTCGAGTTTAGTTTCTCATTCTGAGATTTTCCCCTAAAAATGTAACTAACTGTCCCTGCCAACAAAGGCAAATAACATTTTTGTCCCAAAGAAAATACAAAATGCAAAAAGTGGGGAGAATTGTATAAGAATACCTTTTTAAAATACTGTTCTTTTCTGGGTAAACATAATACTTGATAAAAACTCAAGGAACTATCATTATTATGTAACAGGCAAATTTTTGCAATATAAGAATTAGGGAGGGGTGTGTAGATTTTAACATCCTTGTACCTGCAAGTGTGCATGGCAACAAAAGAATAATGTTTGGGTTTTTATGATGTGAATCAAGAGAGAGCCTCATGGCTGAATTATCCAGTGACATAGAGAAGTTATTGTTCACAACCTTTTATGTTAGGGTAACAAGGAGATGACAGCCAAGACCTAACTAAGGTCATACCACAATTCCTTTGGTTCAGTGTTCTAGCCACACCTTGCTGTACCTCAGTTCTTCAACAAACAAGGTGTGTGCCACCTTGTGGTTAGAAATTCTCAGCAGATAATTGTTCTTTTATTCTAGCTTATCTAGAGCTAAGTTCAGGACAGACAAGTATTTCAGACATCTCCATTTTAAAGCAAAGTCAGGTTTTTCCCTTGAGATTTTGCTGCTCCCGGCATTATGCTGTGGATCCTACCAGAGCTCTAGTCTCAAGCTTTGTTTCCTGTCCCAAGAGCTCATGACCCCTCACATTAGCAGATCCAGTACTCACTCACTCCTCTGGATTGCCTTCTTATTTTATATTTATTTATTTATTTATTTTTGTGAAAGAGTGTCACTCTATCGCCCAGGCTGGAATGCAGTGGTGCAATCTCTGCTCACTGCAACCTCCGCCTCCCGGTTCAAGCGATTCTTGTGCCTCAGCCTCCCAAGTAGCTGAGATTATAGGCGTGCACCACCACACCTGGCTAATAATTGTATTTTTAGTAGAGACAGGGTTTTGCCATGTTGGCCAGGCTGATCTCAAACTCCTAGCCTCAAGTGATCCGTCCACCTCCGCCTCCCAAAGTTCTGAGATTGCAGGCATGAGCCACCACGCCAGGCCTGGATTGCCTTCTTATATCAAGCTTCTAGATTCCCTTATTTTTACTTTCCTACCATAATTTAAAAAATTGTTAAATTGTGTTGAGATTTTTCAATGTGCTTTACCAAAAAAGGTTTTTCTGAATATCAAATCAACCATTTTGACCCCATTTTCCATTTTCTGTCAAGTACCTCTGAGCCAGTCTTTTGCCTACATCACCACACCAACGTTAATGCTAAAAAGATAATTTTCAGAAAAAGGTGAAATCATAACCCTCATTCAGATATGAAAATGAACATGTGTTAAATAATTTTACTTACATAATATGAGGGAGCCACGGAGATGTTATAACTGATTCAAAGGAAAAGTCAAACAGCGCTAATTTATCTAGAGCACAGAATGTTGAAATTAATTGGAAATGCAGACAAAACTGATTTTTCCACATTCATTTAGATCACTACCAAACTGGACACAGAAAGTCAATTAATGTCACTAACAGACAAGTCAGAATTTGTTTATCAATTACCTACCACTTACAAAGATTTGCAAAACAGCTCAAAGACAATGAGCAGGGGTAGAATTTGATACCCTAAAAGAGTTGTCAGACTATGTTTAGTTGCCCACTGAAACACAAAATTTTTTTCATACACTGATCTTGTCAAGGCCATTAATGACTTCTACACTGAAAAATTCAGTGTCATTTCTCCATAATCATCTTGCTTCAGTTATTAACAGCTTTTGATATAGCTAATGACTCCCTTTCTTTTTGGAAAAAAAATTATTTGCTGTCCCCTTTGCTGATTTCTCTTTATTTTCATAAACTCTTCTCCACCAGTACTCCTTGTGTAGGTGACTTCATCTGATTCCAAGTATTTAAATACCAACTATATGCTTAAAAAATTCCTAAAATTATATCTTCAGTCCCAACATCTCCTGGATACACCTGACTTATACATTTTTTGGCTTACATCTACTGTCAAGTTGCCATCTTAAATTTCTGCTATCTGAAACTGGACTTTGATTTATTTTAGTCTACCCCTTTTCAACACACACTCTCTCACACACACACACACACACACATGCAAACACCCACACCCACACACACACACCTGATCTTCATATAGTTCTAGCTACTCAAGAAAAATCTGCAGAGTCATTCTGAATATCTTCAAATTGTCCCTCCAGGTTCATTCTCTTTTCTAAATCCTGATCCATGCCAGCAAACTAAACTGAATGTCATCTCTCAGTAAACATCTTGCAAGTGTGTAATAGCCTTTTACACTTGCCTTTCTACAATCTATTCTCATATGCAAACAGAGCAAACTTTTAAAATGAATATCATATCCTGCCCTTTAGACCTTCTTGCTATTCCTTGAATATACTTAGAATATTCTTGTCTCAGGGTCTTACTTGCCTGGAAGGTGTTTCCCTTAGATATCCATTTTGATTTCTCCTTCACTACAACTCCATGAATAGATGTCACCTTATCAGAGATTTTCCTGACTCTCATATGAAAGAGCATCCTTCCCCTTCTCCACTATCATTCTCTATCCCCCCTACTCTACTACACATTACTTCACAGCACTTACCACCACTTTACATAATTTATATATCTGTAGTGTATTTATATTTGTTTAAGGTTTATTTGATATCTTTCTTTGTCAGAATCTAAGTTCCATGAGAGCAAGAACTTTTGTCTGTTTTTTTCCAGTGATGTTTCTGCTGTGTATATAAACATGTCTGCATCATAGTCACCCCATATGGGTGTGGAGTGAAATAAAAGATTGAATAAATGAATTGACCAATGATGCAGAATTTATGTTATGGCACACTGAGTGATACATGGTCAGTACTACTGTTATTTGAGTCCCAATCATTTTTCAACAGGAAGAAAAGAAGTTCCCTACATATAATCACAAATATAATCAAATACTTGAAAGATGTTCATTGGTCTCAATGTGACTCAAAGCTGAAACACAAAATCAGAGTTGAGCAACGATTTCTTAAGAAGCCAATAATGAGGAAACAAATCAGCAGGATAAACAAAGATCTATATAGAAGAAACTTCACATCATTGTGGGTTCAAGTTATATTTTCTTTGAGTCAAAAAGCACAGTTATGCTATTGATAGTATAATTAGCATCTTGTTTAATTCATAAAATTGCCTTGAATAAAGTAATGATTGCCTAGTGAATTTCTAAGTTCTCCATTTGAAGAGAAATATAAATATATCAAATCCATATTATGTAAATTTGATATATAAATAAATTTGATATATTTATATTTCGCAAGCAATAGAATAAATGTTCTTCATCTTCCTTTCACACAATTACTTCATTTCATTTTTATAGTTTTGTATTTAGAGGCTCCTATACTTTTATTATATCAGTAACTATTAAAATTCAGCTCTTTAATGAAGCAATTTCAGCTTTATCCTATACATCTGTGATAACATTGAAGCAACTCTCCTATGGTCAACTCTATACCATTAAATTATTTTTCATTATATTTTCATGATAGTAATAGAGTGTATTGATCCTGGTATTTTTTCTGAAGATTACTAGCATAAGAATTATCTGGGGAAGCCAAATTCAAATTTCCACACCATCTGATTTGGTAAACAATGAAGAATAAGACCTATTTAAACCAACTTAATTTTTTTTTTTCTTTGAGATGGAGTTTTGCTCTTGTTGCCTAGGCTGGAGTGCAATGGTACGATCTCGGCTCACTGCAATCTCTGCCTTCCAGGTTCAAGTGATTCTCCTGCCTCAGCCTCCTGAGTAGCTGGTATTATAGGCACATACCGCCACACCCAGCTAATTTTTTTTTTTTTTGTAGAGATGGGGTTTCACCATGTTTGCCAGGCCAGTCTTGAACTCCTGACCTCAGGTGATCTGCCCACCTCAGCCTCCCAAAGTGCTGGGATTACAAGCATGGGCCACTCACTCTTCCTGGCCTAAACCTACGTAAATTAAATGAACATAGGGAATAATGTAAAGGATAACTGGTAATGGTTTCAAATATGGCTTATTCTAGGAGTTCAAATAATAGCTCCAGAACCTGCCATATCTCCATCCTTAGATTCTACTTTCCTTCATGTTGTGTGATTCTCAGATTCCTCATGACAGGATGTTTGCCAAAATCTCTCTTCCAGGAATAAAGATGTCTCCGTCTCTTTCCAGTAGCTCTTGAAAAGCCTTAGAATTAACTTTGTATACCTTAAGAAAATCAGTAACTTTTTCTCTGTCAATAGCAAGGTTGAAGCAAAAGAAAAAAAAGAAAGATTCATCTATAATAGGGACTAAAAGTGAAAATTCTTAGACTTAAATATAGCAAGAGTAGCATAAGATTTATATAAAAGTTAATTTATAAAATCCAAATGAAGTACATAAAATATTCCTAATGATACTACTATTATAGAAATGTCACTACTTCTAATATTATTATAGAAATGTTATGCAACTTAAATTACAATCTTAATAAGCTTTTCTGTTGAACAATATAAAGTGATTCTAGAATGTATGTGAAAAAATATATCTCTAGAAATAGTCAAGAAATTTATGAATACTGAATAATAACAAGAAGGCAAAGTAGGAGACTTCCAGATACTAAAATAACTATGGAGTAACTGTAATCAAAGGTAAGTGTATAATTTTAGCACAGGAATAGGTAAACACATTAGTCAAATATGCCTGAGCATCCATAGAAAGATTTAGTAGTTATAGGATTTTAATTGAACTTAGTGAGAATGTCTAATTTAATAAACGATGCTTGTATGTTTGATTATCCATGTAGAAGAAAAATGAATCCTTGCTCTAAGAAAAATATTGAAAGAAAATTTAGAAGTTTACTTGTGTAAATTTGAGATGGGAAAGATATTCCCAAGTATGACAGAAATCACAGAAACCATAAAGGAAAAGCTAGATATATTTGGCTCTTTTAAAGTTACATATTTCTGCAAGGCAAAAGATACCAGAAACAAAACGAAGAAACAAATTTAAAGATATTTAAAGTGTTGAAAATTAAATTAATTGTAGAATAAGTTTATTTTTCTCGGGCACTAGTTATTAAAGGATCATTACATGTGAATTCCTTCTGTAGAATTCATAGGATTATCAAACTGTATAAGCAACAGAAAGAGAAATTACAAATTTTATCAATAAAACTATTTTACAATTAGCACTCAAGCTTTTATTGTCTAGAATTATCTTTCTAATGAAATGATACTTCTAGAAAAGCATGAAAAATCACTCCAATTCTTTATTTTAAAAATAAGTAGATAAAAAGCAGAATGGTACTCATTCGAAAAGATACAGAGTAAAACAGAGCAAAAGAAACACAAAGGCAATGAAAAATAATTAATAAGAACTCAAAAATGTCCCTTTCAAACAAAAGTTGAAAGGGTCAACAGACTTGCACTTTTGACCAAGAAGGAATTTTAGAAATGTGAGTCGATAGAAAAAAACATCCTGTTTTTCAGTCCAATCATGGCAATGAAAAATAGGATTCTGGAAAACATAAAAGTGGCATGCCACAAGATAAACATAAGTCACTACTCTTAGATGACTCTTAAATTATGAACAAAATGTAGACATTGTAATAACTGAAATGTATTTTAAATGTAGGGTTTGATCTGATTAATGGAGAAAATCCCATAGCATCTCTACTGAAAGAAACTATGAAAAAGAAGTACTGGTATAACAGCTTTCTCAGGGGGCCATGGTAACTGTGAGCTAATATCATTTGTATTTGGTAGGAGGTGGGGAAGAATGGGAGATCATTAACTTTTGAAGGACTTCAGTGGATGAATGCACTCAATCTGTCCCAGATGCATGTCATTAAGAAAGAATAAACTAGCTAACATTGCCAAAATTGAGTTCACTTAAGGTATCAGGTCAGGGATGTTTTTCATGATCTGTGTCTTTAATAAGGATATGTTTTCCATCAAAGTGGCTAAAATGGGAAAGACAGAAAATATCACATGTTGAAGAAGGTGTGGAACAACCAGAGAGCTCTTTTATGGCACTGGTAGGAGTGTAAATTGGTACAACAACGCTGAAAAACTAGCTGGCAGTTCAAAAATTAAACAAATGAATGTTCGTGACTCAGCGGTTCCAGTCTTAGGTTTATATGGTCAACAGAAATGTGTACCAAAGAATGTTCACCAAAAAATGTGCACAAGAATGCCCAAGCAGCACTATTCATAACAGAACCAAACTAGAAACTAAGTGATTACTAGTAGCAGAACAAACTCATAAACTGCTATATTCACCTAACGGAACACTCTACAACAATGAGAATAAATGAAGTGCAACTATGCAACATGGAAACAGGTCTTGCAAACACAACATGGACGAATCTTCAAATGCAGTGTGGCACAAAAGAAGTCAGGCACAAACAGCATGTGTTGTTTACTTCCCTTTATATACAATTAAAAAACAAGCTAAACTATGGGCATTGGAGGTCAGGATAATGGCTGTCTTTGGAGCACAGAAACCAGAGACTGTAAGGGGAATCAGAGGACAGGGGGTTCTGGGATGCTGGTAGTTCTCAGCTTGTAAAAATTCATCAAGCTATATAGTTATGTTTTGTATGCTTTTCTGTATGTATGTTATATTTTAATAAAAAGATTCCCAACACAGATGTGTGTGTGTGTAGTACAGAGCTGGAAGCAATAAGTAGGAGAAGTGAGCAAGTTAATTTTCCTTAGAGGAAATCATTTATAAAAATTTATAACTAAAATGCAAACAGCAACTTTCTATTTATAGGATAATGGACTTCATATATATGTTGTCCAATAGCCTAGGAAAAACAACATCTTTGGTTCTTATCTCAAAGCCAAAGGCTAATATTATACCTGCTTCAAATAATAGTTTTCATGTACTTGATTCCATTATGTAAACTAAGAATATTGCTGTATTAGTCTGTTTGCATTGCTATAAAGGAATATCTAAGACTACAAAATTCTTTTATTTAATTTGTAAATAAAAGAGATTTAATTTGCTCACAGTTCTGCAGGGTGTACAGAAAGCATGGCATCTGCCTCTCCTCCTGGTGAGGGTCTCAGGAAGCTTACAATCATGGCTGAAGGTGAAAGGGAAGCTGGTGCATCACATGACGAGAGAGAGCAAGAGAGAGCAAGGAGGAGGTGGCAAGCTCCTCTTTTTTTTTTATTTTTTAATGTGTATTTTTATTTATTTATTTTTGATTTATTTATTTTCTAACTCAACAGGTTTTGGGGGGACAGGTTGTGTTTGGTTACATGAATAAGTTCTTTAGTGGTGATTTCTGAGATTTTGGTGCACTCATCACCTGAGCAGCGTACACTGTACCCAACATGTAGTCTGTTATCCCTCGCCACCCCCAACTTTTCCCCCTGAGTCCCCAAAGTCCAATGTATCATTCTTATGCCTTTGCTTCCTCATAGCTTAGCTCCCACAGATGAGTGAGAACATATGATGTTTGATTTTCTATTCCTGATTTATTTCATTTAGAATAAGCTTCCAATTCCATCCAGGTGGCTGCAAATGTCATTATTTCATTCCTTTCTATGGCTGAGTAGTATTCCATGGTGTGTGTGTGTGTGTGTGTGTGTGTGTGTTTGTGTGTGGTGTCTGTCTGTGTATCACATTTTCTTTATCCGCTCATTGATAGATTGGCATTTGGGCTAGTTCCATGTTTTTGCAATTGCAAATTGTGCTGTTATAAACATGTGTGTGCAATATCTTTTTCATATAATTACTTCCTTCCCTCTGGGTAGATACTCAGTAGTGGGATTGCTGGATCAAATGGTAGATCTACTTTTAGTTATTTAAGGAACCTCCACACCGTTTTCCATGATGGTTGTACTAGTTTACATTCCCACCAACAGTATAAAAGTGTTCCCTTTTCACTGCATCCCCACTAACAGCTATCATTTTTTGATTTTTTAATTATGGCCATTCTTGCAGGAGTGAAGTGGTATTACATTGTGGTTTTGATTTGCATTTCCCTGATAATTAGTGATGTTGAACATTTTTCCATATCTTCTTTTGAGAATTGTCTATTCATGTTTTTTAGCCCACTTTTTGATGGGATTGTTTGTTTTTTCTTGCTGATTGGTTTGAGTTCTTTGTAGATTCTGGATATTAGTCCTTTGTCAGGTGTATAGATTGTGAAGATTTTCTCTCACTCTGTGGGTTGTCTGTTAAATCTGCTGATTATTTCTTTTGCTGTACAGAGCTTTTTAGTTTAATTAAGTCCCATCTATTTATTTTTCTTTTAGTTGCATTTGCTTTTGGGTTCTTGGTCATGAAGTCTTTGCCTAAGCCAATGTCCAGAAGGTTTTTTTTCCAACCTCATCTTCTAGAATCATTATGGCTTCAGGTCTTAGATATAAGTCTTTGATCCATCTTGATTTTTGAATAGAGTGAGAAACGAGGATCCAGTTTCATTCTTCTACATGTGGCTTGCCAATTATCCCAGCAGCATTTGTTGAATAGGGTGTCCATTTCCCACTTTATGTTTTTGTTTGCTTTGTCGAAGTCCTGTTGAATATAAGTATTTGGGTTTATTTCTGGGTTCTCTATTCTATTATATTGGTCTGTGTGCCTATTTTTACGCCAGTACTATGCTATTTGGTGCCTATGGCCTTATAGTGTAGTTTGAAGTCGAGTAATGTGATGTCTCCAGATTTGTTCTTTTTGCTTAGTCTTGCTTTGGCTATGCGGGCTCTTTTTTGGTTCCATATGAATTTTACGATGCTTTTTTCTAGTTCTGTGAGGAATGATATTGATATTTTGATAGGGATTGTATTGAATCTGTAGATTGCTTTTGGCAGTATGGTCATTTTTGCAATATCGATTCTACCCATCCATGAGCATGAGATGTGTTTCCATTTGTTTGTGTCGTCTATGATTTCTTTCAGTAGTGTTTCATAGTTTTCCTTGTAGCTGTCTTTCACATCCTTGGTTGGGTATATTCCTAAGTATTTTATTTTTTGTGCAGCTATTGTGAAAGGGGTTGAGTTCTTGATTTGACTCTCAGCTTGGTTGCTCTTGGTGTATAGCAGAACTACTGATTTGTGTACACTAATTTTGTATCCTGAAACTTTGCTAAATTCATTTACCAGTTCTAGGAGCTTTTCAGATGAGTCTTTAGGGCTTTATAGGTATATGATCATATAATCAGCAAACAGCAACAGTTTGACTTCTCTTTACCAATTTGGATGCCCGTTTTTTTCTTTCTCTTGTCTGATTGCTCTGGCTAGGACCTCAGCACTATGTCGAATAGAAGTGGTGACAATGGGCATCCTTGTCTTGTTCCAGTTCTAAGGGGGAATGCTTTCAACATTTCCCCATTCAGTATAATGTTGGCTGTGGGTTTGTCATAGACGACTTTTATGACCTCAAGATATGTCACTACTATGCCAATTTTGCTGAGGGTGTTAGTCATAAAGGGATGCTGGATTTTGTCAAATGATTGTTTGTGTCTATTGAGATGATCATGTGATTTTTGTTTTTAATTCGGTTTCTGTGGTGTATCTCATTTATTGATTTACCTATGTTAAATTTTCCCTGCAGCTCTGGTATGAAACCCATTTGATCATGGTTGATTATCTTTTTGATATGCTTTTGGATTTAGTTTGTTAGCATTTTGTTGAGGATTTTTGCATCTATTATAATCATGGATATTGGCCTGTAGTTTTCTTATTTTGTTATGTCCTTTCCTGGTTTTGGTATGAGGATGATACTGGTTTCATAGAATGATTTAGGAAGGATTCCCTTTTTGTCTGTCTTCTGGAATAGTATCAATAGGATTTGTACCAATTCCTCTTTGAGTGTCTGATAGAATTCAGCTGTGAATCCATCTGGTCTTGGACTTTTTTTGTTGGCAATTTTTTTATTACCATTCCAATCTTAATGCTTGTTATTGGTCTGCTCGGAGATTCTATATCTTCCTGGTTTAATCTAGGAGGGTTGTATATTTCCAGGAACTTTTCATCTCCTCTAAGTTTTCTAGTTTATGTGCATAAAGGTGTTCATAGTAGTCTTGAATAATCTTTTGTATTTCTGTGGTATTAGTTGTAATATCTCCCATTTCCTTTCTAATTGAGCTTATTTGGATCATCTCTCTTCTTTTCTTGGTTAATCTTGCTAATGGTAAATCAATTTTATTTATCTTTTCAAAGAACCAGCTTTTTGTTTTGTTTGTCTTTTGTATTTTATTTTGTTGTTGTTTCAATTTAATTTAGTCCTGCTCTGATCTTTGTTGTTTCTTTTCTTCTTGTGGGTTTGGGTTTGGATTGTTCTTCTTTCTCCAGTTCTGTGAGGTGTGACCTTAGATTGTCTATTTGTGCTTTTTCAGACTTTCTGATGTAGGCATTTAATGCTATGAACTTTCCTGTTAACACCGCTTTTGCTGTATCACGGAGGTTTTGATAGGTGGTGTCACTACCATCATTCAGTTCAAACAATTTTTTAATTTCCATCTTGATTTTCTTGTTGACCCAATGGTCATTTAGGAGCAGGTTATTTAATTTCCATATACTTGTATGGCATTGAGGATTCCTTTTGGAATTGATTTCCAATTTTATTTTACTGTGGTCTAAGAGAATACTTGATATAATTTTGATCTTCTTAAATTTACTGAGACTGGTTTTGTGGCCTACCATATGGTTTATCTTACAGAATGTTCCATGTGCTGGTGAATAGAATGTATATTCTGCAGTTGTTGGGTAGAATGTTCTATAAGTATCTGTTAAGTCCATTTGCTCTAGGATATAGTTTAATTCCATTGTTTCTTTGTTGACTTTCTATCTTAATGACCTGTCTAGTGCTGTCAGTGGAGTATTGAAGTCCCCCACTACTATTGTGTTGCCATCTATTTCATCTCTTAGGTCTAGTAGTAATTGTTGTATAAATTTGGGAGCTCCTGTATTAAGTGCGTATATATTTAGAATTGTGATATTTTTCTGTTGGACTAGTCCTTTTATCATTATATAATGTCCCTCTTTGTCTTTTTAACTGCTGTTGCTTTAAAGTTTGTTTTGTCTAAGAATAGCTACTCCTGCTCACTTTTGCTGTCCATTTGCATGGAATATCTCTTTCCACCCGTTTACCTTAAGTTTATGTGAGCCCTTTATGTGTTAGGTGAGTCTTCTGAAGACAGCAGAAACTTAATTGGTGAATTCTTATCCATTCTGCGGTTCTGTATCTTTTAAGTGGAGCATTTAGGCCATTTACATTCAGAGTTGGTATTGAGATGTGAAGTACTATTCTATTCATCATATTATTTGCTGCCAGAATACCTTGGTTTTTTTGACTGCATCATTGTTATATAGGTCCTATGAGATTTATGCCTTGAGGAGGTTCTATTTTGATGTATTTTGAGGATTTGTTTCAAGATTTAGAGCTCCTTTTAACAGTTCTTGTAGTGGCACATTTTCTCAGTATTTGTTTTTCTAGAAAAAGACTGTATCTTTCCTTCATTTACGACGTTTAGTTTCACTGTATACAAAATTCGTGGCTGATAATTGTTTTGTTTAAGGAGGCTAAAAAGAGGACCACAGTCCCTTCTATCTTTTAGGGTTTCTGCTGAGAAATCTGCTGTTAATCTGATAGATTTTTCTTTTTAGGTTACCTGATACTTTCGCCTCACAGCTCTTAAGATTCTTTCCTTTATCTTGACTTTAGATATCCTGATGACTATGTGCCTAAGCAATGATCTTTTTGTGATTAGTTTCCCAGGTGTTCTTGGAGCTTCTTGTATTTGGATGTTTAGATCTCTAGCAAGGCTGGGAAAGTTTTCCTTGGTTATCCCCTTAAATATGTTTTCCAGACTTTTAGACATCTCATCTTCCTCAGGAACACCAATTATTCTTAGGTTTGGACATTTAACATAGTCCCAAAATTCCTGGAGGCTTTGTTCATTTTTTAAAATTCTTTTTTCTTTGTCTTTGATGGATTGGGTTAATTCAAAAGCCTTATGTTCGAGCTCTGAGGTTCTTCTGCTTGTTTGGTTCTATTTCTGAGGTTTTCCAGTGCATTTTACATTTCTCTAAGTGTCTCCTTGACCAGAAGTTATGGTTGCTTTTATTTATACTATTTCAGTGAAGACTTTTCCTTTCATATCCTGTATCATGCTTTTTATTTCTTTAAGTTCGACTTTGCCTTTCTCTGGTGCTTCCTTGATTCTTTCTTTGACAATTCAGAGATTTCATCTTGGTTGGGATCCATTGCTGGTGAGCTGGTATGATCTCTTGGGGGTGTATTAAAGAAACTTGTTTTGTCATATTACCAGAATTGTTTTTCTGGTTCCTTCTCATAGTCTGGGATAGGATATGTCAGAGGGAAGATCTGGGATTCAAGGGCTGCTGTTCAGATTCTTTTGTCCCACAGTATGCTCCCTCTATGTGGTGTTCTCCCCCTTCCTCAAGGGATGTGGCTTCCTAGGAGCCAAACTACAGTGATTCTTTTTGCTCTTCTGGTTCTAGCCAACCAGTTGAGCTACTGGGCTCCAGGCTGTTACTGGAGAGTATCTGCAAAGAGTCCTGTGATGTGATGTGTCTTCAGGTGTTGCAGCCCTGGATACCAGTACCTGCTCTGATGGAGGTAGCAGGGGAGTGAAGTGGACTCTGAGTTTGTGTCGTGTTTTTGTTTAGTGCACTGGTTTTGTGTTGGTTAGCCTCCAGCCAGGAGGTGGCGCTTTCAAGAGTGTATCAGCTGTGGTCCTACAGGGAGGATGCAGACTTGCCCTAGGAACACCTGGTTAAGTATTCAGGTTTCTCAGGCAGTGGGCAGAGCCATAGAGCTCCAGATTATGACTTTTGTCTTCAGCTACCAGGGTGGCTAGAGAAAGACTACCAGGTAGGGGAAGAGATAGGTGTGTCTGAGCTCAGCCTTTCCTTGGGCAGGGCTTGCTGTGGCTGCTGTGGGGAATGGGGGTGTGATTCCCAGGCCAATGGAGTTATATTCCCATGGGAATTATGGCTGCCTCTGCTGAGTCATGTATGTCACCAAGGAAGTCGGAAAAAGCCGGTAGTCACAGGTCTCACTCTGTTCCGACACAGCCCACAGTCCTAAAGGCCAGTCTCACTCCCACTGTGCCCCCCAACAGCACTGAGTCTATTTCCAGGCAGCCAGTTACCAGAGCTGAGAACTTGCTCCAGACCACCGCCTCCCTGTTGAGAAAGCAAGCCGACTCACAGTTTTTCAGTGTCTCACGCAGCCTCCAGCAGTGATCCAGTTCCTTCAGAAGGTCTGTGGATTCTCTTAGCTTTGCTGCTATGTTCCTGCAGTAGTTTTTGGAGCAAAAGTCCATGATATGAGTCTCCACACACCGGTGTGTCCATCTGAGAGGGAGCTGCAAGCTAGTCCTGCCTCCTATCCACCGTCTTAATCCCCTCTCTTGCAAGCTCCTTTCAACAACCAGCTCTCATCATCACCAAGTAAATGGCACCAAGCTATTCATGAGAGATCACCTCATGAGAGGTGACACAAACACCTCCCACCAGGCTCCACCTCCAACACTGAGGATTACGTTTCAACATGAGATTTGGAGGAGACACACATTCAAACCATATCGATTGTTAAATCAAGAGATATCATCTTCTAAATCACTTCACTGCCCATAGCAATTTTACCTTTCGAAAGTCTTTACAAGCAATACTATTCTATGACCCACAAAGGCCTAGTGAAGTAGATTGCCAATCAATAAATATTTTAAATGGTCATGAATTATCCAGTACATGTTCAATGACTTTACATTTAAGTCACTTAACTAAGTACTGCTAGGACAATAGGTGACATTCTGCCTTTCAAATGTGTTAAACTCTCTTCCTAATCTGCTGGATTTCTAAACTACCCTGTTTTCACCGATTCAGATGGCAAAAGCCTTTAGCAATGCTAAACATATAGATGAAAGTCAAAATGCTGGGCAGAACAGTAAGAGGCACACTGAGGCCCAGTGAGGACTGCAAGTATGGAATGCTAGGACATAGTGTAAGCTAGGTGAAGTTGGCATGGAGGAGTCAAGGAATGAAGACTCTAGAAAAGTGACCTTCTGTGCAAAGAGGTAAATTGGTAGAGCTATACAAATATGCTTATCAAAGAAAAAGCATCCATCATGTTGAGATGGTATAATTCCCTTGAACCCCTTCACCAGCAGGAACTGAAGTGGCTCATTTCACTCAGGCTGCCACTGGCCACTCCTTGCAGGAGGAAGCATGCGAGCAAGGGAATGAGGGAACCAGAGTGAATGAACTCTAGAACTGGCTAGTCACTCCTCTCTGGAGGGGGCAGGCTCTGTGTGGGCCCCACAACGGTGTCAAACCATGTTACAACCAATGCTCTTTCAGCTCTGCAGTCTGGGGACTGCCAAGTGTCAACCAGCTCAGTGGAAGGTCACAGTGGCAGCCTCCGTCTTCTTGGCGCCCAGGTTCTTGTCCGGCATCCAGGAAGAATCAGGTCACACAAACTGAAAGGTGATTAATGCAGAAGACTTTATTGAGCGGTGGGTGGCTTTCAGTGGAAAGGAAGGCTGGAAAGGGAATGGGAAGGTGATCTTTCCCTTAAACCCAGCCATCTCCGGCTGGGCCCATCTCCGAAGCTGCACTGCCTGAAGTTAGCCACGTTTATCTGTTGTCTCTGATGCTCAGTTGCTTCTCTGCTCGCCACTCAGCTGCTTGTATCCTTGATGCTCAGTTGCTTGTGTTGCTCTGCCAGCTGAAGTCTTTTATGGGCACAGGATAGGGGTGGGGCAGGCCAAAAAGGCAACATTTGGGTGGAAAAATGGGGTCAGTTGTTTTCACTTAGGGCCGAGGTTCCAGGCTTAAGGGTGGGGTTCAGGCAGGAGCCCAGCCCTACTGTATCAATGTCAGGGTCTGTTTTACAAAAAGAGGTTATTGCAAAGCAATTTTCAGATGCATACCCCATTTTTATGTGTAAGGAGGGTAGGAGGAAGCTTGAATATTTATGACCAGTCTTAGAACAACTAAAATATGTGTATGTAACTTTATGACTATATATACACATTATGTACAGGTATCTGTGTATATAAATGCATATATATATATATATATAATTGTATTATCATTATATATGTCTACTCTAAGGAGTTTTGCAACTTAGGGATAATATTTGAGTCATTTTTTTTTATGCTTGGCACCTAAAGTGCCTGGCTTAGACTAGGGCCCTGAAAACACTCATTAACATGAAATAAAAGTGTTTTGTATGTATGCAGAGTTTCTTGATGAATCAATGAATAATCTCAGACATCTAAGGTTTTATACTTACAGTTTTTTGTCTTCCTGTATTCTCAGTTGCCAGCTTTTGTTTTCATTTAATTAATGCAAAACTTCTATATCCTGCAGTTTCAACTCACAGTTCGGTTGTCTAGTCTGAGAGTCTGAGGATTCACTCTCCCTCTAGACCAGCTCTACCAGCTTTATGACAGATACTTGCCACCCTTAAACATTTCTTTACCATTTACATGAGTTCACAGACGTGAAGGGAATGTATAATCTTAAATAAACACAATATGCTCTGTATTAAGCTTATGCTCTACATACAGTACTGTACTTATAGTATTACGTTTTTTGAAAAATTCATAGTTTTGTCAGCATTCTATTTACAGCACATTGCCACATCTTTCTCTTTTCCTATATTTTTAACAAAATCAATGAAAGTATACATGCAGTATTTTACACTTGCTATTTGTAATATATTATCCCTTCATTCCAAAAAGTAAACTTCCACAACAATCATTAAATAGCAGGAAATATTAACCATCTGCATGCATGTATCACACTTCAGTTTTAAATTTTAGTTTGGAATATTTCAAACATAGAGAAAACTAGAATAAAAAACGTGATGAACAACCTTCAACTCATAATCAAGTTCTATGAAATTATATATTATATCATTGAAACTCTGTGATACCTTCCCTATCTTAAATCCTTTCTCCACAGAATACTGGATTTTGTGTTTCTCATCCTCATGTAAGCATTTATTCCCATAGTATAAACACTTGAATATGTCCATACAAAATACAGCATGATTTTTCGTGTGTTAAAAAAATTTATGTAGGCCGGGCACGGTGACTCACGCCTGTAATCCCAGCACTTTGGGAGGCTGAGGTGGGCGGATTGCCTGAGATCAGGAGTTCGAGACCAGCCTGGCCAAAATGGCAAAACCCTGTCTCTACTAAAAGTACAAAAAAGCTGGGCGTGGTGGCGGGCACTTGTAATCCCAGCTACTCAGGAGGCTGAGGGAGGAGAATCGCTTGAACCCAGAAGGCAGAGGTTGCAGTGAGCCAAGATCGTGCAACTGCACTCCAGCCTGAGCGACAAGAGAAAGATTCTGTCTCAAAAAAAAATATATATATATAAATATTATATCTTGCTCCATATGTACTTCTGCAATTTGCTTTTTTACTGAATGTTTCAGCAATGTATTCATGTTGATTTATGTAACACTAGCATACTTGTTTATACTACTGAATTCTATTGTATGACTACAACATAATTATGTATATCTAGCATCTTATTTATGAGCATTGGGTTGTTTCTAGTTTTTCACTTTTAAAAAAAGCTGGAATGGATAATGCATGCCTTCTTCTGCATATGTGTGAGGATTTCTCTAATGGAATTGCTAAATCTCAAGCAAGTAATCTTCAAGTTTATTAAACTTTTTCAAATATTTCTTCATATTTACATACCCAATCAGAGTGAATGTAAGTTCTCATTTCTCCAAATACTTAGCACTATTTGTATTGACCTATTTGTAAATTGTAGATTGTTCGCCAACCTACTATGTGCAAAACAATATTTTAGGTTGCTTTAATATGTATGTCACTGATTATTACTGAGGTAGGTACCTTTTTATGCTTGTTGGCCCTTCATATTTTCACCTATTTATAAGCCTTTCCCATTTATTGGGATGGAGATCGGTGACTTTTTCCTTATTAAGTTGAATAAAGTCTTCTTAATTCTGGATACTACTCCTCTGTCTACTCTATGTGTTCCAAATGTCGTTTTTCACTCTATGGCTTCTTTAGCTTTTGTCTATTATGCCTTTTTTAGCGGAAATTTACCATTTCAATGTAGAAAATGAATTGTTTTCTTATGGATTGCATTTTCAGTATCTTGTTTAAGAAATTTTTCTTTATTCTTCTAAATATCTAAGGTTTGACTTTTCTTATGGAGGTCTTTAACCTACCTGAAATTGATTTTCTGAATGGAATAACTTTGGAACATACTACAAACACAACTTTATATTTTGAGATGCTGCCAGAATTTCTTTTAAATTAAGGCATATACTGTTGAAACCATTGCCATTATGGAAACTACATAAGTTTTGAGTTGAGTTTGATGTAGATTTTAACGCTGCAGTAAGCCTTACCTGAAGAGTATCTTGGGCATATTCATCTTTCTGAGCCTCTTTTTCTGCAAAAAGTTTATACTAGGCCGGGCGTGGTGGCTCATGCCTATAATCCCAGCATCTTGGGAGCCTGAGGCGGGTGGATCACTTGAGCTCAGGAGTTCGAGACCAGCCTGGCCAACATGGTGAAACCCCATCTCTACTAAAAACACAAAAATTACCCAGGTGTGGTGGCACATGCCTGTAGTTCCAGCTACTCAGGAGGCTGAGGCAGGAGAAACGCTTGAACCTGGGAGGCAGAGGTTGCCATGAGCTGAGATGGTGCCGCTGTACTTCAGCCTAGATGACAGAATGAGACTCTATCTCAAAAAAAAAGATTAGTACTAATGCCTGTTTCATGGTTTGTGTCAAAATTAATAATTCAGAAATATCTACTATATTGCCTGACACACAGAGTATGCTGTTAGGGACTCGATCTCTGGCAGTGAAAGGAAATAGCAATAGCTTGAGAGAACCAGAACAAATCAAGACGAATGCTTGCTTATCTAATTTTGGCACAACAAGATGATGATAAATAAAAATGAATATCTCACATTTTGGAAACTAATAATATGAATGTCTGTTGAGATTATAGGATCAGACTTTCCCTCTATGAGTCCTAGATAATCCTAGGTTAGGAAGTGAAGATTCAGAGTTCTGCCCAGGACAAGGGCCAGAAGAGACAGTTCTCTGGGGCTGAGAGAAGGCTCCTTTGCTTCTTTATTTTACCAGCCTCAAGGTGTTCATAAGTTGGAGTGAACAGCTCTAATGCAGATTGGATTGGTCAGGGTAGGGAGTGGGTGGGGGGACCTATCCACAGGGAGAAAAGAATGCAAGGAACTGTTCCAGGATGCAGTCTGGGAAGAGTCTGTGCTTAAGCAGTAGGCTATAGAACTTTTTAATTTTTCTGGAGTCATCCTTTCCAATAGCCCCAAACCTTCAAGTAAATTTTCTTCAAAATCACAGCTAAATCTCAGTTACAGTCTTGAAAAATGGGTAAATCCCAATACACATGCTTATATACAAACAGTCCAGGGAGAGAACAGGGATCCTTCTCTTCATCAGAATGGACAGAAGACATGGCAGATGCCATCAGACAACAATGTTTCTGGTGGAGCCGATGACACTGTCAGCTACCCATGCATTTGTGTTGGCAAGATGCAATGGGAAGAGAGGAAAAAGTTCAGTGACATTTTGGAATGCACTTGAGATGTTGGCTTTGGAAAGCTTCCTAAATACCAAGGACATACTTTGATTATGGTTCTGGAAAGACACATGGGGGCTAATTTCCATTAAAATGTGCCATAAAAATGAAAGGAAGAGAGAGAGAGCCCGGAGCAGTAGCGTGCACTTGTAATCCCCAGGAGGCTGAGGTGAGGGCATCACTTGAGGCCAGGAGCTTGAGATCAGCTTGGGCAACATAGCGAGACACTGCCTCTACAAAAAATAAAAATAAAATAGCTGGGTGTAGTGGCACACACCTGTAGTCTCAGCTCCTTGGGAGGCTGAGGCAGTAGGATCACTTAAGTCCAAGACTGTGAGGCTGCAGTGAGCTATAATTGTGCCACAGCACTCCAGCCGAGGTGACAAAGTGAGATCCCATCTCTAAAATAATAATAACAAAAAACATTTTTAAAAAATTAAGAGCTTCTTTGATGAGACTTGGACCTTGGACCTTGTAGATTAAAAAAGTGTGAGAAGACTGAACAGATTTTTAAGCCGAGGAGTTGTAAGCAACACAGTAGAAATTAAAATGTGAGCAGAGATATCAGAAATACTATCTTTACCAGATATTCTTAGACACTTCCTTTTTGCTAAAGCTCTTCCTGTTCTCTCACTAGATCCACTCACTTAATCATTAATTAATTCCATCATTCACTGAACATTCAAACCAATGTGAATGGATTGAATGTTCGGCCTCCTTGTAGCCAGTTCAATCCAATTAAATGTGTATTACATACTTCAAATAGTGCTAGACACTGGGGATACAATAGGAAGCAAAACAGACTTGGCCCCTGCATTTGGGGAGCTTGCCAGGTGGTAGAGATCAGCCTTAAAATAATGAATGGAACCAGGTATTGGGGCAGGGATGGAGGATGTAATCAAGAGATCATCAAATGATTACACCCCAGCGCAGTACCATATAGAAATGAATGACACTATAATATCTGGAAAAGAGAAAATTATGTTTAATAAAGGAATCTTAAAACATCAGAAACTCAGAAAGACTTTTAAAAGCCGTTAAAATGAATGTTTTGTAAGTTGATCATCTCACTATGCTGGGAAATGTATTCATGCACCATGCATCAGTACACAGGGAGAGCAGATAAAAACAACACTTTTGTGTGCAGAATTTACAGTTTGTGGGGCCTGATAGTAAAACTGAATGGAAGTACACTATTCTCTGGAAACACCTTGAAGGATAAAAGACCTATAAACTTTTATTTTTTTATGTATTTTGGCTCTTCCAGTGTTAACAATAGAAAATATGTTGACTGCATCCTGCATTTTTTTGTTTATCTAAAGAGAAATGCAATGGAGGTATTCCTCACAGGGAATTTCTTTTTATAGCTTGTTAAGCCGTAAAAACAACTCCCTTTAGCTATTTCTGATTTAAAGTGCATGTAGCATAGGATTTTTGTATTTGTTTATTTAAAGCATGACTTGAATTTTGTGAGGAGGTCCCATGTGAATCTGAAATATCAAATTGTGTATCTACACTTCCAGAGTCCTGGAACCATCTGCAAACCAGGACAGATTTCACAGCCTAATTAATAATTATGTAGATAGTAAAATCCCCAAAGACCCCTTCTGCCTTTCTTTAAAATAGTTCAGATTTCTTCTTGTGTTATTATGGGTTGATATTTCATCTGAATTATAGGTTTAACTGGGAATAAATTAGAGAATTACAATGTAGCAGGCGATCCTGTTCTTTTAAATTTTGGGTGCAAGTTTTCTTCTGTAAAAGACTTGAGACCAGGCACATCCTGCACTCATTTGCATCATGGAGTGGATAATGTTTCCAGACTGATCTTTGTCTTTATAACGTTACCAAGAACCCCCAGGGACTGTGGCTACAAGGAGGCCTGGGAGATGTAAGTGTCTGCATATACTTGTATGAAGCAGGGTATTTAATTCCTATAACTCTGCTTTTGTACTTCATACATGTTGCCTCTAAGACCTCACTCATCTTGAATTCCCAGTGGATGCATATATCCATATATTATCAACTTCTCTATAGTCATAATGATTTCTGTGAGTAGTTTCCAGATTATTATTCAATGTGTCTTTGTTAGTACAAGTTTATATATATATAGATAGATAGATAGATAGAGAGTTATACTATGTTGTTTCTGATTACATATTTCATGAAACAAATTATTGCTTTAGGATAAGCAAATACACATAATTAAAATGAACTTATCATTACATATTAAATGACAAAGAAAAGCTATTCTTATTTTGCTTTCACACTTTCTTTCCCCAGTTTTATTCTCATCCTTGTTTCTAAAGATACATAAAATACAAACATAAATTATACAAAAAGCCCAATAGTATACTATTTAATTATGCCTTAGGAGCAGAGGAAGAGTGCAAAATAGCATTTTATAATACAAGGTGTTGAAAGTATAAGCTTTGCTTATTTTTTTAATAAAGTGGTTAGAAAAATGCAATTCTTTCAAGAAAATATCAGATAAATAGATACCAAGCTTTTCACAGTTTCTAATCATTCCCATTTTTCTTGAGTATACAGAAAATTTGACAAGTTTCTTATGGTAAAAATATAAGAATAGTTTCATTTTGACACAACGCCATGAGGGTAATATAAATAATTTCAAAAGCTCTTAGAGAAGCACAAGCAATTCAATTGTCTGTTCACAAGGAGAATGTTGAATTTATTTATATTTGAAAAAAAGACTAAGTATTGACTTTAATTTTCTTTCCTTTTTTTTTTTTTGAGATGGAGTCTCATTCTGTCACCAGGCTGGGGTGCAATGGCGCGATCTCGGCTCACTGCAACCTCCGCCTCCCAGGTTCAAGGGATTCTTCTGCCTCAGCCTCCCAAGTAGCTGGGACTACAGGCATGCACCACCAAGCCCAGCTAATTGTTGTATTTTTAGTAGAGACAGGGTTTCACTGTGTTGGCCAAGATGGTCTCGATCTCTTGACCTCGTGATCCACCCACCTCAGCCTCCCAAAGTGCTGGGATTACAGGCGTGAGCCACCGCACCTGGCACTGACTTTAATTTTCAATGTCTGTGAATTGCTTAAAAGTTCTCTACTTCCATTGTCACATCTTGGCCAAGATCATCATTATCTAGAGAGCCACATCTCTCTCACTGTTCTCCCCAGTTGAATTAGACCCCAGATGTTCTCTTACCTCCCAGCTTGTATTGCACATCCTTTATAATGCAACTCCACCTCAAACCCTCAATCTGAAATACTAGTTCTTTCACTGCCCATTTTAAGTTCACTTACATGCCTTAGCTCGTTAACAAATTCAATTAATAAAGCATATACTTAGTGCTGAATCTTACATTTAAAAGCATTTTTAAAAATCAGCAGCCAGTTTTATTCTCGTAACTTGCTATTATGGGCTCAATTTTGTCCCCCACCCCCCCGACTCTGAAATTGATGGGTTGACATCCCAACTTTTAGTACTTCAGAATGTGACTGTATTTGGAGATAAGGTCTTTAAAGAATAATGAACTTGGCCAGGTGAAGTGGCTCATGCCTGTAATCCCAGCACTTTGGGAGGCCGAGGCGGGTGGATCACGAGGTCAGGAGTTCAAGACTAGCCTGACCAACATGGTGAAACACCATCTCTACTAAAAATACAAAAATTAGCCAGGTGTGGTGGCACACGCCTGTAGTCCCAGCTACTCAGGAGGCTGAGGCAGGAGAATCACTTGAATCCGGGAGGCGGAGGTTGCAGTGAGCCGAGATCGTGCCATTGCACTCCAGCCTGGGCAACAGAGTGAGACTCCCTCTCAAAAAAAATAAAATAAATCAATAAATAAAAATAAAAAAATTTTAAAAAGGAATAATGAAGTTAAAATGAGACTCTTAGGGTGGGGCCTTAATACATTATGACTATTGTTCTTATATAAAGAGGGAGAGACCCCAGGGATGTGTGCACAAAAAGAAAAGGCCCTGTGAGGACACAGTGAAAAGGCAGCCATCTGCAAGCCAAGGAGGGAGGCCTCAGGAGAAACCAAGTCAGCTGGCACCTTGATCTTGCACTTTCTACCTCGAGAACCGTGAGAAAGTAAATTTCTGTTGTTTATGCTACCTAGCCTCTGGTATTCTGTTATTTTGCAGTCCTGGTAAGCTATTAATTATATATATATATATAAAATATGTACCAAAAGAAGTTGGTAACGTTGTGAAAACACCAATTTGCCTTACAATTAAAAATTTAATACACAAAAATACATAATCTGATACAAAAATTGGCTTGAGGCAATCCCTGTCATCTCCTTTTCTCTACTTCTCTAACTCTAGCCCAGCTCATCTACTGTGACCATGCAATGCTCTCTGCTAGGCTACTCTAGCTCCCTTCTCTGGCCCTCCTGAGCATCTATGCTCTAGATCACTGAAAATATTTAAGATCAGAACTTTTTCTTATTCTGAACCCCATATTTAAAGCAAAGATGAGTATGCTTGTTTATTTGAAGCTAGCATAAAGGGAAGGTAGACAGAGTCCCCTTGCCTGCCTGGTCAATCTGTCACTCACTTTTCCCTTCCACTCATACCCACATGACACCCAGGACACCACTGTGTGAGATCTGGATTTAAACCCCCTGATTTACATCACACTTTATTATTATCTTAAAGTATCCTCACACTACAGTAAGTCTCATATTGGCACTAAAGCCATGCCACATACTTGATAAAACATGTCACAGAGTTGAATTCATAGCATAGCTCAGGGGAATAAACTACACATTGCTAGTTAAATAAACTCAAATCATCTATTTTTCTGAATTGAGTAAGAAACCCTCCACTCAGTCTGAGAATCTAAGCAGATGAACTGCCTGAGGGGTGGAGTTCTGCTTGGAGTTGGTATAGTTTTGGCCTCATGACTAACCCGTATGTAGGAGTCAGGTCTAGCTTGGCTCTTGGTCATTTTTTCAGCTTGAACTGCTGCAGAACGGTAGTGATGAAAATGAATATCTCATTGCGTGCAACATCTTCTCCCAGACACTTCCGGATGCCCATTCCAAATATCAAAACTTTCTCAACAAGACTTTTATTCAGTTCTCTGTTTTCGTTTAGAAATCTGTCAGGTCTAAATAAACTATGATTATCCCAAATAGTTCTGCATAAAATAGATAAAAACAACACTTTAAAAAGAAATTATTTTCTCATTTTTGCTATTGTTGGCAAATTTTCCACAATAATTTTGTTTTTCATGAACTACTTTAAGTTTAGAATATTCCTTAGAAATTATGTATAGAGAAAGGAGGTATACATAAATGAAGTATATATACACATATATGTATAAGTACTTATGGAGATGTATGATTATATATAATTATGAATACATGTCACTTTTTCCTTTAATGTTTGACAAATCTAGTTATGATAAAGATTTAGTACAATTACACTTAATTTTCACTGAAATGACTACCAATTCATTAGTGAATAAAATACTTGAAAATCTATTTCATCAATTTTTCTGAACTAAATAAGAAACCCTCCACTCAGTCTGAGAATCTAAGCATATGAACTACCTGAGATGTGAAGTTCTGCTTGGAGTTGAGATGGTTTTGGCTTCATGGCCAACCCTATACAGGAGCCAGTTCTAGCTCGGCTCTCCTGCAAGCTAACTTCAAGGTATGGGTTAGCCATGAATTTAATTATTTTAAATGAAGAATTCCATAAAATTGTCATAAGAATATTCCAAAATGGTGACATAAATAAAAGGTAATAAATATTCAATATCTTTTGCTTTAGCAGAATGAATAAGAATGATGAGACTGGGCCACATCTCTCACTCTGGTAAAAAACATGTTTAGGAAATGGCCTTTGTACAACAATACAGAGAGGATCTGGGTCTCCAGAAAGCAGCTCTAATTGGGGGATTGCCCACAGTTCTCAAATCACTGTGTACCTGATTCTTTCTTCTATCTCTATCTTTTGTTACAGGCACCATATTTGGCTTGTTTATGACAACCAGTGCTAGCATGTTTTCTGTAGGTCCTAATATCTGGAACCCACCTGGCTTCACATAGAACTGGCCCTGTTTGTGCGTAGATGTCATCATCTCTCTAGAAGGAGAAACTGGTTTCTGTCTGTACCAGAGACCACAGACCTAGAGGATTAGTTCTGTACACAGTCCTCCAATACATTTTGGTTTGCTCTCATAATCTTTTAAAAATAATTCACTATTGCTAACATTTAAAAATCAGATTTCACATGAAAATATGCATTTCCAGGTTCTCTTTTATAATTGTAAAAGCTGACAACATTGGGACATTGTCCTGCTTGCCAACGGTTTACTGAGCCGAGTTAGGTGCGGCAGATGACCTCCCCTCCTCACAGTGCTTCACCAAGTGCAATTCACTTATTTTTCGTATTTTTCATTGCTCAATAGGTGCTTGAGTTTGTGACCTATGCTTTAGATTAATTAAATATGAAGAATTTTCCCATAATATCAAGTCTTTTTTTTTTTTTTTTTTTTTTTTTTTTTTTTTTTTTTTTTTTTTTTTTTTTTTTTTTGAGACGGAGTCTCGCTCTGTCGCCCAGGCTGGAGTGCAGTGGCGGGATCTCGGCTCACTGCAAGCTCCGCCTCCCGGGTTCACGCCATTCTCCTGCCTCAGCCTCCCAAATAGCTGGGACTACAGGCGCCCGCCACTACGCCCGGCTAATTTTTTGTATTTTTAGTAGAGACGGGGTTTCACCGTTTTAGCCGGCATGGTCTCGATCTCCAATATCAAGTCTTAAGTTACATACTCGTTCAGCTTAAACAAGTGCCTCCATACAAATGGTATTTCTTTAGGAGCACCCATGTTAACTCAGTTTGTTTGCACATTACTCAATATTCATTATAATCACCAGTTCTTAGGATATTATTAATAGAATACTTAGGATTATACTAAGTAAGAATAAATGTTATTAAATATACACTTGCTGTATTTCTTCTTATAGTGGTTTCAAAATGCCTAGGTGTGGAGAATGGAAGTGTCAATCTCTGTGACAGTAAGTGTTGCAGTGGGACAGCATATGCATAGTCTTCTACCATCTTTCTGTTTACAGAGATTGTGAAGCTGCCATTAGGTACACAGGATAATCACTTCCCTCTCTTACAGCTTGCAGCCTGAAACATCAGTCAGATGAGATCTTGGGTGAAGAGAAAAGACTGTATAACATATTTACTGTCTGCTGAGTGCATAAGAATGCAGTCTCTGCCAGTCACTGGAGACATCAAGCCCTGACCACTACAGGAAGCACATGGTTTCCATTACATAAAATTTACACATTTGGATTTGAGTCCTACCTCTGCCACCTTCTGAACATGCGACTTTAGGCAATGTGTTTAACCTGGCTGAAGGTTTCTTTATCTGTTAAATGGGGATCATGATAGCACCAATCGTGTTACTATTGAGGCTCAGGAAAGATACTGCAAGATTTTGTGCCTTGCCCACAGTAGGAGTCTATAAATATTAGCTGTAATCATCATTCTCACCACCACCACTGTCATTATCCTCACTTTCACTGCATTAGGTACTCTCATCTCAGCCCTTTCTTTCATAGCTGATGTGGGTGAACTTCTAACTTTATTTTATTCAACAAATATTTATTGTGTGCCAACTATGTGTGAGGCAGTGATCCAGGTGCTGGGGTAGAGGAACAAGTAAGCAAACAACAAAAGAAAAAAAAATCCCTGCTTGGTGGCTTACATTCCAGTGGGGGATTTCAGACTCCATTTCAATGTATTAGCCATGGCCATGCAAAGGGTGAGCCCATGAAGTCCTCGGCCCAAATCTCTCCCAATGAGCTCACTTTTGAAATTGGATTTGCCCTATATTGGATTTTTCCTCAATTTGTGTCAATATATCACTGTTTGCATTATAGATGAGGAGAGAAACTGAACTTCTTTCCAATATCTTTCAAGAGAAACAGGAGTGAAGGTTGGCTAAGAAGACTGTAAATCTTTTCCAGATTAATAAACAGTAAACAACCAAGCAGGCAAGCAAATTTATCCAAAGATTAATTTTGGTAACTTACTCATCATGATTTACTTGATACATGTTGATAAAGGTGCAAGTTTTCCTGGGAATGAAATAGCCATTCAGAGTGGTGTCTGCTGTAGTACTAAGACAGCAAAAAACAGCATTACAGCACTTCCTGTCAATTCAAATTACCCATCTCTAAACTGTCACCAGCAACTCACAGACTATTTTTATTTATGTCTTTTTTTACTGTAATAATATATCTTTATACATCTTCATTCTTTCATTAATTAAAACAATTTCCACTTCTTGTCAAATTAATAATTTATTTTTCTTGCATATATTAAGCATATTGTGCACTTAGTATATTCAAAGCACTTCTATGAGCTAAACATTTCCATAGAAAATTATCTCAATATTTCTATGACAGAGTTGACCATAAGCAGGCAGATCAAATTACATCAGGAAACGATGAAGAGAATTATTAAGTACTTCTGTGTGCTCAATGTGTTTGTGTCTATTATTAATAAATTAGAAAGACAAAATGTCACACCTTTTAGTACTGGGTAGAAGGAACAATGGAATTGGAACAAGGAAATCTGAACTTTGGATGCTGCCCTCAGTGGGATATTGGGCAAATTATCTATTCTGCGACTCCACTTCCTAGCTATGAAACGAAGGTGTTGGTTGTGTTGGATGGTCTGTAAGTTGCCTCTAAAGCAAATATTCTATTTTTCTAGTCTGATACTCAAACTCCTTCCTGAAACCTGTTTGCCTTTCCCCTTTATACCTCTATAATTATTCATGGATTGGATTCAATCGTTTTATGTTTCCCTGTGGCACTCCCTACCTCGCTAACCTACTCTCACACTCACTTCCCCAAGAGAAGCAGAAACATTTCAATTTGATTAGTTTGAGAGAAGGCATTGTCTCACTACTTCTGGGTTTTCTCTTCAGATTAGCCAATTTGTAATGAAGGTACATCTTATCTACAATCAGAAATAGGCTGAGCTTAGAGGGTCAGATTTTGTCTTTCCACAGGAGACCTGAAAGTGTTCAACCTAGCTGGAGACTGAGTAGAGAAGTATGTTAATTTCGAGGTCTACTTGATCTAGCTCTAAGCCACATGGTGAAAACTAGCTCTGATTATTTAAAAAGCTAATAATATAATTTCTATTTTACCTGTGTCTATTTTGTGGCTAGTACTGAGCTTTGGCAAATAATATCAATGTTATTTATTGAGTTTCTCAAAACCCAACAAAGGGGAACAAAACAAGCCATAGACTCGCTTTTTGGAAGGTTACCTTTTCTCATGCATAGCCACTTGACTTTCTCAACACATCCCTGTCCACACTGCCTCTGTGGATTCAGCTGCTCAGATTCTACTCATAGAAGTTATATGCTTCTATTTTACAGAAACCTGGTATGTAAAATTTTATTTCACTGGTATTAAAATATAAGAGTGAATTGTAACGTTTCTCTATCTCCTTTTATGTTCCTTAAATTTCATGTGTATATGTGGCTTTCCACACAACTTTTAAGAAATGCATATGCAATAAATATTTATTAGGATATGGTTTGGTCTTTC
The DNA here is from genome assembly GCF_000001405.40 of Homo sapiens. Taxonomy (NCBI): domain Eukaryota; kingdom Metazoa; phylum Chordata; class Mammalia; order Primates; family Hominidae; genus Homo; species Homo sapiens. The sequence goes on along the minus strand of NC_000009.12, from coordinate 73,051,782 downwards.
CTGTGTGTTTTATATGTGTGTATATATGTTATATGTAATAGCAAACTTTTGCTGCTTTTACTTAAGTTTATTTCATTTAGTTTGTTTAAATTTATTTTATCATATTTTGTGCCTTTTGATTTATTTTCATTTTAAATGAAAAACAATAAACTTCCAAGTGTAATAGAATAAATCAGTCCTAAATAATATAAGTAAGATAGCTCTTTTGTGTGCACAAAATTCCTGGTTCATATCATGCTGCTTTCATTAGCCAATGCAGTAGTTCTTTCAATTTTCCATTTTAATGTATTCCGTTACTTTTAATAATACAATGAATATCTATGTCCTAATACATATTTCTCCCTATCACTTAGACCCTCAGATGAGTTTACAGGGCCCTAATTAGATGATCACTTTCGTTCCAAATGATGCCTATAAACTTGGCAGAGCCTCTCTGTTCCTGGGTACTTAGCAAAAGTGTAGATAATACTCGTATGAAGCACCCAAAGTCACCTTTAAAAGTTATTGGGACAGAAGAGTTGCTTTTAAATAGGTAGAACTTTTTAATTTTTTTAAAACTTACAATAAAACGAAATTTGCTTTAACTGAGAGAGGATCTGACATAGCAGCTAGAAAAAAAAAATGGATCGCTGTGAAAAAAATAGCCACTGTGTGTGAATAAAGAGAGCAAACAAAGGGCAAAATACAGGGAACTATGTCACTTGCTGTCTGGCCTTGCCTCTGCTCAGCTGGCGGTCTTGCCCTTTGGGACACTTACCTAAGGACACTGCATGCTGTCACACCAATTACTAAATGATTACATCAGTTTCCTGGGAAGAGAGATATTCCCACTCCTTCACTATTTAAAGGGAGGGGGAAGAACGAACACTGAGAATTCCAGGTGGTTTTTTTTTTTTAATAATTTTTAATTGTGTGGAATAAAAACAGAACAAACTACTAGAACTTTGGTTCCCCACAGATGCATTTAATGAAGCTATCTACCTAATTTATGCTGGCATGCATTTGCGTGCTAGAGATTCTGGAGTAAGATTCAGTAAAGTTTCAAGTATCTGCAAATGAATACTCTGTTTAATCTCATTGTGACAACATTAGCTTCCTTAGTTTACTGTTTAGCAAAATTCTAGGCTACTAAAAACAAATCCATATAAGAAGGAAGCTAAGTCGGCTCCTTAGCTTAAATTAAGCAAGCTTGCATGACTTTTCATAGCCAAATACATATTACGGTTGGATTATCTGTTGCTTGGACATTCCATAACTTTCTGACCCTGTGATTAGTACACATAAAATAAAAGTTAATGACAACATAGTTTAGTAATGAAAAATGCTCATGAAATGTGCTTTCACTGACCACAAAAATTTTATTACAGTGTTTAAAAATAAAATAAGATTTAAAGTAATATTAAAACCATAATACAATGTACATTTTAAAGAACTTAAGGTATTCCAATGTCTAAGATTCTTCAATGCCTCCACCCCACCACTAGTGGCTGTTTTAAAGGAGAATTACATGCTTGCCAATGTGGAATAGTAAATGGAAGAAAAGAGGCATGTCTGAATACTTCACTTACGAAAGCTTCTGTGTATGGTAAAATTTTCCTGTCTTCAAATCTGGGTGGTCTCAGCCCAATGTTTCCATCTTTAAAGAAATTATTTTTTGATTTAATAAGAAAAATGATAATCGTAAGAATTACATTTTTCATCTGAAAGCATATTACCAATTTCTTCTTGAATTCTGGCTTGAATTTCTGGATAGTGTATCAAATAAAGAAAGCTCCAACATAGACATGTTGATACTGTTTCAAACCCTAAAATAGAACCAAGAGACCGAGTGTCATGAAAAAAAGCATAGTTAAATCAGTTTGCTCATTTTATTTCCTATTTTACTGCTAAGAATTAGCAGAAAGAAATCTAAAGAAATTAGATTAAGAATTTAGAAGTTAGATTAAGAAAAAGAATTAGCAGAAGGAAATCTAGCCAAAAAATAATAGAATCATAATAAAATTATTATTAAGGTCATTTCCAAACTATATGTGCTTTTGCTGAACTTCTCACCCATTAGGGTAGTGCAAAATGGTGTAGCTACTATAGAAAGTAGTATGGAAGTTCCTAAAAGATTAAAAATAGTATTTATATATTATCTAGCAATCCTACTTCTGGGTTATATATCCCAAAAAAATTTAAAGCAAGATATTTGAGATACATTTGCACATTCATGGTCATTGCAGCATTATACACAATAGCTAAGAGGTAGAGACAACCCAAATGTCCATTGATGGATGAATAGATAAAGAAACTGTGATGTATACATACAGTGGAATATTATGTAGTCTTAAGAAAGTAGATTCTGTCACATGCCACCACATGAAAAAACCTTGAGGACATTAGGCTCAGTGAAATAAGGTAATCACAAAAGGACAAATACTATATGACTTCACTCATAAGAGGTTTCCAAAGTAGTCAAAATCATAGAAACAAAGCATAAGGGAAATTGCCAAGGGCAAGGAAGGATAGGGAAAATTAGTGTTTAATGGGCACAGGATTTCAGTTTTGCAAGATGAAGAAGTTCTAGAGATCTGTTGCACAACCATGTGAATATACTCAATAGTACTGAACTATATCACTTTAAAATGTTGTATATTTGTAAACATAATTAAAAATAAAATAAAATTTTAAAAATATATAGGTACTATTTATAAGACTAGTGAAAACATAGGAAGCATTGTATTACATAATAAACACCATTGATGTAGATAATAATAATGGCTATTATTTGTAATAAAAATAAGAAGTTATTAAGTAGTTACTCTGATCCAGGAGTGTGCTCTCTCTCTCTCTCTCTCTGTGTATGTGTGTGTGTGTATATATACACACAATATATAACATATATATGATACATTGACATACTTATAATATATATATTTTATAAATCATAATATAGATAGGAAATGTATAACTAACTATGTTAATTTTACTGAACCTCAAAGACATTATGGGTTTTGCTCAAGGTGAATGAACTCATAAAAGGAAGAGCCAATACTTAAATTTGAACATTATATGAGCACATAATGAAGGGTTGACCAGATTCAATTTATTTGAATAAGTTTTAATGTATATTTTATAGTTTCGATTTCACTCTTTAAACAGAGTATCTTTATTTTTGAGATTATCCATACATCAGCCAAATGGTTTCATTACTGAAAATAAAAGCAAAGAACTCCGTATGCCAAACTTCATCTTTTTTCAAGGGCTATTTTATGATTACTACATCGAAGAATGTACTCAATCAATTCTTGAAAACCTAAAACTCAGAAATGCCACATTAAAAAGCTCTTCTAGACTGTTTTAATTGTAAATTCACCTCTATGATGACCTAATGTCAAAAGTAATATTATTTGTGTTTCCTACTCAAATCTTATAAAACCAGTAGCAAAAAATGAGTTTTTAAATCAATATATTTAATTTCTAGATTTTCCTGATGATGATAACAACACGGGTAATGATGAATATGTTTACCAAACATTGACCACTTAAATACATTGTCATCTGAGATGGGGGCCACAATTATCCTCACATTAAAAATGAGAAACTTGCATCATAGAAATGGTAAAGTATTTTACATGGGTCACACAAGAGACAAAGGTAGTTGTTTTCTAAATAACTTGCATCACAATATGCACAGTAAATATACCCAGATGCAGCTGCAGAACAGAGTTAGCTCCTTTCCAAACTTCACTTCGTAAGCCTGTTTTCACATCTGTTGAACATGGCAATCTCTCATAGTGAGCCAGTGGCTTCTTCGGTTCTTAACTCAGAAAATTTCTAATATGACTTCATACTGCAATAAGTTATTGTAAAGGTAAGCTGTTCAAATACAGTTACTGACCATGATGTCTATAGCAGAGCACAGTGTAGTGTGAAAATCTGGACTTCTGTGTGGAATATATCAACTCTATTCTCTAGCGTAAGGAACTTTATTCTCTAGAATAAAGAACATGCCATGAATAGTGCATGCAAAACACTGCTTTCACTCACGGTAGAGCCATGAACCTTATATCCAAGAGCTATAACTATCTGTGTGAATATCAGGATCTATATTTTGATTATCATAAATTTTGCTTTTTATATCAAGGCTTAAGCAACCAGCAGTTATCTATCTTGGTAGATTATTGAAACATTGAGGGTAAAATCAATGATTTTGGGAAAACCTCACTATACCCAAAGAAGAAACTAAATTATTTCTACAATCAATTTTAAAAGTTAAATATGGAAATATAAATGTTAATAATATAGTAGATCTGATGGAACAGAGTGCTTGCAAATTTTATCTACTAAAATATATGGTTTAGAGCTCACTGATTTATTCTAATAATATATTTTATTACATCTCACTAGTGAGGTAGCAGGTACATGTGGAAGTTTATGGTTTTATTAATTTTCATTATTCCTCTATTTACATTAAAATATAAACTCTATCAGATATGTTTATTTAGCAAATAAATGTTTTATATAGTAATCCATTATACTGAATACTGTTTTGTGCACATTTTACTCAAACCTTTTTTTAGCTGTGTTGTACATGTCATATGGTTTTATTCTCCATCCTAGTCATTTTTGTCATCTGCCATAATTTTATATTTGCTAATTACTTGATAATCTTGGAAGTATTACATATATCTGAAATATATTGATATTATCTCATTGAATCAAGATCAAAATAAATTATAGTAAAACAGGAGGAATAAGTTCAAGAGATCTATTGCAGTCTGATGACTATAGTTAACGATTATATATTGTGTTCTTAAAAAATGCTGAGAGTGGATTTTAAGTGTTCTCACCACAAAAATGATGACTATGTGAGGTAATGCATCTAGATTTAGCCATTTCACAATGTATACATACTTTAAAACATCATGTTGCATATTATAAATACATACAATTTTATGTGCCAATTTAAAAATAAACAAATAAAAAATAAAACTCACTTGATGTATTTATCACACCCACACATACCCAGTCTTTAGTACTCACTAATGTTCAGGCATTTAAAAATGTTCTGACAAATACTCATATTTGTACATAGCATTATTTAAGTCGTCAGAAGAAATACAAAGTACAGCCTGGTCACATTTTTATGATAAATAATCAGATGAAATAATCCATCAAATTGAAGTCATGATTAAAATAATAAATACACACACACATATGTGGGGGCTCGTGCATTTGCATGAGGAAAAATAATACAAATCAAAACAAATGCCTCTGTTTGCAGAGAGAATTCATGATCACAAATGCATAGATCCTAGAAACAAATGAACCCAATTACCAATAAATATAATATAAAGAAGAAAAATAAATACATTTGAGGAGTATTCCACATAAAATGAAACTGCTAAAACGCTTATGATATTTTATATTTTCTTATACTGAGAATTGGCTTCCTGCAGTCTAGTATCTTAGAGGAACTCTAATAAATGTGACAGATAAAAAATGACTTTTAAAGAAAACTATAAAATTTAAGAATGAGAGTAATGTGGTAGCAGTACGAATTGGCACAGTCTTTGTGAAAATGAATTTAGCAATGTGCATCAAAACTCAATAATTCTTTCATTAGTTGACCCAGAAATTCTGCTTCTTAGCATAAGGTTGTATTTCAAAAGGAGGCAAAATTCATGTACAAGAGTGGTCATCTTAGCTTTAGCACAACATTCAATATCTGCATTTTCTGTGCAAGCCAGGAGGTGCAAACAATCAGGGTATCCACATGAGGTGGGTAAAATAAATATGGGGGGTGCCAGACGTCTAATATTACGTGAACTTTAGAAGCAGCCAATTGGAAATATGCCTGACAATCATGGTTGGATTGTAAGAGTACAGAGATTCATGAAAAAAAGCTAGAAACAGTTTTAGATGTGAATAACAATTATATTTACGTAAAGTACATGATAATACAACAAGCCTGTTTTATAAGAATACAAAAAACAAAAACAATAACACTTTAGTTTCAGAATAAATGTCAATGGATTGGGTGAAGGGACTGGAAGTGAAAGTGATAAACAAGGACAATCATTTCATGGACAATAATGTGAAGGCACTATTAACTGCGGGCTATTATTAACTCAAGTCTCTACTCCTGAGATCAAAATGAAGTTTTCTGAATGACGTAAGAAGATAGATAACAAATTTATACGATGTGAGATCAACTAGATAAAATGGCCGATATGGGAAGAGCAAAGTCCTCTAAACTGTGAACAATGGATAAGAACAAATTGCAACTAATTTTTATTGGTCTTACATGTTGCTAAATTCTCTCACATACCAGCTCCAAAGAGGTCGCTCACGGTGCTTATGATTTCACTGTCATTCAAGGTGTCTGTTTTGGTAGCAGCATATTTGTTGTGGCATACATTAATCAGAGCATCAGTAATGTCTCGGATATGATCCTGAGGAGACAAATCTTAGCATGACTTTTCATCCCTGTCTATGTTGTATATCAATTTAAATCCCATGCAGGAAGAGCCATATTACCATATAACTTGAAGGGAACCCATTGAGTCTTGGAATATAAGGAATGTAAATAGATCATCTTAAACCTTGCAACCATTTTTGCTTAAAATTTGTAATGCTTAATCTTGATAGTGTGGAATAGAAAACCAAGTTACCAAACTCAATTTTCTCCTCAGAACTTCTTTCAATTAATAAAAAAGAGTTCCTGTATCTATAAGCACAACTTGAAAATATCAGCATTCTCTATAACTTATTACAGAGAAATTGCTTGGCAATGTTTAAAAAGTTTATTTATTTATTTATTTATTTATTTATTTATTTATTTTTATTTTTGACACACAGTCTCATTCTGTTGCCCAGGCTGGAGTGCAGTGGCGTGATCTCCAGTCACTGCAACCTCCACCTCCTGGGTTCAAGTGATCCTCCTGCTTCAGCCTCCCGAGTAGCTGGGATTATAGGCACGCAAAACTACACGTGGCTAATTTTTGTATTTTTAGTAGAGACGGGGTTTCACCATGTTGGCCAGGCCGGTTTCAAACTCCGGGACTGATCTGCCCACCTCGGTCTCTCAAAGTGCTGGGATTACAGGTGTGAGACACCGCACCTTGCCAATAAAAGGTTTTTAAATCTATTGGAAGGATTTTGTGTTCACTTCAGGCACCATGGAGAAAGAGAGAGGGCTGGGGTATTTGAGAGAATGGGAATAAAAGTTTATACACCTTACAAATGCTGATACTTACTATACCTGATCTAGAATTCCCATCTTCCCATCTGGTGCCTTGAAACAGATTGTCTTCTGCCTCTTCTTTTTCACTGGAAGGAACTTAACTACTTACACCTCTTCATTTGCTTAATGATCCCACCTCTGGATGTTTTATTTTTTTCTTGATGACTTCATCCCAGCAAATTGCCCTTGTGAACTAGGATTCTTCCTGGTACATATGTATTTCAAGACAGAAATTTATTCTGCTGACCATCGAAGTGAGCCCCAAATAATTTAATAGCCTCACAAGAAAGGTCCACTCTGCCACCTGCAGAAACTTAATACATGTGTTTTCATCTTAAAATTCATGTCTGTATAACAAAGAAACTCAAGAAGAAAATGAAGGTAATTTGAAAGCTTCCTATAGAATATCCTTTATAATTATTCAAAAATACTATCTGATAAAAATATGCTAATATTTGTGATACCTGTAAGTCTGAGATCATGGTGCCAGATATGAAATGGGAGAGATGAAATTATTGCTTTGTTTCTTCAAGGAACTCACTTATTCTTCATCATTTATAAGGCAATTACTTAATCACAATATTCAATATCTGCACTTTCTGTGCAAGCCAGGAGTTGCAAACAATCAGGGTATCCATATGAGATGGGTGAAATGTATGGGGCAAGGGGGTCACGTCGTGAAATATTAAACAACTTTTAGAAGCAGCAAGTTAGAAATACACCAGACAACCATAGCTGGATTTTAAAAGTATAAGCCTTCATGAAAAACAGTTAGAAACAGATTTAGATTAAATAACAATTACATTTACGTTCATAATACAAGTATATGCCCTATCCACACCCAGGGAAAATTTATGTTTCTGGGGAAAATTTTATGGATTAAAGAATTCAGAACTTTTCTTAGGGTTTTATATGAGAACTGAGTAATGCTGTCATGCAGTCTCACTGTTTGGACCTCAAATTTACTAATAGCTTGGGTACAGGTCATTGTGACAAAACTGTAGTGAAAAGAACCAATGATATTCGAAGCATTTCACCATTATCTTTTGTTTCTCACCAAAACCCTTGTCCTGGTATAAGATCAAATCCTTACCTTACCATAGGTAGCAAGATGATCTTGTACGTGTAGTGCAATAAACCCATTCAGGGCCTGGTAAAACTCCAGAGGAGCATTTATAATCTTCAGTGGAAGGTAGTGGAGACATGGTATGAAATCGGCAGGGTTAGCTGCACTGGAGGCCTTGAGTAAGTCGTCATTTGTTTTAACTATCCTAAGAAATTCCTCATCACTGTGGTCCTATCTCTTGCCAAAGCAAAGGGCACAGACAATGTTGGCCACCACACAGGTGATCGCATTTCTGGGGTCAAAGCTGCCATTCTTGGAAGTCAACTCTACAAAGACTGTCACCAGTTCAGAAATTTCTTCAGTGACATGCTCCTCAAGTGAGCAAGAGCAAGTGGAGGATTTCGCTTCTGCATTAGAAAAAGTTCATAAGGCTTTAGAGGCAATTTTTTTATGAAGTTTCCAACTCTCTCCATAATTCACTGAAAATGAAAGACTCTTTCCTTCTGCCAGGAAAGAAAATGTGTGCATGTTAGGTCTGCCTGCAAAATGCTCCCCATCCTTATGTAGTACTTGTTTCACCATTTCCATTCCATTTACCACCAAGACAGGCACCATGCCAAGTTTGAGGAGAAAGACATCTCCATATTTCTTCCTCATCTCCATTAATGTAAGGTAAGGATGATCTCCAAGCTGGAGAAGATTCTCTATGATGGGGAAGGACTAAGGGCCAGGAGGAGACACCTGCTTTCTGCCCTTGCTCCTGAGAGCTCTTACAAAAACAAAAACCATCACCAAAATGATGAGAGAAGTGGTCACCTCTCCAGGAGTGACTGCCAGGTCGAGAATCATTTTCGGGAATATAACACCTAAAACAGAAAAATGTCTATCTTATTTTTGTAGTTTTAGACATATACTAAGTAGCCTCTCTCCCTTTGAACATTTAGGGGGAAAGTACAGACTCTTTGAGATTAGTTGAAAGCCCTTCTTACCTGATGCACTGAAAGAGCAAAATCAAATTCTTGCAAAATGAATGGCATCTTTATCCTAATTTGATTCTTTTCACAGTTCTAATCACCAGACCAAAATCCTGCAAGATGAGTCACTGACCATAGACAGAAGAAGATGAAAGTCAGTGGAGAAAGCAGTCTGGTGACTTGGAAAAGGATTAAGGCTCCAGCAGCTGACTTTATACTCATTCGGGGGACCTCAGTGCCTCCACTTAACCTCAGTGAATCCCAGTTTTCTCCTCTAACTATCCTACCTCACAGATTTAGTCACATTCTTTCAGTAAATGTTTTCCACACCCCCTAATATCAAGCACTAAGAATATAAAACAAAAATTCACAGACTAAGGAGGAAACCAGGTAAATAAAAATAAGATTAGAAAGTGGAAAGTGCTATAAGGGAATTGGGTGCAGAGTAGTTTGTCATTGTCTGTGGATCAAATCAGATTATTATTTTTTAAAAAGTACTTGGGGACAGGTGCAGTGGCTCACATCTGTAATCCCTGCACTTTAGGAGGCCAAAGCGGGTGGATCACTTGAGGTCACGAGTTCGAGACCAGCCTGGCCAACATGGTGAAACCTAGTCTCTCCTAAAAATACAAAAATTAGCCGGGCGTGGTGATGTGTGCCTGTAATCCCAGCTACTCATGAGGCCAAGGCAGGAGAGTCACTTGAACCTGGGAGGCAGAGGTTGCAGTGAGCCAAGATCACACCATTGCACTCCAGCCTCGGCGACAGAGCGAAACTCTGTCTCAAAAGAAAAACAAAACAAAACAGTACTTTGTGAATTACCAGCCATTTAACGGATATCTAATTGGTTGTTTGCCTACTCCCTCTGTCCTTGGACTTCCCAGGCTGTTTATTAGGGTGACTTTCTCAATTCTTTCTGCTCTATGACCATGGGTGGTTAATCCAAGAATGGGCCACTAGCCCAAGATAAATCCTCCTTAGGAATAGGGAAGGGGACTGTGAAAGATCATCCTTTCTCTGGGCAGCTAGATCTATAACATCTAAGTTCCAAAGATATGATTTGGTGGTCTTTCACCCATCAGGTTGACCTAAGAAAGCATGTTGGAAAAATAAATGAAGTAGAAAGGAAAGAAATAAAAGATAAAGAGAGGCCTCATGATCTTACATTCACCACTTCTACCTTCAGGAGACCTAGGTACACTCTTGTCTCTAGGTTGAATTATTTCCCACTTAAACTAGCTAGAACTGGTTTCTGCTACTTGTGACCAAGAGGATCCTAACCAAAATAATAATAATAGTAATGCTTTATATACATGCAGAATATTTTTATTAACTATTGCATTTTATGGTAACTATAGACAGAAGAAGAGGAAAGTCAATGGAGAAAGCAGCCTAGTGACTTAGAAAGGAAAATTTAGTATTTCCTCTCTCTTAAAAGAAAACACAACTAAACTGTTCACACTTCTCAAATTACTTACAGAGACAAATAGCACTGATAGATATACTCATTGGCTAGTGTAAATGTCCAGCTCTCTTTGATTTTTGAGAAGACCAACACTTCGTTTCTTCTAAGCTTTAAAAATAATAAATTTTAATAAACTGAAAGATTATTTTGCAAATAGCAATGAATTTGTCTTCCAGTTCAGATGAAAGTGACAGGGTGGTAAAAACTATTCCAATTTGTTCTCCTAGAAAAAGAACCTAGGATCAAAGGCATATTTATCTTAAAGACCTTACACAGCATAAATAGCTCCCACTATTAATATTCAAGTAAACACATTGTCATTAATGTGTCTTATCTAATTATTTCACCTTTCTTTTTCTTTTTCTTTTCTTTTTTTTTTTTTTTTTTTTTTTGGAGATGGAGTTTTGCTCTTGTCACCCAGGCTGGAGTACAATGGCGCAATCTCGGCTCACTACAACCTCCACTCACTGCAACCTCCATCTCCTAGGTTCAAGCGATTCTCCTGCCTCAGCCTCCCAAGTAGCTGGGATTACAGGCGTACACCACCACTCCTGGCTAATTTATGTTTTTTTAGTAGAGATGGAGTTTCACCATGTTGGCCAGGCTGGTCTCGAACTCCTGACCTCAGTTGATCCACCGGTCTTTGCCTTCCAAAGTGCTGGGATTACAGGCGTGAGCCACCACGCCCGGCCTTATTTAATCTTTCTAAGCTTCATGGATAAAATGTGGCTAAGTACAGTAATTTGCTTGGCATTGTTTTTTAAGGGATAATCTTTGGAGTTAAAATTGAGAGATAAATTTTTTTATGGGAAACAAAAAACCCTGAATACGCATTTAAACTTAGAAAAAATAAGCTGAGTACCTAATCAATGTAACATCCACAATTTGAAAAACTGCCATTAACTGCAATCTTACCATGTGGCAGATATAGCAGTAAACAAAGTCTGCACTGTCTTTCAAAACTCACATCTCTGGGAGGTAATAAATCATCCTCCTATGGGGAGACTTGGAGAGATAAAGTCATTTTTTCCCATTTATTTCCCACTTTGAGCTTAATAACAAATTACCACTTATTTACATCTAGTGCTTGCCCAGGAGAAAATTCAATTTCTCTTGAGCATACACAAAAAACTGCCAGTTTCTACATTGACAATAATCAGTTGCATTTCCAAAGCTGAGTAGTGAGTAGGTGGGAGGTATGTGTGGCTGGAAAAGCACTGGACTCAGAAAGATGACTGTGTTTCCAGCCTCTCTTGTCCTCTATTTAGCCCTGGAATTTCTGTTAAATTACAATCTCTGTTGGCCTCAGTTTCCTCATCTGTAAAATGGTCACGTCAGAGTAGAAGATGTCTAAGGCCAGCTCCAGACTTCAATAATGAAAGCTAAAAGGAAAAAAAGGGCAGAAGCCAAGTGTGATGTACATTGTTAACTGCCCAACAATACTATTTTTCCAGAGTCTCTGGAACAGTTAGCAGTTCATCAACAAATGTAAGTAACTGTGTGATCACCCTGGATTGTATTTTATTTTTTTCCTCAGCCTGGGCTCTTCTCATTTCTTTTACTAAATTCTTTTTGGCGATTTACCAGGCTCAGATGCTTTGCCAACTTTCTCAGCAACATTCTTGGAAAGCACTGAAGCACATTCTGTTCCTGGTGTTTTGAGGATAAACTCAGGCAGAGGACAGGGGATGTGAGGCTCCCTAAGGGTGGGCTGCTATACCACCAAGGATTCAAAGAGAATTTTAAGCAATTTTTTTAAAAGCCTGGTGAGAAAGACATACATAGGTTGAAGGTTTCTGTAGTGATCTGAAGTCTAGACACACACATTAGACTTCCCTCAGGAGGTGTTAAACAATAGCAGTATCCACATGGACCAATTACATCAAAATCTCTAGAGATGGATGCATTTTTCAAAAGCTTTTCAATGTGACTATGGGGCATTTCCAGTTGAGGACTTTTTTAGGGGAAAACTACTTGACAGGATAATCATCCAACAGTCTCAGCAAACCCACTCAGTCCAGTTACAGCTTGGAAGGCTCACCTGTGCCCAGAAATCTTGTGGGTCAGTGTGAGGAATCTGGTGCAGGAACCAAAAGACAGAGAAGGATTTTGGCAAAGCTGTGTGTGTCCTAAGAAACACAAACAGTCTCTTCCATAGCAGCAGCAGCAGGCAGGGGCAGAATTTTGCCTGGAGGGAAAGGCCTGGTGAGAACACCCCTTCCTAGAAGACAGGGGAGGAGGGGTGGACCTTTGACCTGTGTGGGAAGGAGTTTGGAGCCTGATCAAGGGCACTGGGAGCAGGAAAGAGGGGTAGAGAGGCTTTTGTGGCCAGGATCGGGTCTGGGAAGCTCGGAGATTTCACTGTGAGTGGAGTCAGAGGGAAGGCATTTGGAGCAAAGGCTTCTGTAAGAGGGAGTAGGATGGAAATTGATCTTTGAAGAAAGCAAGACAGAAGAAGGGAGATGGAAAGATGAAATCATTTTAAAATTGCTGGTAACAAACGAAGGTAGGATACAAAGATGTATAACAAGGAGCAGGGAAGGAGAAACAGGGAGGAGCGATACAGAGACGTTGCTGTGATGTGAATTTTGAATTCCTTTTCTCCAAACTGGACTTTGGCACCAGGAAAATGTGTGCAGCTCTCTGAGTGGTCAGCAAGTTCAGGGGCAGGAGGATCGATGAAACACAAAATAAAGGGAACATAGGTCCACTTTCTCAGATGAGTTTGGTAGATTCATCAGGAGTCTTCACCAACCAGACAGACCTGCATTTCCACAACTAGAACAGTTAACTTCTGAGTGCAATATTGGTAGCTTTGGTTTGAGTAAATATTCCCATCTGCGCCAAGGCATTTTTGCCCAATCTGGATAAATGCCAGTTTTTCTACATAATGCAAGGTTTTCTGTGTAACTGGGTAAATGACCTGTGGTTTTGGACCACCTTCTTGTCAGGGTGTCTGCAAATTATTACATAATAGACTTTTTTGTTTGTTTGTTTTTAGCATTGAAGTTTTTGGCTTCCTAAATATTCTGAGTTTCAAGGTCAGATTTAATAAGAGTGCCCAAGAATAATCAATGGTAGTCAGTACTTTCTCACAGAGGGGAGAAAGCCAGCCCCCAAGGGGAGTGCTCAACCTAATATGTTCCCTCCATGGTAACTTTCAGGCCATGACCTACTGTGTTACTTGGTGTCAGGTTCAAAAAAATATCATGGGTTTCTAAATAGCTAGACTTCAAAAGTCACACAACCAAAAAAATCTGACAAGAGCCGACAAACCACAGGAATTTTCTGACCCACTGGCAGACGTTATGCTAATTGACATTTAATCATGTCATACTTAGCTACTGCTAAAAAAAAAAAAGTTTTACTCCTAATGTTTTTTCATGAAGTCTCTCCTCTAATGTAATTAACCGCACATTGGATTAATGTATAAACATTAGGTAGCTCTATCAAATTATTTATGCAAGTACCCATATTATAGACATTGAGAATAGCTGACTAATAGTGTGTTATTTAAAAGGGTTCATAGGAGAGGGTAATGAAAATTGCCTTGCATTCCCATTGGTTAAGAGGAAAATCCATACCACGATAATAATCGTTACAGCTAATGTTTATTGTGTGCTTACAAGCATTAGGCATTTTAAAGTCATTTGTATTTCAGTTATTTCTCGTAGCCAACCTTTGAAGGATTGCTATTTTTTTCTCTGTTTTACATATGATGAATTCTGAGGCCCAGGGAAGTTACAAAATCTGTTCAGGCTAACAGTGTGTAAGTGGCGGAAAAAAAGATTTAAAACCAAATATTTTAATATCTGTGCCCTTTGCCTTTGATTGTGCCACCTTCTAGTGGAGAATTCTTCAGCTGAAACCTGAAGCTTCTACTGTAAACAATAACCATCCTTACTGATGTGACCTCCTATAAGAAACTGTCATATAAGATACATCTAGCAGTACCTGCCTCAGAGAGTAGTTAAAAGAATAAAAATTACTTGATCTCTGTAAAGCACTTAATAACTGGCACATGATAATCATTCAAAAATAGTAGTTTTTGTCCACAGAAGAGGAATATTGTACTTTTAGGGATTAAGTGGGCGGTACTTTAAGGAGGAGGTGATATTTGAAGTAAATTTAAAGTATAAAGGGGAGCTTACTAGGTGAAGTTGGAATGAAGCAATCTAGCAGAGAAGAACATTTTAAAAGGAAGAGAGGTTCAAAAGAACTAAATATGGTTAAGAAATAAGGTGAGATAAAAGATGGCAGGAGGTGAACATGGAAAAAAAATATTCTTAAATCAGAATCTCAGTGATTCCTGAGTCTTCAGTCTCCCTTGTAGCCCACAGCTAGTGACTTGGTCTTGTGGATTCAGCCATCTACATGTTTCTCATTGTCCTGGCATTTCTATTCCCAATTGTTGTTACCTAGATCTGGTCCCCATCAAATATTTTCTGGACTATTTTAATAGCTTTGTATATTACATTCAGCAGCCAGTAAGAACAAATGGCTTAAATGAATAGAATTTATCTTTCTTACATGACAAAATGCCTACATGTGGGTGACTGCTTCCTTTGGTTCAGTACCTTCATGACACTTGGGGTGATATCTCTGCCACTCTTTAGGCCTTTCCCTTTGGCTGCCATATGGCTGCTGCAGTTCTAGCCATCATTATCTGTGTTCCAAACAAAAGAAGGGAGAAAAGTCCATGTCAGCCCCATCTGTATCATTCTATCACTTAAGACACTTGAGCTTTCCCCAAAACCACCAGTAGACTTCTGCTTAAGTTTTATCATGTCAGATAGGATGATAAAGTATTTGGCTTGCAATACTGCCACTGCAAAGAAAAGAAAGGGCAATTAGTAAGGAAGGCAGGTAGGCTGGATATTGGGAGTAACTAACATGCCTGCCGTGCTTCAGATCTAGTGGGTTTGCTGCTAGTCTCTCCCCAGTCATACTCCATTCTGCTGGTCTAATCAGTTTTCAAATGAACAAATCTGATCACATTGCTTATTCACTTCCTCTAGCAAGCACAGTGCTTTGAATTTCATTCATTATCATCTGTGACTGACTCTTACCTGCCTTTCCAGTGTCATCTTTTGCTATTGGGTCACTTTCATCTTGTACTATCTGCTTTGATTCTCTCTCCTTCCTCTTAGTCAGTACGGGTCTAGAATTTTGTCCACATTTTTAAGTTTTACCAGTCCTTATGCTGTAGTGTTCAATGTTCCCTTTGCCTAGGATGTCCTTACACTCTACATTGTCAACTTGAAAACACCAGTCTTCGAGACACACTTGATTCTATGAAACCTAGCCCTGCTTTCTCCCTTTTTCCTTCCTTGGCTGTTGGAGTGGATACTGTGGTGTCTTGCCGAGATCTTCTCTTCAGGGTCAACATATATATCCAGGCAGCTGTTGGGAATTTCTGCTGCTGATGGTTCTTAACTGCATCTCAGGAAATTTTGCTCTTGGTTTTAGAACACTCCCTCCCTCAAGATGTTCCTTCTTTCCGGGTGGCCTACAGTCAGCAATGATGAATGTAGAGACACAAGGCCCTGATGTTTTGATTCAGTCCAAGGAAGCTGTGAAGCCTCATTCCAGCTCCACAGCTCCTTAGAAAATGGATTAAGACTTTGGTTGCACCCACATATACCTTGTGGATTGTGTTCACCTTCTGCCCAAATTGTCTTTCTCTATTTCCTCGAAAGTGTATCTTTTGAGAGTTCTCAATGAAATTTTGACACAAAAATTTCCATTCTGGATATATTTCCAGAAAACCCAATAAAAACAGCTCTCTAGGCATTTGTGCCAAACTAAATATATTCTTTTGGGCAATGCTGCCCATATAATGATATTTGGCATATTTGTAAACTGACTGCCCCCTGCAGTCAGCTCTGCTATGGAAGTCTGGACTCTCACGATACTAGAAGGATTTTATACATCTTGCATTTAAAATAGGAAGAAAGATTTTCTAGAGAAGATGCTGTTAGGAAGACTTGCCACTACCTCTCCCCACAAAATAGAAACTTTAATATTTCTCCTTTTGTCTTATCAAAATGGCAATCATAAAAGCCACAACTCTACAGACACAAATGTCTGTATCTGAATGTATCAAATTTCTGTATACAGAAGACTTGCATTACTTATTAACATTGCCCCTCCATCCTGATCACATGCACATATGTCCAAGTCCACTCCTCTATCACAACACACATAAATACCTCCCACATATACACACAGCAGTGTTCTTGACAGTGAGTAGGAGATACTCATAAAGTCTCAAATATAGACCACCCGTATTGGCTCCTTTTAGAAAAGCAGCTTTAATCCCTCTTGCTCGTTATGCATACAGAAAAAAACCCATTTGCTGCAATTCTGATAACTGAAATAGAGTTTGATGCAAGAACTTAAAGGTAATCATACGTGAATGAAGTATGGCAGATATTAGCTGCCTTTGTTTCTTTGCCTCTGCTGCGATCCAACCATTTTTTAATTAGGATGTGGAATGATGAAAGCTAAGCCTCATGATAACTATTTGGGGGCTGAAATATAGGAAAAGAAAGCAATAAAATATGAGTTTTATGCTACTGTTTTGGTGTTCAGGCTAGATTCCTCAGAATGATACCTTTTTGGAAGAATGTGCCAAGAATGTTTGTCAACAAAAACCTCCTCTGGAAGTAATCTGGCTGTCTACATCTGGGATCAGGAACTAATGAGTCCATGAATAACTTTTTTGGCCTGCCATTCTGTTGGTGTCTGATATGTCTGAATTGAGGAAGAATGGAATTTACAGTTTGTTGGTGGATTACTATGACTTCTATCAGGAACTTCTGAGAACAGGTAGTAATTGTGCCTGTTATACTTCGTGCCTGTGTTAGACAACAATGTCAATAACGAAACAGGATCACAAAGCCTTGAGAGAACATTATTCTGTTCAGAAAAACTCAATAATTATTCAGTAATATCTTATAGAAAAATAAAAATGGACTTCTTCCTTACATGTTACAGGTATTTGTATATACAGGTTGGCAAATCTATACAAGTAGCTAAACAACATGTTTCTACTTTTCTAACTGAGTAGCTTACAGGTTTATACTGTAACATCATGCTTCTACCCTTGGACCCAAATATCCAACATCTTGGAATTTATCTTGAAGAGATCATTAGCCAAGGGAATTAAAATGCATGCACACAAAAGCTACTCGTGGCATTGATTATGACAGTGAAATTTCAAAACCACCTATGTTTCTTTCAATATAGCATTTTACATAAAGAACACTTTGCATCCATTAAAAATGATAGCACTATCTCAATATTTATAACCATGAAGATGTCCCTGCCACTTTGCTGAGTAAAAAAGTAGACACCACACCACATGCGTAGGAAGGAATTATCTATATAAAATTATACATGCACCCAAACACATACACATATATCTGTAAAGAGATGATATCTGGAGGCATGTTCTCGTGTGTTCATGAAGAGATTTGGGAAGATATTTACCTTCTCTTCATACTTTGCTTGTGTTGATTTTTTTTTACAGTGAGCATATATTATTCTGTTAATAAAATGTTGATCTACTTTGATTTTTAAGTCATGCTTCTATAAATCAAAGTTTTTATCAGTATGTCCATTTCTGTCCTTACAACGGTTCACTTATTTTTCCTTATTGTAATATTGCTTGTGTAGTTCTCATAGTTCAGTGCTAAAACTCTTAACATTATTTGAAGATACAAAGTCAGTAGTATGCAAACCTTCCCAGGAAATGATACTGACACACATAGATTCCCAGGAAATGCTACTGACACACAATGGATTCTGACATGACCAGCCTCTATAATAAGAGGAAAGTGTGGTCCCTGTACACTAGCTTTCAAACCAATGGGAAAATACAAATGGGACCAACAAGCCTGTCTTGTCATGCTTGTATGATAGACATGGTGGTATCAAAAGGAAATAGGGGATTACTAATGCCAAAGTATATAGAAGAGGAAAGATAGCATGGTCCTAGCCGATTGTCTTTGGGAAACTCATCTATCTTTTGTGAATCTCTTCATTTTTCTCATTTGCAGTTTGCTGTGATGACTAGAAAAGTATATGTCAAATGTTGACTTATAAGAGGGTCTCAATTAATGAAGTTATGATTGCTATTTTTATTAATATTGTTGCTGCTGCTATATTGGGAAACGTAATATTGAAAATCACATGATAAGTTTTATCGATGTACTCATTTGAAATAGATAATTCATGTAAGGAAAAAAAGTATTCTTATTCTACAACACAGGAAATTCTCATTTTTCTTCTCTTTTTTTTTTTTTGAGATGGTGTCTCGCTCTTTTGCCCAGGCTGGACTGCAGTGGCACAACCTCAGCTCATTGCAACCTCCACCTCCTGGGCTCAAGCAATTCTCCTGCTTCAGCCTCCCAAGTAGTTGGGACTACAGGTGTGTACCACCACGCCCAGCTAATTTTAATAGAGATGGCATTTTACCATGTTGCCCAGGCTGGTCTCGAACTCCTGACCTCAAGTGATCCATCTGCCTTGGACACCCAAAGTGCTGGGATTACAGGCGTGAGCAACCACACCCAGCCACTTTTCTTAAAAATATAAAATATTACCAAATTTTTACTTTTTAAGTTATAAGGATTCAGCTCAAGAGTTCTTTTATGTCACTTATCTATGACGAAATATAAATTTTAATTTAACACCCCCTAGTTCATTCCTTGGCGACTCCAATTTTTCCATTGCAGAAATCACACAAATAAGTTTGCCTTCAGATAAACAACACTTGATTCGTGGCATATGCTCTACTGTGCTAAACTTTTTACTCTGTCTCAATTTCTACAAACCACAAACATTTTCTTTCAACCATTTTTTATTTTTTATAATATAATTTTTATAAATATTTTTTATTTTGGTAAATTTCACATTAGTAATGTGAAAAATTACCAATGAACATTGCACACATCGAAAGTGAAGACGAAAACAATAACAAAAGGGAGTTCACTGAATGTTCATTTACATTTTAAATAATAAACAACATGCATGACGTGATTTTTAAGAAGTGAAGGCAGTACTAATAAATTCCTCTTTAATTTTTCATGTATGTGTGTTCAGGCTTGTCAAGTAAATCATAATCACATGTGTTGGTTTGTGATGCGGTTTATTAGCTTCATATGCTCTGTATCTAATACATAGGACCATAGCAAAGAGAACAATTCTATTCTATTTTACAATAGCATTGGAAAGAAGAAAATGCTTAGGAATAAACATAACTAAGCAGGTGAAGAACTTTCACATCGAGAACTGTAAAACATTGCTAAAAGAAATTAAATAAGAAACAAATAAATGGCAAGACATCTCATGTTCATGGATCAAAATCCCAATGGTGTTTTTGCAGAAATAGAAAAATCCATCCTGAAATTCATGTGAAATCACAAGGGACCCTGAAGAGCTAAAACACTTGAAACAGAAGCACAAAGTTCGAAGTCTCACACTTCCTCTTTTCAAAAAGTACACAAACCTACACTAGTCAAAACAGTGTGGTACTGGCATAAAGAATGTGTAGACCAATGGAATAGAAGACAGAGTCTTGAAATAAACTCTCACATATATTATCAAATGATTTTTGACAAGAATGCCAAGATTATTCAATGGGGAAAAGACAGTCTTTTTAGAAAATGGTGCTGAGAAAACTGGCTATCCACATACAAAAGAATAAATTTGGACCCTTACACCATGTACAAAAATTAAAACTTAAACATAACAGCTAAAACGATAAAACTTCTATAAGAAAACATAGGTGAAAATTTTCATGACAGTGGGTTTAGCAATGAATTTTTGGATGTGACACCAACAGCACAGGGAACAAAGAAAAAAAAAATAGACCAATTTCTCCTTTGCCAATATTCACAAACTTTTTTGTATTAAAGGACACTCTCAACAGAGTAAAAAGGCAACCCACATAATGGGAGAAAATATTTGCAAATAATATATCTGATAAGAAATTCACATCCAGAATATAAAAAGAACTCCTAACAACTCAACAATAACAATAAAAACTTGGTTTAAAAACAGATGAAGACCGAATAAGCATTTCTTCAAAGAAGGTATACAAATCGTTAATAGGCCCATGGAAAGAAATGCTCAACAACACTAATCATCAGGGAAACGCAAATCAAAATTGCAACAATGAGATATTGCTTCATACCCATTAAGATTGCTATTAAAAATCAAAGCAAAAGAAAAACAAGACAGGAAATAAATGATGTTGGCAAGGACACGGAGAAACTGGAACTTTTGTTCATTCCTGATGGGACGTAAAACAATGCAGCTGCTGTGGAAAACAGTATGGTGGTTCCTCAAAAACTAAAACATTGAATTACATATAATTGACTAGACTCTCTCTGACCTAACTTTAGTTAGTCTCTCTTCAGCCCTCTTTTTAACTAGCTCTCATCTTTGGGGCCCTGTATTAGGCCTGCCTAGTCCAACTACAGCAAGAGTCCTGCTAAGTCTCTTTAGAGACAATCCCCCACCCTTGATATCTGATCACCCTTGGGATCTGATCAAGTTCTTCATCCCCCACATTTGATATCAGATCACCACAGTCTGGCTTCAGCAAGAATTCTGTTAAGTCAGGTGAGAAAGAACCACCTTACCTTCATGTGTCCTCTTAGTAATTTTCTGTCCACTGACTCAGTCACTCTGCTGATTGTCTCTGGACACCCAGCTGTCCTTGCTGTATTCTCTCTCCCCTAAGGCGATAGTCTTGCCACCTATCGCAACAGTCCAAAGTTTTCTTTACCATTTTCATAAGTTTCAGAACGATTTTTTTCTTTAACATGATCCAACAATTTTACTTCTGGGCATGTATCTTAAAGAATTGAAAACAGGATTTGAACAGATAATTTGTACACCCATGTTCAGCCAATCTGAATGCCTACTGAAGGATAAATGGATAAACAAAATATGGTATCCGTAAGCCATGAAACATTATTCGATCTTCAAAAGGAAGAAAATTCTGACACATGCTACAACATAAATGAAACTTCAAAATCCTATGCTAAGTGAAAAAGCCAATCACAGGACCAATATTGTATGATTCTGCTTATATAAGGTCTCTAGAGTAGTCAAATTCATGGAGACAAAAAGTAGAATGATAGTTGCCAGAAGCTGGGTGCGGGGGCAAATGGGAAATTATTGTTTAATGGGTACAGAGCTTCAGTTTGAGAAAATGAAAAAAGTTCTGGAGATGGGTGGTGATGCCTATATAACAATGTGAGTGTACTTCATGCCACTTTAATGCCACTGCCCTGTATACTTAAAAAATATTAAAATGGCACATTTTATGTTAAGTATACATTACCAGAATTTGAAAATGACTGAAACTCTCAACTGAAAAAAATTCTGCACACATTGGGCTTCCTTTCCAGTTTATAACATCATAATACAGTTCCATGTTACATATTATATGTTTCTCATTCAGCTGTTGCTGTGGAATAACTAGAGAAACTGGGCATGTGGTTAAACTTCTTTTCCAAGCATCTCCTCTTGTTGATTGCAAAAACATTTCTTTTTAGCTTAATCCTTTATTCATGTATTACTGCTAAACATTTTAGAGCTGAGTAAACCAAGACTCTTTTTTAATCCTTTATTTTAAAATGGCAGCATTAGAATATTTGAAATTTTCTTAAATGAATATAAAAGTCGCTCTTCTTTTATAAAGACAATTTTAAAGAATACTTGACCTGAGGAGTGCTTACTGTTACTACACTAATAAGTCTGGATTTTACTTGAAAATACAGTGAATTGGTTTAGAAGGCTGGAAACAAACTGAAGAACACATCTAATTCGTCTGTTCTAAGAAGGACTCACTCATTTTAGGAAAAGATGGTCCATTATGATTTTATTTTTTCTAAGACTCTAATTAGAGCCTATTCTACTTCTTAATAATACTATTCCAGTTTCAAATTGCCCATGTTTAACCATGTGCTCTTAATAAAATTTATGCTTTTTATTCTTCCTACTTAGGAAATAATACAGTCTGTTAACATAAAACATGTTTCCATAAACGAAATTTGCTTATATCTGCTAGAGGAATCGTGTTTTTTTGTAAAGAAGAAGTAGGTTCACTAAATTTGTGATTTCCACTAACATATTAATGTTTTGAAGTAAGCAGGGGTAAACTTTTTCTCAGTTAAAGAGAATCATTATCAGTACATGAAAATGTAAAGGAGGGGGGAAAGCTTAAATCCTGAAAATCCTCCAATAGCCTGCTGTCCACCTAGTTAGCTATTTGGTGAAACTAAGAGTGCACATGAAGACTCTCCAAAGACAGTTACTCTTGTGTTAAAAATTTTAAAGTGGTGATTAAGAAGTCTATTTTTTTATTTTGAAGAAATTGTTCCATTAAAAATGAAGGACCTCTTTGAGTTACATTTGGAGGAGAAACTATAAGCCCATGGTAAAAGGCTGCAAAGGGTGAAACTGCCACTGGAGGTTTAACTGTGTTGAAATTTTTATTGAAATTTTTATTGGAATTTTAGATTTTTTATGTTAGTACTCTGCTTACAAAGAAGAGTATGTTTTTAACGGCCTGCCTCTTGCCGTGTTTCCCCACCCCTACCACCAATAAGCCCTTCAGTGCACCTTTTCACAAAACTTTAGAATTCTCAGCATTGCATACATTATCTCATTTAATCCTTAGTAAGAGCTTTTTATGTTCAGTATAATTATGCCTTTTTTTTTTTTTTTTTTTTTAATGAGATAGAGTCTCACTCTGTCTCCCAGGCTGAAGTGCAGTGGCGCAATCTCGGCTCACTGCAAACTCTGCCTCCCGGGTTCAAGCAATTCTTCTGCCTCAGCCTCCCGAGTAGGCCATTTTTTTAAAGAACAGTTGACTGTGGTCCAATGGTATATTTGCAAGAATATATTCATCAAACGTTTTCCCCAAATGGTAACATTTCATTTCACCTTAGCTTTATCATTTTCTTTCTCTAAATTTTTACAGGTAAGTAACAGACATGCCACCCTGTTACCTCTATTTCAGAGTATATTTCCAAAAAATGAAAAAATTCTCTTATATAACCATAGTATAATTATTAAAATCAGAAAATTAACATTGATAAAATAATATTGTTTTCTTTAATTTGCCTAATAATATTCTTTATAGCAGAAGCACGTTGCATTTAGTCGTCGTGTTTCTATAAACTCCTTCAATCTAGAATAGTTTTGCAAGTTAGCCTTTGTCTCTCATAACCTTCACACTTCAGAAGAGTACAGGCTAATTCTTTGTTAGGCTGTCGTTAAATATGGCTTTGTCTGTTGTTTCTTCATGACTAGGTTCAGGTTGTGCATTTTTGTCAGAAAAACCAAATGGAAGTAGGTAGCTCTACACAGTTGCACAGCCAATTAAAGTTGGGGCCAGGATTTGAATTTCAGCAGGAATCCCAAGACTACATTCTCAACCTCCACTCATAACATCACAAACAATTACTAATTTCTCCTAAGGTATCTTTAACAAAGTTAATGGTTTCTGTAAATATCACTGAAGGTTTGCTCTAGCCTCTGCCACATGATAGAATGTAAGAGCAGGGAAATCAAATGACATCATAGTGTAAACCCATTATAGAATCCACATGTTTATTATCTATTACGTGGGAAATGCAATTCAAAAATTTGGACTGATGGAAAACTTTATCTAAATCTATTTTGTATGTCTTGTGTCACCAATTATATGGTCCCTCACTTGCTTATTTGGCTTCTGTCTTGGTTTCTGTCTTAAAGACTTGTTACATAATATGAAAATATCAGTTTTACTCTATAGTATTTCAATTTACATTTTCTAAAGAACATAATATAAACCGAATCAAATTCCAGAAATTCAACTCCTGAAAGCTTTGTGCATAGGTGGCAATTTCTATATAATACCCTGCTTTCCTAATTATTTCAAAATTCAACAGGTTAGCTAAGTAGATTTAAAAAATAGTAGCATGAGCCAACATTAATCATAAGAGCCCTAAAGAGAGACCTGTGTATTTTCAAATTCTATGTGCCTTGGGCTACTTTTTCTAATGTCACCATTACCATGCAAATTGAAACTTAAAGCAATAATCACTTAATACTGTAAATTATTTTTGATGTTTTGGTCATGAGTATCCTTTTCCTTTTTTTCTTTTTTCTTTTTTTTTCTTTACTTGAGACAGGATTTCATTTTGTCACACAGGCTGGAGTGCAGTGGTGCGATCATAGCTCACTGCAGCTTTGAACTCCTGGGCTCATGCAATCTTCCCAACTCAGCCTTCTGAGTAGCTAGGACTACAGGTGTGCACCACTACATCCAGCTTTTTTTTTTTAATTTTTATTTTTTTGTAGAGATGGAATCTCACTTTGCTGCCCAGGCTGAGTCTCAAATTCCTGGCTTCAAGTGATACTCCTGCCTCAGCCTCCCCGAAGTGCTGGGGTTACGGCCGCGAGCCACCACATGCAGCCATGCATATCTTTAAATGCAAACATGTTCTACAAATAGAAACATAAATTTACACCGGATATCCTCCATCATAAAATTTCAGTTTGTGTATTCTTAAAATATTATGATTGACTTGACTGGTAAAAGTAAGAAGTTCCTGAAAATAAGCACAGCATCTTGATATAAAGTGGTATTGCATCAAAAAGAATAAATAAGGAAATTATCCAATTCTGACTATAACTTCATAGTATAAGAATCATACTGTATCTCAGATCCTACTGTACACTTTCTGGACCTCATCCTGGAAAATCCATGGTGCCCATTGAGAAGAAGTAAGGACTGATATACAGTGACATGTGTCCGTTTTATTTAGTCCACTGTTTTCAAAGAGGAGGGTTTGACTCATTATAAGGTCATGATAAGTGCCTTTAAAAACCAAAATAAAACAATGGAAAATATCTCAAGGTGTCATATATAGTAAATGTAAATATTAACGTAAAATTTGGTTTTAGTGTGTGTGTATACACCTAAGTGTGTGTCTGCTCTTGTGTACACTATGGAAAGGGAAAATAATTTTTTTTACTATGACATAATCCAGAGAAATTGAAAGCCACTGGTTTAATAAGTTTTCATTTCAAACTGATTCTTTGCAGCTATTTCCTACAAGAAACAAATGTGATATATTTTATTATTCATTCATTGTCTCTCTTTTCTATCCATATTATGTATTTTTAGGGCCATTTTCACCATCCTCCCACCCCAGGCAATACACACAGATAGAAAAATGCTTCACTAGGAATGGTCTTCCCTATGCCCAACTTTCTCATTAATATTAAAGCAGTTTCAGCCAACATAGTAGTTATTTATTTCAGCTCTTAGAGTTCTTCCTTCCATTGGTAATGGCCCTAAATCTTTTCCTATCTGATGAAATTTCCCTGAACAAAACATCGATGTTTCTAATTTGATCACCATTATATACTGAGTTCCTACCAGGTAGTATAGGCTGTATTTGTTAAATAAATAAATGAGTAAAGACGTACTAATAAGAATGATCCTACCTACCAGTATACCAGACTTTCCTAAAATGTCCCTTGCTACTAAATTGTTAAATGTTAAATCTGATTCTCACGGGACTAAAAGCATTCTCCCCTTAGATTGTCTAATTTAAGAGGTAAGGTAGAGAAAAGGCTGTCTTCCTGATTGCAAATATGTTAGGATGGGCTGCACGTTAAATCTGGCTAACAAACATGTTTTGTTTTGGCCCACACATTTTAATTAATATCCTATATTTTGGTATTAGAAATTGTCTCATAAAATTCGGCTTGTTTTGAAAGATCCTAAGGTCTGACAGTAGGTCCACAGTTGGCTGGAGACAGGGTGGCTGATTTATTTAGAAAAAACGTGTGTGAATCTTCCCTTTTTGTTTGTCTCTACTACTAAGTTGTGAGTTCCTTATAATCCTCATATCATTTTTATTATGCAGAACTCAAGATATATGTGTGGGATGAATGCATAAATAATGAATGGGCCAGAATTCGGTTTTCAGGACAGTTTTCAAGATGGCTTAAATAGGCATAGGGTTTATTTTTCTGTCTTCTTTCTCGCTGCATCTAGAGTTTGTCCCACAGAAATCTTATCTAAACTCATGACTTTAACTATCATCCCTACCATAAGGCAAAATCTCCAACTCTGCCCTGTCACCCGGACTCTAATCAGATATCTCTAACTGTCCCTCAACTCAGACTTTCTGAGTCAAAAGTTTAATCTGTTATCTCACCAAAACATGCTTCCCAACTGACTGCCCCTATATAGATATAGGGGCATATATGTACGTATATTGTTTTGAGGCAGAGTCCCACTCTGTGGCCTAGGCTAGAATGTAGTGGCGCGATCTCAGCTCACTGCAACCTCTGCCTCCCAGATTCAAGCAATTCTCCTGTCTCAGCCTCCCGAATAGCTGGGATTACAGGGGCCAGCCACCATGCCCGGCTAATTTTTTTTTTTTTTTTTTGTATTTTTA
Source organism: Homo sapiens (assembly GCF_000001405.40). NCBI lineage: Eukaryota > Metazoa > Chordata > Mammalia > Primates > Hominidae > Homo > Homo sapiens. The sequence continues at coordinate 73,024,565 of NC_000009.12, read as the reverse complement.
GTACAAACAACGTTTCCACATGTTGGCCAGGCTGGTTTTGAACTCCTGACCTCAAATGATCCTCCTGCCTTGGCCTCCCAAATTGCTAGGATTACAGGCGTGATGTCACCACACCAGGCTGCCCCAATGTTTTTCACCACTGTCACCGTCCTCCCATGCATATAATCTTGAAGCCTCAGCAATTTGAGATTCTTCTTTCTTCCTCATCAGCCACATTCAGTGAGTTATCAAGTCTAGTTTATTCATTCTTCAAAATATTGAATGTCTCTTTTTTATCCTCATTTCCTTCCTCTCTCCAAGAGCAAGTTTTACCATCTTGATAAACAGACAATTGTTCTTCCTGCCTCAAGCCTCTTGTTTTTCAATACAGATTTATTTATAATATTAACAAATATTTATCAAATGCCCACCATTTATTTATCAAATATCCTATCTTAGAAGTTAGGGATACAACAGTAAACACAAGCAACAGAGCCCCTACCCTCATGAAACTTACAGCCAGTTAGTGATACAAGCAAACAGAAAACACATATATAATAATATAATGTCAGGTAGTAATAAATTATATGAAAAAAGCAGAGTAAGGGAATAGGGAATGATGGACTAGAGAGGTACAACTTTACTTTTTAATAATAACACCTCTTTTAAACATTTAAATTTACATGTACTTAAGAGAAATTTATAGCATACATTTTCCCAGATTAAACTTCCTGAAACATTTGGCCATATGCCACTTCTCTATTCATCTATACAATCATTCATCTATAAAATAAATGGGATAAAATCCAAAGCACTTAGTGCAAGGTTGTTTAATCTGGCCCTAGGTACTCTTTCTTGCTTTTAGTTTATACAGATAAAACTCTAACAATATTGACTATTTTCCTGCTTATTATGCTTTTCTACATGATTCATTAAAAGCCTCTCTCCTCTGGCGATTCTTCTCTAACAATAATAATCTCTCTGTTCTAAGTCATTCAGTATGGTACGGAATCTACTTGTAATTAACTGTCTCCTTGTGGCTATTTCATATTTTATCTTTCCAGCTGAGTGACACACTTTTGAAAAATGACTGTTTGATATTACCTTGTACTATTCTCAGTACTGACTCTTCTCAAACTTACAAAATTGTTGACATTAACTTAACACATATTTGTTAAGTAGGTGTTGACTAACCAATTACATGTGTTGACCACAGTCAGCCTTTGTGGTCTCTCTAGCCACAACCTAACATCCTCTATCCTTTTCTTTTGGTGACATTAAGCCTATATCTGGGATAGAATCATTACTTGAGTTGCCTACGTATGCCATTTATTTCCCGCTTCAAAGCAGCGTGTCACTATAACTCAAACAGATCTTGTATCACTGCGTTAGAATGAAATACTTTTTTTAACAGGATGCCAGCTTTTCACACTTGCCGCAAGGGGGAGCAGCAGTTCTTTTCCAGGAAGCGGAATGACGCCATAGTTTCATTCCCCAGCAATTACCCAAACATTTAATTCTCCCCCATATGATTTCCATACATCTTTGTGTTTTTTTCTCCTGCATGTATTTACCACAACTAAAGGGACAGTCCCTCTTCACTTTAAACATAAATTTTTATTTTAGTTCACTTGATTTTATCCCTCTAACCACTTATACTTGAATTTCTACTCCGGTTCTTAATTTCTTTATTTTAAATTGAGCTCAATATCTAAAATGGCGCCAGTACTTTTTGGGAAATATTTATTGTTGGAGGCAATCATTGAAGAAGATATCAGAACAAGTAATTTACCAATGAATATCTGACATGCACAACAGATAACATATATTTTTGTTACTCAGCTTGCCCATAGTGTTGAGTGAAGGTAGGTATTTAACACTTGCCAAATAGGAAATGTTCTTAATGAAAACTAGGAATTCCAATACTGTATATATATATACCATTCTAGAGCTAGCAGGACTATTAGAAAAAATCTGGACCAACGTCTTCTAGTTTACAAATAAGGACAGTAAGTCCCAGAAGGTCAAATGACTAAGTTAGTTCAAGGGCTCATTCTGTTCCAATGGTCTTTCTATTAAGTTCCACTGTCTCTCTTGTGATATTAATTATAGAAACCGGCCTGTAGTTTCAACATACAGCTAAAATAGTTATTTCCAAAGGTCTGCCAATATTATGCTAAGGATTTTTATAAAAATGTTGTTTTGGGTTCTGAATACTACAAAACATCTTGTGCTCACACAGTGCTAAATATTACCTTGCAATTGTTACAGTTAACCAAGCAGTTCTGTATGTGCCAATTTGGAGGCTTAGGTGGGGTGAAAAAAAACAAGTTAAATAAAAATAGTAGCAAGAGAAATATTGAAAATATTAGTACCACATAGTATGATTTTCCTTATGTTAAAAAAGCTATATAAATGTGTAAATGCATGAATAAAGTTCTGTAAAGCTATACGGTGGGAACTGTGAATTATGATACTCTGGAGAGAGAGAGGGAGAAGGTGAAATGCCTTCTAGAAGGTGCAAAAATTGGCCCCATGGGATTCACTCCAGTCAGTGGGTCACATCAACACTCCCAGAAGCTAGACCACTGTCTGAGCTACTATACGGCCACTGTCATGAAGATGTTTTAGAATAAGGTATTGATGGAGATGGAGAGAAGTGGCTGGTACTAAGTTCTGAATACCACACAGTATTCTGATGCTGTGTCTACCTTCATAATGTTTGAGTTTTAACAACAAATATGCATACATTTTGAGTTTATGAACAACTAGAAGGCAAAAATCAAAATTATAAAAGAAAATTCCCCATTAGCATTACTAACAAAAGATATTACTTATATAAAAGGCTGTTTAACTTTATAACAAGATATCTATTATTTTCCCACTGAAAATATAGTCAATCAGTGATTAACCAGCACAGTAGTAAGAGCTCAAAATTCAGCTCTATAGTAGCTCTGTAATGGAATAATAGCTAAGTAAGAGTGGAACTGTTTTGCAGCCGTACTTAAAAAAGTCTTATAAGATATTTCCTAGTAGATCAATTACATTATACCTGCTATTCACCACAGTGAATATTCTCAAGAGATAAAGGTATTTAGGCTTTATTATTGTTGGTTAAGTTCAGGCTGTGGAGGTTTTCTCTTTCCACGAACACTTGGCTCATGACAATGGCCAAGCCCTGGAATGCTACTTCTAGGCAGCCATGTATAGATTTCTTATAATATTTTTATGTCCATTAATATACCATCATCTTTGCTTATTAAAAATGTAATTATATTAATTATTTTCTTTTATATAAACTGAACTCCATAGTTTCTCCTTTCTAAAATTAGAATGTAACAAAATAATTTTGAACTCAAATACCTATTCTTTGTTCTTTATATGATTTCGGTTTATTTTATTAAAGGGAAACCTTTAGCCACTCAATTTCCCCTACCACAATGCCTCACATTGCCGTAAAGGAAATGGTATTTCAGTCTCCATTCCCTAACACAGAACAGTATCAGAACAAACACTTCTGGCTCCTCCCTCTGCCTTGCCGTTTCTCCCTTGGATAGAGAAATAGCTTGCCTGTTTGGTAAATTCAGTGAGAATCTGGCATTCACTGGTGATAGCTTCCTATATTGGGGGAGATAATTGGTGTTGAAGTTCTTGTTCATGAATAGCCCTGAATCTTGTCTATTTCTTTTTCTCTTGGAGTGGTCCATCATCAGTGGAATATGTTTTCCTCCTCCAGCTCTTCTGTGTCCATCTGATACCTGCCTGTAGAGCACTCCTGCCTTTCTCTAGTTTCTCTGCTTTATGTTGGGGGAGATCGAATCCCAAAGAGAAGAAGTCTTCATATCTAATGTTTTCAGAATAATTCTGATCCTGGACTTTCATCTTTATTTATCTCTTAGGGTTGGTTCTAAATTTTTTAATAACCCGCAGGAGAAGATGTATATGTAATTAGAATTCTTTAAATGCCAGAATTGTATATCCAACTTTCTAATATATATCTTCTCTTGGATATTTAAAAGTAACTTCAAAATTGGTACATCCAAATTTAACTCATAATCTCCTCCCCAGAGTGAAAATCAATAAGCAATACACTGGTCCTCCTTCAACCATCCCCTAACTCAGTGGATGATATTGCTTTCTCTCTGGTTGCATGAGCCAGAAATCACAAGTCTTCTCTGACCTCTTTTCTCCTTCATTTCACATATCCAATTAATCACTAAATGTTTTATTTTTCCTCTTAAACAAACCTCAAGCCAGCCACATTTCTCCATCACTACCACAACACCTTATTCTAAAACACCTTCATGACAGTGGCCATAGTAGCTCTAATGGTGGTCTGGCTCTTAGGAGTGTGGGTGTGACTCCCTGGCTGGGGTGAAACCCATGGGGCCATGCAGGGAAAGAGTCATTGGCCCAGCCATGATACACAACATGAAACTGGACAATTAAGGACTCATAAATTGAACAAAGATTACAAATTGGAGGTTAAAAGAATTACAAAAGGATATGAATTATTTGTATGCCAAAATATTAGATAATCTAAATTAAATAAATAAATTCCTAGAAACGTACAAGCAATTAAGCCTGTATCATGAAGAAAAAGAAAATTTGAACAGACCTATGACTAGTAAAGAGATTGAATCAATAATCAGAATTCTCCCCACAAAGAAAAGCCTAGCACTAGATGTCTTCACTGGTGCATTCTACCATACATTTAAAGAATAATTAACACCAGTTCTCTTCAAATGTTTCCAGAAATTGAAGAGGAGGGAACACTTCAAAGTCATTATATGAGGCTAGCATTATCCAAATAACAAAGCCACACAAAGACACTATAAGAAAACTACAGATTAATATCCCTGATGAACATTGGTGCAGAAATCCTCAACATAATGTTAGCAAACTGAATTCAATTGTGTAGGTAAAGGATCGTGCACTGCAATGATTTGGTTTGTTTGTCCCCTCCAAATCTCAGGTTGAAATTTAAGCCCCAATGTTGGAGGTGAATCCTAGTTGGGAGGTCTTTGGGTCATGGGGCTGGATTCTTCATGAATGGCTTAATGCCGTCTTTGTGGTAATGAGTGAATTCTTGCTCTGCTAGTTCCCACAAGAGCTGGTTGCTAAGAAGAGCCTGATAACTCTTTCTCCTCTCTCTCTCTCTTGCCTCCTTTCTGGCCATGTGAGCTCTGCACATGCTGGCTTCCCTTCACCTTTTTCTATGAGTGAAAGCAGCCTGAACCCCTCATCAGAAACAGATGCTGGCACTATGCTTCTTACACAGCCTACCAAACCCTGAGCCAAATTTTGTTTATAAATTACCTAGCCTTAAATATCCCTTTATAGCAACACAAATGGACTAAGAGATATACCATGACCAATTAGAATTTATCCCTGGAATGGAACAATATTTCAATATATAAAAATCAAACAATGCAATCCACCACATGAATGGAATGACAGACAAAAATTTACTGATCATCTCAATTCCTATAGAAAATGTACTTGACAAGATTCAACAAGATTTTATTAAAAATAAAAAACTATGCAATAAACTAGGAATAAAAGCAAACTACCTCAACATAATAAAATTCATATATAAAAAGCCTATAGCCAGTGTTATACTTACTGGTGGAAGACTGAAGATTTTTCCTCCAAGATCAGAAAGAAGACAAGAATGCCCACTTTGCCACTTCTGTTTAACATAGTGCTGGAAGGCCTAGCCAGAGCAATTAAGCAAGAAAAAGAAATCAAAGGCAACCAACTGGAAAGGAAAAAGTAAAGTTATCTCTGTTCACTGATATGATTTTGCTGTAGAAAACCCTAAAGATTCCACCAAAAAGAAACTGTTAGAACTAATGAATGAAATCAGCTCAGTGGCAGGATACAAAATCAACATGCAAAAATTAGTTGTGTTTCTATACACTAACAAAGAACAACCTGAAAAGGAAATTTTAAAAATTCCGTTTACAATAGCATCAAAAAAAAAAAAAAAAGAAATACTTAGGACAAAACCTAACAACGAGGTGAAAGACTTGACTTGTATGCCGAAAGCCACAAAATGTTGCTGAAAAGAAGTTAAAGAGGACACAAATAAATGGAAAGACAGCTCATGTTCATGGATTGGAATATTTGATATTTAAGATGTCAATACTACCAAAAGTCATCCATAGGTTTAGTGTAATCTCTATCAAAATCCCAATGGTATTATTTGCATACATAGGAAAATCCATCCTGAAATTCATTTGAGATTGAAGGGACCTAAATAGACAAAGCAATATTGAAAAGAAAAAGGTTGAAGATCTCACACTTCTTGCTTTCACAACTTATTACAAAGCTATAGTAATCAAAACAGTATGGTACTATTTAGCATAAGACAGATATATAAGCCAATGGAATCAAATAGAGAGTCCAGAAATAAACTGTTGAATATATAGTCAAATGATTTTAGACCAGCATGCCAGGACAATTCAATGAGGAAAGGACAGTCTTTTCAGCAAATGGTGTTGGAATATTCACATGCAAAAGAATGAACTTGGATCCTTACATTATATCATATGTCAAAATTCAAAATGGATCAAAGGACCTAAATGGGAGAGTTAAAAACATAAAATTCTTAAAAGGAAGCATAGTGGAAAACTTTATGAGATTGGATTTGTTAATGATTTCTTGTGTATGACATGAAAATTTCAGGGTACAAAAGAAAAAATTGATAAATTGTACTATGTTATTCTTAACTTCTGCGTGTCAAAGGGCACTGTCAACAGAGTGAAAAAGTAACCTACAGAATGAGAGAAAATATTTGCAAATCATATATCTGACAAGTGGTAAATATCAAAAATACACAAAGTACTCGTACACCTCAACATAAAAAAAAACCCAATTAAAAAATGAGCAGAGGAACTGAAGACATTTATTCAAAGAAGATACACAAGTGGCCAATAAACATATGAAAATGCTCAACATCACTAATCATTAGTGCAATGCAAATCAAAACCACAGTGAGATACCACCTAATACATCTTCATCTCTCATCTGAACTACTGCCTCATTGCTTCATAATCAATCTACTAATTGTTCAATGAGTTCACCACATTATAACAAGAGGCATCATTTCCACACAAATGATGGCATTCTATTACTTTTTCACAAAGACAAAACTCCTAGCACAACCTGTAACAGGGATCAACAAACTTTCTCTAAAAACGATAAATATATTAGGTTGTGGTGAGCCTTATGGTCTCTGTTGCAACTGTTCAACACAGCTATCATAACAAAAAAGCATCCAGAGGCAATAGGCAAACAAATAGGTTTTATTAAACAATGAAAATGGCTCTTAGCAGAGAGGAGAGCTGGAGAGGGGACAGGATGGGCAGGTCATCTTCCCCCGAAGTCAGGTCATCTCTTCCATAGTCCACTGCCTCTTCCCTGAAGTTTGGCCATCTCTTCCCCAAATTCCAGTTGTCTCCTTGAAGTCCAGGCATCTCCCCCTTTATTTACTGAGTCTGGGCTCTTTATAGGCACAGGATGGGGGTGGGGTGGGCCATAGGTAGTTTTGGAAAAGGCAACATTCAGTTGGTAAAAGGACATTATTCAGAAAAAATCAATCAGGAGAGGGCGAGCAAATAGGAATAGAAGTTCTAACTTTTGGCCAGTTTTTTTTGTGTTTGTTTTTTTTTTGGTTTAAAGCTAGGATTTCACTGGACAGCCACCCCTGTCTGCCTAGAATTTCTCTTCCTCCTACCTCTATTAACATATTGTAAACAAGAAGCTACAGCTAAAGGCTAGATGGATTATAAATTAATCATTTGAGTGCTACAAAATAATATGAGCAGTATTATGCTGACTTTTGGTATAAAGTATATAACACAAATATGTGTATATATATAATAGAGGGTATCTATATGGATGTTTAATTTTGTCAGATGCCTTTAGAGATGATTATATAATTTATCTTCTTACATTTATTAATATTTATCCCAATAATGAAGCACTTTTGCATTCCGAGAGTAAACCAAATCTCATTGGGATATATTAATGGTGTAAGATTCTATTAGCTAATATTTTATTTAAGATGTTGACATCAATATTAATGTGTTATTATCCTATAATTTATTTTTTCAATTATTAATTTTAAAAATCATCATTAATCTTTTTTCATAAAACAAATTTGGACATTTTTATTTCTTTTCTATGCTCTGAAGCTATTTAAATACCACTAGTATTTTCTTTTCATTAAGGTTGGTGAAATTTTCCTGTAAGCATTGTTTTTGCTGCATCTTATAAATTCTGGCATATAATGTCTTAATTATTATTGTTTTTAGCAATGCTGAAATTTTGTTTGTACTTCCCTTTTGACTCAATAATTATTTGATGGAAATGCTTATTTCCAAGTGGAAATTAATTGATCCTTTCTAATTAGTTGAACTGTGTTCAGGGAATATTATTTGCATTGTCTATTCTTTGGAATGTAATGAGGTCTTTTATGTGATCTAATAGAAGACCAATTTGGGTGAATGTTTTCATAAATACTTAAAAATCAGATATATTTGTTATTATTGAGGTACCTATCTTATCTTTAATATAAATTGTAGACTTCTTAGCATTATAGTGTTTTCTTCTTAATCTTGTTAAATTATTTTTAGGTGGAATTATACCTTGCAGTGTTATCAATCTAGTAGTGTTATCAACAATGTGACTTTTTAATATATTTTCCTGGAAACATATTGTCCATACTTTCATTTTAAACTTTCTGTATTACTTTTTTAAAGCCATACTTCACATTACAATGTGGAGTTTTGTTTCTGTTTTGTGAACCAATCTAAATATTTGCATTTAGTAAGTTAAAAACAAGCCATTTACATATTGCTATAACATATATTTTAACTGGATTCTACCATTTTATATTATATTGACTATAAACATATATATGATATGTTTTTTTTGCTCATTTTTGGCAGTTCTGGTATTTTGGAAGATTTTCATTTTCTTTCTTTTCTTTATGTTTTGAAGCTTTTTATTTTTTTGTCTTTAGGTCACATTTCCAAAAAAGGACTTCTCTAACCTAGCTGGGACATTCTATGCCATGACTCTCAATCATTTATTCCTTTTATGTTTTCTCATATTATAATAAGTATCTGAAGTTACCTCATTGGTTATTGATTTAATAATTTATTGGTTCTGGCTGGACGAGGTGGCTTACGCCTATAATCCCAGCACTTTGGGAGGTCAAGGCAGGCGGATCATGAGGTCAGGAGTTCAAGACCAGCCTGGCCAACATAGTGAAACCCCGTCTCTACTGAAAATACAAAAACTTAGCCGGGCGTGGTGGTGGGAATGTAATTCCAGCTACTAGGAAGACTGAGGCAGGAGAATTGCTTGAACCTGGGAGGTGGAGGTTGCAGTGAGCAGAGATCGTGCCACTGCACTTTGGCCTGAGTGATAGTATGAGATTCCGTCTCAAAAAAAAAAAAAAGAAAAGAAAAATTTTTGGTTCCTTTCTACTATAAATTTCTTCTTATCAGAACTTCTCTCTCTCTCTCTCTTTCTCACTCACTCTTGCTCTGACTCTTTCTTCATGGTATAATTAGAGCTTGCAACAGTACACATTGGGTAACAGAAGATAGTTAATAAATATTATGACTGTTAATTGAAGCTACTTTTTAAATTTCTTTCAGCATACTTTTCCTAGTAGTGCCTCACTCATTTTAGGCACTCAGTAAGGATTTGTTACCGCTAAGTTGAAACTGTGAAGACTATAGCCTTATGTAAAATGTAAAATATTATTACGATAATGATAGCTAATACTCATGGAGAATTTACTGTATGCAAGGCACTGCTCTAAGCCCTACACATTTATTAACTCATTAATCCTCACAATAACTGAGTCACAGAGTGGTTAAGTAACTTTTCCAAAGTCGCAGAGCTGGTAGATTTGTTGATATTAGAAGGTATAAAGGCTATAACCATATTGAAGATGAGAAATGTCAGAAATAACGTCATCTTAAAAGTAGAAGATTACTACTACACTAATACTTTTTTTATTATTATATCTTATTTATGATTCTTATCTCCTGTATTATATTTTAAGCTTTCTTGAAAGCAGGCACTTTTAAAGTCCTCATAGAGCATAGAAGGGTGCTAAGTTAATAGTAACCAGAAAAGTAGCTTATATTTTCATGATACTTACTATATGCCAGACTTACTGCTTTAAATATATTAGCTCATTTAATTCTTGCAAGAGCAGGTACTATTATTTTTCCCATTTTACACATGATAAGTTAAAGCACAAAGAGATTCAATAACTTTCCTGAGGTTACACAGCTTGTAAATGGCAAAAGCAGAATTTGAAGCTAGCCAATCTGGTCCAAGGTCAGTGCTTTAAATCATTATGCTGTACTACTCACTGAGTGCTTGTGACTGATTAGAGACTCCAGTGATATGTATTTCATTACAGGTTTATAAGATTCTAGGCATGATTTCTCCACATGCTTATCTATCCAAGTCTCAGATTTATACTTTTAGATAAGCCACATAAAAACAAATCTGAGGTGTTAGTGAATCATACTAGGTGCATTAGGAAGTACATTTACAAACATTTACAGGTTTCAGAGACTATGGTTTATCTTTAGATAACATCGATCATTTAAGTAAGGTCAAATTTAGATTATTTTTGAGAATCACAGCAATGCTTTGCACTTATTCGATATTGTTCTTTAACCACTCTTCTCTAGATACAATGTAGGCAGGATATTACTAAAAATGACCACAAATTTGGAAACATTAATATTTTGAAAGCATACTTGCCAAAATAAACATCCCAAATTAGATATAGCTATTTTACTAAACAACATTATGATTCCTCTTCAGAAGTATTATTGTTTAAACCACTACCAATTTCTTTTATTTCCTACAGAATATTAATTTCATAATTCAAAAAAAGAAAATAAGAGATGATTAAGTGCAAATCTCATCAAGGCAAAACTTGTAATTTTGCCCATATTCCTGACCACAACTATATTAAGAGACAACAACAACAAAAAATGTTTTCCAAAGAAACAGAAGCAAGTGTTTAAAAACAATAACCACAATTACACACTACTGTTGAATCAAGCACATGTATAATGGGGCAAAAATACATTATAGCCACCAAAATACATATTTCATTGTTTGTGACTTACTAGATCACCACAAATAGATCTATTAATATGGCATTGGACTCACATAAGAAACTAGTACTACTCTTTAAAATTAAATGAAAAGATTATTTTCTTATCTACATATATATTGCATATTTAGTATTATAATAGTATTTATATACACATAGGATACATGTAGTATTTCAGATCAATAGCATTTTACATATTTTATATATAGTTTTCACATAGAAATATATAAAAATCATAGAGTATAACATAGGAGAATATAAAAAATTGTTACTAGAGAAAAAGAAAGATATTTTGTAATGATCAAAAGGGTTAAAGATAGTTAAAAACTAGAAGGAAATTAACCATTTACATCTTTGAATGCTACAAATGCAGAATAACTTTTTTCTCTTAAGTGTTTCTAATGTTTCCTTAATTTCTAGTATCAGCTGGTATAACGTTTAAAACATTACACAGTGTTACAAAATTCTGCTACAAAAAAATCAGATAAATAATTATTTATTTGAGAAGATTAGCAATTTGAAGTAGCAAACATCTCCTAAATGACCTGAAAACTATAACCCGTATAATTCCAAGTTTAGTATTTGGTTTGGCATTAAATAAGTTTCAGCACCCCAGTAACATAAATAATAAATTCATAGTACCTGTATTGAAACACTTTTATAAAATTCAGAAAATTACATCAAATAATGTTCTACAATGGCACACTAAAGGAATACAGGAATATCATATCATTTCTATAATTTGACATAATAACTAGCAATAACAGGTTAACAATATTGCCCTATCATATATAAGCAATGTACACACAAATTTATAATAACTAGTCCAAGTAACATAACTTAGCCTTATGGAAAATAACTATATATGTCTGAATGGGAGAAGAATAATAAAAAGTAAAGGGTCCTACCTTCTCAAAAACTAAAACCGAAAAGTATTTTCCATGTTTAATTAAATTATTTTGGTAGATAACAGACCTTCCCTACTGGGTTAAATCCAATCACAACTTTCTAGGCCAACGATTAACAGATGCTGACATCTTCATTCAAGAACAGCCAGGAAAGGTGTATGCATTCCAAAAAAAAGAAATTTAAAGATATAAAGCAATTTGTAGAAGTTAATATCATTATCCATTCTAGGCTTCTTATTCTTGTCAGAGAGGAGAAGTGCTTTCTTCTGGGTTGTCTCCGTCAATTCTCCTTCTTAACTCCATAGGAATTCAAGGCTTAAAGTTCTTTGGCTTTTAAATAAACATATGTCTTCATAGGTGGGGAGGAGGCCCAACTAGCAATTTTGAATCATTTCCTTACAATTCTCAGAAGTTCCACTTTGGCCAGACTCATTAAAGAGAATGACAAATTTCTATCTTTAACAAATTTCATTTTAGGACAGTTCTTTTGGGGCGGGGAAAACAAGATAAAAGAAAAAATATCAACAAGTGGAACTGATATTTGGACAAGAAAGGAAAGAAATATTGGAATTTAAATGGAACATTTCCAGGAACAAGAGCACAAGCATACTTTCTCATCCTCTTCTTGCTCTTCAGTCTGATATGGTGATCCAGATGGGACACCCACTTCCCAGTTAGTTGATTCTAGCCATGGGCTTCCATCCTCTGAATAAGGGCATGGGTTTCTAGTCTCTGCATATGGAGGGGATCCTCTCATTTCAATGTGTGGACCTTCATAGGATGGAGTAGGATACGTTTTATCTCCTTCACTGTGTCTGATTTGGGGACCACTGAGTTGAGGTGTAAGTGTTTGCATTGCAAAAGAAAGGCAAAATAGCCTGAAGATAATTTCATCCTCATGAGAGACTTTTTGGGCTCCCTACAAATTCTTCCTGAAATAGCTGATGCTGACTCACTTGCTCTGGGAACACATTTATTGTGTCCAAATTTTTCATGGCACGTGATTATGAGATCTTAGATTAGTAATGTTGCTTGGCAACACAACAGCATCCCTAGACTTTTTCAATTTGACTTACCTAAATTCAAGTTTCAAACTTGCAGAAAGAGCACAGATGGCTTTAAGATTTAGCATTTTATATTTATAAGAAAGAATATATGTGTGTATATATATATTTGATTCAAATTTATGCTCCAGCATAAGAAATTCCAAGTTTTTCTGCTAAGCAATTCCATTTATATCTATGTTGAATGTCCTTGCCATTTCCTCCAGTCTACATCCCAGCTGTTCTCATCACTACCCACATTCAAAAACTCTCTCTTCATATGCATTTTTAGTTATAATTTCTTCTCCAGAAAGGAATGTGCAATAATCCGAGTAATGTCTTCATATTCACACCATAACATGATAAAAGAAGGAAGGAATAAAGGAAAGAAGGAAGGGAGGGAGGAGAAAGACAAGAAGGAAGGGAGGGAAACAGACAGGAAGGGAGAGAGAAAGAGGAAGTTTGCATCCAAACTTTTATTCAAGAAATTGATTTTTTTAATGTGGCCAATACTTCTCTTAAAATAATTTATATAGAGAGTAAATATGTCTAAGATTCAAACACAATATAATAAGGGTAGAGTGGACATTTCTTCACAATTTGGCATAACAATAACTGCAAACAATTTTCAACAAAAGTATTTAGCACAGTATTATTTATTAATGCAAGTTATTGAAAACATTTAAAACATTTCAAATGTGTCAGTGTATGTATAACAAGGGCAGTAGAAGCAAAATTTATAAATACTGTGATCATGAATAATTTTATTTTATTCTTTTTTATAAATTTTCCACAATAAATACACACAACTTCTGTAATATTAAAAATAAGCCAGTTTAAGATTCTTTTATAAATGTTGTGCAGTAGAGTAAATCGATGATTAGTTTCATTCTGTGCTGATTATTAAGCTACTCCGTGTCATGTCCTATCTTACCCTTCTGGCTTAGTTTTCTGATACTGAGGTTGCAACTCTGCAAATAATCTTACCCCCTCCTAGCTGCTTTCCTGTTAAAGCCTACCAATGAAGGAGCTAACGGAAATTTAAAGGCAGAAATAAGAGAAGGAACATGGTCTTCCTATTTGCTTGTTGTTTCTGTAGGTTTTGTCCCAGCAGTGCCCCGGCTTCCTTCAGCACTCCCAGAGCAAGCCTTCCCATACCCCATTGGTAGTACTAGCATGAAGCAGGCAAGTACCCTTTCTTCAGAGATCTGATTCCCAGCTACCATTTCCATTTATTGAGTCACATCTAAAACTGCCAAATTTGAGTGGAGACCAGAGCAAGCGAAGGCTCTGCAGCAAGTCCAGACTGTAGTGTGAGCTACACTTCCCCTTGAAGATCAGCAGCTGTTCCTAAGATCTTAAGTGTCTGTGGTATACAGAGGCACCACATGGAGTCTCTGGCAAGCCCTGATAGGAGGATTACAATGCAGACCTCTAGGGGGGTTTGGGAGCAAATCTATGTCTTCAACATATTTGCTTCTTTTTTTGAGAAACAGTTACTGGAATGCTTTTGATCTTTGTAGAGCCTGAAAGCTTGACCAAGGAACATCAAAATAACTGTGCAATCTGAACTGCCCCTCATAAACTGGGTGTTATATGGTCCACCAAGCCATAAGTTTAGCAAGCAATTAATCATCAAGTGGACATGCTTTTAAGAGATGTACATGAGAAGGTGGTTCAATGCCTCAATTTGTCCTTCACGTCCTTTGAGACCTACTCCATCTTCATTGTCTTCTCTCACTCAATCCAAGGGAATTCCTTATAACTGAGAAAGAAAACCTTGAACTTAGTTTACAGATGGTTAGATCCCAAGGGAGGAATGTACACATAGACACCAAAAACTCCATTAAACTGGAAGTTAAAACTGTAGCCTGGACACCTGGGGCTCATGCCATTGAGCCAACACTTGAAGGAGGTTGTTGTATGGAGAAGAGCAATTGATGTTCATTACCAAAGGGAACCTGAGCAGCTTCCAAACAGTGAGGGAGGCAGAGAGCACAATGACTGGATTCTCTGAGCACCTATTAACACTTTATGTCCAGGCCAGGCACAGTGACTCACACCTGTAATCCCAGCACTTTGGGAGGCCAAGGTGAGTGTATCACTTGAGCTCAGGAGTTCAAGACCAGTCTTAACAACATGGCGAAACCCTGCTTCTACCAAAAACAAAACAACAACAACAACAAAAACACAAAACTTAGCTGGGCATAGTGGCATGCACCTGTAGTCCCAACTACTCGAGGCTGAGGTGAGAGGATTGCTTGAGCCCTGGAGGTCGAGGCTGCAGTGAGCCAAGATCATGCCACTGCACTTAGAATACTAAGCAACTACACAAAGGCCCATTACTGAGGATTCACATCCTTCAGAAACAAAAATTCAGATAAGCCCACTAGTACAGAAATCTAGTTAGCTGAGGACAAGGGGGACATGGAATAGACATGAAAAGACAAAAGTTAGAAACGTTAACCATGCTCTCGTGATTAGTTTCAGAAATGAGGACAAGAGCAGTGATATAAGCTTTCTTCCTTTCTTGTTACTTATAGGTATATTCATAGTAATGCATATTAGCTAATTTATATTTATTTTCTTTCTCTTTTTCTCTCCTTATTTTACATAGAGCTTATTGGATCATGGTGTTTTACACTTCAGACTTTATATTACCAATTTCCAGGTGGGACTGTGACAGAATTTGAGGAGCAATCAACATCAGTCAGAAATTGATACCGTGACTCTTTCTGGAAATTGTTACTATGGTTGGGACTTCATGGCTTTCTCTTTTAGAGAGAGGAGAGAGCAAAGGATGGATAGTTCCTTCATCTTTCTAGACAATAGCATAGCTTTTGCTTTATGGAAATTCAAAAATTCATAGAAAGGTGTATAGATGTAGAATGGTCAAAGGGGTAGACTATGCCAGTTTATTAAACTAGCTTTTCTCAGTTCCAAACTCTTCATTCTATGCTCAGCGGAGACTCTGCTATCTACTTTTCTCCCTTGCCAGATTGTGTCTTTCTAGGTTCTGTTAGTAGAATGCACTGGCGGGAGAACGGAAGGCAGAAGGGAAGAAAGCAGACTCCACCCTACTTGCTTACTGTTCCTTCAGCATTTCCCTACTCAGATCCTTTTCCCTAGCAGCAGCAAAAACATCTTAAAAGACAACAGAGTAAGACAAGCAGATTCTTCCCCTGAGCTGTGTGGATCTCAGCTCTTGGGACCCCCTCCCAGCATCTGGGCTCTGATAACCCATCCCAACACCTTCTTGTTTCCCTCAGCCTACTGGCAAAGCTACTTCCTGCAGTTAATTTCTCTGTTCCCTTCATGTTCCTTTTTTACTACTTTAGCTATTCATCATACTAACTTCTTTCTGTTATAATTATTGTGGTTTCTGATTTCCTGACTGATATGAGTACTTATTACAAGGGCCAGATACTGTATTTTACATATATTGTTTTACTTAATCTTCACAAACCCTGTGAGGTCTTGTGTGTGTGTGTGTGTATTCCAGTATATTGGATATATAATATTCAATCATATATATATATATATAAAATTCAGTGTATTGAGGCTGATAAAATTGAATTTAAACTTTTTTCTTTTAACATACCCATCTTCATAAAGGAATGTTAAAACTTGGATTTGAACACACATTAGATTGACCCAAAAGCCTACCAACTAAATAAACCCAAAAGCAACCAAATAAACAAATGTGGTATAGCCATACAAGGAAATATAATTCAGCAACAAAAAAGTGAAGAATTTATACATGCTAAAAAATGGACGAATCTTGAAATTATCATGTGGAAGAAACCAAACACAAAAAGTAACATGTTGTATGATTTCCTTTATATATGAAATGTTCCGAATAGGCAAGTATACAGACACAGAAAATTGATTAGTGTTTGTCAGGGGCTTAAAGTGATTAACTCCTTAGTTTTCACTCCAGGAAAATGGTTATTTTACATTTGTTAACCAGCTTCAAATCAATTCAGAGAATGGTCCTGGAGTTTTGTGAGTAAACCACTATTTTACGTATAGTGCTTGTATTTTCCTCAAAATGCTGCCACACAGAGAGCACTGTAATTTTCCATGCTATTGCTATGTTGATCTCAGACCTTGAAAAGTAGCTTTGATCCAGGACTGAAAAGAAGAGAAAGTGGTGCATTTCACGCAAAAGGAATTATGGATGGCTAACAACATTAATAAGATGCTCAACTTCACTAACAGAATGTAAACAAATGAATGTAACAATAGAATATCACCACACACACACTCAGACAGGCAAACATGAGCATGGTAACAAGAGAGGAAGGAAACTCTCATCTATCACTGGTGGAAGTACAAACAGATATAGCCTTTTAGAAAAACATTCTGGTGCTATGTGTTAAAATTAATAATCCACATAGCCTCGTATTCAGTAACCCCACTCTTAGTTTTCTATACCATAAAAATAAAAGTTTCAATGCATAAGGATATAGTGACAAAGAGATATTTGACAATTTTGGAAACAAATTAAAGGTCTACACAATGAGGCATAATTTAATATACTGGGGTAATTTCATACATTATTACCTAGTCATTAAAAAGAATGACCCAGATCTATATATATTTCCCTGGAAATATGTTCTTGATAAACACCAAAGGAAAAAAGCAAGTACGGAGAAATAAATACAATATTCTATTTATGTAAAACAAAGTGGCAAAATGTGTTTCATATGTACCACGCATATTTGTATGTATGTGTATATGAATCTAAAATAATGGAGAAAGTTACAGAAACACATATACCAGATAGTTAACTTTTGGTTGCATAATCGGTGAGTGGGGGACCAGGTGGGGAGGGTAGGATGGAGTACAGGGAGAAGATATGTCAGTTCACAAAAAACAACTGTATTTATTAAATATGTGTCCCAGTATGTAAGATATTTTTCCATTTATGCTGTTTTATACATAAGTGTGATATTACATAAAAATACATAAATGAATTTAACCAAAATACTACAAATCAGTATATGTAAGAGTAGCAGGATTTCGAAGGACTTTTTTCATCCTTCCCTATAATTTGGTGTATTCTTTGAAGTTTTACAAAGATTATGCATTGTTTATATAATCATACAATCAATGGAGTGTGGGCCTCCCCCTATGACTTAGTACCCCTGCATTTTTTAGCTCTCAGACTTGTTCGCATTGAGACTCCAACAATTTGTTAATTACAACTTAGATTTTCCTAGCCTGGAATTGATTCCCATGCAGGTTTCTGGTACAGTAAGTTGTAATTCTCTATATCTGCCTGTCTCTAAAATTTTGGAGTAGCAGTTTTTCCTATGACCTCACCTCTCTAATGGATTTGGAAGAGTTGATTTTTAAGTTTGTCCAGCTTGTTACTTGTTGTTACAATAAAGTAGTAACAACATGCTACTGCTATGTTGATCTCCGACCTTGAAAAGAAAAGTAGCTTTGATCCTGGACTGAAAAGAAGAGGAGGTGGTGCATTTCACAGAAGAGGAATTATGGATGGCTAACAACATTAATAAGATGCTCAACTTCACTAACAGAATGTAAACAAATGAATGTAACAATAGAATATTACCACACACACACTCAGACAGGCAAACATGAGCATGGTAAGCTCCTTGCATGCTGAACCAGAAACCAGAAGTCTGAGCAGGTAGATTTTCCAATGGGTTTATTATTGGCAATGAATATTTAATTGATCACATTATATTTTCAGCTCTATGAAAATTAGAAAATAAGAGAAGATACTTACTATATGAATATACTATAATAAACTGAAGGTTATAAGGCACTTTCTCTAAATCCCATAATAAACATTTGTCTTTTTGTATTATTATTTTATTTTATTCTATTTTTGAGATGGAATCTTGCTCTGTCACCCAGGCTGGAGTGGAGTGGTGCCATCTCTGCTCACTCCAACCTCCGCCTCCCAGGTTCAAACGATTCTCCTGCCTCAGCCTCCTGAGTAGCTGGGACTA
Source organism: Homo sapiens (assembly GCF_000001405.40). NCBI lineage: Eukaryota > Metazoa > Chordata > Mammalia > Primates > Hominidae > Homo > Homo sapiens. The sequence continues at coordinate 73,005,484 of NC_000009.12, read as the reverse complement.
CAGGTGCACGCCACCACTCCTGGCTAATTTTTGTAATTTTAGTAGAGACGGGTTTCACCATATTTGGTCAGGCTGGTCTCGAACTCCTGACCTCAGGTGATCCACCCACCTTGGCCTCCTAAAGTGCTGGGATTACAGGCATAAGCCACCGCACCCAGCTGGAATTTTATCTTTATGTGGTATTTAGAACATATATTTAGAATACATAAAGCAGTAAGAAGAACGTTTATTTTTCCTTTTGAAACACACAATTTGCTAGATCCTTTAGACTTTTAACAAAAGTGATTTAATTTGACTTGCAATAAGTTTCAGAATGCAATTTATATACATTATTTTGCTTATAACAGAATATCTAAAATTGGGTAATTTATAAAGAAAGGGAATTTCTTTCTTATAGAAAAAAAAAAGCTTTCCTATTCTTAAATTATTGAATAGTTAACAATTTGCTCAGGGATTGCATCTGGTGAGACCATTCTTTTTAGTGGGGACACTGCAGCACCCTGAGGTAGTTCAGAACATCATGTGGTGAGGGGGCTAAGCATGCCAACATGCTAGCACAGGTCTCTCTTCCTGTTCTTATAAAGCCAACAGTTACCCTCCGAGGACAAACCATTAATCCATTAACTCATTAATGCATTAATCCATGAGTGGATTAATGCACTCATGATCCAATCACCTCTTAAAGGTCCCACCTTTCAATACTGCCACATTGGGGATTATGTTTCAACATGAGTTTTGGAGGGAACATTCAAAATAGGGCAGAGACTTAATAGAAACAATGTACAACCGGCCGGGCGCGGTGGCTCACGCCTGTAATCCCAGCACTTTGGGAGGCCGAGGCAGGCGGATCACGAGGTCAGGAGATCGAGACCATCCTGGCTAACACGGTGAAACCCCGTCTCTACAAAAAATACAAAAAATTAGCCAGGCGTGGTGGCGGGCGCCTGTAGTCCCAGCTACTCGGGAGGCTGAAGCAGGAGAATGGTGTGAACCCGGGAGGCGGAGCTTGCAGTGAGCCAAGATGGCACCACTGCACTCCAGCCTGGGCGACAGAACCAGACTCTGTCTCAAAAAAAAAAAAAAAGAAAGAAACAATGAACAAGCTTCAAAAACAGATAGATAATGTAAGCAGAAAGATGCAAATTCTAAGAAAGCATCAAAAAGATATGCCTTAGATCAAGAACAATGAAACAAATGAATTCCTTTGATGGGCTTATTAGTAGATTGGACACAGCTGAAGAAAGAATCACTGAGCTTCTGGATATAACAATAGAAACTTCCAAACTGAAAAGCAAACAGAAGAAAGATTGAAAAACACAGAACAGAATATCGAAGAACTGTGGGACAGTTCAGAAGGTATAACATATACATAATGGAAAAAAACTGAAAGAAGAAAAAATATTTGAAACAATAATGACTGAAAATTTCCCCAAATTAATCTCAGACACCAAACCAAACCAAAGATCTAGGAAACTCGGGGAATAACGAGCAGAATAAATTCCCAAAACCCTACACCTAGATATACCATATTCAAACAACAAAATCAAAGGCAAGGGAAAAATCTTGAAAGAAGCCAGATGGAAAGAACACCTTACCTATAGAGGAACAAAGAGAATTACATTTGACTAAGTCAACTCTTTAAGCACTGGAAAGGGGCTCAGAGCTATTTGGACAGGGAATTCAGGCTTCTGCTACCCAGATCGTGGTCTAGGAGGGAAAAACATTTTCCTTAGTCCCAAGGACAACTTGCCCCTTGACTTACTAATGCAGGGATTCCTTCTCTCTGGGTGTAGGGACAGGGCTTCTATTAGATTACCTGCCACAATCAGACCTCAACAAATCATGATTGAATGAACCATGCAAGCAAGAAGAAAATGGAGTAAAATATTCAAAGTGTTGAGAGAAAATAAATCCACCAACTTAGAATTATATACCCTTCAAAAGTGAAGCATATATAATTAACATATACCCTTGAAGGGTAAATAATTAATATATACCCTTGAAAGGTAAATAAATAATCCTTCAAAAGTGAAGGAGAGGCCAGGCACGGTGGCCCACCCCCATAATCCCAGCACTTTGGGAGGCTGAGGTGGGCAGATCACCTGAGGTCAGGAGTTCAAGACTAGCCTGGCCAACATGGTGAAACCCAGTCTCTACTAAAACTACAAAAAAATTAGACGGGCGTGGTGGTGGGGGTTTGTAATCCCAGCTATTCAGGAGGCTGAGGCAGGAGAATCGCTTGAAACCGGGAGGCAGAGGTTGCAGTGAGCCAAGATCACGCCATTGCACTCCAGCCTGGGCTACAAGAATGAAACTCTGTCAAAAAAAAAAAAAAAAAAAGGAAGGAGAAATAAAAAGTTTCTCATACAAAAAAAAATTGAGGAAACTTGTTGCCAGTAGACCTGTCTTATAAGAAATTTAAGAGAAGTTCTTCTGAGAGAAGGAAAACAATATAGGTCAAAAACTCAGATATTCATAAAAAATGAAGAACATCAGAGCATAATTGAAAGCAAAAAATTTTCTATTATTAATTGATCAAATAGTTAACAGTTTGCTGAAAATAATAACGGCAGCAATATATTTGATTATATATGCATATAAATGTATGTGTGTGTGTATATATATGTTCTTATGTATAAATGAAATGAATGACAGTAATTATACAAGGTACAGGAGTAAGGAATTAGGAACATTTCATTATTATAAAATATTTGCACTACCCATGAAGCAGTACAGTGTTATTTGAAAATAGATTTAGATTGGTTGTAAATGTATAGCAACCACTAAAAAAGGTTAAAAAAAGTATAATTAATATGATAAGAAAGGAGAGAAACGAAATCATATAAAAGATTTAACTAAAACCACAAAAGGTGGAAAAGGTGTGGAAGACCAAAATAGAAACAGAAAACAAGGGTAACAGAATACAGTAAAAAATATAGTAGATACTAATTCAACTATATCACTTTAAATGTCAATCATCTAAATATACCAGTTAAAAAACAGAGATTGTCTGAATGAATAAAAAAAAACAAGACCTAAATATATATTATCTACAAAAAAAAACTACTTTAAATATAAAGACAAATATAGATTAAAAGTAAAGTAAATATTAATGGAGAAAAATATATCATGCTAACAGTAATCAAAAGAAAGTGGGAGTGGCTACATTATTTTCAGACAGATCACATTTTAGAGCAAAAAAGTTATCAGAGGTAAAGAGAGGCATTATATAATGGTAAAGGAATCAAAACTCCAAGAGCACATAATGATTGTTAATGCGTATGTACCTAACAGCCAAGTGTCCAAATATATGAGGCAAAAGCTAATACAACTTTATTGAGAAATAGATGAATCAACTAATATGTTTGGAGACTTTAACACCCATCTGTCAGAGCTATAAGTCGGATAGATTTAGCAGGCAGAAAATCAGTGAGGATATAATTGAATTCAACAGCACCGTCAATCAACTGAATAAAACTGACATCTAAAGACTACATCTAACAATAGCAGAATACATATTATTCTCAAGCTAACATGGAACATTCACCATGATAGGCCACATTTTTGACCATAAAACATAACTGAACAAGTTTAATAAAACTCCCACTCCTTTTTACCTAAATGAACTGAAAACATGTCTACACAATAGCTAGAAAGTTCCAAAATACTTAAAGATTAAGCCATACCTTTCAAAATAACACGTGTCCAAAAATAAATCCCGAGTAATTTAACAATATTTGAACTAAAACAAATTGAAAATTCAACTTATCAAAATATGTGAAAAGCATTTAAGCAGTGCTTAGAGAAAGATACATAGATTGAATGCATATATTAGAAAAAAAGAAAGATCTAAAATTGATCATCTAAAGTTTCACCTTAGAAAACTAGAAAAACAAATTAAACCCAAAGTAGCAGAAGAAAAAAAAACAAATTAGAGAAAAAAGTAATGAAATTGAAAACATGAAATCAATGGAGAAAATCAATAAAACCAAAAATTGGTTCTTGCCAGGCTAGCTAAAAAAAAAAAAAAAAAAAAAAAAAAAAAAAAAAGACAGACATTACTTACATGAAAAATTAAAGATGGGACTCATATCTGTAATCCCAGAACTTTGGGAGGCTGAGGTGGGAGGATCACTTGAGCCCAAGAGTTCAAAACTAGCCTGGGCAACATAGCAAGACCCCATCTCTACAAATATATATTTTTAAATAATCAAGGATGGTGGTCTATGCCTGTGGTCCCAGCTACTGAGGAGGCTGAGGCAGGAGGATTGAGCCCAGGAGGTTGAGGCTGCAGTGAGACATGATTGTGCCACTGCGCTCCAGCCTGGGTAACAGAGTGAGTTACTGTCTCAAAAAAACAAACAAATAAGTAAATATATAAAATTAAAATTAAAGATGGGACATCAATGTAGAACCTATGAACATTAAAGAAAATAAAGGAATATTATGAACAGCTCTATACCCCAAAATTCTACCAATTTCTTGAAAGACACAATGTGCCAAAATGTACACAAGAATAAATAGACAATATGAATAGGCTTATATGTAATAAAGAAATTGAATCAATAATTAATAACCTTCTAAAACACAACACCCTAAGTTGGTTCCCCAGTGAATTCTGTCAAACATTTAAGGAAGAAATTGTATCAATTTTCTACATCTCTTCCAGAAGCTAGAAGCAGAGAGAATACTTCATACCTCATTTAATGAGGCCAGCATTATCTCAGTATCAAAACCAGAAAAAGACATTATAATAATCAAAAACAAATTTTAGAACTAGTGATTATAGCAAGGTTGCAGGATATGAGGTTAATATGCAAAAGTCAATTGCATTCTTATATACTAGCGATGAACAAGTGGAATTTCAAACTAAAAACTTGTTAGCATTTACATTAGCACTCCATAAAAAATGGAATACTTTAAATGTAAACAAAATATGTACAAGATCTATATGAGGAAAACTGCACAACACTTATGAAAGATAACAAAAAGAATTAAACAAATGAAGAGATATTTCACTTTTATAGCTAGAAAGACTCAATATTATCAAGATATAAATTCTCACAAATTGATTTATAGAGTGAATAAAATTACAAACAAAATTCCAGCAAGTTATCTTGTGGATTTTGACAAACTGTTTCTAATGTTTACATGGAGGGGCAGAAGACCCAGAAGAGCCAATTTTATGTTGAAGAAGAGAAACAAAATGGGAGGGCCTGCACTACTAGACTTCAAGACTACAGTAAAGCTTCAGTAATCAAGACAGTATGGCACTGGCAAAACGATAGATAAATACATTAATGGAACACAATAGAGAGCCCAGAAATAGACCCACATACATAGAGTCAACTAATCCTTGACAAAGGAACAAAGGCAATACAAGGAAGCAAAGATAGTCTTTTCAACAAACAGTGCTGGGACAAATGGAAGTCCGCATGCCAAAAAATAAGTCTAGGTATATGCCTTACAGCCTTCACAAAAAAATAGCTCAATGTGGACCACAGATCTAAATGTAAGAAGGCAAAACTGTAAAACTCCTAGAAGGTAACATAGGAGAAAACCTAGATGATCTTGGGTATAACACTGACTTTTTAGATACACCCTTAAAGGCATGACCCATGAAATAAATAAATAATAAGCTGAACTTTATTAAAATTAAAAACTTCTGGTCTGCAAAAGAAAATGTTTTTAACAATGAAATGGCAAGCCACAGACTGAAGAAAATATTTGCAAAAGATACATCTGATGAAGGATTATTATCCAAAATATACCAAAAAACTTTTAAAACTCAACAATAAGACAACAGACAAGTTGATTAAAATCTGGACAGAAGTCCTGAACAGACAACTCACCAAATAAAATTTACAGATGGTAATAAACAGAGGAAAAAGTGTTCAACATTCTATGTCAGTAGAAAATTGAGAATTAAAACAACAATGAGATACAACGACATACCTATTAGAATGTCCAAAATTCAAAACACTGATAATACCAAATGCTGGCAAAGGTGTGGAAGAAGAAGGGCTCTTGTTTATTGCTAGTGGGAATGCGACATGGTACCGACACTTTGGAAGATAGTTTAGCAATTGCTTATAAAACATACTTTTACCATACGATCCAGTAATCACACTCCTTGGTATTTACCCAAAAGAATTGAAAACAAGTTCACACAAAAATCTGCATATGGATGTTTACAGCAGATTTACTTATAATTGCCAACACCTGGAAGCAACCAAGATGTTCTTTGGTAGGTAAATAGTACATGTGGTACATTCGGACAATGGAATATTACTCAGTGCTGAAAAGAAATGAGTTATCAAGCCATAAAAAGACATAGAGAAAGCTTAAATGCATATCATTAAGTGAAAAATATCAGTCTGAAAACGCTACATACTGTATGACTACAACTACAGGGAAGTCTGGAAAAGGCTAAATTTTGCGGTAAAATGATTAGTGGTTGCCAGGGTTTGCAGGAGGAGAGAAGAATAGTCACAGCACAGAGGACTTTTAGGGCAGTGAAACTGTTCTGTATGATAGTGCAATGATGGAGCCATGTCATTATACATTTGCCCAAACCCGCAGAATGCAGAACACCAAGAGCGAACCCTAGTGTGAACTACGGACTTGGGGTGATAATGATGTGTCAGTGCAGGTTCATCAATTGTAACCAATGCACCCTTCTGGTGTGGGAAGTCAAATAGCTGGCAGTTGTGCCTCTGTGGAGAAAGAGGGTGTATGGGAGTTCTCTACACTTTCCACTCAATTTTGCTATGATGTTAAAATTTATTGTATATCCTTAATTAAGAACCTATTATTCCCCCAAATTTTGCTAGATGTTGAAAATTCGAGGATGAGCAAGATATCGTTTGTATTTCCCTAGATCTTGGATTCATTTGGAACAATATTCACGTAAACAAAGAACTGTAAAAAAAGTGATGAAATTGCCACAATGCAGGTATATAAAAATGTTCACCTCGTTTATGCATTCTCATTTTTCAATTATACTTAATATAAAAAATATTTAAATGTTTTCATGCATTTGTATGCCTTCAGTCATCAAGTAAAATGTATTTTAATGTTACTACTGATATTTTTTCTAAGAAAGGTAGCTTATAAAAATGACAAGTTAAATGAATTTTTAGTTCACTTCTAAATATTATTATTTTAAAATGAAGAATAACTTGTAGAATTATATGTATATGTTATATTTAATAATATAAAGAATCATCTATATATTATATTTAATAATATGCTTAATAATAAATTATATTTAAGAATATAATTATACATACCTAATTACATTTTATATTTCTATTGGAAAAGCTTTTTAAAAAATGCTTTGTGGAATTTTCCCCTCTCTTCTCACTCTTACACCTTCCCTTCCTCAGTGTCAAAGCAAGTAAAGTCTTACATTTTTAAAAATAGAAATAATAACAATAACAAAAAAGGAAAGGAAAGAAAGTCAGAAACACAACATTAACAGAATGCATATTTAACCAAGTCTGGGAGATCAAGCCAGACAGCACTTGGTAAATACTCTTTGGAGACAGTAATGCTCAAAGGTTGTGTTTGCTGTTGTGCTTGACGTTTGTTTTGCGTGTGATCTAAGACACCAGATGACCAGTAATCTCACTTGCCCTTTCTTTTTCTACTCTCTGTGGGCTCTGCATACACCTCCTTCCCCTGCAACCTTGCCTGCCCCTGGCCATCGCCCAGCTCACTGTTCTTCCAAAGATGTCTGGGATGGTTAGGATTCAGCAGGTCACACCTTAGCCTGTCAGGACCTGGCGCCTCCCGTGCCCAGCATTAGTCCATCGCTTCATTTCACCTCCAAAGAGCCCAGCGACAAGTCTGCCTTGTTAGACACAGATCTCAGTGAGCCCAAGGCAGCCAGCAGTTTCCCGTTTGGTTTCCTGTCATATCTCCTTATGTTTTGGCAGTCTGAGATATCCACAGTTCCTATTAACCTCAGCAAGGGCCATGCCAAGGAGGATGAATTGCTGGGGTAGACGACTTCACTCAAGGGCTGTAACATTCAGTCTGCACAAGGTCAGCATTTACAAACTGAGTATGGTTGGGTTTTAGTTTGGTTTATTTCAAATCCCCAGCCTTTTACTAAAGTTATGCAAGTTAAGGGAACCTGTCCATGGCACTTCGGTTTACAAGGTTTAATTTAACTTATCACACATTATCAGTTTTGAGCTTCACAACAATCCTGCAAGATAGATGGGTAAATATTTCCCACATTCCATTGGATTTCATTCATTTGTTATCCATTCATTCATTTAACAAACTTCTTTGAGAATCTGCTCTGTATCTAGCACTGCACTTGGAGTGGAACTACAGACTAACATGTTCTTACTCTCTATGGACTGCTAGTCTTACAAGAGAAGCAAAGAATTGGGTAAATTCTGCACAAAATGCTATTACAGATATAAGCAAAAAGCAGAGAAGAGTGTACCCAGTAAAGTGGGTAAGATAGATGCTCAGAGGAGGTGATGCTGAGTTGGAATCTGAAGAAATAAGACTTTGCCAGGAAAACAAATACAAGACCCTAACATATTGTGCCCCTATTTAGTACTCCCATGAACCCTAAAACATTCTAATTCATATGACTGCCTCTTTTCAGATTCAGTCTAGGTTTAAGGCAGTTATAAGAATGAGGCAGTCAATTAGCAAATAACTGGCACAAATGAGACAAAAACTCATTCCATATGACTTAGTGTGTTTTCATGAATCAAGAGTATTTTCCTAGGAGGAGCTAATTCTGTTTCAAAGAAAGCATTGAAGGTAGAGAAGAGATAAATTATAAACAGATAATTTCAACCTAATTATCTCCCAGATAACAAAAATGGACAAGATTTCCCACTCATATTTTAAATAAGGCTTATTATATGGTGAAGGTTTTGAGTTTTATGAAGCACAGGCTTCACATTTTTTGCCAAATAAAAATGGTGCTCGATTTATAGTTAAATTTCATCCCGAAGAATTTTTTTTTCAGGAAGCATTAAAGAAATTCTACCCAGCCAGAGTACTTTTTAAAGTCATTTTATTGAATAATGAGAGGAAGTGAAACATATAAAAGAATGTCAATGCTTTCCTCTTGTAGTCTTTCCTGGAAAAACAGTTGAAAAAACTTTACGAAAGATCACTAAGAAAGATTACTCATTGGAAAACCATGGTCTGTCTCAATAGATCATGCCAGGTCTATCAAGATTTGCTGTGTGGCTCTGGACACTTCACTTTACCAGAGTGAGTCCTTCTGTCTTCTCTTGTATGTCATAGGTACTGGTCACAATTGTATTCCAATTTACAGTGTTTCAGTCACTAAATTAAATGATGTATGGGATATAATTTGAAACACAAAATACTATGCATAATGAAGTACTAAAAAGAAGAATGTTTGCATTTATTATTATACATTAAATATGTTGTGGAATTAATGAAGAATGATGCGATTATTAGTAGACATTTGAGGGAAAGATTTGATGTAGACATCTCAATAAAACTTAATGTTTTCTTATGGGTAGATTATAATAACTCCTGTTACGTTACCTGCAATTCATTTTAAATACTTCATCATAGATTGTATGATACAGGCATACCCTGGAGATACTGTGGGTTTGGTTCCAGATCACCACAATAAAGTGAGTCACGCAAATTTTTTATTTTCTAGTGCATATAAAAGTTATGTTTACCCTTTACGGTAGTCTATTAAGTGTGGGCTAGCATTATGTCTACCAAAGAATTATACATACCTTAATTAAAAATGCTTTATTACTTAAAAAAAAAAACAACTCTTTTCAATGAAAAAAGTTAGGACTTTTCTCTGCATTGGGCTTTGGTTTAAGGGAACATTGTGGCCAGTTTGATCTTCTTTCCAAAACACTAAAACTTTCTCCATATCAGCAATAGGCTGTTTGCTTTCTTATCATTCATGTGTTCACTGGAGTAGCACTTTCAATTTCCTTCAAGGACATTTTCTTTGCATTCACAGCTTGGCTAACTGTTTGGCCCAAGAGGCCTAGCCGTTGGCCTATCTTGACTTCTGACACACCTTCCTCACTAAGCTTAATCATTCTAGCTTCTCATTTAAAGTGAGAAATGTGCAACACTTAGTTTCACTTGAACACTTAAAGCCCATTGTAGGTTTATACATTGACCTAATTTCAATATTGTCGTGTCTCAGAGAATAGGGAAGCTTGAGGAGAAGGAGAGAGATGGGGGAATGGCTATTTGGTGGAGCAGAACACACACAACATTTATCAATTAAGTTCACCCAGTTACACTGGCATGGCTCATAGCACTCCAAAATAATTACAGTAGAAACATCAAAGATCACTGATCACAGATCTTCATAACAGCTATGAAATAATAAAAAAGTTTGAAATATTGCAAGAATTACCAAAATGTGACATGGAGACATGAAGTGAGCACATGCTGTTCGAAAAGTGGTGCCCATAGACTTGCTTGAGGCGAAGTTGTCACAAACCTTCAATTTGTAAAAAATGCAGTATCTGTGACATACAATGAAGTGAAGTGCAATAAAACAAAATATGCCATAGATGAGTGAATAAGTTAACTGTACTCTACTTGCTAGAGTGAATTGTTAACATTCGAAATATTATAATTAGAGATCTACTCTCCAGGAATGGTTAGAGCATTTGAAAGATCGTGGCCGGGCGCTGTGGCTCACGGCTGTAATCCCAGCACTTTGGGAGGCTGAGACGGGCAGATCACGAGGTCAGGAGTTCGAAACCAGCCTGGCCAACACAGTGAAACCCTGTCTCTACCAAAAAATACAAAAATTAGCCGGGTCTGGTGGCATGCCCCTCTAGTCCCAGCTACTCAGGAGGCTGAGGCAGGAGAATCACTTGAACCCGGGAGGCAGAGGTTGCAGTGAGCCGAGACGGCAGCATTGCACTCCAGCCTGGGGGACAGAGCAAGACTGTCTCAAAAACAAACAAACAAACAAACAAAAATGAAAGAAAGATCACAGTCATTATTTCATAACTTAGGTTATTCCAAGTGCAATGACTTCACATCACAATGACTCCAATATCACTACCTCCATCTGCATTTGAACAGAAGAGCTCTTTGAAACACATTTTTCCATTTTGAGAACCTGAGGAGCCAGGGTCCTAACATCCTTAAAAGCTGTGTCCTAGTCTTAGGACTCCTGTTCTTGTCTGTGGGCCACTGTTGTAATAAAGGATTCACCTAATTACACCTAGATGACTAGCAAATTTTTCCTCAAGACTATTGTCACTTGGCTTCCAGAGAATATTTTGTGCAAAGTACTGGTCAGTGCTTGAAGGGCAGAGAGATGGAATTTCACTTACTTTAAAGAACTGATTATTTGAATGTTTTTGTACCTACTTGACAATAAATCTGTCGTATGCTGGATTTTGTCAGAAACTGGCTTTCCTGTAACATCCCACCTGGTATGTTAGAGAGAGAGAAAATAGAGCTTATAGCTACTTCTAATGTGGGGAAAGAGGGAGAGAAGCGAGGGTACTAGAAAATCAACTGAAAGAGCCTAAAAATGGTGAATGGAAAAACTGCCTAAATGCACTTTACCAAAATTATCTTTTTAGTATTATTGGGAATATCAATCCAAATTTTTCTTACAAATGTGCCAAGCATCTACTATGAACTGCAGGTGTTGAAGAAATGATTAGTGTCCTACATATGAGTTCCTATTTGAAAGACTTCAAATATTTCTTGAAAGCATTGAGGAATTAATGAGATTCCACTTTTATAAATCTTGAGTCGTGTAGCCTACCTTATCTCCTTTTTTACTTTGGCTTCCAGAAAATTCTGTGTTACATTTGATGTTCAATTATGTGTCCCCTAATATCATCCAAACAGCTTTCATTTTCGTTTTCTTCCCTTATGTGGCCTTTATTTTTAATTCTGATAATATTGCTCTATATTTTATATAATACTTAATTTGTATTTAAGTTTGGCTGCCTTATATCCTTTGTAGAACCACAAGGATTCAAAATACAAACATATACTTACAAATAAACTTATATATAAAGTGGATTTCAAACAAGACTGCTATAGAATTCTGTAACACTAAGTAAGATTACCTCTTCTCTACCAGTTTATTTTCATAGTAAATAATTGAAAATTCAGAGAAATGAGTGAACATTAGAAGCAGCAGTATAAAAGTTGAGCACTCATTGTAAAAGAAATACATTTTAATGAGTTGTAAATCATGGGAAAATAGAAAGTGTGAACATTTCAAATAAGAAATTTCCTTAATGCACATTTATAATTAAAGGTTTCCTCAAACAATAAAATTAAAAGTTCTCATTATACTTTTACATAATGTCTTTTAAAATATATTGTAATACTTTAGTTTTTTCTAAATTTTCTATACTTGGAAAAAACTTGCTGAGCACAGATTTTTATATCAATAAGTTATTTTTCTATTCCTGCCACCTCTACTCCTCCCATCTCCAAGCTAATGATAAATAGAGAATTAAATGTAAGAAAAGTCTTAATGTCATTATGAAACTTGGGCTGCTCTTCTGTAGGTGCTGAAATTCTTCCTTCTAGAAAGTCAGGAACATTTATTCAGATGGGCTACAGCCATTGATTGGTTAGTCTTGCTTTCAACATTTATGAAGCTGTGGCCCAATTTGTCCTTTTAACATTTATTTCCTTTGTACCCAACATCTTTGAGGTTTCAAATTAGGTTTAATTTCTTAATCTTCATGTTGTAGTACTTATCATCTCTCTCATTAGTCTAATTTGAGTTAATTAGAATCTGTGGTTAGTTCTCAATCTGTGTTACAGTAGAACAATTGAAAAGAGAAGCACAGACACAATTATGCCATTGTATTGTCTGGAGGAGACAGAAAGCCAGTGGGGCTTCCCTTATTAGGTTAACATCTACCTGACTTCAAAATGGTTCAATGATATAAATAGCAATGGGAGCCATTGGGAATTCCAAATTCCACCCCTTTTTCCTTTACCCGCCCTTACAATCCGATTAATTCAAAGGTGATGGAGGAAGAGAAATGTTCTACATGTCAAAATGACAATGTCCATTATATGATTTACCGAATGAGTAGTGTGTGTGATAGTTGTGTGTGAATTCACATTTTTACATTTAAAATAAATTTCCATTTTGTCATGTTTTATTAAAATTCCCCTTCAAATCAATGTGGATGAAGTATACGCCTGAATAATCTCTTTTGATGACCACGAGGGTTTGATAAACATGAGAATGAAATAAACATAAAATATTAGTGGTTACATTATATTGAAAACCTGGCAGCTGTGGTGTGATTTGACACCCCGAAAGGAAACTTCGCTTAGGAGTATAGATTTGGGAGACCAACTTTTGTTATAAAGGTAAAACATTCTTCAAAATCTATGTGATGTAGGCCAGGTGTGAATTTCAGTGTACAAATATATCTATAAAAAACCCAAAAGAGGCATAATATTTGATATAATTAAATATACTTGCCATTTACCGCATTCAAGTAACTATAAGCTTCCAATTCAGTGGTTTAAAATTAGTAACTATTAAGAGTATAATCAATGAGTCATCAATGTTTAGAAAATACAGATTTTATTTTTTTTAAATATATAGGTACCAACAATACTCATTGTATAGGGAGAAAGATCTTAAAACTCATTCCTTAAGAAAATTCTAATTGAAAATCACTAGGAGCCATTAGAACATGAATAAATGTAAAACAAATAAAAAACAGATTTTAAGGTACCAAGATCAGGTGGTAGGAAATAAAATAAATGTCAGCTACTTAAGAAATCTACATTGAATAAGAAACTACTAATACTCTTCCAAAAGGGATATTAAGGAATTATCCTAAAGATATTCTCTTCAGAGCCCTCTAGATTCATAAAAGCACCAGCCAAGTTGTTTCCCTTATCTTTAAATAAAATATATAGCATGAAAACATTGTTTATTTTTAACAATGTTAAAAATAAATAGGTTTTAATTGACTATAATGCAAAGTTGTTTCTTAAAGGTAGCTGTTATTTTCAGGAACATTTTCAAGGGAGAACACTTTTATTCATGGATTCATGTAGATAAGTTGTATAGAAGTAATAATTATAAAAATATGTTAAATTTTGGGAGATAGTATATATACTCTTTGGGTCTCTTAAAACACATAAATTAAATAATAAAATATGATTATATGCTTTTATTGGAAACCAAAACTCAATGAGACATATGGTTGGGTCTGTTCTTAGCCTATAAATGTTATATTCAATTTTAGTTGCAATGTTTATGTCTATGAGACTGCTTCACAAGCTATAGGAGCTATAATTTTATTTGCAAAGGGCAAATGTGATTATTCTGAATTCTATACCAATCCAAAGAGACATTTTAATTCCAGTTTCTTGGCTGTAAAATGAGGATAATACCTGCTTAACATCTCCTTGTATTACTATGAGAACATTGATAAAATGTATGTGATAGTTGGGGGAATAGTAAAACCTTTGGCAAATGTAAGGTGGCCCCAGAATTTTCACTGCATATTACTTACAGTAATACACTCCACCTGGATGATTTGGGCAGAAAGAAATCATCTGAGAATGTTTTTTATAATATTGCATGTTGCGATATTGCATGTTGATGAAAACATGCAGAGTTAGCTAGCCTGTATGCTGTCTTTCTGCCAATTTGGAGAGAAGCTCCTTACACCAGACAAATGCAGGTTTTTGCCAGGGCCAAGGTTTCATGAGCATACTACAAGCTGGGTCTTTTAGTCAGCAGTCCTGTGTCATAAATAACCTTTCATACTGTACACTGTGACCCTGCAAAGATGCTTGGATATTATAAACTCAGGTTTTTACTAAAAAACAAAAAACTAACCTAATATGGGGCTCTGAACACTTTACTAGCAATTGAAATGGTCCCACAAGTTAAGGAGAAATCTTTGCCCTGTGTGATTAGATCAGCTGTGACTATTATGAAATTCTGATCTTTAGTCAGTTTTAATAGATATGCTCAAAAATACATGTAATGATAATTGGCCACAGATTTTATAAACTGCAAAGACTGGTGAATTTTAATTTCTATCTACAATGTAGATCAATGTTGTCCAGTTGAAAATAGAATATAATCCATCTATGTAATTTAAATTTTTCTAGGAGCCATTTTTTAAAAAAATTAAAATAGGTGAATTTTAAGGAATTTCAATAATATATTTTATTTAATCCCACATATCCAAAATATTATTAATCCAACTCATAAACAATATTAAAAACCGATACCTGTTTCCCTTTCTTTGTTTTTCATAATTGTGTCTTACACTTAAAGCAAATTTCAATCCAAAGGCTAAATTTTCATCAGATGTATTTTATCTGTATTTACATTTTATAAAATTTATGATTGAGAAACTTATTCCAGGTATATTTAACTTTTTTCTTTTCTTGGGAAAGGATCTCACTCTGTCACCCAGGCTGGAGTGCAGTGGCGCGATCACGGCTCACCGCAGCCTTGCTCTCCCAGGTCAAGTGATTCTCCCATCTCAGCCTCCTGAGCAGCTGGGACTACAGGCATGCACAACTACACCCGGCTAATTTTTGTATTTTTTTGTAGAGATGAGGTTTCTCCCTGTTGCTCAGGCTGGTCTCAAACTCCTGGGCTCAAGGGATCTGCCCACCTCGGCCTCCAAAGGTGTTGGGACTACAGGTATCAGCCACTGTGCCCAGCCTTAACATTTTTTTTGAAGTAAAATTTAAAAATCAGTTCTTCAGTCATACTTTCCATGTTTCATGTGCTCAGCACTTACATGGGGCCCATGACTACTGTGTAGGATGGTGCAGTTAGTTTATATAGCTACTATAAAATTTTTCAAATATTAATTTAGTAATCATCAGATATGCTTTTAGATTTTCTAAAGATATGGTATCTGACTATATGGCAAACAATTTTTAAGTGATATTCACATAAAGAAGTTATTAATCAAATTTCAGCTACTTGAGAGACTGACGCAGGAGGATTGTTTCAGGCCAGGAGTTCTAAGCCTGAGCAACATAGCAAGACTCTCTTTATGTTTAAAAAAATTAAGTTATTAATCAAATACAAAAAAAGTAATAATTTCAATAAAATATATGAGGTTTATATAAAAGATTTTGTAGAGTAATAAAAGTCAATCTTATTAAAATATTAGTTTCCCTGTATTTGCGTATTAACTTTGCAACTGTCATCTTTTTGTCAAAAAGTGACTTTTATAACAGTTACATTCATAATTGTCTGTTTAAAATATGAATAACTCAGATGTTGCCTCAGTAACAAAAAAGTATTTTCAAATCTTCTAACATGATCAAACTTTGTCTGTTTTTACTTTCAAGAAAAAAGTGAAAAACTCAGCTTATTTCTTTGTTAATAAGAGTGGTTTTTTGATGTAGAGGAAAGAGACAAGAAAAGTTTGATGCTCTATATATGTTTTTAAAGTTGCAACTTGAAAAATAAAATTATGAACACAATTTAGAATATTCATTCTTCACCACTCACTCTGCTAGCCCCTGACACAATAGAGGAATTGCAAAAGTATACCAAACTTTTTAAAAAAATATCAATGTTTATTACAAATTATATTATACAATTTTTCTACTTTTATATTCCTTCTATATGTTCTGAAGACTGTTCACCTTGTAGAGACAAGATGTATTATTTTTATGGAAGAAAAAGTCTTGAAAATTTATTCTATTATTATACTATTATTGTCACCATTATGTGAGAAGCAAAATCAAATATAATAATCTTTCCTCTCCAAGTAAATGGATATATATTATTAAAATTCTTGATGTACTTTTACTTAATTGAACTTAAATTTTTAAACATAAAGTTTGCATTAATTTAATATGTAAAAATATCTGTCAAATCTGTGTACCTATTTCAGAAATTAAATATTTTCATTATTTATAATTTTATTTATTCAAATTATTTATACCTTTAAAATATATATCTTAAACACTAACTTCCTTTTGTCTGACACATTGATGAGGTGAAAAAGACCAAATTTTTATAACAGAAAATCATGTAAAATTGTTTTCCTTACAAATTATGTTGTTTTATAAGTATGTACTGAAAAGATCATACTATAAGCTTTTCTTGTCTAGTGCTTTATATAAATTTTTCTACCCAAGGCCAGTCAGTAAAAAAGTGTCTAAAGTACTGAAGGCCAATTAATTATTTTAAAATTGCAAGTCTTTCTCTTACTGAATCTTTTGAGTTTGCAAAATCTGTACAGACAACTATACAGACAACTTCGTGTCTGGACTTGAGTTGGTATGAACTTGAATGACTTTTATGGGTAAATTACACAAACCGGTTCTAGGTTATCAAAGTGTTCTCTTTCTCATTGAAAATTACACAGAGAGTTCATGCAATTTCCTCCAGAGGAAGCAGATGTCTTGTTATGTTTCTGTTTATGACGTCCACCGAATAGGGTGGCATTGTAATACTTATTTCAGTAATGTAATTCATGGCACTATAAATATGTTGAACCGTCTGGTAATTCCATGAGGAGTCAGTGAATTTCAGTGACAAAGGAGAATTCTATGCAGAAAATGATGTGCAAATAAGAAAAGCATGCAGCCTCATCTTTGAAGAGACAATAGCTTTTATAAGACAAATCCAGGCCAGGCGCCATGGCTCATGCCTGTAATCCCAGCACTTTGAGAGGCCAAGGCAAGTGGATCACTTGAGGTCAGGAGTTTGAGACCAGGCTGGCCAACATGGCGAAACCTCATCTCTCCTAAAAATACAAAAATTAGCTGGGCATGGTGGTATATGCTTGTAATCCTAGCTACTTGGGAGGCTGAGGCAGGAGAATCGCTTGAACCCAGTAGGCGGAGTTTGCAGTGAGACGAGATGGCACCACTGCAATCCAGCCTGGGCGTCAGAGAGAGACTCTGTTTAAAAAAAAAAAAAAATCCCATTGCAGACAATTTTTATACTAGCATTTTATTGTGTTTAATGCTCCTTGTAATAAGTAATACACCTGTTAAAGTGTAGAAAAAACATTGTTTCACAGACATTTATTTAATTATAATAATAACAGAGGGATTTACACTCCAGAATATAAAAAGGGAGCTCCATCTTGATATCACTTACAAGCTTATGAACCAACTAAATCTTTTCTTATTGTGGTGTTCCTACTAGAAAATATGTTTTTTATAAATTTATAATGCCATATTTAGCCACATAAAAGTGAATATGTATTTATATGTATCATGAAGAACATGTCTACTCTTGTTTAAATTTAAACATAGTCTAGTTAAAACACAGTAATTCTTCACATTCTGTTTAAAAAATGCATCCAACCTTGTTGTTCTTCTTTAAATACAAAGCTGATGAGAGTTGTCACTTTGTATGTATGGAAAGACCTTTTATTCCCCCCAGCAGGATAACTGTTTGTTGGCTTTGCCCCTTTACATTCATGTATCATTTTGGATTTTTAAGCTCCCGGATATAAGTATGGGCAAGGACAGAGCTAGCAAATGTACTTAGAATGTTCTGACACATTCTTCACTCTTCTCTAGTCTACTCTGGGTTTTTGAACATGGTTGCAATTCATTTCCCATCTTTTTTTTTTTTTGCTAAAATAAACTGAGAATATTGGGAGTTAGATCCAAAGTTTCTTGCTCCCTCCTTTCCTGACTCCATTCCCATGAAAGCACGCTACTCCCACATTGTCATCGAAAGACCACTCTACATTGCTACATCTGTGACCCCTCTGCTGCCCTCTTGTAAAGAAGAGCAGGTTGTGAGATGTGTTTATTGCCCTGGTTTTCAAAATATGTCCCATAGCAGAAGCATTAGTAATTATTTGGGAATTTATTAGGAAATCCAAATTCTTGGACGCCACTCCAATCTTCTAAATTAGAAACTCTGGGGATGGGAGACATCAATTCGTATTTTAACAAGTTCTCCAGGTGATTACGAGTTTGAGAACCACTGACATAGTGAAAGGCAAAACAGAATTGCCCAAAGTCCTATAGTCAAAGGTAGAATCAGCCTAGAATGCATGTGCCTAGACTCAGCTTAGCTCTAATCACCCAAGACCCTACATTTGTGTGATCATCAAGCTCCTCTTACACCTGTATTAAAGGGTATTTGGGTAATACTTGAAACAGAACTTCTCCAGGACTTTATTAACTTGAAGAAATTAATGACAGCATAGTCATATTTTAATAATGCAAAAAATGAGAATATGAGGAATGAATAATTTTCATTAAATATTTTTTGCCTTTAAGGATTATATAGAAATTATTGGCCCTCTGATTGTAGGATCCTACAAATGGGTATATCTGAATGCCAAAGAGTGATCAACAAATTCTTTGTGAAGTTAGCTTTAGCGCTTCTGTTTGAGAAGTAAAATGTCTCTTGTAGGACATTGGTGAACTAAACCACACTGATGTACTCAAATACCATTCTTACTTCCCTTCATCTTGTTATCAAAAAATGTATCTAAAGTACACCTGTGAAATGGCACTCAGTTCTTTTGGCACTTTCAGATATTTGAATGCATTAGTGCTCTGTTTTTATTAGCCTGTAAATTTGTGCAAACATAAACGTACTATGAACACCATCATAATTGTTTTATTGTTTGCAGCCAAGATTTACTGTGTATCCCTTTACTCAGAGCGCTACTTCTTTCTGCTTACTTCTGGTAATTTCTATGTCTTTTCATTGATACATTTTTTTTAAAGTTAACATGGTGGCCTGTCTTATCTTTAAAAATATGTAGAGATCTAATAAGCACCATCATTTCAGAAAAAAAAAAATTGAACCATCTTTCCTCTCAAAGCCAGTATTTCACAAGTGATCACAGTGATAGTTTGGCATGAGTATAAAGTTTTCAAAGGGGGCTGACACTGGAACCATTTTATTGAAATAGGTAAGTTTTAAATACCCTAAATGAGAATGCATGTCTAAAAGCACAAGTTGTTGAAAGGAGACAAGTTATCAAGGGTGATTATGCTTAGCAGGCTTGATTTCTCTATACCTCAGGTATCCCCTCCCCTGGCTCCCACTGTCTCTAGGGAGACATTGTGTTAAGTACAATGAAATTATCATCACTTGGGGTCTTGCACTGCCAGACATAGTCCAGGTGAAACATCTGTGTGATGCAGCCAAGTATATGGCTTAGTGTACTCATGATGGGATTCCTTTTGCTCTGTAAAATGATAGGCACAGGCAGAAGGATTATGTAAATTATAAAGGGAATTAAATGCAATGCAGAGGGTGTAACTCTATGCTGGGCTGCCAAGCAGGAGACGGCATGTACCTGGCACCGTGCTGAACAAAGATGCCTAAAAATGGAAGCACAGTTACTTTTTATAGGCATGCTCCTCCCAGGCACTTACTCTACGTAGTTATATTAAACAATCTCCTCACAATTCCAATGTTACTGACAGAGAGTCTCTAAATAATTCCATATTTTGCTGCCCACAGCTCTCTTGGAACAAACCTTAGGCTTTGGAATCATGGTGATTAACAATTTAGTGTACTTCATCTTCAGAACAATTTTTGTAAAAATCTGTTATGAACCTGGTACACAAAGAAAATGTTTTCCTGCATCTCCCCCAGGACCATGATATGTGTTACTCTTATATTTGATAATTATGTATTGAACAGACTTACTTTAAGTCATGTGCTATATTAGTTTCTGGGGATACAGTGCTAGCAAGACACAGTCCTGTAATAGCTGAGTGCATATGACAGATTCATAGACACCATAGTCTGATAAGTTCCATGACTGGAAGTCGTTAGATGCTTTGGATCAAGCATCTATTAGATCACATGAAGGAAGGACACTGACCCCACTCCTAAGGGGCCAGGGAAGGGTTTCCTAGAATAAGGTATCATGGTTGAGACCTGAAATAGTAATTAACCAAATGAAGAGAGAGAGAGAGGAAAGATGGCCAAGAAGAAAAAAAGAGAGAGAGAGAGGAAAAGATAGAGATAGAGAAAATATCATATTCTAATTCCCATAAGCCAAAGAGGGAGTTCTATTCAGGGTGGTAAAGTAACATGAGGAAGCTCAATTTATGGGCAAGGAAGTAGAGAGGTGAGGCTGTTAGAGGTGGTAAGCTAGGACTACAACATGAAGGAAATTTAACATGGCACACTAAGGAGTTTGAATTTTATCAGCTAGAGTACAACAGGGAGCCACTGAACAGGCTTGTGCATTAGCAGTGACATGACGACTAGATTTGTGTTTCACAAGGAATGGTCTGCCTCTGTGGAGAAAACATTAGAAGGGCCAAGATTGGCAGAATATTTAGGAATCTATTCAACATTTTCTTTCCCTTATATGTAAAGCACAATGCCAGGAATGTTTCAGATGCTCAATAAATATCAGATGAAGTATTATCTAAAATAATTTCCTCTTGTACTATACAGTCTAGTATAAGTGTAGAAAAACCATGAATCCTTCTAGTAAATTTCTATTACACATCGTTAGCTTTCTCCAAAGGCTACAGAGCTTTCTTTAGGGAACTCAAATCATTAACG
Source organism: Homo sapiens (assembly GCF_000001405.40). Taxonomy (NCBI): domain Eukaryota; kingdom Metazoa; phylum Chordata; class Mammalia; order Primates; family Hominidae; genus Homo; species Homo sapiens. Next base: position 72,983,967 of record NC_000009.12, on the reverse strand, counting down.
ATGACATCCTATCACCAAGCATTCAGGCGGGTGAGGGGATGGTTTAAAGAGTAACTTTTCTCTTATCTATGAACTTTACCATCAAACTAATTTAACCCCGGTTGTAATAGAATGACTTAGCACTTTGGATATGGCCTTTTTAAATGATATATAGGCAAAAGTTTTCACCATTAAACAATTATTTCTTGTTATGATGTAACTACATTTATGTAGTCAGTTCTCCTCTCCACTTCTCTCAAAATGCAGTGTCATCAGTGTGATGCCTAACTGCAAAAATATTTATCTATAGATTTACTGCCCACATGTCCAACATGTAAAAATCAAGAGGCTATCTGAATCTTGACTTGAAACAGATTGCTGCAGGGAAAGCTGAAAGCTGTTCAACCGCAATTGCTTTTAACAGTGCAAGTTGATGATTAACAACTTTATCTGCAGCCTGATGTGGGGATGAGGATATTTTTTCTATTTATATTATATTTAATAGAGAAAACTTAAGTCAGCTGTTCCTTAAATATTTACATGCAAAATAGTTTAATTTTAAGGTAGGAAAACTTCATGTTATTGTTGAATTTGTTCTGTCTAGATACATAATTTGAATCAGATTATTATCTTCCATGGCAAATAAGTACCTTAATGAGCAGCCTGAGAGAATGTGCACATGGAATCATGTAGCACAGAGCTTGAAAGGCAGGCCCATCTGCTCTAAAGCACTGTGTTCCAGTTAGGAACACAGAGGTCTTCAGAGCCTGGCACTTCTCTTTGTCCAGGCCTACATTGTTGACTTTCAGATGGCTGGAACTGAGACACTGACTCTTGACTGGAATCAGGATCCTTTCCACTTGATCCAGTATTTTAATTTTTTTGTGAGAATTTTCCAAATTGGAGCTGTTAATAGATTGTGAAAAATCATTTAAAAGGATGATCTTTGTATTTTGGCACCTATTTTTATACTTATCTCAATGATTGGTCTCTACGGGGGATATTTTAGTTAGTTATTCCGCTTTTTGCTTCCCATTGCCAGTATTTAGCTTAAATTTCATGAATGCAGGCAAACTTTATACATAGCGTTGTATTCCTTAGTAGGTACATAAAATCAAATAAACTCTTTTGGAACAGTTTTGAGGATAATTCTTAATAATTGACTAACATTTCCAGGCACATTATCTGATTTCTGGTAACTCCTGTGATGTATTCATCAAAAGTTGTCTGTTAAGCCATTTTGTAACCACAGAAGACATCTAAATTAGATTTATTTTTTTCTTTCAAAGCATTTTTTTAACAGACTGGCTTGATTTACAATAGGCTTACGAAAAATAGTTTATGTTTCACAGTCTCCTAAAACATAGAGCAAACTGTAGATTTTTCAAATACCACAGAGGAGCCTAGGAAGATGATTTACAAAGGTATGTCCTCTATGCCATCATCATGAAGCAGGTGGGGGTAAAGAATTGAAGAGAGTTTGAGATTCCGAACTTGGGACTACTCCTAAGAAACTTTAATCCCGATAAGAATTCTCTGCATTGAGTGCTCTCACTGTAAGATTTGTGGACCCAACGGATCATTGTCCAACTTTGGCTATGATGGCCAGATTTGAAAAGATATCTGGGCAGATGTCCTGCTGATAACGAAGCCTAGATTCCTCCTTAGAACTGTGTTCCTTTGAATGAGTCATGCTGCCTCACTTTCAAAAATCTGCTTAGGTTCCCTATCCCCATGACACAGATATTTCTCAGAAATAGTACATTCAGGAACTTTCATCATTTCCAGCAAATATTGAGGTAATGTACAATGTGATATGATATTTGTATGTCATATTTTATATAGGATATACTTATATTACATATGGTCACATAAGCGTCATTTTTTTTAAAGTTCATGAATAATACTGACTCCTTCTACATGCAGTACACACTAACATATTCCACTGCATTTTATTTTTGTAAATGCTGGTCTCAACTTACTGAATTGATATTACATTTTAGTTTGACAATTAATTTGACTGATTTTCTGATTTGTCAGTTGAAAAATACTGTTTAAGCCATATTAAAAAATATATATATATATATATATATTTATGCCATTTAAAAAATAGTTGTAAGCCTTGTCAAGAATTTTATGCTTTAGCCTACAAGTAAGAGTAAATTTTTGAAGAGTTTTAAGCAAAGGAATGGAGTGATCCTTTCGGTATTTTGAAAGACTATTCTGCCTGCACCATAGGGCATGGGTTGGTGGAGATGGAGACGTTCTGGGTGTCATCTGTCTGTTCAACAGCCTGGAGCCTCCTTGAGCAGCAGAATAGGATCCGCCTCTCCTCACTATGGCTTTGCCTGCTTGTCCAGGAGGCAACTGAAGGGCGAGGGTTTTAAGATGGTGATCTCCATTTCTCCAGAGGCCAGATCTAGGAAACAAGAAAGCAAAGCAAGGGGGTTAAAAATTAGTCCAGTCTTTTGGGGCAGCGGTTTAGAAACTTAAAGAACCTACTTGCACACTAGCCATGTGTACTCTGTTATCCAAATTACTCACATATTTTAGTCACTGGAGTATTCATTAATTCAATATATAAAACAGTTGTTGTGTGTCAAAATTTGTCCTAAGTGTCAGAGATTTAGAGAAATAAGGCTAATTCCTGGCCCTGAAGGAGATCTACACAACTTTCACTAAAAGAAAGTCCATCATGTATTTTCCGCATTTATTTCCTTTTTGTTCCTTGTATATAAAAGTCTCTGAAAATCTAGCCTGGCTTAGTTGTACTGAAAGGAATGCCTAAAGTTAGGAAAAAAATAACATAAAATGTAGAAAGAACTTTCTCGCCTACCACCAGCACCCATGGGAAAGTGGAAACTCGAGAGAACAAGTTTGGAGTCGCTTCGTTCAAAATGGACGTCCCCGTGGGGAACTCTGCTTCCAGTGATAAATCTTTCGCGGTTCTGGATTTTGTTTGAGAGAGTCAGCATTTCCTTAATCCTTCAGCATAGTCTTTTTATAAGTCTTTTCAAAACATGTTAGGTTAACTATTAAGAAAATCAGTTGTTTATCATGAAAAGCCCAAAGATGAATGAAAGACACTCTCCATTGTTCATAAACACATCTCCCTTAATGTAGTTAAGCTATCAGCGAGTAATGCTGGCAACAGCTGAAAAGGGTTTACAAAATACTAAGGGACGTGAGATAAAGATCTGAGCAGTAACATAGAACAGAGGTAGGGTTATTCAAAGCACACTTTCCCCCAAAGCCCAGCATACACAATAACTCCCTCTGTGAGTAGCAGGCTTCGGTAGAAGATCAAAGAACTAACACTTGAGACTATATCAAGAAATCTACTCGTTAAAGAGCCAAAAATGTAGATCAGAATCTTCTTTCAGATTAACTCAGGATACGAAGCAGAATAAAATGGACAAAATATCTTTCCAGTGAAGTGAAAAAGAAAAAAAAAAAAGAAAACAATAATCTACAGTTCAAAGTGGACCACTGAAATGTGGGGCCCTAAAGTGTTGTGTCTATTTGGATACCTGTAGACAATTTTATCACTGCCCCCACCACCACTAAATTGCCAACTATTTGTCTCACATTTCTGAAAATTATGAAACCACTATAGAAAATGTAAAACGCTAAATGAGAAACAAGGCATTTTGGAAAACTGCTCAATAATTACGGTAAATTATCACTGCAGGGGGACTGGATTCATTGGCAAATCATTAACAGGCTCCCACTTGGCCTAAATAATTGGTATCCAGTATTTTATAGGTAGTTTGTAATACCTAATGAATATTTCTTTATTACTCCTCTAACTTGAAAAATGAAACAGTGAAACTAGATGATCTCTAAGGCAGTTCCTAGTCTTAAGTCCTTATACCCTAATACCCTGGGGTAAGATAAACCTACTTGTCTAGAATATATATTATTTATTAATGTGTGTGTATATGTAAAAGAATGATTCTGTTAATAAAGAGCACACCTGAACTGTGACATCTCTGATAGATGGCACCACTAGGTGCATCTCATAGGGTTCTGAATGTTACTTTATAATTTAATATATTAAATAAATTTAATATATTAAATATTAATTTAATATATTAATGATGATATTTTAATATATTAAATAAAAATCACTAATGGGCATATGACTTCATACAGCATCTTTTGACAAAGACCATGTCTTGCATCTGAGGAAAGTGCACTTTTCTTTGGATTTAATCTATATATTAGAGTTTGACCTTTCATTTCTTGCACAGTGAGTCAGCATTATTTGCTGATAAAGATAATAAACTAATTTTCATATCACTGTTATATAACCCACAAAAAGAAAATCTACACCTTTATCTTTTCCCATGGCATTTGCATAACTTTGCACCTCATTACAACACAAAAGGCCCTTATGTATGGTCTTTTGCAACAGGGCATACTCCTTGTGTATACACCTGAAGTCTTGTTTATATTTGGTGTGGTGGTACCCATAAGAGCATTTTTGTGGTCGGTGTTGCTGTTTGCACCACAGTTCTACTTCTAGCTTGACTTACAGATATCAGAACCTAGTAAACACAAGTGAATTTGATGTGACTACATTGTTTTATATGTGAATAGTGTCTCCCACAATTCTGTGATTCTTGTGCCCTGGTCTTAGTGAAAATAATCATTTCTTTGGTAAGGACTTGAGGGAGTCAGTAGAAAAGAAAGCAGTAATCTACAGTTGCTCTGAGAAAGAGGCTACACAGTAAAAAGTTTCAGGGCGTGCTTGATCATAATAGTTCAAGTCTTGCTAAAATGGTTGTCTTCTGTTCTTTAATAACCATTTTGTGGATATTCATGAGATGGAAACATACAAGAAATTAAAATTTATTCAAACATATATTTCATGAACACATACTATGCCCTGGCTTATCTAAAATGTGTGAGGCTTAAAGCAACTGTTCACATATAAGTAGTTAGAAATGCAGAGTACTGGTTGGGAGCCAGGGGATTCAAGTCCCAGAAGGAAATACTTTTAATATACTGCATTATTCAGGCCTTTAATCTCTTGGATTGTTATATAATGTTTCACTCCACTATCTGGAAATGCTTCCAAACCGCAGAATGTCTTCAGCATTGCAAATAAATTACTGTGCCAACATGTTTCTGCCACCCTGTTGAGCCACATTATTAGATGAGGTCCCTCAGCACAAATTACTTTTTGAGCAACTAGATTCATTTGGTTGGAAACATCAGGCCTTCAATAACCTTTTAACACAAAAATCTAGGATCTTATTTCATGTATGCATTCAGTTAATCAACATGTATTTGTTCAGGCATTAGCTAGGAGTTACAGTACAGTGTTTGGCAGAGAAAGTAGACAAAATGATTTCTGCCTTAAATCTAGGAGAGAAAAGATATATAATCATAATTATAAAACAGTATGATTAAGATTATAAGCAAGAGTGTCAGAAAGTAGAGCTGAGGATGGAGAAAGAGAACCCTGATGGCATCATCTGATCCCCTGTATCCAGTTATATTTGCAGCCAACTCTCTTACTACAATTCTTTGGTTCGATAAGTTCTGTTGGTTTAATTTTGTTTTGTTAGCATTGTTTGAGTTTCTGTACTTGTAGTTTAAAATGTTCTCACTAATATCAAAAGCAAAAGTCAGGAAAAACGGAAGCAGAGAGCTGTACTGAGGAATTAAAATAATCCAGATGAGTGATAACAATATAACTAAAGAAAAGCGGATATATCCAAAATGTGTGAATCCTGAATGAGCAAGACTCACTAGCTGTGTGAGGGTGGGGAGAGGGAGAATGAGGGGCTATGATGTTATCTGTAAAACACTTTTCATCATGAAACCTAGACAGGTGAAAGGGTACATTCTTAGCTAAAATGAGTGAAAGAAGCATGAGATCTTTTAGTTCTTCTTAGGGTTCAGTCCAAGGAAATCTTTGTGGTTTATTGCACGCTGGTGAATAGCCAATGTGAAGAAGTAAAGGTTGTGTGTGCATCTCCTCCCAGATACTACAGGAGTCACATTCTAAGCTTGGTGTAATTAACTAACATAGCACTTGATGTTCCTTCACCTAAAAGCTGAGCACTGTCAGATGTGAAGTACCAGCTAAGCTGGGTGCCCACAAAGGGATGAGGATGACTCACTGTGCTCTGCTTCCATGCCTGCCACTGCTGTGAATGGGATAAAACTTAAACCCTCATCTTTGAAGCCAGTCTTTGCGGGTAACTCCAAGCAGAGCAGTAATTCAATCTCCAGTTCCCAGAGGTGTAAGTGACAGTGGTTTCAGAGAGATGATGCCATGTCTGTGCCAAAATGCAGCTGAAAAAAGCATCCATTGCCACTATTCAAAAATTCAAGATTAATCTTGAGTGATGTGTTCCTTATGATGAAATGAAAAAAAAAAAAAAAAGAAAAGCTAGGTAGGAGCTTAAAATAAATTTGGTCCTTAAAAAATCGAATTATATATTATCTAATATAAACCTATAACCTATAGAGAGCTCATTCAAATCTGCATGTGAATATTAAGACTTCAGTATAACGAGAATGAGCGGGAGGCCCACTCATGAAGAGACAGGCACAATAAAGAGACTCGTGGAAACTTGCTTAGCTTTATACGCAATGAAATAAATTTAAATTAAAATTCAGCTAATGTATCATTTCATTACTAATAACTTGGAATCAGGGACTTTTTAAAATATTAAAGTGAAATCATCATTTGGAATGGAGTATGGCAATATTTAATTTATAATATTCAAAACCATAAAATATCTTTAATCTTGCCCAATATTTCTATCCCTACGATTATAACCTAAGGATATTACTCAGCAGAGGAAAAAGATATACGCATGAAATAATCATTTAGCATTCTCCATAATATCAAATATATTGAGAAAAGCTTAACTGACCAAGAGTAAGCAAATGAATAAAACACATGTTGTAAAAATGTATGTAGGCATAAATATTATAGTTATAAAACAATGTGGAAATATGGAAAGTGGTTTTGTAACTTTTGAAATAAACAGTATACAAAATTGTATGCATATTATGTAAACTAAATATATATATTTGGGCAAAGATTGAGTTCAAACAAATAAAGAAAACAGAAACAAAGTAATATATGTATTAAAAATTAATTTATGACAGAATGAAAGAGGGACAGAAGAGGAACCATTTAATAAATTGTGTTAGGACAACATAAAGACAAAATCGATTCCGGGCAAATAAAAAACTCATAGGGAAAAGAAGAAACTGATAAATATTTATTTATTTATTTAATTATATTTTAAGTTCTGGGATACATGTGCAGAACGTGCAGGTTTGTTACATAGGTATACATGTGCCATGGTGGTTTGCTGCACCCATCAACCCATCATTTCCATTATGTATTTCTCCTAATACTCTCCCTTCCCTAGCCCCCAACCGCCTGACAGGCTCCGATGTATGTTGTTCCCCTCCCTGTGTCCATGTGTTCTCATTATTCAACTCCCAATTATGAGTGAGAACATGCGGTGTTTGGTTTTCTGTTCTTGTGTTAGTGTTATAATCCCTGTAGTATGGGGATATCCACTCACAGACTAGGTGTATTTGTCAGGACAAGACTAAGCTACTGTAAATGATGTCCAAAATCCAGTGACCTATTGATCAGAGCAGCCCATGTCTTTCTCCCATAAAGGTCCATATGAGTTCACTCCAGGTTTTCAGGAAAACCTTATTCTTTGAGATCATTCATAGACCAAATTCCTTCTATATACTTGGCACTGTCACTATTTATATGATCAGACCTGAATTTCCACCTCATCTAGCTTCTTGCTGGTGGGAAAGCGAGAGAACATGGAGGAGGTACAGTCAATGTCAGAAATCACAGACCAAGCAGTGGCATGCTAAACTTCTGGAAATGTGCTGTGCAGTAATGTGGCAGCCTCGGTATTATTGCTATGGAAGATGAGGGTCATCGATTTTGGTGGGAAAGTAGCAGCCTCTCCCTCAGAGGGAGTAACAATTGTCTACCTAGCAGAAGAACACCAGCCCAATCCACACTAAACGGAGATGTAAAGAATATGCTTCCAAATGTGGAGATGATCAAATAACATATCAATGATATTTTCTTGGAAGAAAAGTCTGTAAAAATTCTTTGGGGCTTTCTACTTTCAAACTGAATTATGAACGATTCTCATAATTTCTGTCTCTTTCACTAGAGATGAGAGAAGGAAATATGACCTTTTTCTAGTCACCAAAACATCTACATATTTACTTATTCCATGAGAACAAAGTTGGCAGAATAACAATGTGATCACAGAATAAATTAACCTCAAACTAAGAGGGAAAAAAAAACAACTAGTGATACAAAATTGTCACAAATTAAGAACACTGGCAAGGTGATATAGTCATGGTCTCTTTATCTCACAAGGCAAATAAATATAAAGTTTTGTGGAAATAGCCTTGTATATTAACCAAAAAAAAAAAAAGCCCCTCACCAGGTCTCTTGTTTTGTTAAGCAGCTCATGCATAGTTTTGTAAATGAAAATTTGATATTAATGACTTTCTAAATGACTTTTTCTAATGACTTTCATGCTTTGGACCAAGTATGCTGGTTGGGAGTCTTGCTTCTAAACTATAATATGAGTATTCTATCTCTGCCAACTCAGGTTGAACTATTGCTCAGGAAACTTAGAACTAATAAATCATTAGCTATTCATTGAATAGATACTGGGTGGTCTATACCCAAATCTAGGTACTTTTCTTTAACATCAATGTCAATAATTTTCAAAATGGGAAAATAATTATGAAAGATTCTATCATATGCAAAGCACTTCCCTCTGCACCACTTTTGGTACAAAGCTGAGTGACGCAGGCTGTTCTCTCAGTTTACATGGTGCTAGAATGATGAGCCAGAGTATTTATGGGAGCTAGATGAAGAGATACATCAAGATAAGATTATCAAATTTCTGTAGTGGGTGGCCAGTCAGAGGAGGTAGGGACTAAATTGACTTGGAATGGTTAGGAGGGCAGTAGAACTCTGGGGGTATTATTGACCTCTTCAAACGTTAGTGTTCTCATCTGTACAATGGAAGAAATAATAATACTTTGGACATAGACTTATAAAGCACTTAGAGCAGAATCATGTTCACAATAGCTAGAAATAATTGCCAGTTGTCATTGTTGCTCTTTGTGTTTTAGTTAACATAGTTCTTTGAAAGTTTGATTTGGGATGATGAACAGGATTCCAACAATTGAAAACACTGGAGTGTAGGATGCCAGGCACATGGAATAGAATCATCAGCTGCTGGATATTTCATTGGTATGAATCCAGAATGCCACAGGACTTAGTATGGAGTTATTGAGTGAAATGCCTTTTCTATGCCAGATGCCTACAACAGACTGAGGCACCAAGGTTTTTCTGTCCTTGGTTTGTATTTAGAAAGAATTATTTTATTAACACAATTTTATGAATTTACCATTTTACACTTTTGAGGGAGAACTCCACCAGCCACTTTCCATATGTTGACTACGGTAAAATAATTTTTCCATGCACATATCAATGACAGCTCACATATGAAGAAACATAAAAAACATTTCTAAGGGGTCAGTCATCAGATGACCTCAAATGGTAATTGAATTAAGGATAGTTACATAATGTCAATTTCAATTCCCCTGAGAAGTCTACTTGAGTCAAGTGGTAAGGAATGAATAATTTGCAATTCTGTAGAGCGAAGTAGAATCTATGAACATGGATGCTTCTTAAAATCCAAACAACGACAACAACAAAACAGTATTTTTGGCATTAGTTGGGTGCTTCTTAGAATTTTGCAGTTTGGAGGGATTGGATTCAATACCTAATTTCTTATTTGGAAATGGAAAATAAACTTGTTAATGCTAAGTGAACCTAAATGAACCATAGCCTTTCCAAGAATTTGAACTGTTGACATTCATTTTCTTGAAGATATAGTTCGGAGTGCCTGCAGATAATTTTAGGAGATAATACGTGTTTATGGAGTTTATGACCCATCTATTTAAGAAATCAGTCTTCATATCGGACTATATGGGAAAGAAATGTTCCATTACTTTTTTGGCTAGGAAAGTTAGATCATAGGATAAATATCTCCCAATGGTTTAGAGGGAGGCTTTGAAATCTGGGTCCAGGACAGATCATGATACTATCGCCTGAGGGAAACTATTTCCTATGTTCATATACCATTTGTTTTTTAAATGTTTAAATCCCATATTCTACATTGATATTCCTTTCTTTAAAGCTCTAGTAATCTGATTTCAGAGAGAAATGAGTTTCTAATTATCAGGATCTTGTCCAGGCCCTTCCCAAAACTAATGAGGATGACTTATTAATATTATAAATTAATAGCTACTTTTGTTTTCGTCTTTAAATGAGGGAGAACATAAGATAAATCATCTTTAGTTTTTCAGAAAATGATCAGAAATAATGAAAAATATACACAAAATTTACCCTTTTAGAATATTCCTGAAGATCTATCCAATGCATGCTAATCATTATTTATATCATCACAATATCTAAGAATTGCAATTGAACCAATATAACATGGGAACAAAATATTTTAAATGGTATGAAATTTACATTTCCCCAGTGCATCCATTGCTGAGTCAGTTTCAAAATAATAAAAACTGTATTTCTTGGGCTTTTAATATCTCTGATGTTGGAAAGTCTCTATCACCTATCAAAAAATCATCCATTATTTGGGGTAGGTCTTGGGTTGTTACACTTGAAAGAGTATCTCTCTGCTTCTCATTTTCAAAATAATTTATTGAAGTGAAATTCAGATAACATAAAACTAACCATGTTAAAGTGAGCAGCTGAGTGGCATTTAGTACATTCTCAAAGTGTTACAGCCACTACCCTTATCTAGTTCCAAAACATTTCTATCACTCCAAAGTAAAACCCCTAACCTATTAAGCAGTTTCTCTCTATTCCGCTCTCTGCAGCCCCTGGCAATTGCCAATCTATGTGATGTCTCATCTGCTTCTCCTTTCTTGATTCATTCTTTTTAGCAAGGGTTCTTACCATGGTTTTTGCTTCCATAAAGTCATCTGACAGTACCTCGCTGCCATCATTTACAACGTAAGAAAGCTGATACTAGAGCCAAGGGTACAATCTCACTCTTGGTGGTTACTAAGCTGCAATATCCCCCTGCAGCCTGGCTGCTATCAAATCTCCCTGGTTACCCTATCTCCTGGGAATTTTTGCTGCCATGAGCAATATACAGGAGTCTTCAAAAATGCCAGTGATAATGTATTTTCTGGATCCATTAATGCCCCTAAGCCACTGTGGGTAGAATATGTCTCTCTTCCCTTTTGCATTTTTCTTTATCATGTGGGTAATAGAAATGAATCACTCACCCCTGTAATTTCTCTGCCTATGATGGAGGATGATTTTTCATTAATTAAGCACTTTTTTATTAATTAATTTCAGCCTACTTTGTTTCTACCATTATAATTAGAGACCATCTTTGGGAGAGAGGGTGCTGGGTCAGAAAGCAAATTTCAATAGCAAACGACCAGTTATGATCAGATTCAACTCTCATGTCTGACAACCAAAGCATATTACAGACCCAAATTTACTTATCTGCTGCTATCTTCATTTAGAGAGTGTTATTTCCAAGAAGATCTTATCCCATCCTTTAAAGATGCTCCTGATAGGCCATGTGTAATTATTCCAGACACACCCAAAAATGTCTCAATGGAAGTGGATTTTAGCTTGAATTTAGGTTCAATGTGGAACTCTATCTAAATACAAATATAAAACTTTATATTGGAAAAATAACAAACTGAGATAATTTTGTAATGTTTAACAGTAAATTAACCAAGAGTGTCTGTAAAAGGGAAAAGGTGAAAGAACAGATTCAAATTAGGAAAGATCTTCCAACACACATGCGTTTATGTATCTACATAACAGTTAAGCAAAAATAAAACTATAATGTAAGAAACTAAGAACATCTTCTAATATCAATTGCTATTCATAAGAAAAAGTTTCACAAAATAAATACAAACTCAAAATGGAGACCCATAAAAATCTAGCAGATTTATAGCTCAATGGGTTTTTTCTTTAAATGACTGTGACTGTTTTTCTCTTCTGATTGAAAAAAAATTCCATTTCATTCAGTATAGCAAGCTAGAGAATGTGAAAATTCTTCTTCTAAAACACAGCTAAATATGCAAGATACAAATATAATAAGTAGCCATCAAATGCATACTTTGCTAGATAAGAAAGGAAGAAAATCTCAGGAAGTCAAAAGAACAAAGAGGAAACTAAGAATTGGGCGGTAAACAAATTATTCCTGCCCTTGAGAATTTTCAGCTTTAATAGCCAAATAGCTTAATAGCCAAGTAAGGGGAGCAGTCAGGGTTGCATGAAGAGGAAGCAGGAACTGAGAGGCCACATCTTTGAATAGCTTACAGTCACGAAAGAATATAATAGAAAAATATGTTCTCTGAATGCCTAGATGGGAAGTCAACATGATCATAGCTCTTAACCTGGGCTGTAGTGTGGGTGGGGAAAAAAAGTTATTCCTTCCATACTCATTGTCAGTGTTTCAGCACTTAGACTTAAAACTGCAGCCCCTCCCAAATGTCTATCAAAGGAATATCAGAAAGAAAGAATAAAATGTTCCTTCGTCCTCCGAGGTAACAAAGGAACAGATATAATTTTATGTCTTGCATTTAGTTCTGATTATGTGGTAAATTGAGAACATTTACAAAATCATCTCAATATGATTCTTCTTTCCCATATAAAGATTTGTATAAGTGTATAATCCTATTCTATTCCATAACACACCCTTGGAAGTGTTATTTAAACAAACAAGCCTTTTAAGACATTCAAACTTTGAAGATTACTGCTGTGTTTTATGCAATGTATCTTCCAAATGTTCTTGTATGTGTTTTGCCTAAGTAATACTATTTAAATTGGTAAATTACTTTGAGATATTTATGGTAAGTCCAGAAGAAGAACTTTAGAATTTCTTCTTTCATTTATGCATAAAGACATAATCCATCTTATAATTCTGTTGAATTATTTAGTTAAACAATGATTTGAGGCTATTTTTTAATCAAAGTCAACACAAGACAATACCAAAAAGAGCACAAAGTTTTTTAAAAGATCAAATTAAACTCTACAAAATAAAGTCATTGAAATTAAAAACTCAATGTGTAAAACAAACAGCAAATTTAAAAATAGCTGAATAGAGATTAAGTAGACTAGAGTATAGATATAAGAAATTTATCTAGGATGCAGCAGAGGAAATCAAGATATAGGAATTCTGAAATAGATTTAAAAATACAGAGGTTAGAGTGAGAAGGTCCAATGTATGTCTAATAAAAATAAAGACTAAGAAATCTTCAAAACTAATGAAAACAATGAAACCCAGATTAAGGTATCAGACTGAATCCACAAAAGAATAAACATTTAGACATATCATAGTAAAAACAATATCATGGAAAAGGAAGAGAGAAGATGACATGTATAAGTGACTGACAGAAAAAAATAAGCTGATAACATAGAAATATTATTTAATCCAAATTTTTAATGAAGAAAATGTCAGAAAAAAAGGAAAGTTTCCCAACTTCTGATTATGGTAATGGCAAAACAAATAATTTGGACTGAAGCCTTTCGTGAAGAACAACTGTAATATCTGGACAAGGTACTTATATAAACAAATCTCTTAAACATATAAAATTGCTAACCAGATGGTGACACACTATTGGGCTAGATTCTAGGGCAAGATGGAGGTCCTGGAAAGGAATCCCAGTGTTTGGGTTACCTTTACTTTGGGGGCATTTTCTGGGTGCAGAAGGTATACCTGAATATCTGAGAGGCTGTGGTACACAATTGTCAACTTCATGGTACTTAGTGCAGAGCCTGCAGAGAAGTGGTGGGAATTGTCCTGATGAAAGCCACTTACTTTGATGCCAGAATACTAGAGTCCGGTGTTATTTTGGAAGAACTAGAGACACCAGGAGTTTAACAGTAGCAAATACACATATTCTTTGAAAGAAGGTAATATTGTCATAGGTCTGTGATTATTTCTATACACAAAATTTTAAATTCAATGCCTAGGACATAATGTCTAGCAGGATTATAAAAAAAAAAGAAATCTTGAACAAAATTCTGAGGAAACAACAGACGATATGAAGAGAAATGGAGAGGTTTCGTATATTGGATTTATCCAATATAGACTTTAAAATATCTGTGTTTAAAAGATAAAACTGAAAATTTCAGAAGAGGCTTGGAAACCAAAAAAAAATAACAAAATAATTATTAAACTAACAAAGACCTATATCAAGAATTCACTGGATGAACTGTTGAATAGTAATTGGACATAGTTGAAGGAAGAATTAATAAATTGGTTAGGGTGTAAGAAAATTCCAATAATGCATCACAAAGAGATACAATAATAAAAAATAGAGAAGAGAGGATGAATGACTAAAGGATGCAATGACATATCTAATAAAGCATAACTTGAGTTCTTAAAGAAGAGGAGAAGAATAGAACACAAGCTATATCTCAGAACTTTCCCAAACTTATGAATGTCATAAAGACTCAGATTCAATCATAGATGACACAAACACATAGAAAAACATTCCATCTCATGGACTGGAAGAATCAATATTGTTAAAATGGCCGTACTGCCCAAAGCACTGTACAGATTCAATACTATTCCAATCAAACTACCAACATCATTTTACACAGAACTAGAAAAAAGTATTTTAAAATTTACATGAAACCAAAAAAGAGCTCATATACCCAAAGTGATCCTAAGCAAAAAGAACAAAACTGGAAGCATCATACTACCCAACTTCAAACTATACTGTAAGGCTGCAGTAATCAAAACAGCATGGTACTGGTACAAAAACAGACACATAGACCAGTGGAACAGAATAGAGAACTCAGAAATAGAGCCACACACCTACAGCTGTCTGATCTTTGATAAGTTGACAAAAATAAGCAATGGGAAAAGGACTCCCTAGTCAGTATAATGACGCAGAGATAGTGGCCTAGCCATACGAAGAATAAAACTGGACCCCTACCTTTCACCACATAGAAAAATTAAATTAAGATGGATTAAAGATTTAAATGTAAGACCTCAAACTATAAGAATCCTCGAAGAAAACCTAGGAAATTCCATTCTGGACATTAGCCTTGGGAAGAAGTTTATGACTACGTCCTCAAAAGCAATTGCAACAAAAATGAAAGTTGACAGGTAGGACCTAATTAAACTAAAGAGCTTCTGCAGGGCAAAAGAAACTATCAACAGAGTAAATGAACAACCTAAAGAATGGGAAAAAACATCTGCAAACCATGCATCTGACAAAGGTCTAATTTCCAGAATCTATAAGGAACTTAACCAATTCAACAAGTGAAAAATAACCCCATTAAAAAGTGGGCAAAAGACATGAGCAGATACTTCTCAAATGAAGACATACGAGCAGCCAACAAACAAACGAAAAAATGCTCCACATCACTAATCATCAGAAAATGCAAATTAAGACCACAATGAGATACTATCTTACACATATCAAAATGGCTATCATTAAAAAGTGAAAAACAACAGATACTGGTGAGGCTGCAGAGAAAAGGGAAGACTTATACATTGTTGGTGGAAATGTAAATTAGTTCAGCCACTGTGGAAAGCAGTTTTGGAGATTTCTTAAAGAACTTAGAACTGTCATTTAACCCAGCAATCCTATTACTTGGTATACACCCACAGAAAAATAAATAATTCTACCAAAAAGACATATGCACTTGTACATTTATTGCAGCACTATTCTCAATAGCAAATACATGGAATCAACTTGGGTGCCTGACAATGGTGTATTGGATAAAGAAAATGTGGTACATATACACCATGGAATACTATCCAGACATAAAAAAGAAGAAAATTATGTCCTTTGCAGCAACATGGATGCAGCTGAAAGCCATTATTCTAGGCAAATTAATGCAGAAACAGAAAAATAAATACATGTTCTCACTTATAAGTGGGAGCTAAGCATTGGTTACACATGGACATAAAGATGGGAACAGTAGACACTGGAGACTACTAGAGAGTGGATGAGGGATAAGGGCTGAAAAACTACCTATTGGGTACTGTGCTCAGTACCTGAGTGACAGAATCATTTATACCCCAAACCTCAGCCTCACATAATATACCCATGTAACAAACCTGCATATGTACCCCCTAAATCTAAAATAAAAATTTATTTTTTTAAAAAAAAGACTCAGATTCAAGAAGCCCTACGAAGCAGGACAAATACAAAGAAATCCAGGCTGAGGCAGGAGGATTTGTGGAGCCCAGGATTTCAAGGCCAGCCTGGACAACATAGAAAGACCCCATCTATTTTATTTTTTAAAAGGAAGAATAAAAGAAAATCAAAAGAAATCCAGTCACAGGAACATCTCAGTGAAGCTGAAGAAAAAGAAAAAGATAAAAAGAAGAAAACACTTTTATCAACAAGAACAACCAAAAAGACAAATTTTCTTCAAAGGAACAACCATTAGGTTGACAGCTGATGGAACAACACAAAGGAAATAGATGGCATTAGAATGGTATCTTCAAAGTGCTAACATAACCGCCAACTTAGAATGTCTTTTCCAGCCACAATATACTCCAAGAATGAAGGTAAAACAAAGATTTCTTCAGACCAGAAAAAAAAATCTGATAGAATTCATCACCAGCAAACTTTCACTAAAAGAAATAAAATGAATCACTAAAGGGCATTTTTCAGGTGGAGATAAAATTATTCTAGGTATGAGTCTGGAGATGCAGAAATAAAGAACAATAGAAAGGAAAAATATGTCAATATATCTAAACAAACGTATCTCAATAAATGTATAAAACAATATAAATATAATGTCTGGTTGTATTTAAAATACCTGATTAAGATCTACTTGAATTTTTATGCTATGTATATGTATAAATGATTTTTAAAACATTTAAAAGAAATTAAAAGAACAGATTTCTTCTCCCAGCCAAGATGAAATTAAAAAGACTGCATTTGCCTTCAAACCTGTAACAACAAAATTTACAAAAACTCTTCCAAAAAATCAAACAAAAAGAAATATTTTGAACTCATTCTATGAAGTCCAGATTATCCTGATAACAAAACTGGACAAAAACGTTTTAAAAAATTGTAGATAATATCCTTCTGAAACAGAGATGCAAAAATTCTTAAAATTTCAGCAATCAAACCCAAAAGGTATATACAAAGTTACTACTTCACAACCAAGTAAGAATTATCCCAGGAATGGAACATTGGTTTAACTTTTAAAAAGCAGTCAATGGCCGGGCGCTTAGCTCAGGCCTATAATCTCAGCACTTTGGGAGGCTGAGGCAAGCAGATCACTTGAGGTCAGGAGTTCGAGACCAGCCTGGCCAACCACGGCCAACATGGTGAAACCCCATCTCTAGTAAAAATACAAAAATTAGCCCGACGCAGTGGTGGGCACCTATAATCCCAGCTACTCAGGTGGCTGAGGCAGGAGAATCGCTTGAACCTGGGAGGTGGAGGTTGCAGTGAGCAGAGATCAGGCCACTGTACTCCAGCAGAGCAAGATTCCATCAAAAAAAAAAAAAAAAGCAGTAAGTGCAAGTCACCATTTGATTGTCTCAATATATGAAGGAAAAGCATTTGGCAAATTCACCATCCATTCCTGATTTAAATGAAAGAACTCTCAGCAAACTAAGAATAGGAACATCTTCTACCTGGTAAAGGGTCTCTAAGAATGATCAACAGCTAACATTATAATAAAGGTTTAAGACATTTTCCCATGATAAGAAAGAAGATGGATATTTGCCTCTCACTACTTCTATTCAACATTTTACTGCAGATCCTATACAACATGATCTGGCAAGAAAAATAAATAAAATGGCGCTCGGATTGAAAAGGAAGAAGTAAAATAGTCTTTATTTGCAGATGACATGTTAACGTATGTAGAAAATCTAAATAAATCTACCAGGAAGACAAAAGATAATAAGACTAACAAGTGGGTTTGGCAAGGTTTCAGGATATAAGATCAATATACAAAAAACAATTGCATTTTACAGACTAACAACAAACTATAGAAAATTGAAATTTAAAATGCAATTTACAAGAGCATAGCAAACTGAAATACTTAGGAATAGATGTGACAAAAGATCAGGTACAAGACCTGCACAGTAAAAACCATAAAACGTTACTGAGAGTTAGCATATAATTCAGCAATCTCACTTCTGGGTATAGAGCAGGTCCTCCAATAACATTGCTTTGTTCAACATCTTTTCATTATAACATTGCTGAGGGAAAAAAATCGATTTCCAGCTGGGCCACTGTCTGTATAAGGAGTTTGCAGATTCTCCCCATGTCCTTGTGGGCTTTCTCCGGGCGCTCTGGTTTCTTCTCACGTCTCAAATCTGTGCATGTTAGGTTAGGTGAACAGGCATGCCTACGTGGTCCCAGCCTGCGTGAGTATAGGTGTGCTTGTGTGAGTTTGCCCTGCAATGGGATGGCATCCTGGTCAAGACTAGTTACCTCCTGGTGCCCTGAGCTGCTTGATAGGCTTGGCAACCCACAACCCTGAAATGGAATCAGCAGGTAAATAATCATCTTGTTTGTACTAATCTTTCTTAAATGTATGTATAGCTCACATTTATTTCAACATTTAATATTAGAAGTGTTTTGGTCCTTACTCAGAAGTTTGTTGATGTTTTTGTGACCAGAAACATGCCATAGGAATTTAACTATTCTTCATATCAATTCGCCTATGGTAAAATTGGTTTTGTTACATGCCATTCCTCCTAAAATTGCTGTTTCAAGAACCTATCAATGACATTAAGTGAGGACTTACTATTTATCTAAAGGAATTGAAATCTGTATCATTAAGAGATATCTGCACCCTCATGTTTATTGCAGCATTATTCACAACAGCCAAGATATGGAACAACCTAAGTATCCATGGATAGATGAATGAATAAAGACAATGTGGGATCCATATACAGTAGAATATTATTCAGCCTTTATGAGGAAGGAAATCCTGCCATTTGCAATAACACAAATGAATCTCAAAGACATTACACTAAGTAAAATAAGCCAGACACAGAACGACACGCATGATCTGACTTATATGCAGAATCTAAAAAAGTGGAACTCATAAAAGCAAAGAGAAAAATGTTGGTTACCAGGTGAAGGAAGTGGGGGCAATGGGAATATGTTGGTCAAAAGGTATAGATATTCAGTTATATGGATGAGTAAGTTCTGGAAATCTAATGTACGGCATGGTGAATATAGTTGATAATACTGTACTGCATACTTGAAATTTGCTGAGAGTGGATTTGAAGTGTTCTCACCATAAAAAAAAAAGGTGAAATAAATCTGGAGTAAAAAATAGAATATCCAGTAATATTAATATGCATTAAACATTGAAGTAAATATCCAGAACAATGATGTTGCAATGATATATGTTGGGAGAGATGTAAATAGAATTTAAAATGTTCTATTGTGTTTGGATTCACTGAGGAAAAGAGTAAAAGTACTAATTAATTTTAGTCTTTGATAAATTAAAAAATACATGCAATTTCTAGAATAACCACAAAAAGAAGAGTAAAAATAATATATAATTCCAACCTAATACAACAAGGAATTCTAATCATAACTATGAGAGATGATTGATATGGTAGTTTGCACTAGTAATCATTTTACAATGTATACATATATCAAATTATAAAGCTGTATACCTTTAATATATAAAATTTTTATTTGTCAAGTATACCTCAGTAAGTCTGGAAAAACTTAGAAAGATCCAAGTCGTTTATCACTTATACTAAATATAAAAAATACCAAAAAATGACTGTGAAAAATTAAAGAAGAAATAAATGGGATATATATGTCATATTTGTGTGTGTGTGTATTTACTTATTCTAAACTTGTAAGCACATAAAAAACAGCCTTACTCTTGTAAGCCACAAAGATTTTGCGGTTGTTTATTACTAACCAATAGAGAAATTTTAAAGTGCACATCAAAATAACCCATGAATCAAGGAAAAGATCATAATGGGAGTTAAAAAGTATTTTGAATTGAGCAAACGAGAAAATGCTATACAGAAACTTATGGATGCTGCTAAAGACATGCTTAGGGGGAAATTTAGGGCTTTAAATGAAAAAAAAAGAAAAGCTGGAAAATTAAATATCTAAGTATCAAGAAGTTAGAGAAGGAACATCAAAACAACCTAAAGAAAATAGAATGAAGGAAACAATAAGAACAGAAATTAATAAAAACAAACAAACATAGAGAGGATCAACAAAGTCCAAAATTCTTTGAAAAACTAGTCCAGGCGCAGTGGCTCATGCCTGTAATCCCAGCAACTTTGGGAGGCCAAGGTGGGTGGATCTCGAGGTCAGGAGATGGAGACCATCCTGGCCAACATGGTGAAACCACATCTCTACTAAAAATACAAAAATTAGCCCGGTGTTGTGGCACGCACCTGTAGTCCCAGCTACCTGGGAGGCTGAGGCAGAAGAATCGCTTGAACCCAGAAGGCAGAGCTTGCAGTGAGCTGAGATCCAGCCACTGCACTCCAGCCTGGCGACAGAGCGAGACTCTGTCTCAAAAAAAAAAAAAAGAAAAAAAGAAAAACTAGCAAAGTTCACAATCTCCTGACAAGACTGGTCAAGAATGTGAACCTCTACAGACTCTCAAATAGTGAAATTAAGCCAAGAAGGAAATACTGAGATTAAATAATGAATAATAAGTGAAGAAAATTTAATAAACAGGTAAAGTAAAATAGGAATTGAGTGAATAAAATAATAATGATATAATTATGACTCATTTGGGTGCTATAAATCAAGGTGGAACAAAAATTTATAACAGACAACGATAATATGTAGAATAGGACAATGAGAGTGTTCAAAAATCCCTGAATTCTTTGTAAGAAAAAAATAGTAATTATATTTACATGTAAGTTTGTTAAAATTTTTAGGTTAACAAAAAGCATTTCTTCCAAACAAGAACAGAAGTGAAAAAGTAGGAATAAATAAATTACTAGTATTATTATTATTAATATTATTATTATTTGAGATGGAGTCTTCCTCTGTCGCCCAGGCTGGAGTGTAGTGGCACAATCTCACCTCACTGCAACCTCTGCCTCCCAGGTTCAAGCGATTCTCCTGCCTCAGCCTCCTGAGTAGTTGGGACTACAGGCACATGCCCCCACGTCTGGCTAATTTTTGTATTTTTAATAGAGATGGAGTTTCACCATGTTGGCCAGTCTGGTCTCAAACCCCTGACCTCAAGTGATCTGCCCACCTTGGCCTCCCAAAGTGCTGGGATTACAGGCGTGAGCCACCATACCCGGCCAGGAATAAATAAATTATAATCAGTAAAACAGAAGATAGGCAAGAAGAAGAGTGTGGAGCAGAAACTGCTAGTTACCTCTGCAATAGTCATTCTCCCCATTTTTAATACAACAAGCACTCCTTTCTTTTTTATGTGTAAACTTTAAGTTCTGGGATGCATGTGTAGAACATGCAGGTTTGTTACATAGGTATACACGTGTCATGGTGGTTTGCCGCACCCATCAACCCATTATCTACATTAGGTATTTCTCCTAATGCTATCTCTCCCCTAACCCCCCCCACCCCCCAACAGGCCCCCGAGTGTGATGTTCCCCTCCCTGTGTCCATGTGTTCTCATTGTTCAACTCCCACTTATGAGTGAGAACATGCAGTGTTTGGTTTTCTGTTCCTGTGTTAGAGTGCTGAGAATGATGGTTTCCAGCTTCATCCCTGTCCCTGCAAAGGACACAAACTCATCCTTTTTTATGGCTGCATAGTATTCCATGGTGTATACATGCCACGTTTTCTTTATCCAGTCTATCACTGATTGGCATTTGGATTGGTTCTAAGTCTTTGCTATTGTGAATAGTGCTGCAATAAACATACGTGTGAATGTGTCTTTATAGCAGCATGATTTATAATCCTTTGGGTATATACCCAGCAATGGGATGGCTGGGCCAAATGGTATTTCTAGTTCTAGATCCTCGAGGAATTGCCACACTGTCTTCCACAATGGTTGAACTAATTTACGCTCCCACCAACAGTGTAAAAGCATTCCTGTTTCTCCACATCCTCTCCAGCATCTGTTGTTTCCTGACTTTTTAATGATCTGCATTCTAATTGGCATGAGATGATATCTGATTGTGGTTTTGATTTGCATTTCTCTAATGACCAGTGATGATGAGCTTTCTTTCATATGTTTCTTGGCCACATAAATGTCTTCTTTGGAGAAGTGTCTGTTCATATTCTTCTCCCACTTTTTGATGGGGTTGTTCAGGTAAATTTAAGTTCTTTGTAGATTCTGGATATTAACCCTTACAAGCACTGATTTTTAACTATGAACCAGGCTACCTAGAGAAAGCTTACAATCTTTATTTACCCTTATAGCTAGGTATGGACATGAGACTAAGCTAAGGTCAATGAGCTCCAAGCTTCAGGGAAACCTCCTCAAAATGTAGATGGACCCTAGAGCTTTGTCACTTTCCTCTGAGTCCTGGAATTTAAATGTAATGGTTGGAGTTCTAGCAGTCTTCTCTTATCAGGAGGCAAAGAGCCATACCTTAGGGATGTTAGAGCAGTGAGCTGGAAGCAGCCTCTGTCTTTCCATTCTGACACCATGGCTGCCATGGACAACCTGCTTACAATCTGTTTATGTGAGAGAAGAATCCATTTCCATCTTGAATATTTATTTTGGGTTTTGCATCAGAGGCAGCCAAATTTAATCCTAACTGATCTAAAGACAAAGAGAAAGCACAAGTACATCAGTAATTACAATAGATATAAATAAAGGAGTAAATATATATACACATTAAATACATATTAAACATAAACGTTAAATAAAGACAGGTTGGATAAAAAGCAGTCCAGCTGTATGCTCTTTAAAACCTAAATCTAAAATATAAGGACACTGGAAATTTGAAAGTGTTAATTTGTTTCATTAAATAAAATTAATATTTTAACAGAAAAAAAAAAAGTCAAGAAACTGCCAATGCCTGAAGTTCGGTTGGTGTTGTTTTGTCCTAATCAGAGACAGGAAATTCAAGAAAAAGATTATGTTGCAAAAATGATAATGTGTTCCTTTAGTGGTCTTAAAATATAAAATAAAGGACTAGGTAGTAACCTAAGTGAAAGGCGACTAGAATAAATAATAGAGATAGATCGAGGTCTATGTTGGAGTGCAGTTATTCTCAAAGTTGAGCATGAATCAGAATCACCTGGAGGGCTTGTTACACCACAAATTGCTGAGCCCCACCCGAGAGTTTCTGATTCAGTAGGTCTAAGATGGGGTCAGACACTGCATTTCTAAAAGATTGCCAGTGGATGTAGTTGTTGCTCCAACTTTGAGAACCTTTACTACTCAGCTTCATGGTTGCATTATGAGGAAATGGAACCCAGAGCTGCTCCAATGATTCTGACAGCTGACCACACATTAGAATTACCTAAGGCACTTTAAACGCACTTGGGCTCAAACTACTCCTACAGAGTCAGAATCTTTTATTTTTTGTTTGTTTGTTTTGAATTCCCCAGGTGATTTTAATGTGTAGCAGAGAGGCTAAAACTATTCTTCAGGTCTTCTGACAGTTTAAGAAGTTAAAATCTGGGGTTTAAAATGTTTCTAATTTGTACAGTATTGCACAGTCCACATAAAACAAATATGCTGGCTCTCAGGTTTGCAAACCCAGCAACATGATGAGGTGTGGCATTTAGCTTAGTTATCTGACCAGCAGTTGAAATGCAAAGCCAGGGCCTGGAAGATAAATTTGGATTGTGGTCATAGATCTGGATATGTATGTATAACTTTAAAATGTGAAAACAAATTCAAGCAAGCAAATGCAAACCAAAAGTTTTATATTCTCCAAATATAATAATTACTTTAAAAAGCAAAAGCTTTCACAGAAATCGTTATTTATTGCATAATACGTTTGCAATATAATAAAGATTTATAATGCAACCAAAACTGGAAGGTTTTTAAAATGTAACTCTTTCTTCCTCTCTCACCATATAACATACTTGCTCCTTTGCTTCTGCGATGAGTAAAAGCTTTCTGAGGCTTCAACAGAAGCAGAGCAGACGCTGGTGCCATGCTTGTTCAGCCTGCAGAATTGTCAGCCAAATAAACCTCTTTAAAAGAAAATTATAACTTATCTAGTCTCAGGTATTTCTTTAAAGCAACATAAAATGCATTAACATCAAAAATTAGTACCAAGGAGTGAGGCATTTCTATAAAGATACTTGAAAATGTGAGCAGCTTTGGAACTGGGTAACAGGAAGACATTCGAAGAGTTTGTTGGGGAGGGGGTACTCGGAAGAGGACAGAAAGATGAGAGAAAGTTTGGAACCTCTTGGAAACTGGTTAAGTGATTGTGACCAAAACGCTGATAGAAATATGGACAGTGAAGACCAGGCTGATGAGGTCTCAGATGGAAATAAGGAATTTATTGGAAACTGGAGCAAAGGTTACCTTTGTTATGCCCTAGCAAAGAACCTGGCTGCATTGTGTCCATGCTGTAGGGATTTATGGAAGTTTAAACTTAAGTGTAATGACTTAGAATCTGGCAGGAAAAAATTTCTAAGCAGCAAAGCACTGAAGATGTGGCATGGCTGCTTCTAACAACCTATGATCAGATTTAGGAGCAAAGGAAAAACTTAAAGTTGTAACTTATAATTAAAAGCAAAGCAGAGTGTAAAAATTCAGAAAATTTTCAGCCTGAACATGTGGTAGAGAAGGAAAGAGCATTTTCGGGAGAAGAATCCACCAGCTGGAGGAAAAACCACTTGCTAGAGAGATTTGCATAACTAAAAGGGAGCCAAGTGCTAATATTCAAGACAAGGAGAGAAAGGCCTCAAAGCCATTTCAAAGCCCTCCCACCACAGACCCAGAGGCTTAGGAAGGAAGAGTGGTTCTCGGGGTCAGATTCAGAGCCCTGCTGCCCTACACTACCTTGGGACATTGCTCCCCATACCAGGCCTCTCTGGCTCTAGCCTTGGCTCAAAAGGCTTTAGACACTGCTCTGGCCACTGCTTCAGAGGATGAAACCATAAGGCTTGGCAGCTTCCATGCAATGTTAAGTCTGCAGGTATTCAGACTGGTGCCCAGGCAGGAACCTGATGCAGGGGCAGAGCTCCCACATAGGACTTCTACTAGAGAAGTGCTAAGTGGAAATGGGGTTAGAGCCCCAAACAGAGTCCTCACCAGGGCATTGCCTAGTGGAGCTGTAGGAATGGGGCCACTGCCCTCTAGGCCCAGAATGGGAGCGCCGCCAGCAGCCTGTACTCTGAGCCTGGAAATGCTGCAGGCATTCACTCCAGCCCTTGCAAACAGCCATGTGGGTTGTGCCCAGCAAAGCCATGGGGACAGGGCTACCAGAGGCCTCAGGACCACATTTCTCACACCAGAATGCTGAGCATGGAGTCAAGGATTACGCTGGAGCTTTAAGGTTTAACAACTACCCTGATGGATTTTGAACTTGTGTAGGTCCCATTGCCCCTTTCTTTTGGCCAATTTCTCCCTTTTGGAATGGGAATGTTTACCAAGTGCCTGTACTACCATTGTATATTGGAAGTAAACAACTTGTTTATTATTTTACAGACTCACAGGTAAAAGAAACTTGCCTTGAGTCTCAGATGAGGCTTGAGACTTCGAACTTTTGAGTTGATGCTGGAACAAGCTAGGATTCTGGAGGACTATTGAAAAGGAATGATGTATTTTGCCATGTGAGAAGAACATGAGATTTGGGGGAACTGGGGCAGAATAATATATTTTGGATGTTTTTCCCCCACAAATCTTATGTTGAAATGTAATCTCCAGTGCTGAAGGTGGGGTCTAGTGGGAGGTGTTTGTGTCATGCAGGTGGATCTCTCATGAATGACTTGGTGCTCTCCCCACGGTAATAAATTTACAGGAGAGCTGGTTATAAGAAGAGCCTGACACATTTCCCCCTCTCTCTTGCTCCCTCTCTCTCCATGTGACATATATGCTCCCCCTTTGCCTTCTGCCATGAGTAAAAGCTTCCGGAGGCTTCACCAGAAGCTGAGCAGATGCTGGTGCCATGCTTGTACAGCCTACAGAAACATGAGCCAAATAAACCTCTTTCTCATCTTTACTCTCTCTATATATACACATACATATATATACATAAATATATATGTATATAAAATATATAAAACACCTGATGAGTTTTTCATTGTAAGGTACAGATAGAAAGCTTACCTTTATTTAAATTAGAATATTTAGATAGTAACAATAAACCTGAATGACACAAAGAATGACGGGTGCATGATCAATGACAACATATACATTTTGACACCTATGAACTTGAACTTTTATTGATTAGTGCATTAGTTTCCAATGGCTGCTGTAACAGTTATAAACTTGGCGGTTTAAAACAACACTTTTAGAAGCCAGAGATCTGAAATCAGTTTCACTGGCCAATATCAAAGGAGTGGACAGGTCAGGCTCTCTCCAGAGATTCTAGGAAAGAATCCATTGTCTTATGTTTTCCAGTTTATAGAGCTTTATTCTTTAATTATTTGTCTTCTGGTCCCCTTCAATAGCTTCAAAATATTGATTCATTGCCAGGGCAGGGGTGGTAAGAAAAGTTGTTTATATGAAAATTAAACTGAATATATTACAAACAATATCATCAAATTTCTAAACACATTGTTGGATAATCTGCATGAGAATTATAAAAAAAAAAAAAAGAAAAAATTGTGGAAATCTCAAAGTAGTCTACATTTTGATTGACTCATTGATGTCTTTCATGTCTTTCTTTCTACACATTAAGGAAGCAAACTGGAAACTAGACAAAACACTATGAGTACTATTTATGCAAGATTATTTCAAATTCCAAGCAGCAAATCCAGTTCCAAGAAATGGCCTCAACCCATAAGGTTTAGCAAAAACCTATTTAAACTCAAATAATTATCTTACAGAGGCTTTAATGTACTGTTTCTTTTAGTGACCTTACTAATCAGTTAGTGTCCTGGTTAGACCAGATTAGAGGGGCATCTATCCTATCTCAGTAACACAAGCCAAAGAGAAGAACAATGAAAAGATATGTAAAGAGCAGGAGAAATCAGAGGTGAGGAAATTTTTCCAATTGAAGAAGAATGGCATGTGAACAGAAATTAGTCAACAAATACATATGTTCATATACTTGAATTCTGCCTTCCACTTCCATTTTTAACATCAACTTGTCAACTAAGTACAGACTCTCTCACTACATACAAGATCCACTTTTCCCAAATTATTAAAACTCAAATAAGCATAAGAGCAATGTGGTATCTGATAAAAATGTAGTAATCAAAAGCATAGGGATAGATTTCTTGCTAGGTTTACCAACAGGCAGACATGCTAAGGCAACAGAGAATAGTTAGGGGAGTGGTCATGTAACTGGAGTAGGAGAGGTTCATCTTCAATAAATGGTTCCAGCATCTTGAAATCAGGAAATATGAAAAGAAACTGTCTTAGTTCATTCAGGCTGCTATAACAAAAATTAATTTCTCACAGTTCTGGAAGCTTGAAGTCTGAAATTAGGGTGCCAACATAGTTGGGTTCTGGTGAGAGCCCTCTTTTGGGTTACAGATTGCCAATGTCTCATTGCATCCACACATGGCAGAAACAGCGAGAGATCTCTCTGGAGTCCCTTTTATAAAAGCACTGATCCATTCATGAGGGTCCTACCCTCATAACCTCATTACCTCCTAATATGATTTGGCTCTGTGTTCCCACCCAAATCTCACCTTGAATTGTAGTTCCCATAATCCCCACATGTCATGGGAGGGATCCGGTGGGATGTACTTTAATCATGGAGGGGGGTTACCGTCATCCTGTTCTCATGATAATAAGTGAATTCTCATGAGATCTGATGGTTTTATAAGGGGGTTTTCCCCCTTTTGCTGAGCACTTCTCCTTGCTGCCACCATGTGAAGAAGGACGTGTTTGCTTCCCCTTCCACTGTGATTGTAAGTTTCCTAAGGCCTCCCCAGCCATGCTGAACTGTGAGTCAATTAAACCTCTTTCCTTTATAAATTACCCAGTCTCAAGTATGTCTTTATTAGTAGCATGGGAATGGACTAATACACCTCCCAAAGGCTCCATCTCCTAATACCATCACATGGGGGGTTAGGATTTCAACATATCCATTGTGACTGGACAAAAAAAATTCAGTCCATTGCAGAAGCTATTTTTAATTCATCATATGACTTTTTTCAACATTTTTTTAAAAATTTTAAGTCCTGGGTGGCAGATTAGGTTCCTTTTATCTTTTCAGGAACTGAGGATTGGACGGAGTTCTGGAGATGTTTGTTGTAAAATGAAAGAGTAGTTTCAAGAATGGTTGAAGTCATAATCTATATGTTTCTTGGTATAATGAAAGCTTTCACAAATGGCTGGAGAAGTCAAATTCAAGAGATGAATAAACTATCCTCTTATGTTTCTTGCTTCTCTCTCCATATGTGTGTGTGCCTGTGTGTGTGTGTGTGTGTGATTTAGTTTGTTCATAAGGAGGAAAAAGAAGATGAAACATCATTTGTCGATTACTCTCAAGTTAAAGGGACAGCTCCTCCTCTGCTGCATAGTCCTGGCATACCATAAAAACGTACAATCCTGGGTCCAGTTCTAAAATGTGCAACCTTGGTCCCTAGGTTCTCACAAAAGCCATTATTTCCTCTGTAAGGAATAGAAGTAGTCTGATGAAATCTTTTCCTCATATGCAGCAATTCCCAGAAATATGCTATTCT
The DNA here is from genome assembly GCF_000001405.40 of Homo sapiens. Taxonomy (NCBI): domain Eukaryota; kingdom Metazoa; phylum Chordata; class Mammalia; order Primates; family Hominidae; genus Homo; species Homo sapiens. Next base: position 72,955,209 of record NC_000009.12, on the reverse strand, counting down.
ACAAAATAAGCTCTCAGGGCAGGATGATGTTTACCTCAAAAATATAGGTCTCAGGCCCTGTGGTTTCTAGGCAGAAAAGATCTGCTTAAGTGAGGTTAGGGCTAAAGAATTATGGATGCATAAATGATACTTAGTAAATATTTGCTGAAATTAAATGGGCAGGTGTGGTAACCTGTCTCCAAAGCAACTCCTTTTGCCTACATTCAGGAATGCCTGGTATAAAGGGACTGTTCTTACATAATTATCCAATAAAATACAATTGAGAATGATCATATAAGAAGTGAGATGACAAGCCAAGTATGTTATGAAGCCTTGAGCTTTCATCGCCTGGACATCAAATAAACCAGTATTTGAATCCACAAACAACTGTGACTCTGGGAGAAGAAAGCAGCAAAACACAGCTGTTTGGGCATGGCCAGAGCGCCACTCTCAAGTTATGTAACAGCTGTTGTGTAATTGTGCATTTAACTCAAAACACATTTTTGAGAGAGAAAACAATTAGACTTTCCAAAAAGAAAGAAACAGAGAAATGTTGAAAGAACACAGAAGTTTCTATCTGGTCATCAAACATAAGACACGGGGGAGTCAAAGGCATTGGGAATGATATTGCCTTAGAATCTAGGGAGTTGGCCCGTGCACCAAATCTGGCCTGCCTTCTGTCTTTTTAAATAAAGTTCTATAGGAAAACAACTACACCCATTAATTTACCTATCATCTACAGTTTCTTTTAAATAGAGTCAAGTAAATTATATCAGAAACCATCCAGCCCAGAGGCTGAAAATATTTACAGAAAAAGTTTTGCAAATTCTTGTCTTAGATGAATAAAAAGTTATGTTTAAATGCCTGTAAGGGTGACTATTCACTGAGAAAACCAAAGCAGTTGATGCTTGAACCCATGTAGGAGTTCTCTTGTGGAGAATAGGGTAGAAATAGTAAACAGAAATAAGAGTCCAGGTTTGGGAGTCAGACTGGCCTGAAATGAAATTCTGGTCCTGCACTAATAGATCTGTGACCATAAGTAAGCTACTCACCCTCTGTATGTCTCTAAAATGGGGATATGAAATGAGGGTAGAAAGGGAAACAAGTGCTGCACCTGATTTGGGCAAACAATTCAGAAATTTTTAGTTTCCCTATGTAAGTCCCATATTCAGGGGAATTGGCAAGTTTCACTAGAAAAAAAAAAATTGGTTGATTCTCCACAATCAGAGCATCCAGAGTATTTTATCTTGTTCCTATTGTAACGTTTGCTAGAGCTACAATACAATAAAGTATTGTACTTAAAATGGGAGTAACACTGTTTAAAAAATTGTCCTTCAGCTAAATATTAATTTAAGAACTTGAATTGTTTGGAAGCCCTGCTTAAATTTAGTCTTTGTACACTGCCTATGTTGATAAATACAGACAACTTCCAAAACCAGGATTACTTTCATTTTAAATGAGTATTAATAGATGATATTGCCATATTTCTAATTGTGGTGATTGTGTGTGACAGTGTGTTCCGAATTCCCTAAAAGTCCTGCTGGCTTTTCTGTTCACATATAGAAAATAAAGATAATTTAGGGCTTCTGAGATCACAGTAGGTCTACTTACCCAGCACTGAAAATACACAAGACTGATACGATATTTTAAAACTAACTTAGGGTAGGGTGTAGATAAAGGGCCTTTCTTCCCCAAACAGCACCTTGATTTTCTGGGAGATGGACTGATTTCCTGAAAGCCTTGTCCTGAAGACACCTGGCCAGCTTCTACTGAGAACAAGTGCCCTTTTAGACTCTTTTCAATCCTCAAATTCTCTGATTCCAAGTCTGTCAGAGAACAGAAAGTTACATAGTAGCATTAAAAAGCATGAGAAGTCAAAAAAATAATAACTGGCCTTAGTGGCCAGAGCAGCTGCTGCATACACTTATCACAGGTTTCGGCTTTGTAAATTAATTCATCTGCAAATAGTGCACTGTCTCCAGGTACAAATTCGATGCTGGAGCACTGGTTTCTTAAGGATTTAAGTTTAAAGTCAAAGGCTTCCTGCCCTAGGTGTTACAAATAAGTAGTGTCGTTTTCTTTTTTTGCTCTGAGTTTGTTCATCCAATCGTATCCGAGTATGCAAATAAACTTTAGCCCGTGCAGATAAAAAAGGAACAAATAAAGCCAAGTGCTCTATCAGAACCAAATTGCTGAGCCAGTCACCTGTGTTCCAGGAGCCGAATCAGAAATGTCATCCTCAGGCACGCCAGACTTACCTGTCCTACTCACCGATTTGAAGATTCAATATACTAAGGTGAGTAAAACTTCTATTTTCTGCTTTGACTCGGGTTTGCAAAAACTGCATTTATGTAAAGCATTAAAGGTCAATTTAAGTAAACTTGTGTAAAGAGCCCTTTGCAAATATAAAAATAAAAGGCATGCAAAATGCAGGTCTCAGTTTAGTGTCCTGATCAAATATGATCTAAATCATATCAGACAATCTTTCATAAATTTATTTCTTAAAATATTTCCAAGCGAAAGGAATTCTCTTCTGTGTGAAAGGATTCTTATACCAGGATTCAGAGGACTTTACTAAGCACTTCTATTAACTTCACTATAGCCGGCATGTATGATAAGAGAGCAAAATACTCACTAGAGAAGCTTACTGGAAAGAACCAAACGAGTAGGAACAATAGAAAGCAAACAAGGAGAAAGAGAGCATACTGAAATAACATAACTTTCCAATATGTTTAATAAAATGAGTGTTAAAATAGGGGGACTTAAGTCTGATAATTGGATTCGAAAATCTTCAGATGGACTTGCATTATTTTGCATATTTTGGTGGGAGGAAGAAAAGCATTATTTCTTCAGCCAAGTTTGTTGCCATTGGAGCAGATGTGTAATTGTTAACTGATAAATATTTAGAGAAACAAGAGCAGGAGCTAGATCCAGACTTTAAAATCCGCAGCTGGGGGGAACTAGGAAATGGATCCTGCTTGAGTCGTTCTGAGAGTAACTCTGAACTTTGCCTGTTTCACACTGCTTTCCTGTCAGATCCTAGAACTCCAAAACAAACAAATGAATAAAACACAATCTAACCAAAATTACTTGAAGTTATCTTTATGGTGTGATGCAGAAAGTATGGTAAGAAATTAACTCTTGCAAATCAAGAGAGAGCCATTTTGCTGTCTGAATTAGCCAACAGAAAAACAAAGGGCATTATAATTTAATGATAAAGTAAAAGTCCCCACTGTTATATATTTATTTCCTCACTTGTAACCATGGATGGCTTTGAAATCCCAAGGTCTGTTGCATTTTCATTTTCATAAAGCACAACAAATGAGGAAGTTGCTCAGCTGATTGGCTCTTTTCCTCAGGAAAGTAGCAGCAGAGATCAGATTGTGCCTTTAACATGGTTGACCAGCAGCTATGAAGTGTATTTTAAGGTATTGTTATCACGAGGTTTTGTTAAAGAGGAAAGATTTTTTCCATTTAGTTTTACTACAAATGGTAGCATGAAAAATGCAGTAAATCCATACCGTCAAACAATTTACATTTGGCAAAGGTATGTCCAAAAGGTTGCAAGAGTCCAGTCTCCCTCATTTTCTTATTCCAAGTTTGTCATTCACAAGAAATTTCAATTGAAAGTGGGTACATTTAAAAATACATTTCATGAAGCTCAAAATTGTCGACAATGCTCAGATTATTGTATTACTATTATTAATGGGATTTTTTTTTTAATAATACTACCTAGGAAGATATTTTGGTAGTCTGGATGCCCCTGTCTCCCCACTCCTTTGGCTTTGCAGAAGTTTGCAAAGTCTTCCTTGTGTGTGTATTTCAAGGAAGCTCTAATGTAAATAACCTTCCTGCTAAATTAAGCTTCACTTAGTAGTCATTAACTAAGCATGTAAGAAGCGGTACTAGACAAATGAGATGGTCCTAAAAATCTAACATACAAGCACAGACCTAATGAACCCTTAACACAGAGAGATGATTTTGAGATTGAAACCTATTCACTTCGAAGTCACTGTGCAACAACTCCCCTCTAGGGAAAGTGACTGACCTAAGTGTCCAAAAGAAGGCAAGACTCAAAGAGCAGGCGTTTTGCTCTGTGTTTAAGAACTTTTCTGGGTAAAAATACTCCAAACAAGTCAGTGAATTTTGATTTCTCGTGCATCTTCTATATAAATCTGTTCTGCTCAGATAGCATTTTATTGTTTAATTTATTGGTTACAGCGTTTTCACACTTGGGAGGACGCCAGTTATGTATGTAATTAAATCTAAATGGGTGAACTTTTTCAAATGCCTTCGCATTTTTTGTTTACTATGTCCCAGTGAAGAATTGGATTGAATTTGCTCTTGCAAGAGGAGTTAAAAAAAAAAATGATGGTTATTAACTATAAAAAGTTCCCTGGTTACAAACCAAGTAAGCAAGGAGTTTATAGTGTCTGAGGAATTATCTTCTATTACCAGCCCCTAAAGTCTTGTGTTATTTTTCTGTTACTATTCTAATGTCCTTTTTTATTATTATTATAGCTAGAAGTATATTGGTTGTTAGGACAAGTTGGAGAGAACAGACAGGGTTGAGTAAAAAAAAAAATATTACAACTACGATAGAAAAGCTACATACTCTCAAGCTTGGGACTGCTTTTCACCCAAACAAAAGAATTTATTGATGCATATGTTTTTATGACTTATTTTCTAGTACAGTCTGATTATTTCTTTGTTGGGGTAGATTAAAGAGAGATCAGAGTTTAAGAAATGCTTTCTAAAATTATACAAAAGCTTTTGGAATTTAAAACCTCAAAAACATCGCTATAAATTCACTAATATGAACTCATATCCCATCCTTATCCTCATTACTCCTCTTTCCAACTCTAAATGAACCCCACATTTTCCATTTTATTGAGCCTTTAAATGAAGAGATTCTTTGAAAGTTATGTGATCATTGGGCAAGCTACATTACTTCTCTCTGCCTCGGTTTTCTTATGTTTAAAATGGGGATGATAAAGGCACGTATTTTCTAAGGTCGATGAAAGTATTAAACGAACTTAATGCGTACAAAGCCCTTGAAATAATGCCTGGACATGGGAAATGATTTAACGTTAGTGATCCTAGTCCTATTTTTCTGAATCCTTTCCAGTTTTTCCAGAATATTCCCTTTTACCCAACCTTTCCTAGACCTGTTTCCTACAAGTATGCCTCACGTCTTCTCCTAGCTTTTCTGTCACTCTTTTTTGTACAGTCATGTCCCATCTGACAAAGATTGCATCAGAGTGAAGTTCCAAGGGTCTTCCAAGATTTCAGGGATCAAAAATTTTCTCCTACAGGATTCGGTAACTTTGTTTGCCATTCTCTCTTCACAATACTGTTGTTTTACCTTTTCTTTTTTCTTTTTTTTTTTTTATAAAAGGGAAATAGGAAATTCAAGAAGACAAGCATTCTCAGACAGAATTCAAACGCCAAAATGTTTAACTTAATTAGTAAGCTTCACTTATTAAACCATGGTTTGTTCATGCTACAAAAGACCTTCATCAGCTAATGACATTTTACTCATACATACACACACACACACACACACGCACACACACACACACAATAAATAATTATAGGTAAAATTTATTGTGCTTACTCTGCCATGACTGTTTAAGTTCTTGACAATGATTTTATTTACTCCTCATAATAACCCTATGAGGAGGTTACTATTCCTGTTTCACAGTTCAGGGAACTGAGGAACAGAGCGGCTATGTAACTTACTAAAGTTACACAGCAAGTAAGTGACAAAGCTACACTGCCAATGCTGGCAGTTTGAGCTAACACACTAGCAAGAGACTTGTCTAAGGTCAATTCCACTACTCTGGGACACTGACTTGCCAGAATCCTCTTGTATCCTTCTTCATCCTGACTTTCATTTGCCCATTGCTGATTACCATGGTCTTTCCAGCTGCTGCTCAGCTGTTCCCAGGCCAATAAGAGAAAGTTTGCAGCCAACTTAGAAAAAGAGAACAATAGGGAAATTGAAAGGAAATAGGTTTTCTGCTTTGACTGAAAATGTGACGTTTGGGCTAGGAGAGGCTATGAGGCAGAGGACTTTGACATGGATGTGAAATGTCTGTGTGAACTACATTTCTTCAACTCCTATGGAATCGATTTTGGTTAGAGTAGGAGATTGCTTTCCTAGATTTCTGGTTTTGTTTAACCCTTCTGGGTTAAAGAGATATTTTCAATGGAGAAGAGTTATGAATCATTGAATAATACGTCCCAGGCACGATTTGAAGTGCTTCTTTTCCCCCATGATTATCTCTTTAAATTCTTACAACAAACAAATTCAGCTACATGAACTTCCAAATACCTCCTTTGTCCCCTTTGCTTGTTTCTCCCTTTTGCTTTTCGTTTCTCCCATATTTCCCTTCCTCTTATTTAACAAGGCCTTGAATGAGTGCCCTATGCTAGTTCTCATGATATAAGAGGGCTAATATGATTCACGTCTCATGCAGCCTCTGTTCCTGGAAGGTGTGTGGAATAGTGTGGGGCAGAAAATAAGAGAATGCTTTAATCAGAAATTAGGATAAATGTTTAAAGCAAAATAACTGAAAGCTGAGAGGATATGAGTAGAAGAGCTTTTGATGAGGATTTTTGGGAAGGTGCTTTAAAGGTAAGCCTGAGGGATGTAGAGAATAAGGTGGCCAAGAGTAGGGAAGAACAAAGATCCAGAGGTCTTACCACATGCAAAGACCCCGAGGACAAGAGCATGTTATGCTCAAAGAACTATCCAAAGGCTAATCTGGCTGGAGTAAAGTGAATAAGGGAGAGAATGGATGAGATGAAACTGAAGTACAGGCTGGGGCCAGATCGGCTGGCGGATTTTGAGGAAGATCACTGAGAGGTGCTTAAAACAGGAAAGGACTTATGTTCAACGCAAAGCTGATTGTGCTGTGATGCTGCTTTCACTTGGGAAATGTTTTTAACTTCCTTCCAACTGAAGCAATATTTTGTTTGCTTTGGGCTTGGAAGCAGGTGAAAAAAATAGCTGACTGGCTGCAAGGTGCAGTGACTGAACAAGCTAAACCTGGCTTCAATTTCCAGCTATTCTATGTATTTAATTATATGACCTTGGCCAAGCTTCTCATCCCCTGGAGCTTCAGTTCCTCTGTCTGTGAATTGGGAATGAGAATGACTACCTTGGAAAGTGGCTGTGAGAATTAAGTGAGGTAATTTGTGGAATGTGGCTGGCACTTATTAACTACTTAGTCCTTTCTCTCCTTGATTCTCTTTCCCAAGATGACTCCTAGAATTATATGATCATTCTGTTCTCAATGTAAGTTATATTTATATTGCTTATCACAGCTCAAAACTGATTTCATATATTTCTCTCATTTGAGGTGCATCATTAACCACTGAGAGGAGCTAGAAAAGATGTTAGCAGAGTCCCATTTCAAAGCTGAGGAGCCCGAGCTCAGAGATCATGACTGACTTAAGGTCACATAGCTCTTAAAATGCAAAAGTAGAATAAACTGGATTCTAAATCTTTTTATCTTGGATCTGATGCTTTCCCACATGATATCCTTTTTTCCTTAAATATCAAAACCAGTAGTACTAGAATCTCACTCAAGAAAACCTAATCAAGAAAAAAATCTGAAGTAAATAACACATATCCTAAGAGAAGAGGGTATTATCCCCCTTTCCCAATTAGCTCTAACAACTGTTTTCACACCTATTACTGCATTTTTATCATTCATTCCTTACTGTGGTTGAAAGAATAGATCTAGGCTGAAGTCTGAGATTCTGTGTTCTTAACAGTCTTTCAGCTTTTGCTGATGCTACCAAAATGTCTGTTGACCAGCAGCAAGGGTCTAAAAGTTTTAGGTGAGTGAGCCTTATAACTTCAATGCAGCAACCACCTTCCAGTTACTTCACAATAGAGCTTCCAGTTTCTTCCAGAAACTAGCACTCAGCCACATCAGAAACTTTCCTTTCAGAAAGTGCCAGAGCTAAGCAGAAACATGATGATGGCTACAAACCAGTGACAGAACCAATCATTGATTTTAATAGTGGGAGATAATCATTTACTAATATTTAGAATGCTCATCTCTGAGGACTGCTGTCTTGGCAAGTTGTTTTGTTTTCTGGCACCTGCCTGACTGTAAGAAAATGGAATTAACAATTCTAAAGTAAAGAACACATGTCCTAAGAGAGGGTATTGTCCCCATTTCATAAGGGCTCTCAGTACAACTCTTTATATAACTTTGTAACAGGGACTTTAACCTATTGAATTTGTCACTACATACTTGCCAGAATGAGGGAAACACTCTTAGAGAATATGAAAAATAACTCATTTGAAGACCAACCCAAAGTAAAGGTAATGACTCTGAAATGGCATGGATAATCTATAGGATGATATGTTGCAAATCAGCATAAAATAAATCTCACAGAAATACAGACATCAAACAGAGATATCTGAAAATAGCAATTATCTGGCTTGGGATGGTGGTGTGGGGGGGTGCACTTTGGTTTGATTTATCATGATGCTATTATAACTATAGCCAGGGGATATATTATATGTTTACAAAGTGTAAGTGACAACATAGAACCATGTTCAAAAGAATTTGAGCAAGGATTGCTTCACAAACCCTTACTTAGAATCCAATAAATCAGAAAAGTAAATCTGTGTAATACTGGTTTTCCTGACGCTGACATGTTTTGGGTGTATAGATGTATATAGCAAAAGTATCCACAAACTTAGAAGCATTGCTTGAGAAGGATGTGAAGTGTTGCTAATATTGGGTTTTCTGATATTATCTCTACCTGATTCATTGTAACGTTTGACTTACTAATGGAAATTTGTTCACTGGGGAATTTGCACAAATCTCACATCTCTAAAAACTTTGCCTGAACCGTTCCCTCCCCCAACCCTGGTCCCATTTCCACTGACTATTTCCACTGCTCTATCGATACTTTTTTAGATGTCAAAGGAATACAAATAACTACTGAATTATGCTTTATATTTGGCATTCTTTTAGAAGGAAGAGGGCTTACATGCGAGCAATTCTATTACTAGGTCTTGATACTGCTAAAAATGGGCAGAACTTTCTATCGCTTCTACATCTTAACTCTGATACAGAAAATATATGATGTACAGAAGTTGCTGACAAGTTTTGTTATCATCTCTAGGACACAGTGATGGAGTGGCTCAAAACAAATGCTGTGGCATCTTTTCTCTTTCCCTGACACAATTGAAAAGGCTGATGGGGTTTTGCAAACAACAAGAAAAAAGAGTATATACTCACGTTACTAAAGTCAGACTATCATTTAAAACAAATGAAAGGAAAATTTTATTTCTCCTATTTTTTGTTTTCGTCATTCTGTCATTTTGTTTTCATTCATTTGATGACAGTTAAAAATTTTCTTTCCCTTTGTTATTTCCTCCTTAATTTCCTTTTACATTTTCTAACTTTGAGTCTCAACATTTTGCTTTCCTGCCTCAGGGTTAGGGTGCAAAGCAGTTGCCAGAGATCCAGCTTTGATTCTTTTAAATGTTTAACACCCCACCTGACTTTTGTTCAGTCTCTCCTCCTCATTATTCATCTCCGATCTCATACTCCCTGACTCCCAGCGGCCTTTAGTACTTTGGTAGGTTCCTAAGCTGAGAAAAGGTTGACACATTTACAGCACACACCAGTCTCCACAGGTTCACACCACCACCCATGCAGCCTATGCTGTGACTCAGTTCTCAAGTTTGAAAATTCACATGGATGACATTAAATGGGGACTCTCATCACCCTCCCTCTCGTTTGGAAAATCTTAAAAGAAATTCTTTGTGCATTGAAAATGTGATCTCTTAAAATCTCTCTCCCACCAAGAAAGTATTGCCTTCCTTTACAGACTCTAGGGCTGCTGGCCCAGTTGCTGCCCTGCCGAGATAATATTAATTTAAGGCACTCTGAGTATCTTTTGCAAGGAGTCAGGGGCTCCCCACTTTAGCCCACAGACTCCAAAATCTCATATCAGCAGATAAGGCAAATAGGGCTTTATTTTGCCACTAGTCAAAACTAGCTTTATCCAAGCCAGAAATATTTTGAGAAAATTATGCTTATTTATTTAGAACTGTAGATTTATACACAATACATTAAGACATAATAACTTTTACTCTGGAAAGGCAATTTTTTTCACAATTATGACTAATTCTTGGACACCAGTTGAATCCAGGAAATGGCTACTTGTTTATCAAAGGTAAAATGATGCATTTCTTAAAATGTGGCATATCTAAAATCTGAAGTGTAAAAATCCATTTCTAAGTTGCCTCAACATTTCTATTGATTGCTTCCCCATATAGAAAGTACTTGAAGTCCAAGAGTATGCATAGGCATTTATAATTTCCAATCAATATTTCAAACAGAAGGTTGATGTCTACTTTACATATATATTATTCAAAAGTCACCTAAGTCCAAAATTCATAATTAGAATTGAGTTAATATATAATGGTTACATAGAACCCAAGAATATTTTACTTTTATAGTATCATCTCTTTTCCTCTAAGCTGGCTAAAGGCAAAAAACAAATGGAAAATAATATTGTCACCATTATAGAACATTAAACAAGCCTAATGTAAATTTTATAATTATTATAACAAACATTCATTAGCCTAGACTTCTCCATATAACCATTAATATAACTATAGGAACAGTGATTATACAAAAACGTTTGGTCACACAGTTAGCTGGAAGGCAAATGCCCAATGTAAAGCTCCTATAATTAAAACAGAAAAAAAATGTATTTGAGGTAGGCCCTATGAATAAATTATCTGTAGCTAAGGGGAAGAAAAAGACTGGGCAATACCTGGCCTTCTAACCATCTAGGTCATCACATTACCTATGCCAAATTCCCTTTTCATGCTGAAACGCCTCTGTTTGTGGGAGAATGGCATAATTCATAATTTGTAGACTGCACTGTTACATCACTCTCCTTCAAAAGCCTGTGACCTTATGATAGGATTATGAAATTAGTCTCAAGGCTAATTTCTTGGACTCTGGTTGGTCTACTTCAAATCTACTTGGGATACTTTAAAATCAGTATTCCTAAACATCCATTTGATCTGGTCTCTCTCCCTTTTTATATCCAGAATAGAGCCTAAACTTCTTTCTCTGGGGATCAGGATCTGCCACAAATTGACTTTATTTTCAATGTCAGGCCTTATCTGTGACTTATGTCCACTGCAACTCCATTCTGTTGGGAGCTGCTCTGTTTACTGTGTTACAAACCTCCAAAGATTTGTCCCTCCCTTTACTCTTTTTTTTTCCTTCTTTCCACCAATCCAGTTCCATCCTTCAAAGAAGCATTCTTTCAGCCTATGCCCCTCTACACCATTTATTGACAACACCGCTGCTTTGGCCATTTTGCTCCACAGTCTTTAATTCTGTACTGGCGGCTCTTGATATGAATACATTCTCCTCTTAGATTATAAGCCCCTGAGAGCAGAGGCCATGGCTAACTCATCTCTCATTTTTCCACAATAACTGCCAGACTATGTCTCAAGTATTTACTCATTATTGGACAAACACTTTTCTGATAAAGCAAAAGTTACTAATCATGATTATATAAATGTCAACACAAGTTCAAACACAAGTTGGGCTCACAGTGTCCTCCTGTCTTAAAGGTTAAAACTGAATAATGCAGAACAGTGCTGGTAATTTGGGGTCCTCTACAGCTGATCTCTTCAGTTGCCTGCAGGCTGCCAGATAAACATGTGTTATTACTTCAGGTTAATGCTCATTTACAAAACATTCACTGGCTTTAATCTAAAGTGGCAGTTTTATGTACAGCTTAGATGCAAATTCTGATCATGGAACTAGATGGTACATACATACTGTAATAATTCTTTTACAAAAAAGTGTGTAAAGAGAGTAAAATAAGCTATAATATATTGAGAGCATATTATTGAGAACTTGAAACCACAGATTATCACAGACCTAAGGATAAGAGGACTCGGGCGAGAACTAGAAAGTCCGACCACAGGCCTAGCAAAATGTAATTGATTCTGTATGTTGTTTTATTTTATTTTTAATGAAATTACATTGTAGAAGGGTGAAATTCTGGATCTCTGCCAAAATGAAATCTGTGTTCCCTTAGTTTACAGGTACAAAATCTAAGGTGGTAATACAATCTTTAGGCAGAGAGAAGGCAGAATTCCCAAGTGAATAAATCTGATGCAGGTTTTGAAAGACTGATTTAAAAGTCTACGGCAGGTATCGCAATATCTTTAGTTTTTTGTTTGGAATTTTATGGGCTGATATGTAGATATCTAACATTAACACAAAGCAGAACATAAGTAATTTATCAGTAGGATACTAACATGTTATGTTGGAAAGAAGAAAAAAGAGATTAAATTCAATTGGAGCAACTAGTCAAATCTTCATGAGGAGATGACGCAGTAAGCTAGAATTTGAAGTAAAAATAGAAGAAAATAGTGGAACTCTAGTCTAAAGAACAGTGTGAATAAAAGCATGCTGCAAAAAACAGCATGGTGTTTGAGGCAGTAGAATGAGGCTGGAACAAAGGGTAAACTGAGGGAATGGTAGAGCAAAAGACTGGAAAAGCATGTTGGAGCAAGATCGTGAACCACCTCCAGTGCCATGTTAAGCAGTCTGACAATAGAGGATCACTAAAGTATTCTGAGGAGGGCTGTAGACAGAATCTGAGGAAGATTATGATGACAAGGTGAAAATTAAATTTTAATTAGGCAGAGGTAGGGGGCAAAGAGAACAGGGAAAGCTTTTTTATACTTGTATAGAACAAAGTGATACAAAAGGGTACCTAGGGATTATTTGTGTCATTAACAGAAGAAGGAAAGTGTGTGAGAGATAGGGCTGGGGGACAGTGTGCATGAGCAAGCTTCAGAACTTTGGGGTGAGAGCAGCATAAAGCTAGAGATGACAGTGAGCTGAGTTCGGGACAAGTTGATTAAGTTCTTTCCCAGCCATCCCTTGAGAAGAAAAATACTAAGCTGTAAGGGCATAAATGGAAACACTCTAAGAATAATTATGGGATTCTGTAAAATGTATTTCTGATAGCTAGAGTGTTGATTCACTCTAAGAGACATTGGGCAAATCAGCACTTTCGTCTGAATTTATTTTTCCTCAAGTTGATCTAAGAGCCTAGTGTTTTTTCCCAAAAGATAATACAATGAATTTTATGGTCTTCATCTGTATTCAGTTAATCTTGTTTCTGTAATCTGATAGGGTTTCTTGATACTTCTTCCATCTTTCTCATTTCCCCATATATGTATTTTTGCACATCTAGTCTCTTCATCTGAACAGCTTTGGGCCCCTTTTCCCTTTATTTAGGCATGCCCATGTGTTTTACCATCAATTTCAGGCTAGTACTACAATTCCTTTGAATGCTTCTAACTATACAGGATAATTTTCTTGTATGGAAATAATGCTGTTTTCTTGTATGGAAAATTATATTGGCATGAATGGGCAAACAAGACGGCTTATCCTCTTCCCCATTTTGTAGGAAATCACAAGTGTCATAGAGTATTCATTTGCAGAACGTTATAGATCTTATCCATGAGTAGCTGATGGATTATAGATCTTTGATTCAATTAAGTTAGTTATTCAAGAATTTTTTACTGAGGCTAAAATTGCTTGAGGGCTGTTGGACACTGAAGATAGACTGGAAAACCATACACAGCCCTTGATGGAAGGCAGACACTTAAAAATGACTATTTAAAAAGTGACAAATTGTCCAATGGAAGTATAGAGGAGACCAGGGAAGTATATTTTGTCTAAATAATAAATCACAGAATATAGAATGAATTATATTCAGGCATTTAGGGATATATAGTAATATACATTTTATTACTCTGATAGAATTTTAAGCTATGCTAGTGATCACCGGGGAATTTTTAATAAATAAGTAATTTGCATTTAGCATAGTAGCTAATTTAAACCTTGGAGGAGTGTTTCATTACATTCTCCCTCGGGGTTGAACTATTAATAACTTATCTTTAGATATCCAGTAAGAAGGGATGTCTGAATTAGGATATATGTTATAATCCAGCACATATGTCACCTTCCTTTACTCCCTGTGTTAGCTACCTCTGATTCAAAATAGAATAAACTAGTCCATCTTGTCATAAGTCTAACAGAAAGTTATATACTATCCAAGACTGTATTTATGATTGTTTTCATATTTCAAATAATTAGAAATGTGAAAGCTGGCTCCTCAAGAAAAGACAAATTCAGTGACATGAAAGTTGAAACTGAGATGTTTTAAATGACATACTGATGCTTTTAAGTATTTCTATTTTATAGTACACACAGACAAAATTTCATATTTTTTAGTGCTTACTGTTTCTTTAGTTGCATGTCTATTTCTCATAGTTACCATTAAGAAATCTTGTTCCTGATTTTGTCTGAAGACAACGAAATTACCAGGTAATCTTTTGAAAAGGAGAATAAAACCATATGCTTTTAAAAAGCCAATGAAACAATGTGACTAGCTAATTTTCTCTAAGTGAACTCCTTTTAGAATCCTTTAGCAAAATTCTTTTTTTAACTTTAAAACATTAAAGGATTAGAAAATAGTCTCTTATGATTCCAAATCACCAGTAGCCGAAAATGAGGATGTTCAGAATTTAAAGTGGAAAATAGAAGCAATCATTAATAAAGACCAAGCCCACAAAAGCCTTTGCTTTGCCTCAAATTCATGGCCATTTCAGGTAAAAGCATTGTTTTCTAGATTGTTTTCTCCAGTATGTATTTTCTAGTGTTGAACTGATTGCATACCTTAAACTTAAAAGCATTATGTACTTCATTTTAGTACATGTCTATGCATGTGAACACAAAATGTCTCAAACAGCCAGAAAGTTTTGAGAGGTGAAGAGATGTGCATCATTTAGGCATGGTGAAATGCTTTAGTTTAAGTTTATGAAAACTTCCAAAATTTTCTGCATATTTAAGCGCCTTGTATGTATTTTCTCTTCATCTCTACAGATCTTCATAAACAATGAATGGCATGATTCAGTGAGTGGCAAGAAATTTCCTGTCTTTAATCCTGCAACTGAGGAGGAGCTCTGCCAGGTAGAAGAAGGAGATAAGGTGAGTTTCTGAACACTAGTTTCATTTTATGCCAGGTTTCTTGGTTTTTTGCCATTCTGAGCTCCTGAACCCCATTGCAAGCTCCAAAAGACATGCCATGAAAATATGGTTTCTGGGGCAGCTTAGGAAAATTGTCTAAGTTGTCCTTGTTACCAAAAAAAAAAAAAATGCTCTGTAGTTATGTAATAATGATAAACCTGTGCTTCTGGGTGTCATGGTGATTTTTTTTCACATCATTTTCCTTTATTTTCAATTGAAATAGTATATAGATTTATTTTACAGACTATATAAGAAGGGATTGATCATAGGTTATAAAGTAGAGAAATCTTCAGCTGGGCGCTGTGGCTCACACCTGTAATCCCAGCACTTTGTGAGACCAAGGCAGTTGGATCACTTGAGGTCACGAGTTCGAGACCAGCCTGGCCAACATGGGGAAACACCGTCTCTACTAAAAATACAAAAATTAGCCAGGCATGGTGGCACATGCCTCTAATCCCAGCTACTCAGGAGGCTGAGGCAGGAGAATTGCTTTAGCCCGTGAGGCAGAGGTTGCAGTGAGCCGAGATCATACCACTGCACTCCAGCCAAAAAAAAAAAGAAAAGGAAAAAGGAGAGAAATGCTTTATTCATATGAAATTGTTCTTTTTATGTTGCTAGATAAAACTAAAAGTTATTATAGAACTTTTAGAACAATATATTACTAAGTTATTTTATTAAAAATCACTGCATTAATATTATTATTCAACACCTGTAAAAATTATATTATAGAATAACTTAAATTGACTAACAAATTACAAGCGTTGTTATTTTCCAGCTAATAATAGAAACAACAAAAACCAGTTTTTATTTAGTGAAAATTGTTCTCAAGTTCTAAATGCTATCTTCATTTAAAACTTAAAGCAACCCTATAGGGCAGGTACTATTTTGAGTCATTTTTACAAATAATGATGAGATGGCAGAGTAGAAAGGCTGAGTAATTTACTCAAGGTGACATTGCTAATAAGTAATAACCTCAACATTAAAATGCTGTTCCTCTGACACTATAACCTGTGCCTAGTAGGGCTACTGCTTCACTTTGTGATTATTATGAAAGTAAGATAGGGTTGGCCGGGCGCAGTGGCTCTCACCTGTAATCCCAGCACTTTGGGAGGCCGAGGCGGGCAGATGATCTGAGGTCAGGAGTTTGAGACCAACCTGACCAACATGGTGAAACCCCACCTCTACTAAAAATACAAAAATTAGCTGGGCATGGTGGTGGGTTCCTGTAATCCCAGCTACTGGGGAGGCTGACGCAGGATAATTGCTTGAACCCGGGGGTCAGAGGTTGCAGTGAGCCAAGATAGTGCCATTGCACTCCAGCCTGGGCAACAAGAGTGAAGCTCCATTAAAAAAAAAAAATTAAATAGTCTTTCTTATTATGAAAGTAAGATATCCCAGCACTTTGGGAGGCTGAGGCGGGCAGATCACAAGGTCAAGAGATTGAGACCATTCTGGCCAACATGGTGAAACCTCGTCTCTACTGAAAATACAAAAATTAGCTGGGCATGGTGGCGCATGCCTGTAATTTCAGCTACTCGGGAGGCTGAGGTAGGAGAATCACTTGAACCCGGGAGGCAGAGCTTGCAGTGAGCCGAGATCGCATCATTGCAGTCCAGCTGGGTGACAAGAGCGAAACTCCGTCTCAAAAAATAAAAAATAAAAAATTAGATAGCATAATATTAAATAAACTTTTTATTCTCCTCCTGGGTGAGGAGAGTAAAAAACTTCAGAATATTTTTCTGAACACGTAAGTGTTTCTAAGTCTAATTTGAAATGATTTTTCTGCTCTTTAGTTGCCCAGGGGTTGCCAAGTTTTAAATTTCTGTAAAGAAGTAATGTTTTATTTTATTTTATTATTATTATTATTGCTGCAGGAAAAGACTACTGGGAAATTAAAGTCAGCAACACCCAAGGATAATATTATTCATGACAATGTGTTTTAGTTAATTATAGCGATCACATGTTCCTGCCAGTCTCCTGCCCAGTCTTTTCCATTACTTTAGCCCCAGTAAATGAGATCACAAATCTCAACGTACTGGGCCATGCAGATACTTATTCCAAGATAGTGACAGACCTGAGGGGGCCCTTTTAGATTTAGGAGAGGCCCTTGGTTCAGATTTCAGTATGATGAAAACAAGTAAGACCGAAGTCTCAAGCCACAGGAGTACGGAGTTCAACCATAGGGGTTAACAATTTGAGAAGTAGAAACAAAATAAAATGATGACAAATGTCACTGGCTTTCAGATTCAGATTTACTCTTTATACTGAAGAGTTCACCAAAGCATAAATTCTCCATTCTGCTTCTCACTGTCTGTGGGAAAAAGTGCACAAACAAAGGTCCTTTATAATATTACTCAACCTTTGTTTATGGCCTCTTTCCCAGGCCACCGCATTAACTTAAGACTTTCAACTTCGTCATGCCCAGTGTCCATCCCCAACAATTGCTTGCTAGTCACTGCCTCTGTACATGTCCACAGTGTAGTCCTCAGGACCTAGTTCAAGTCACCATCTATAGTAAGAGCGTAGATTTTCAATGTTTGTACTTAACCTTCTTTGAGATTCTGTTCTTTTTCATGTAAAATGAGGAGATAGAAAATGCTTGAGGAGTTAAATATATAGAGCTCTTCAACGGTGCCAGGCATATCCTAAACCTTCAGTCATGCCCGGGTTTTATACTTATTTAAAGCCTTCTCTAACCTTCTCAAGCAGACTTACTCTCTTCTGTGTGGTTATAGGACATTGTATTTGCCTGTATTATAACCTTTGTATTATACAGCTATAGGTTAATTTGTCTGAGACAATATGCTTCTTGCAGAGATCAACACTGCATCTCTCATTTATATCCTTGGTTTCTGGATATAGTATATCCTATAAGTATGCTATACTATATTCGATAGATATACTATACTATAGATATAGTATATTCTATAAATCTATGAAGTAGTCTTCTTTTTCATCAAGTGTTGAATTTCCATACATTCCACATTCCTCACCTTAGGAATTTAGTACTAACCTGACTATTGGCTATGGCAGACATTCTCAAAATTTAGCCTGTCTCAGAATGTCCAGGAAGGCTTGTTAAAACACAGATAGCTGAGCCCCACCTTCCCCTAGGTTTCACTGCAATAATCTTAGAATGGGACCTGAAAATTTTCATTTTTTATCAATTCTTTGGTAATGCTGATGTTGTTGGTTGGGAAGGAGGTGAGGGAATGCATCTTGAACCACCGAACTAAAGTGTTAAGCTGTTAAGTTGTATCTCCTCTCAAGCGTTAACATTTAACAGGGGTCAAAGAGTTTTGACACCTAAGAAAGTTAGTGATTGAAAACTGTACTGTGGTGATCACTCTGCACCTCTCTGAAATGCTACCAAACCAAAATTGGGCATAGAAATACTGATCATCCCTGGCAAGGTCTATAGGAGCCCCAGAAGCCTGTGCCCTATAAGCCATTCCCAGAAATAAGAGAGAAATTTATTCTTCACCTTTCAAAGAAGAATGAACGCCTTTTATCAGAGACTTCAGGAGATCCACACACCACCACCTCAAATGTTCCTCTAGTTGCTTGAGTGGCTCTAGCAGGCCTGGGAAGGTGAGAAAAGCAATAAAGGGCAAGGACAGAGTGAGCCCTTGAGAGCTACATACTTTCTCTCTCCATTCAAGAGGAAGGCCAGATCTGTTTGCAGTTTGCAACTAACAAACAGAAAAATATTATTGATGTTTTAGTTCTGGAGCCTTGAACATCGACCTTTGCCACTGGGATTAATTTTATTAGGAAAACAAATCTCTATGCCCAAAGTTCCAGTTGAAACCTTGTCAGGCAGTCTGAGGACTTTTCTTAGTGAAGTTTGTGGGATTTACCTCCTTCCTAAAGTATAGTAAGGGAAAGCTAATGATCATACTGGAAGACTTAGAAATGTTTGCCACTGATTTGCTCTGTGCTTCTTGACAATTACTATTGCTTACCCAAGAGATCAAGGATGCTCATTAACATCTACCCAAGCTTCAAATCAGGTCACAATGCCAACTGAGTTGGCTGGTCAACTGGTTACTAAAACTAAAATGTTGATGGTATAAACTGTTCATGGTAAACCAGTTTGAACATCTAGCACTCTTATCATCACATTCTTTTTTGAATTATTTTAAAACATATTTTTAAATAATTATTGCTCTTCCCACAATTTTGCCGACAAATGTATAGTAAACTCCGACATTGCTTAGTGAAAGGTACAAATCTAGTAAATTACATAGTCACAGTAAACCTAATATGCTGTATCTGACTCTGTAGATAATGAGCCAAGAGGTTTTAGGGATTTAATTTGTAAGTAGAATGGGGCTAACAATGGGCTACATACCGCCTTTCAACGGTATTATAAAGAAAAGAGGAAGGGCAAGAACAAATGGAGGTTACAAAGCAAAGTACAGATGTGGGTGGGAACTGTTTTCTTTTCACTTCAGTGGTTCTTTTAGGCTATATTGACTAATCCTGAAAACTGCTTTTAATACTAAGGCATGACCTAACAAATAATTGGTGGGGATAAAAGTAAATGTCCGTTAAAGTAAGTGCCTTTGACATGTGTAAAAGTAAAACTGGTCTGATAACTATTTTCTCCATCTCTGAATGAATTTAATATGGAAATGTACCATCTGGGAGTGATGGAAGAGTTCAGTCCTTCCTTAACTGTGCTTTAGGAGGCATTTGATATCTCATCATCATTTGAACTGTCTTTTTACATTCAGCTTGTGGCCCTTACTTCAAAAAAAGGAGCATTTTCAGTGCTATAAGCAAAATTGTTATTGATGGTGGCAAATCTGAGTTAATGTACCAAATTGTTTTCTGTTTAATTAAAAAATTATATCCCTGAAAATTCCAGTTCTGAAATAAAAATTTAAAAAATGCTAGTCCTGGAATTAAGAAAACAATAACTGTTATGTCTAACAGTTTTTGAATAATGTATAAGTTTTGTTGTATCATGGAATCTATTAAAATATGATTTATTATGTAAATGCCAATGTAGTTAAATTAATTATGTAAGGCACCCCTTATATAAAATCAGTACAACATGATGAGTTTATAAAACAGGTAACCAAATTATTCAAAATTTATTTATTGCCCATTGTAGACCCAGAATTGTAAGAAATATTACAGTTTACAAAACAAATAGCAGTATATATTTGTTGCAAAGGAGGTCATTATTAGGGCAGCCTTACAGAGATGTAAGAACTAGATTTTGTAGTCAGATGTGGGATCAAAGGTTGATTCTACTGTCTGCTAGATTTCATATCCATGAGCCATAGTCTATTCATTTATAAACCAAGGCTCATGATACTTAATAGTAATAGTAACTATGGGGCTTTAAAGAACTTTCCTTAGTGCCTGGAGCTTAGTAGGCTCTTAGCTAGTAGCCATCATCAAGCTGGACTAGTCTGGCAAGGTTTTAGGTAGATTGATATTTGAGCTGGGTCTTAAAGTATATATAGGATTTAGAAAGTAAGGGAGTATACTGGTATAATATTCTAGGCAAGGAGAACTACAGACACAAAAGTAAGAAGGAGTTGGGTCAGATAGAGTAGAAAAAATGTAAACACTAAGTTTGGATAGGTGAGATGTGGTCTGAAAATCCTGGGCCTTGAAAACCAGGGAGGACTTTGACCTTGAGATTGTAGATGAAAGGGAACAGGTGTAAACATTTGAAAGACAAAGTGATAAGATAAAATTATTTGCAGAAGATTAGCCTGGTGATAGTAGCCAAGATAGTTTGAGGAGAGAAGAGAATGAACTTGAGACAGCATTGACAATATGAAATAATAGGGCCTAAAATTGTTCAGAGCAGTGAAAACTGAAAGGAAGGATTAAAATACATTAGAACTTGCTAGGTGCAGCAATACACACCTATAATCCCTGTGTGCCTGTAATCCCACCACGTTGGAAGGCAAAGGCAGCCAGGTTGCTTGAACCCAGGAATTTTAGACCAGCTTTGACAACATGGCAAAACCCCATCTCTACAAAAAAATTAGGCAGACGGTGGCTCATGCCTGCAATCATAGCACTTCGGAAGGTCAAGGTGAGAGGATCACTTGAGCCCAGGGGTTTGAGACCAGCCTGGACAACATAGCAAGACCTCATCTTTACTAAAAATAAACAATTAGATGGGCATGGTGATGCACTCCTGTAGTCCCAGCTACTCCAGAGGCTGAGGTGGGAGGATCACCTGAGGCTCGTCAGGAGGTCTAGGCTTTGGTGAGCCATGTTTGTGCCACTGCACACCAGCCTAGGCAACAGAGTGAATCTCCCTCTATTGAGAGAGGGAGAAATTGCTGAGAGTTATATTAAAATTTAAAGTTTTAACTGCTAGGACAACAGTAACAATTGCCACCATTGAATAATACATAATGTTCTAACATAGAAAATGTTTAAATGTTATCTTATTAATCTTCATTACAACCCTGTGAGGTAACATACCCCAATTTCTTTTTTCTTTTGTCTTGCTTTTTCTTTTTTTTTTTTTTTTTTTTTGTTTTGAGATGAGGGTCTTACTCTATCACCCAGGCTGGAGTGCAGTGGTGCAATCTCAGCTCACTGCAACCTGCACCTCTCAGGTTCAAACGATCCTCCCACTTCAGCCTCCTGGGTAGCTGGGACTACAGGCACACGCCACCACACCAAGCAACATACCTTGATTTTAAAGAAAAGAAAGCTGAACCTTAGAGAAGTCATGCCACAACATATTTCATGGTTTATAATAATGTTTTGGGATAGTGATTTGATTGTATGTCTCTCCCATTTGATTGAATATTCCAAAAGGACAATCTTCTTACTTCACTCTGCTGTCTTTAGCGGAGGGATGATGAGAATGCTGCAGAGTCGAATATTTATCAAACCTTTAGCTAGAGGGATGAATGGTTAGATGCCTCAAGGTTTACACAGCTAATGAAGAGGAATCAGAATTCAAATCTGGGTTGTTTTCATATCAAACTATATATTAACTAACATTACTGTATTTCTGCATCTGCAAGATTACATATAAGATGTGAGAAAAGGGGGCGCATGATCCAAAGGACATAATCATAAGAACATCTTTATTTATAGCAGCATTCTTTAGGGATGTGCTTTCCATATGGGAGAGTTACTTATCTTGAAGCCAGTTCTCCGTATCCCTTTGGGAGGCCAAGATCCCTATGATAGCCCATATTTGGCTAAGACCAATAGCAGGACACTGAACAGAAAGATCCAAATGAAAGCTGTGTCATACAGATCTGTTTAAACACAGACCAGCATGTATTTTATAAGCTCTGGTATCCACAGATCATGCTGACAATCTCAGATTTTTGTGGTTTGCTTTTTCTTTTTTTCAAACAGTGCTCTGTAAATTTAGGAAAAAGTTAGAACGTGTGGCATGAAACAATGTCTAAATATAAGCAATCAATGTGATTAACTGAATGCCGCAAATATGCACTGTATATGTATTTCTCAGGAAAGGCAGGCAATAAATACATATATTTTGTATATATCATCATTCTCTGAAAAGTTAGACAGTGAGATATATCAGTGTGTGATGTATTACACTGAAAGAATCTTTGCTTGTAGTCAGTAAATATTATTACTTAATCAGACCAGATTGTGCTTCTAAAATATCTCTCTTGCCCCAGATCATATTATTTTGGTGATAAATACTAGAAGAATAGTTTTTTTGTATTTTAATTCACAGACTTGTAAGTGTGGGTCTTCTTGATTGAATATAGCCTAAGGAGGAGGATGTTAATTTGAGGTCCATTTGAGGGGAAGATATCTCCTTAGATGGGATTTAGCTTAATTGTGTACAATTTTTTAAAAAAATCTAGGGTCATTACTTTTTCTCTCCCCCAATTCTTAAAGGGAATTGTGTCTCCTGCAAAATATTGCAACCTACTGGCCTGTGATATAGCCACTATTTGTGGAGCTATACAATTCCATGTAGTGGCCAGTTCTATGTACAAAAGAACACTGGAATGATATATTCCTTTATGGTGTTTGCAGTAGTAGTAGGTATGTTCTGTAAGAGCTCAGAAGAGGTCTGAACAGGGATCTGCAGGGGAGTGGAGTGGTCAGGGCAATATTTGTAACTGAGGTGAATTGCAAAAGAACCAGAGAATATATCTGGTGTAGAAAAACACAACAGAGAAAGAAATTGAGTGAAGGCACTATGAGAGTGAAGGACAGGAGGCTACACTGAATGTGGAGTCACTTTACTCTTTGACTTTTACTTGAATTAATGTAGTTTTAAGCCATGCATCTTTAATAAGAAACTGACTTCTTTATCGGATTAGGGATTTAAAAGGATCTCTTTGTACCCAGTTGGGAAATGAGAGGTTGTCACATGCACATCCTACTCTATTAGTTCCACTATTTCCATGCCCTGTTCCCTCTGCACAAGAGGAATGAGCACATGTTTCTAAGGTTTATTCTTCAACAGCAAAGCAAAGTTCTTATTCACCCTTCAATAGGCTCTTCATGAAAGTGGACAGGCTGTTGAGTCACCAGAGACCAAGGAAGATATTCATTATTTTGGATCTTGAGCTTGACCTGGAATTCCTGTAACCCAGTCACTAAGAAAGTATAATGTGTGGTAAACAGCAAAGATTCTACAATCAGATGGGCTCCCTTTAAAACTCAGTTCAGCCACTTTTAGTTATTAACCTTGAGCAAAGCTCCCGTCTCTCTTTGCTTTAGTTTCTTCATCTGTAAAACAGGGAACATATTTGTGCCATAAAATTAATGAGAATTAAATGAGCTAATAGGTATAAAGTCATCAGAACATTACTTGAAACAGGGCAAGCACTCAGATGATAGCAACTATTAAAATCATAAAACACTTATATTCTAGGAAATCCAGCATGTGCTAGGTACGTGGAGCTCATCATGTAAAGATTATTCAGCAGGAGTAATTCCAACATACAGTAGTTGAATGTGCGCAATGTGTTAGACTTTGGGATAATGGAGACACAGTGCCTGCTTATGAGGCACTACAGTCTATTTTACAGGGTTATTGGCATTAAATTTGCTTGCCTAATATGTTTAGCTTACTGAATTGAATTCCTGTTGACTTACAGGAGGATGTTGACAAGGCAGTGAAGGCCGCAAGACAGGCTTTTCAGATTGGATCCCCGTGGCGTACTATGGATGCTTCCGAGAGGGGGCGACTATTATACAAGTTGGCTGATTTAATCGAAAGAGATCGTCTGCTGCTGGCGGTGAGTATTATCCAAGCTGGATGGGTAGCTAGAGCTCTCAAAAGCATTCAGCGTTTGAAATGGCAAGTTGTTTTGATTTTAGGGATCACTATATGCTCTCTACAAACAAAATGAAAACATTTTTTGTCCCAATGAATAGGCCCCTTAACATTGAACTATTCTCAAATAGTAATCTGCATTTCAATTCTGGATGATGTTAATTTCTGCTCCCATAATAGATTCTACGGTCTAAACTTTAGCAAACCCAAGTTAAACCAAATTTTAGAAATTTCTTTACCTTAAAACTTCTCAGAGGTTTCAATAAGATCACATGAAGTTTGAGTCTCCTAGAATGATATATTAGGTTTATTCAAGCATTTGACCACTGAGCTCTTTTGATGGAAAAACTCAAGTTTGTTAAGGGTGCCCAAAATATTTCTCTAAAATAAATCTTATTTCTCATTAGTCTAGCTCGCTAAGATATTTAATAAATGGCTACTTTTTTTCTTCCTGAAATGTGTCTGTTCACAAGGGTCATAATTAAATGATGTTCTTTTTACAGATGAAAGAGGCAAAAAATAAAAAAAATCCAATTATTAATGTGGTTTATCAAAATCATGTTTTTATGAATACTATTTTTGTTTGTTTATGTTTTAGCAGTTAGATGAGTCAGAGCATAATATAGTTGGGGGAGGGTATTTCCTTGTTTCTGTTGTCTCAATTGGGCATTATGATGAAGCCAATTTAACATAAACAAATACCAAGATCAGGTTTCAAGCAAATTTCATCTTTAGAATCTGAAAGTGGCAGTAACAAAGAAGTCTACATTTTTAAAAAATCAACATTAGCATGTATGGTTAATAGCAAGTATGGTTAATCAAAGGACCATTTATTACTCAAATATTCAACATAATTTGAAATACACAAAAATTCAGAACGAGCAGCTATGTGCAATAAAACTATAGTAATAAAAATGACCTGTAGGAAGAAAGCAGAAAATGCTAAAACTTGGCTTTTCTCAATTATCTGATTTGTTGACTGCCTGTCAGCATAAGATCCTATAGAGAGAAAAGTACAGGCATACAAAAGTCACATTTGGTTAAATTTTGACATGATAGAGAGTGTAGTACAGAAACAAATAGCTTTAACAGTTCATCACCTGTGCATTTCTGCCAGGTAACCACCCCAGCAGAATATTAGATCTCAAAGAGCTTAAGGTCCTGCTTAAGAAGAGAAGCCAAAGGGGAGATAGGTCATCTTATAATGGTTAGGGCACATGACTAGAAAATGTTTAACTTTACCTGACCATTAAAACGGCAATTATGACAATAATGGCAACACTGGTAGTTTCCTAATTAAAATTCTGCTGAAGGAAATTCATGGATGAAAAATCCAGGCATTACTTAAGTTTGTGTGAGTAGACTGTGTATATCCAGATGGAATGTAAAAATTAAAAATGATTACTGAGCCATCATTAATAGTCACTGACACTAAGTTGTCACCCACAGTTGATTACAAAATAAGAGAAACCTTGTTGGAATTCTGATAGGACTTAGAAGACTAGGTTTCATTCTCAGATGTTATGTGTATATCAAATTGTGACCGATTCCTAGAAAGCTGGTTAGCAGGAGAACATCAAAATGAGATAGAAAGAGCACTGGGGTTTAGAAATCAGAATCTCACTACCCTTTGTGCCCAGATCTTGCTATTTGACCTAAAGGAAGTCATTTTAACTCTTAAAAAGTGGAGGTTAGACAAGATGACAAGATTTCTTCTATTTCAAAAATTCCCTAGCACATGATTGCTGAAAATATTTACTACATATTTTTAATCTAAAACTTATGGAATTTTAGATTTGGTGTTTGACATGTTTTTCAGACAATGGAGTCAATGAATGGTGGAAAACTCTATTCCAATGCATATCTGAATGATTTAGCAGGCTGCATCAAAACATTGCGCTACTGTGCAGGTTGGGCTGACAAGATCCAGGGCCGTACAATACCAATTGGTAAGTATCTTTGAGAAACCACTAATGGTGAGGATAGGAGCGAGGAGTTTACTATAGAGCTGAATAATTTCAAACTCTCCCTTTTAAAGATGTCAACCAAATAAGGCAAAATTATTTTCCTCTTGACTTTGAGACAACACAGTTTTCAACTTAGAAGTTCTATTAAAATTCATAAAAGGTCTTTTAAAGTTGTTTCAGCATAATCATGAAGATAACATTATAGATATTTTAGAAAATGTCAAAGTAAGAACATTCCTTTGGCAGTAATTACTGATCTGAGGCAATTGCCTCTCTAAGGTCCCAAACTTTTTAAAGCTGACCTCTGAAATTATTTATTTGGGTTTTATTCCAATACTGACATTTATATCCTTTCTGTAATGTAATTATTTAAGCCTCTTTACATGTTCCAGTATAAGTCAGTTATGGTCATCTGTGCCTGGTCAAACTCAGTGTAGTTAGACCAGACTAATCAAACAAGCCAGTTCACACGGACTCGTTTCAAATATCTTCAAAGCAAGATGGGACTGTGTTTGCAGCCTAAGTTAAGGGTTTGTGTGTGTGAATCTGTACGTATGTGTTATTTTAGTGGGGTATGCACATAATGGAGTAGAAATACTAAAGATATTTCATGTGAAACATGAAAACACACACATTTAGGAAACAGTATGGGTGGAATTTAATTCAGGCAAACCTATGAACTTTAGGAATACAATACCCTCCAGGACTGGCCCTGATGTGCACTTCCAATCCAATTGGAGCATGCAGGAGGTCAGAAGTGATAGCAGAAAGTTGAGAGGAGAGTAAGACCTCGGTGGTACTAAGAAATGTGGCTACTTTAGAACTGTCCTACTTTACTCCGGGACAAAATGGGAGAAGTCACTTAAAACACAAATAGATCTTGATGAAGAGAGTCCTTGCTGAAACCAGGAAGCTTCTGTGGGAACTAGAACAGAATTGAATGTAAAGCATAATGTATCTCTCTGGATGACCACATTAAACTTCGGGGCACATAAATTGGTCAAATTTAGATTGAAAATAAATGTCTTATACTCCTGTCATTTTCTTCATGTATTTAGAGAATTTGCTATTATTGTTTGGTAGGCAAATAAAATACATTTTAGAACAAGTCAGTAGGAAAGGCTTATTACTCATAGGGAGATTTTCTTTTTAATTCTACTGTTTTTAATTTTACTATTTCTAAAAATTATATTATAACTTTTAAAAAGAATTCTCTTATTGGTAGAACTTTGAGCTACCAGAAACAAATTGGAATGTGGTTCTTCTCTTCGCCAGAGACCTCCTACTTCCTTTCTCGTCCCTTTTTTATAACACTTAGAGAATAAAGATAATTTTCAAATCAGGCCTCCTAGAAGATGAAAGGTGGAATTAATTATCTTTCAGATTTTTGCCAATTTTGCCTCTTTGATTTCACCTAACTCAATTTTATGGTTCCTATCATTTCGAATTACTATTTTAGGGCTTCACTTACCATTTTGGGAATAGTTGGAGATATAGATGGTCTCGATCTCTTGACCTCGTGATCTGCCTGCCTCGGCCTCCCAAAGTGCTGGGATTACAGGCGTGAGCCACCACACCTGGCCAGATATATGTTTTTAAAATTATTGTCTACACCTTTCTCTCACATCACCAACCACCATTTTGTGAATGTCAAATACATTTGTTTATATATGATTGTGTGTGTTTTATTTTTCAGATGGAAATTTTTTTACATATACAAGACATGAACCTATTGGTGTATGTGGCCAAATCATTCCTGTAAGCTTTTCTCCTATATAATTCTCAATTTTAAAAAGAAGAGTTCTTATTCTATCTAATGATGAAGCTTTCTCTAAAACAGATGGATGCTTATGTATTTGTTAAATGTGGAGTAAATGTAAGATTTGTTGAACTTGGTCTCCCTGTGACTAAACTTCTTGCATATGAATTAGGTAGTCCGAAAACCTATCTATATTCTGGCATATCTCTTGAGAATGTTTTAATACTACATCATCCATAAATGTTAACCCTTTACTCTATGGGTTGTTTTATTAAAAGTTGTATTATGTACTCTTTATAAGAGCCAAGCTTTACATGTATATGGCAAGGTGCTCTCCACTGCACATCTGCAGGATAGCATTTTGGTGGAATGTAGTGGGGCCTACTATTCTCCAACGCACTTTCTCATTGAGACATCTCATCATGCAGAACAGTAGCTCCCAGAGTGTTCAACTCATGACACACATTTTTTAATCAAAATGGAAAAAAGAATACCAGAGGCATTTGAAGCACTGCATGGAATATATTTTACCTTTAGATAAGAGGCTCAGATCCTCCATATTACTCTTAGAGGAAAGTAGCCTTTTTAAGAGGATTGTGAAGATTTTTTAAGCCCAACAAACAGGACACTATCTAAATGATTTTATTTTAACTGACATGCTTTAAAAGGCCAAACAAAAAAATGGTAGCGAAGTCCTTATGTGAAGAAATGGTCAAGACTTATCTTTGGCTCCAATGAGATTGAAATATATTCATATCAATATTTTAGTGAAATTGCTTATTAATTCAAAAGTCCCAATAAATCGATAAAAACTATATAATTATGAACACTGATAATAGCTGATATGTACTACTTGTCTATGCTAGACCAGTCATTGTGTTGAGCCCCTGGCCCTCTTTCTTGGTTAATGCTCAAGACAGCCTTCTGAGGCAGAGAGGACTATTATCAGCACTCACAGATTATGAAATCAGATACAGAGAGCACGTAACCTGTGTGAGTTCACATGGCTGGTCAGTGATTGAGCTGAGATTTGAACCCAAGTACTTGGCCTCTGGACCCTGGACATCTTTGTCTTTAGCAAGGTATTTTTCCTGGAAATAAAAGCTACTAAATAATATTATTGGGTAAATAATTACAATAAATGACTTATGGAGAAGGAGAGTAATCATCCTTTTTAAACATTTTTAGATAACTTACAGTGTGCTCCATAATAAGCCAAACCATGCAGTGATTTTTTTTTTCCTGGTAGAAAAAGAACTCAACAGTACTTGATTAAATTTTGAGGTTCTCTCCTATTTCCTTCTCATATCTCATATCTGGTTTATTCAGAGCGTTTTAGCATTTACTAGTTGCTTTTAGCAATGAAGTATAATATGCCAGATGATTTCACAAAACTACGCAATTATTACATAACATCTACAGGGGGTGTATAATATGGAAGTTGGATTAGCAAATATGCCTTTTGCAATACAAAGAATCTATTGTTACATATTGCTTTCTAGTGGAATTTCCCGTTGGTTATGCTCATTTGGAAGATAGGGCCTGCACTGAGCTGTGGAAACACAGTGGTTGTCAAACCAGCAGAGCAAACTCCTCTCACTGCTCTCCACGTGGCATCTTTAATAAAAGAGGTAAGTCTCCCGAAATCAAAATATGCTCAAGAACTCAAGAATCCTAAATTACAATAGGAAGACCTCATTTGTTGCTACTATAAAGTACATTATTTACAGATGGCTCCTGTCCAGTGGGGGGAATACATTTAGCATGACGGCTGGCTGCAATTTCTGGCAGTCACCCCAAATTCATCTCTGCCCAAATGCAGACAGGAAGCCAAACACAAAGGTTTGGTGTCAAACAGTCAACTTGGGATCACATTTTTGCTTCTTTGTCCAACTCTCATGAACATAAATTCATGTTGAAATTAATGTAGCATTCTTTCAAATGTTGAAACATTAAGTTGGTTTGTACCTGCCACTGATGGCCTAGTGTTTTCTGCAAAATTGTGTAAACTAATCTATGTAAGGTTGAAAGGGCCTCTATGCCAATATGCTTGTTTGTAATATTGGGCCACATTATTTCCAAACACTTTTCAATCTACTCATGAGTGGATATGTTTATATTCAGTTTTCTATTATGAGTTCCTCTGCATTTATCTTCCTGTTCAAAAACAGTAAAAGAACATGTAAAACATTTTCATCAGCTATCTAGATTGTGTTAATATACTTGCAAACAATTCATTGTCCTTTTTTCTTCATCTTACCAAATCTTAAAAAATAAATGTTAATCACTAGAAACTTAAAGTTACAAAACTGAACTTATCTTTTAAAGATATTATTTATTGAAATTAAAAACAGGGAAAAGAGATGTCAAAATGAAACATTTCGATGCAAATAACATGAAATTGTAATGTGCCCAACTCAGTTCCCATGCCTTCACCTGAATTCTTTAATGAAGATTGAAATCAACCTGTGATGTTGAATCATGAATGGGATGACAGTATTTACTTAACAATTTACTAAGTAATGCCAATGGGAATTTGCAACTCAGCAGTTATGCCCTCAACAATCAACAACAGCTAGGAACTAAAAAATGTTAGATCCCTTCAGCTTCTTATTTTTGCTGATGGGAATAATAAACATGTTACTTACTTTCTACATAAGTAACTTACCAAACACTTTTTTACATACAATCTTTTTGAGTTAGCATTATGAAATTTGAAAGAGCCATCACTGGAGCAATGATTCATAGAGTATGGACTTACCCTGACAAGAAATTGTCCTTTAATAATGCAACCCTTGAAGTTATTCTCTTATGTGTGCTTAGAAATGACATAATAAGACTAAAGAATAGAGCCAGTTGGGTGAATTATTTTTTTCTAGAGCATCTCATAAGGTTGGCATTAAGAGACAATCTCAATCCCCTACTCTCCTCCTTTTTGAATTAAATTCTTATACTGTAACTTTTAAACTTTTTATCTTTTAGGCAGGGTTTCCTCCTGGAGTAGTGAATATTGTTCCTGGTTATGGGCCTACAGCAGGGGCAGCCATTTCTTCTCACATGGATATAGACAAAGTAGCCTTCACAGGATCAACAGAGGTAATATTATTTACTCAGGGCAAAAGTTAAGAATGTCTGCATTGCCAGCTATGAAGTATGTTTTATGTAACTATTTTTGAGCCAACAATTTTAAAACAAAAACTCTTTTTAATGATTTGTTACTTATTTTAGCCTTCAAACATATGGATAGAATATAAGCAGATGTAGTTTGAATGACATGATGCACCTATTTTAAATCAGAATGAGAGTAAACTATTTTTAGTATGTTCATTACTTTCTCTGACGAGAAATATGGCTGCTGAGACCTTGTCATATTATTAGGAAGATTTATAATAGAAAATTAGGCCATAGTGATTTGTATGAATGAATATGATTTTATCCTATAGGTTATGAAAATTAAATAGTAGAGTCTCACCCTTTGCACCTTATTTGGGGTTGTCTTTCTCCTGGACACTGTGAAAGAGAGCCAGAAACTCAGCTTCCCTCAGTGGTACCTAGACTAACTTTTCTGCCTCTCTGGCTTGAACTTGACCATCCTAAAGGTTAAAGAAAAAGACCCCAACCACAAAGGAGAAGTGGCGGGCAGGAGGGAGAGCAGACTAGAAGGTGAAGTTTGGGAAAATAGATCCCCATTTATTGATGATGTTCTATCCTAAGCAAAAGAAAGTGGTGGAAGCATACTGTACCATGCAAAAAAAATTATTGAGTCATTCTATTAAATTACGTGACTTTGTTAGATGCTCAGTGCAAAAATGTTATTCATTGGTACACAGTATAGACAGTGAAGAGTGAGCTTCACTCCATCTTAGAAAGCTGCTGACAACAAGAGACCAGGCAGGGTGTGATAAGGTACTAAGGCATGTACAAAATGCTGTAAAAAAGGTTCACAAGAAGGAATGATGATGTCCAAATGGGTACTAGAACTAGCTCTGGGTTTTGAGGAATTGTTACTTTTTTAACTTCCTGGAAGTTGAGAAGCAAAAAAGACATTCCAGATAGTGTGGTGAGCATAATTTGATTATTTTATAATCTTAATTATTTACTCCAGAATAAAGGCAAATTTACATAGCAAAAAGAAATGGTGGAAAATCAAACTTTATTTTTCTTGGTCTTTTTAAAATGAAGTAAATAAATATATATATGTCTTCTTTGTTTTTCACAGACGTAGAGTAAAAAAAGTTTGCATTCTGCAACTCCCTAATTGAGATAGGGAAAAGCAAACCCCACAGTCAAGATTTATTGTAGACAGAACAAGTGGGAATGTTCAAGATATGGCAATACATTTAAAAATGGTGACACCACAGGTTGAAATCATACCAGAGGAATAAAGGTGAAAATTCCTCAGCCTAGAATTCTAGACCCTCCCCAATAGGGAATCCATGTGCCTGTTGAGGTCTGTCCAACCCATGGCCAGGGATGGCTTTGAATGTAGCCCGACACATTTTTTTTTCATTCTCATCAGCTATCTTTACTGTTAGTGTATTTTTTGTGTGGCCCAAGACAATTCTTCTTCCCATGTAGCCCAGGGAAGCCAAAAGATTGAACAACCCTGGTCTAGATCCTATGCCTACTCCTTCTCCAGGTCATCTGGACCAGGAGCTACTGTTTGCTGATCTCATCTTCAGCATCAGTTTGTCTTCGCTCATCCATGATCCCCTATAACATTGGGGGAGCACTTTACCTACTTAAAAAAATCCCTGGAGATTAAAAGTCTAGAAAATATCTTGGTTTAAATTCTGACTCTACCCCTCCTAGCAGTGTGTCTTTAAAAAGTTAAGTAGCCTTACTAAATTTGAGTTTCTTCATTTGTAAAATGGAGATGAGATCAAATTTACTGAGTTGTACAGAATACAATTAAATGAGCTAATGAGTAGTAAAACATTTATCACCCTACTGAGCGCTCAGTACATGCCATATTTCCTCTTTCCTCCCATACTTTTTAATTTCGCACACTAGTTTACACAATGTGAGAAAAAAGCTTCCTGTCCCAATATTTCTTTTTCTCCATCTCTGCCACTCTGCCCCATCTCTTCCTGATTATTCCATGTATCTTTTCATTCCCCCAGGCTTTTAGTTCATCCTTGGCCATAACCTACTCTAAACTTGCTCCCACACGTTCCCTCTCTGGCTTTCTCCTTGCCTCTACAGTCCCAGGAGCAGAGCAGCCTAAATTTTAAAACACCCCATCTGAGTTCCCATTGTCCACCACATATAATAACAGTGCATGCCTATTGCCTTATGTGTCTCTCTCTCTTGCTGATTATCCTCAAAGACAGTCTTATTCATTGTTATCTCCAGAAACCATCACAGTAAGAAATTCTAAATAAGTATTAAAGAATTAAATGTGATATCACACTCTGGGGACTGTGGTGGGGTCGGGGGAGGGGGGAGGGATAGCATTGGGAGATATACCTAATGCTAGATGACACATTAGTGGGTGCAGCGCACCAGCATGGCACATGTATACATATGTAACTAACCTGCACAATGTGCACATGTACCCTAAAACTTAGAGTATAATTAAAAAAAAAAAAATGAAAAAAAAAAAAAAAAAGAATTAAATGTGAATAACACGATTTTAGGAGCCACAAAACCCATCCTACTTTCAACTCCTGAAACTTAGTTCCATACTCCCTGGAACTTCTTTCTGGATTTTCTTTTAGCTTCACATTTGTTGCTTGGCAGATATTAAGGAACTTGATAAATGTCATGAAAGAGGCAAACAATAGACTGTATCCTTTGTGTTCATTGTAGCAAAGACCCTCCATTCTAACAACACTTTAGGCAAGGTAAGAATTTTTTTTTTTTTTTTTTTTTGAGAGGAGTCGTGCACTGTCACCCAGGCTGGAGTGCAGTGGCGTGATCTTGGCTCAAGCTCCACCTCCGTGGTTCATGCCATTCTCCTGCCTCAGCCTCCCGAGTAGCTGGGACTACAGGCGCCCACCACCACGCCCAGCTAATTTTTTGTACTTTTAGTAGAGTTGGGGTTTCACCGTGTTAGCCAGGATGGTCTCGATCTCTTGACCTCATGATCTGCCCGCCTCAGCCTCCCAGAGTGCTGGGATTACAGGCGTGAGCCACCGCAATATCCCATTAGATTCATATAAAATAGAACTCTACCCACATTATGCAAGACATAATAAGCTAGACCATTTTCATGGGCATTTGCTACTTCTGCTCCACATGGCAATGCCACAGTATCATGGAATACACTGTTTAGCCATAGTCTTAATAGTTCTTATCTTTTCTTCATTGCATACTCCTTTGAGAAAAATGATAAACGTTTACTTTTCTCCAAATAAGGGAATGAAATCATGAGACAAAAATTAATGTCTCTTTGTTTTGACTTTAGCTAGACTTTTGGGAAAACTCAAGCCTTTTATTTGCCATCTAAACTTGTGCTAAGCAAAAGTGTAGACTTTCTTTCTCATTCATACTTCTAACCATTCTTCATCCTAGTTCTTTTGACGTTTGTAGCTTTTACAAAAATATATTTGATTTTATTACCTTCTCCAAGGCAAAAGTTATCTACTTTAATGGAGTTACTTCCGTAAACCTAAATTAAACAAATAAAAAAAATTCAGAAAGAATTTAGAGAAATCAAAGGGTGACAGGTAAGTAAATTTTTTATCTACAAAATTAAAAACTCCTTAACATCTTAAATGAAAATTCAGTTTCTGAAAGTGGTCATAAGAAGTGTGTTATAGAATGGCATATAAGAGAAATTTCAGACAGGATTTCCCTAGTGCAAATCTCCTTTTAATTTATTTTTTATTAATCTTTTAGGGGTTTGATTTAGAAACATAAAATATTTAAATAGGAGGAAAACATTAGCATATTAATGCCCTATTCTGTAATTCACAGTAGCAGTTAGTTCAGTAACCACATAAAATCTAAACATACACTCACGAAACATCTATTTCTCTCTTGTTCAGTTGGGATAGAAACTTTTTATTAAAATCTGACATGCAGAGTAAAAAAAAGAAACCTAGAAAATAAAAGAAGCAAAATAGTGAATTGCCTTTAAAAAAGAAAGGCAAAGAACATGTTGGTGGATTAAGGCTGCCATACAAATAATAAAAAAGAAATAATTGTAGAACCAGCCAAGTTTTTAGAGATAGAAAAACCAGAAACAACTATAGTAAATAATCTTGATGGGAAGTGATCCACAAAGGAAAAAATAATTGAAAACAAAGTCTTCCTCTGAAAAGGGAAAACTAGCATTAAAGAAGAAACCAGAACTGTAGGATTCCAGCTAACTGAAGTAGCTGCACAGATCCCATTTCTTTCATCCAGTTCCACTGTTCAAAGGTGTGTGTGTTGGGTGGGAAGACAGAGAAAGAAAGAGATAGAGAGACGACTGTCAATCCGCAATTAAATGAGCCTTCTGTCATAGATACTAATGAGGAGAGGTATGCAGTGATACGTTATTGTTACTGCTACCACAGAGTTAACAATCTATTTGGGAAATGTATTTCTATACAAATAATACAATCTGGATCAGACTCTGAAGGAGACTTCATGAGGTTTTTTGGGAGACTAGAAAAAGAAATGGTCCTGTCATTTCTTCTAGCATCTGACCTAGTGTCATCAGAGAAGGATTTAAGGAGAAGCTAAGATATGAGCTGGACCCCTAAGAAAAATAGAACTTGAAGGCAGTCCAGGTTGGGGTGGACAAATAATGAGAAGAAGGATGAGATTCAAGAGGTAGTGAATATGTCAGTTTGACTGGATAGAGTTATCTGGATGCCAGAAGAGGGATAAAAAATGAAATAGCTAAGTTGCGACTGGGTCATGATAAGTCTGATCAATCTGTAGAAAGATGATATTCTGATTAAAATTAAAAATAACCTCCGTAGCCATCAATATCACTTATCCGTGTTCTATATCTCTGCTTTCTTGCTGATGAAAAATCAGCATTTTTCTGATTCCTTTTATGTCTGTATGCTTGGATGAGGGAGCTTTACATATCTAAAAGTGCCAGATCTTTAAAAATGCCATTTGCCAGAGAATCACTTGAACCCGGGAGGCGGAGGTTGCAGTGAGCCGAGATTGCGCCACTGCACTCCAGCCCAGTCGACAGTGTGAGACTTCGTCTCAAAAAAAAAAGCCATTTGGTGTTTCTCCCAAATGAAATTTTACTGTGGCACAAACATCACATAAATTTAGAATGCTAAAGCAACCTGTGTTCATGAGAGCAGGGTAAGCCTCCTCCTTTGTAATGCTCCCTTTCAGGTTGGCAAGTTGATCAAAGAAGCTGCCGGGAAAAGCAATCTGAAGAGGGTGACCCTGGAGCTTGGAGGAAAGAGCCCTTGCATTGTGTTAGCTGATGCCGACTGTGAGTAGAAACCACTTTGTTAACTTTTCGTCCTTCATCGTTTTTGGTGTCTGATAATGCCAAAAGTGAACTTGAACTTTACAAAAAAAAAAAAAAAAAAAAAAAAGCATTTGCTTCTAACATCAAAGTGTAAAGAGTCCAAAATTACTCTTGAAAATCTCTTAAATCATCCTAAAGTTATAACACATAGATAATAGACACAATTTCTTCCTCGTTTAGAATAGATTGCTATTTCCTCAGCTGAACCCTAGATGATGTAAACATTTTGCATTTAAATGCCATGGTGTATTTTTTAAATTCCATATCTGTGATTATTAGCATTTCATTGAGCTAATGAGATACTCCAGAATGGGACTTGGATTGAGACCAACTGAGGAGACAGCAGTTTCACATTTGCCCTCTCCCTTCACTCTGGGTCATACACTCATTAAATGAAATGATCAGAAGAAAATTATACCTAATATTTAAATATTTTTTCCTAGCAAGTATAGTGGAGTTTATGTACATTAAACCTACAAATTTGATATAACCCCACTATATAATATTTTAGGTTCATTCTGATTATATTACCAAGTAGAATTTCCCAATTATTTCCTAAATAGAAGTTAATTAGCAGAAATGCATGGTCAAACATTCTTTTTTCTTTCACAACTGCATTATCTGTTAGAGGCTGTAAATACAAATGGTTCATGGAATTAGCCTATGTTGCTGTTTTGATCTTAATTGAAGTATTTTAGAACACACTACCTTATGAAATATTCTATAAACATGAAAGATTTCTAATTTTACTAAGACTGTCTATAAACTGCTTCTGCTACAACTTAAGCAGATGTAATTAGTTCACAAAATAAATAATAATCATACCCAGTTGCTATAACATTGAATTGAATCTTCAGCATTTAGAAAATTAAAATGCAAAGAAAATTTTATTCTTGTTTAGAGTCTACTAAGGAAGCAACCTATTTCTTCCTTTTAATGCACATTTTATCGCCTAAAATAAATAAGAGTTTATAGGCACATATGAAATAATACGGTATACTTTAGATAGATTTTGAAAATGTCTTTGATGGAATAAAATCATAAGGTGAGTGAGTGATTCTGAGTATTAGTGTTTTTTGTTACTTTTTAGTTGTTTTTGTTTTATTTTGTTTTTCTTTCCCACAAAGATCACATTTCCTGTTGAGTAGAGTATTTAAGAATCTTTTGAAATTATTTAATTCGATAGACATGTCAGGTTTTTTTTATTATCTGTTTAAAATCTGGGGCCTGAAAGAAATAATCACAATCATCTAATTATATAATTGGAGATATTTATATAAATCATTTCCAAAGAGATTTGGTCTCATGATCAAATCTACATTCTTGGTGATGTCCATATTAAAGTTGTAATAGTAACCACTATTTTTTCAGATTCTGTATGTTTCTATTTTTTCCATGGTAAATGCAGGATCAGAAAGATTAATTTGCCACCTGGCTGGTAGGAGGTAAACTATACTGAGCCCATGTCTGACTACACAACTCATAATTTTTCTTTATCTCCATGTTGCCTCTGAGAAACATATAAAATATATAATTTTTATAAAATATATCTTTAATGTGAATGTCTTCTTCGCAGTGGACAATGCTGTTGAATTTGCACACCATGGGGTATTCTACCACCAGGGCCAGTGTTGTATAGCCGCATCCAGGATTTTTGTGGAAGAATCAATTTATGATGAGTTTGTTCGAAGGAGTGTTGAGCGGGCTAAGAAGTATATCCTTGGAAATCCTCTGACCCCAGGAGTCACTCAAGGCCCTCAGGTAAGTATAAAATAGAAAGGATAGCATTTTCAGGGCACAGGAATAAAGTATCCTCTTTAGACCTAGATTTTATTGAGTAAGATTACTTCCCATCTGCACACCTTCCTAGGTGACAATGCTGTGCCAGTTTGGTGTTTAAAAGCAATCTAACTCCCAGTGAGAATGAAATCATCCTGTTTTTGTGTTGCCCAGTTTTCATGTCTAGAAACAGTTTACCGGCCATGCTGAGAATTAAAGACATGAGGAAAAATAACAAATGTTCTACATTTTTGGCTTTCCTCAATCTGCACACCTCTTGATTCCTATATACAGTTCTCTGTCCACTTTGAAATTCTTATACATTCCTACCATTTTTTCCTCCTGAATCCTTCATCTCCACAGCCATCCCACAGTTATAACCAGCACTCCCCTAAATCCTCTGCAAGTCATCGGTTACTCTGACCCCCTAATCGTAGCATGGGGTCCTAAAATGTCCTGAGTTTCCTTTGCGGCAAACTTCGTATTTCAGTTGTTAAAGCCCAATTATTCCCCTAGGCACTCAGTTTTCTTTGTAGACTTTATTATCAGTAAAGGTCTCTCTCTCTCTTATCCAAAGATCATCTTTCCCTCTTCCTTGCATAGTTCTCTGTTCATTGTTTGTTTAAGCTTCTGGATCTTTGGTTGTGAATTTCTTCCTGCCCTTTGGGTCTTGTTCTAGAGCAGTGATTCTAAACTGGGGCAATTTTGCTCCCCTCACCCCGGGGACATTTGGCAATGTCTAGGGATATTTTAAGTTGTCACTACCTTGGTGAGAAGCGGTGGCTCTACAGGCATCTAGTGAGTAGAGGCCAGAGATGCTGCTAAACATCTTGCAGTGACCAGGACAGCCCCATGACAAAGAATTATCTGGCCCAAAATGCCAACAGGACAACTGCCGAGAAATCCTGCTCTGGAGTCTAGACATTAAGCTTAGAGGCTCTGTTCTTTCACAATAAAGGTTTTACACTGATGCGTGCTGTCAATTTGAAACCAAACGCTATTCTTGACTCATTCACTAAGCCAAAAGTAAATTCAATTAACTAAAAGTTAGTGAACGTTGCTATCAGCTAAAACTTGAGATGGGTACCTGGCAATGCCAAAAAGAACAAAGAGGACTTGATCCCGGACCTCATGGAGTTTACAGTCCAAGTAAGTTGGACAGTCTTGGATTTTCCTGTTCATCTCAAGACATCCAAGTAGGAAAATCTTAGGACTTAGGCAGTGTAACATATTGAAATCTAAAGGCCCTAAAATAAGCGGCAAGTGAGGTAATACTTTGTTTTATCTTAATCCCATTATATTTTGTATTTGTCTTTGAGTTTAATGAGTACTTAAAAGTAGTTGCCCTTTTTTTCATATTTGGTATATGGATGCCAAGAGATATATTCAAATCAGTTTTGACTTGGTCTCCCATTTCAAAAAAGAATGGAATTCTATGTTTTTTGTTGTGATTATTTATCTATCTAACTAAAAGTGAAGCACTTTTCTTATTTTGTTGATGGATTGATGGATGATTGATTGATAGATCTGAAGAGAGGAGAGAATACCTAAGATACCTAATGCCTAATTGTTGGGCAGTACTTTCCTCCATTAGGACATCTTCACAATTCAACCAAAGACTCAAAAATTGAGCTGGAATACCTCATTGATTTTAAGATAAGGAAGTTAAAATAGACTTAAAAATTCCTATTTGTAAGATTCTAAAGTAAATAATCCAGTGATCTAGAATTTAGTTTCTATAAATGAATAGAATCCAGTGATCTGATTAATATAAGAATTTAGTTTCTATAAGTGAATAGATTTTTATCACAAGTTCCATTGAGTCAGTAGGATAAGTAGGTATGTTAGAATTTGGAGAAACAAAAGACTAAAAAGCCCTGGGCTCCTTTACCATTAAATATTCATCTATTGTTAGGAGAAAAAACTTACGCAAAGGGGATACTCACTCACTAAGCTTTAGCCTATTGCCTCATCCAGGGGTGGTTGAGTGAACTGAGGCTTTTAAATACAATGATGGAATCTTCCTCATTAAATATAACATCAAAAAGGTTATAGAAAAAATAATGGTCAAAACGATTTGTTTTAGGGGAAAAAATTAAAGTTTAAAAAAATTTGAACATTACAAATTATTTGGGGGTTAGAGCAATTACAAAATATATATATATACTTTGCATATTTGTATTATATCTGTGGATTCATGTGTGTATCTTTTTCATATTTCAAGTGATTTTCCTATTTGACTTTATAGAAAAAATATATATTGTCTTAAACTTGGAAAAATTAGTATTTTCATTTGAAACAGAAATTGTGATAGCCACATAAACGATACTAAAATTATCACAGAGTAGCACCTTATAATAGTGTGGAAAGATGGACTTTGGAGTTACAGTTATATAGGATTTAAACTGGATTTAAAATCCAGCCTCCCTGAAACTATTGTCTTATGTGTAGAATGTGCATAGAAACCTCAATCTTGAAGAATAATTCTGCAGTGCAATTGGATAATCTATAAAATGTATCCATCAGAGTGCTTGGTCCACATGCTCAAATGTCTAGTAAATAAATAAAAATTACATGCTTCCATTTATACCCATGGTGACAATTATCATACAGATCAATTACTTCTATATCTATTCATTGCTTTTGTTGATACATGGTTTCTGAATAATTTGAGAACATGTAAGTGCTTTTTCCCAATTCATCTTCTTTAACCCATTAAGCCTAAGGAATCAAAGAATTTACCCATTCAAACACCTTAAAATGTTTCCTTTGAGACTGTTACCATATCATGACCTACCTAATACATTTCATAGACTAGCCCATAGGCCAATGGCCCATCACATGAAAGAGCCCCAGCTACATCCTAGCATTATTGGACAGTCCCAGGTGTCCAGAAAGAAGGTCAAGTTTATATATGGTCAGCCTGATGCCTTCTGAAGAAGGTCTGTATTTGTGGTGAATCAAAATTAGCCAGACAAAACTGACC
The DNA here is from genome assembly GCF_000001405.40 of Homo sapiens. NCBI lineage: Eukaryota > Metazoa > Chordata > Mammalia > Primates > Hominidae > Homo > Homo sapiens. Next base: position 72,913,915 of record NC_000009.12, on the reverse strand, counting down.
AGTCTCTAAGTAGAGCCTAATTTTTTGTTTGTAGTCCCAAGCTCCACCACAGTGTTCCTCAATCTTTCCTGTGCCCGGGGATTCAGTAGATCTGAGGTGGGGTCAAAGAAGCACATTTGGCTACCAAGTGATGCCACAACTGCTGGTTGTAGGACCACATTGTCGGTAGCAAGGCACTGAAATACAAAGGCCTGTAGTTTTATAAGTTAGCGACCATCTAAGTTTTCCAACAAATAAGGCTTTTCAGCCCTTTTCTCCAGTATGTATGCAGGGATTTGATTGGCACTGGTTATTCAACGTGGTCACAGACAGGAAAACATGACTTGGGAAATACATCTTGAAATAAAAACCAGATATCATGATGTTGAGGGCATAGTCAGATTAATATGTTCCAATAAGACAGAAAGCTTTATGTGGAGTGACATGGACCCTTGACTATTTATTGAGAAACTAGAATACCTTACCCAGGCAGAATTTATCTCACCCCACCCCTTAGTCTGCTACTATTCAACCTATGTAGTAATTTAAATATTTCTTCTTAACACTATTTTTTTCTTAATCTGCTGGAAATGAAGGAATATTTTCCTTCTGGGATATTATATTAAATATTGCACTAAAGACTGTTGAGCAACATTGTACCAAATATTGTGCCAAATTTTAGAAAATAGTTTCTAGTTTCAAATAGTGCTTAATCTAGTTAGATATGGGGGCTGAGCTGTATTCAGTTAGAAATAACTTTATGGAAGCTTTTTCTTGGCTTTGGAAGATAAAGAAGATTTGCAGAGTCAGAGAAGAGTAAGAGAAAGTGAAACATAAAACTTTTCAAGTAGTGGGAAGTTAAACCTACAAGAGCTTCCACCCTCCAACCCATCTTAGCTCCTAGATCTCCTGTTTTTCCTTTAATCCTTAACCCCTGCTACACCTGAGATAGGCAGCCCTCACCGGTTACTTGGAATCCAAGAGTCACCCAGTTATTCAATGTCACAAAATAGAAATTGAGACAAAAATTAGCCCCAGATTTCAGTGCTTGAAGAGGTACGTGTTCCTGGTGTTCACAACCAGAACTCCAAACTCATTTATTTTCCTTATAAAAATAGTGTTTAAATAAAGACGATTTAAGTTCTGTAATACTTGGCACATAGTTAGATGTGGCTCATTTAATGAAGCAGGATGGTGACATTCAGGACAGGCCAGAAATTGGAAGCAGATTTACTGACTGCCCCAGTGGGACCAGAACTGGGAAGGGTGCGCAGACTATGGTCAGAATGGGATATCCAAGGGCATCGGACAGGTCAGAGTGGGTGATTCAGAAATGGGGAGATCAAACAGAGGCTCGGGAGTCTTCTAAGAACAGTCTTAAAGCATCTGCTTCCCAACAGATCTAATTAAACTCAGTATCAAAGTTCTGTTTTTCTCTTTTCCCTCCTTTCATTTCAGCCGGGACAATAGTTTCCAGGTAAATGTATTTAGATTAACAGGCATTTCTTCCAGAGTGAATAAATGATGATTGTCATTTATGTGTTTTTTATGTGTTTGCAGTGCTGAATGCTTTCCTATATAACTATAAAACAAATGTTAAATACAAATATCTGTCTTCAAGAGATTTTCCCCTAAAAGTCATGAGAAGAAAATATATCCAAAGAATGAATCTGAACCTCTGTTAGCTGTTTCGATTCAATATTTGGTTTAATTGCAATATTTTAGCATTTTGAAGCCCTTGTTAACAGGCCCAGCAATGTGTTATCTTTACAAGTGACTACTTTTTTTCTTTTCATGTGATATTTTTCAAATAGATTGACAAGGAACAATATGATAAAATACTTGACCTCATTGAGAGTGGGAAGAAAGAAGGGGCCAAACTGGAATGTGGAGGAGGCCCGTGGGGGAATAAAGGCTACTTTGTCCAGCCCACAGTGTTCTCTAATGTTACAGATGAGATGCGCATTGCCAAAGAGGAGGTAAATGGCTTCATTCTGTTCTGTTCTTTTTGTTGCCATGTTTTGTCTGTTTGTGTGTATACAAAGTGTCACTTTAAAATTCCCAGCTCTTTGGAACATCTTTCCCTCTAAACCTTACTCTTTATTCTGTTCTTGATAGAGGTTTAAGTTATTTGTGATAGATACTAAAAAGTAGTAAGGGATCCATGGGGCCAGCCACAAATGTTCAGCCAACACAGATCTGGATGCTTAACAATTTTCAGGTGCTGCCTTCACAGCTTTAAAACAATGGAAAAGAATCCTGTCATTTGCAGCAACAACCTGGAAAATTTATGCTCCATGAAATATGACAGGCATAAAAAGACAAATACCGCAGGGTCTCACTTTTATGTGGGATCTCAAAGAGTAGAACTCATAGAAGCAGAGATTGGAATGGTGGTTACCAGGGGCTTGGGGGAGTGGAGGATGAGGGTTGGGAAATGTTGGTCAAAGGATTCAAACTTTCAATTAGGAGGAGTAAGTTCAAGAGAGCTATCGTAAATATCCTGACTGTAATTAATAACAATGTATTGTATACTTGAATATTGCTAAGAGAGTCAATTTTAAGTGTTCTCACCACAAAAGAGATAAATATATAGGTTCTACTTTCTGGTTCCACCTTTGCCCTATAGACTCTTTCTATATAACAGCCATCCATGTATTTGAAAACAGCATTCATCCCCTCTATCACTCCCTACCTTCTATGTGCTCTTAGTCCTATTTGTTTCAGCTGTTAGACTTCCTGATTTTGTATATTGCAGTTAAGTGTTTGGTGAGTGTATATATGTGTGTCTGTATACATATATAATGTGTATATACATTATATATATGCTCACCAAGTATTTAACTACAATATACAAAATTAGAAAAAAAATGAGCTGTCATTCTTGCATATCTTGATTAATACCAGATAAGACGTGGAAAAAAATCTTCAATTAAGGAAACATTTATTGTGTTCCTATAATATATTAATATACAGTAGAACAGCTAGCTTGCTACTTCAAAGTAGGAGCCTGGAGCTATGTGCTGTGTTCAATTAAAATTATGTAAAATATGAACACATTTATTAGAGTAGCTGCTGTGTATATGGTTCCTATGTTCAAATAGGATTAGATTTATAACGTTAAGATTCACACTCAACCTCTATTGAACAGCAGCCCCTCCCTTCTAACATTTAAATCAGTGGTGAACACCAGAAAACTCTTTGTCATTTCTGATTTTTGTCTTCCTTCATTCAGATTTCCCAGAAAATTCTGGTAATTTCAGGAATCTTTATCTGATCTTAATAAATATTTTATTGAAATGCAGGAGCTTAATTTTAAAGAGAAAATCCAGTTGTCTTTCTTTTACCTGAGGCTGAGATACAGGGTGAATTGAGTTTGGGCTGCAGTAACCAGGAACTTAGTGAAAGCAAAAGAGTACTTTACGTTAGAATAAGCAAATTGTGATTTTTGTTTTCTGTCCTGCAATTATAGCCATTACCAATGAACTCATGCTTTGATTAGAATAGGATGGTTTAGAATGTATAAGCTCTTGCAGTAAGGAACAATTCTGTTTGATATATTTAAGTTGCCTAAGATTTTGCTACAGAGTAGACTAAAAGTTCGTGATGTTTACCTAACTTGGCTAATTATGAAAAGTAATTAGTAACTATTCTACTGAGTACAGTAGAATAGTTAATATTTTACCAATGGCATACAGGTATTTAAAGCATTATTATTATCAATCATTGCCTATTCATTTATCCAGCAGATTATCATTGCCTATTCATTTATCCAGTAGATTGCTTTCTGGGACTTGTTACTATGTGTAGTGACTTGGAAGATAAGAAAAACTAGAGAGTGAATTTAAAATATTCCCAAGTGAAAAAGAAATTCTGAAGTTAATGATTTGTTGCACAATCATAAGTTCTTGAAAGCTTAATTCCAACATCTAGAAACTTAATATTGCCTTAATTATTTGTACCCTTTCTTCTTCCAAAGGAAATTTAACACCTGACCATTATCTGTTTTCACCTACCATTTTTGCAGTTACCTATTTGGATTCTCACACATAGGTTTGAGATGAGAAGCAAAATCTTAATCAATTTAGGATAGCGTGTAGGAAAAAAAATCTACGATATCATTTAAAATATTTCATTTTAACCTATTATTTTTACTTATTTATTTCTTGTGGTATAGATTTTTGGACCAGTGCAGCAAATCATGAAGTTTAAATCTTTAGATGACGTGATCAAAAGAGCAAACAATACTTTCTATGGCTTATCAGCAGGAGTGTTTACCAAAGACATTGATAAAGCCATAACAATCTCCTCTGCTCTGCAGGCAGGAACAGTGTGGTAAGTCCAACCTAAGGAATGTAGCCTTTTCAGTAATAACCACATTAACAGATTACTACCTTGAACTTTTTCAGACTTGGATTTTTCATTTGGAATTACCTATCCTTCTAGAAAAGCAGTTGCTGCCTTGAAAAACAAACAAAAGGCTGGGTGCGGTGGCTCATGCCTGTAATCCCAGCACTTTGGGAGGCTGAGGTGGGTGGATCAGCTGACTGAGGTCAGGAGTTTGAGACCAGCCTGGCCAACATGGTGAAACGCCATGTCTACTAAAAATACAAAAATTAGATGGGTGTGATGCCTGTAATCCCAGCTACATGGAGGATGAGGCAGGAGAATTGCTTGAGCCTGGGAGGCGGAGGTTGCAGTGAGCCGAGATCATGCCATTGCACTCTAGCCTCAGCAACAAGAGCAAAACTCCGTCTCAAAAAAAAAAAAAAAAAAAAAAAGCTGTATTGGAAGAACTTTAGGGAGGATATTTTCTTTAACTTTATCTAGCTTCTTGAAATTGCTTACCAAAAATATTGTATTGATGTTTGATTAATACAATATAAGAATTGCCAAGTAATTTCTGAGCACGTGGTACTATGCTGTATACAGGGAGGTAAAAGAGTAAGAACAATATTTACTTGGTACCCTTGTGTATGCAGATATTCTTATATCGGCCTTCTTACTCTAGGATTATTAGAGATAATTGAAGTTATTTTTGAAAGATTGAATTTTGAAGATACCCTCCCTCTCCCATTTTTGACCTAGTTTATATCTCTTATTTTTATACTTTAATCAAGAGGATATAAACATGAAGTCTGTGCCTCTCAAACTGTTGCATTCTGTACTCAGCTGTCAGTCTCTAGACTATGTCTTTGGTCACTTTGGTCCCATTAGCCTAATTTTGGCCCCTCAGTCCTGGAAAAAGCACAAGATTATTTTCCTTCCCAACACTAAGTCACACCTAGATCAGACCTATGCAATATTCTCTTTCTTTCTTTCTTTCTTTCTTTCTTTCTTTCTTTCTTTCTTTCTTTCTTTCTTTCTTTCTTTCTTTCTTTCTTCTTTCTTTTCTTTCTTTCTTTCTTTCTTTCTTTCTTTCTTTCTTTCGTCTCTCTCTCTCTCTTTCTCTTTCTCTCTTTTCTTTTCTTTCTTCTTTTTTTTTTTTTTTTTTTTTTTTTTGAGCTGGAGTCTCACTCTGTCACCCAGGCTGGAGTGCAATGGTGCGATCTTGGATCACTGCAACCTCTGCCTCCTGGGTTCAAGTGATTCTCCTGCCTCAGCCTCCCAACTAGCTGGGACTACAGGCATGTACCACCAAGCCCAGCTAATCTTTGTATTTTGTTTTTTTCTTTTTTTAGTAGAGACAGGGTTTCACCATGTTGGCCGGACTGGTCTCGAACTCCTGACCTCAAGTGATCCATCCGCCTTGGCCTCCCAAGGTGCTGGGATTACAGGCCTGAGCCACCATGCTGGCCTGGACCTATACAATATTCTAAGGCTGTGGTTCTCAGCCCTGGCTGTTCATTAGAATCATCTCGGGGGCTTTAAAAATGTATAAACTGATTTGGGGCAGGGGAGGGTATACATTAACACAAATTATATCAGTGTATAGTTTAAATTTCTCCTCCAAAGCCCATGTGGCAATTTAAATGCCATTGTAACAGCAATAGGAAGTGGGCCTAATGGGAGACTCTTAAATAAAATTCAGCAAGTTCTTCTTGAATAGTCGGTATAGCTAGTGATGAATATAGAATTTGCCTATGATAAAAGCATTAATAAAATTCAGCATAGTTACTGTGTGTATGTATATTATCGCCACTTACTGAAGATATTTATACCAAGTACTACAACAAGAATACTATTCACGCAATCTTACGCATACCTTGAAACAATCCTATTAAATATTATCATCCCCACTTTACACATGAGGAAACGCTTGCAGAAGACAGATAACATTTTGAACTCAAAGTTTTTGCCAAGTGAACATTTCTCAGTTCCCTGTTAATTCACAGTAAAATAGTTTCATTTCTAGTTGACAGTAAAATGAGCAAATTTACTCTCTGCACTTTTTAACAAAGACAAATTTCAGTTTTGTATTTTCGACTAGCAGAATGTTCCATGCTTGTTTGATGAAGCTTGTTATGACATCACCCCACTGAGGGTCTTGGGAATCCCTGATCAGGAATTTCCTCTATTATGAAAAACAGAGGGGACCATCTTGTTACTACATATCCTAGAAGATAATAATTTTCTGGCATTGTCCCAGACCTAATAGCTGCTTGGTGTTTTCAGGAAAATTATTGAACTCCAGAGTTGCAGGAAGTTTACTCATAATTTCAAAGTAGTATTTGATTTTGCAATTTAAAGGGCAATTAAACAAAGCTGAGACAATACTGCCTTTTGTAAGTGTAAATTTATTAAAGGAATTATCCCTCCAGGATGAGAGACATAGTTAAGAACTTTATGGTCCAGTGAGAATGTGGAACTTCGGGAACTGGGATAGTGTTTTAACAAAGAAAACATCTGAATATTATCTCAGGATAAAAGTAATGACCAAACCTTCAAAGTATAATACAATTTATCTGGAAGCCACCCTGGTTTTTTGTTTGTTTGTTTGGTTGGTTTTCTAAATTTGTTTTGTAGAGGCAAGGGTTTGCTATGTTGCCCAGGCTGGTCTCAAACTCTTGGGCTCAAGTGATCCTCCTGCCTCAGTCTCCAGCTACTAACCCAGGCTCTGGAAGCCACATTTTTGTCCACTTATTAAAATAGCATGAAGGGAGAGAAAAGTATAAACATAAATCTCCTTTAAAAAGTGTTTTTCTCTTGCGTATAATGAGAATCAGGTAAATAATTAGATTTTGCTAACTTTTGGCCACCAGCAAATTTAAAGCTAAACAAATTGTTTATGGTCTGCAAAACTGCATTCTAATTTTCCCCATCTAGATCTTCTATTGTAATTTTTTGTTGGATTCTAATTACTACTATTCATGTAATTATGTTTGTTTATATAAGCATCTTTAAACACTTTATGAAATATGACAGGGAATAAATTATAATTAAACCCAACTCCTGCCAAGGCCTCTGTTTAAGCAATTTATTTAACCAATTAATGGGAAAAAAAATTAACTGAGTAATATGATACATATTACAATTGCAAAAGAAAATTGATTCTAGCCTGTTAAGTACAGAAACATCAAGAGAATTACAAGCTGATCCATATATAAGCAGTAATGAATACTGATCCAACAAATTCTAGCTTCTAGCAAACCATATCTTTCCCCCTACAGCATAGTGACTATTCTATCTTTTATAAATTCAGACTACCACTTCTCAGGGACACAATGTACGACCAAAATGGCTATCCATATATATAGTTGCACTATTCTATTTGTTTCTAGGTAGTGTGTATCCATATATGTCTGCATTCTAATTTATAGTGCTACTTTTTTTTATCAAGATGAGTATGTTATAATGAAATTAATGGAGTTTGTAAGGAGCTTTCCAAATTTCTAAAACTGCCAAAAAGGATTTTTTTTTCACACCTTAAGTATTGTCTATAATGCACTTTTCTTTTCCTTCAGGGTGAATTGCTATGGCGTGGTAAGTGCCCAGTGCCCCTTTGGTGGATTCAAGATGTCTGGAAATGGAAGAGAACTGTAAGATTAACGTTCTATTAAGATAAATATTTATTTTTATGAAAATGATTTTCATTCCCAGGGAATTAACTCATAGTTTTCACCTTACATAAAACCTGCCTCTGTTCTTTCCTGGAGATTCATAGCACCAAATAGCTTATTAAATGTGGGATGTACTCCATAAGTGCAAAAGGTGATTGCAGAACAGCAACATAATTTACTAAATTCCTACTATATTTTAGGGACTATATTAAGCAACTTACATTGGTGATTGTAATACTGCTTGCTTTTAGAATTGCTTGCTATATATATGAATGTAATCCATTTGGGAAACATTTCCAGAAAAGAGGTGGAAACTATGCATTGGTGATTGCAAGAAAGGTGCAAATGTAAACACTCTAGTTATTTGAATAAACCATTTAAATAAGTAAATTAGGTGACTTATGTAAAGGAAATTTCAGTGTAAGAGGAATGATTCCCATTTGTTGAGATATTATTGATGTAGACTTTAACATTTTTTATTACCATAAGAAGTTATTTTTAGTATTAAAACTTAAACCTAAAAGGAAATTTGAGGAAAACATGTTTTATAGTAGTGACTAGATTAAGAATATTTATATATAAATGCATTTATGAAATTTCAATTGCTTTTGAAACTAGGGTATATAGACTTTTTAAGTATGCACATATATATGTAAATACAGAAAGTAGTGGCAATATGCTTAGTTGATTTTGTTTAGGCAAGTTTAGTCATTTTATTTCTTAAAACTTTTTTACATGTATTAATGTAAACATTTATGAAGAAAAAAGAAATAGAAACCTTATAGTATCAAACACAGATCGTAAACTTGCTCATTTTGTAATTAGGAAGTGAAAATGTGCCTTTCTCAATCTCTAAATGTATTAAATGGTTGAGTACCGTACTCTAACAAATCAGCAAAATTACAAGGAAACAAATATCTCTGAAGAGTCAGTGAAATGGGAGAATTATAAAATGACCAGTCTACTTTCTCAATATGCTTTCATTTATTAAGCACTTGCTATGTGTAAGGTCCTAGGAACCCCAGAGACATGACACCATGTTCCATGCTCTACATAGCTGTGGTGGCAGGACATGCAAAATAACCTACATACACTATGAAATAAGTAGTAATACACTGGGATTCCATATCCTATGGAGGTAGAGAAGCAATTAAAGTACCGAGCAAAGTATTGAAGAAAACCTAGACACTACCAGAGTATAAGAGTCAGGATGGCATCTCTCTAACCATCACTATTTTCATCTGTCAGACAAGGCCAAGGATTGTGAGTGTGGATAAGAGTGGAAGAAGAAAATAGATCTTTTAACCTCTATTCCATGCTTAAGATTCTATAGTTCTGACCCCACTGGAAATCCAGTGGTTGAAAACTTAATGGCAGTTTATAGAGAAGAAAACTTCTCCTAACAGAAGAGATGAAACTTCCTCTAGGGCAGAAAGCAAGTGTAGGATATCAGTTAGTAGAGAAGAGGGCTTTCTTGCATGGAACATTACATGTGGTATGTTGAGGGGCTAGTGAATTTTGTTGATTGGTGTGGATTTATGGGGATGAAAAATATGATTTCAGAGTAACATATGATACAGATTAAGAAGTCCTGCATTTAAGAAATTTGACTTAGATTTTATTAGTGGAGTAGTGAAAAGCCATGGATATATTTAGGATGTTGCTGAAGTAGAACAAAAAGTTAGCCCATCAAAAATGCATGGCGTAGCTGAGAAAACATTACTGGAGTCTGACCAGCTGAATTTGATTCCTAATTCTGCCACTTGCTAGCCATGCACCCCAGTTCAAGCTACCTAACTTCTGAGCCTCTACTTTCTCATATTTGGTGGAGATGTTCACATTCCTCTTAAGATGGAATGAGAGTTCTTGTGGGAGTTAAATGACATACTGAATATTAAATCCCTAGCCACATAACTGTCACAAAGTGTAAATTCAACAAATGGGTTTCTTCCTTCCCTAGTTTCTTCTCTTTCTATTACTGGAGAATCTCTTGGCAAAACTAATTACTTTGTACAAAAAGTAAGAACAAAGGTTAGATTACTCTGAAGGGCAGTTGGTTCGTTTCTGGCCTGGTTATCTAACAACACATTTCACTGAGAACATTAAAGATAAAATAATCAAAAGGAATGCAAGACTAAAGTAGACCAAACATGTCAATTTCGTTGAACATAATTTGGTCAGACTTTAAGGTGAAGGCATAAAGAAATCAAATAAGAGAAGGACTGAAAACAGGAATCAACCATCAGTAATTTCCTAAAAATCTAGAACATGAGTATAGATAATTTCTTTCAAATACAAAGGAAAAAGTTGTGGGTTTTTTTTTTTTTACTTCAAAAATTCAACTAGAGAATGCTACAGTTAAAGTGTACCTGAAACCAAATTTGGTGAATTTAATAACCAAGTCATTTGCTGCAAGATGTTCCAAGAGTTACAAGTTATTACTCAGGCGATAACCTCAAATGACTCCCAAGAGTTAAATTATAAATTTTCCTCAACAATAGAGAGAATTGATCAGTTGAGAACAGAGTCCTCAAAGAGCGAAAAATGGTGTTATGCAGACCCCAGTGTGTTTGAAGGTGATACAGAGTATGCAAATCTTGATTTTGCATCTCTGATCATAGTGTTGGCTCTGGGATTAGTTAAAAGACAGAAATTCCTCCCTTTGTGTAACTGTACTGTTTCACTTAGGTTAACGTAGGTCCTTTAAGACTTTGCTAGTATGCCATTTTAAACTTGATTGGCTCTTAGCCCCTCCCACCATATTTTTTTCCTCCTGTCCCATAGAAAAGGGAGCAAGGAAGTGTAAACTAATGGTCGTATAGTGAGAACACAAATGAATTTTTTTTCTTGATATTTACCAAGTGTGTTCAGCAAACAGTTCTTCTGTGCCTACTTAATTAGTGCCAGTCTTAATCCTGGGTACAGAGAGGAAATCAGATGTAATGTGGTACTAGTGCCTTTTTTTTTTTTACAGTGTGGACCCTGGACAAGAAGCATAGGTTGATATCACTTGCAAGTTTATTACCAATGCCAACTCAGGCTTCACTCGAGACCTGCTAATTCAGAATCAGTATTTGAATAAGGTCCCAGGTGATTTGTACATTGAAGATTTTAGAAGTATACAAACAGTAACTCACAGACATAGTAAGATGAAGAGAAATCCAAACAGATGTTTGGGGCTATGTCGTAGATATAGTATAGGCATAGGAATCCTAAGGAGCAGGACATATTTCAGCCTGAATATGACAAAAATCCCACTTATTACTCTCCTGAGAGCTTCAAGTGCCTATATGACCCAAAATACAATGGAAAGCCTATTGGCGAAAGTCATGGGTTGATTGATCTAACCCTGAGATAAAATACTTATTAAAATATTATCTTTTAATGGGTTTCAGACAACTGAGGCTAAGCCCTTTAATTACTTTAAGGACCATGCTCACTGAAGCTTTTAAAAGGTATTTTCAAAAGCTTAATTGCCCAAGAAAATAATCAGTGTAAGAGTATTAGGTTACCCAGCAGAAAATGATGTCTTCTACATACCTGTCTACATCACAAGAAGGGAGGGGTAAAAAAGGATCAAGATCTTATTCTTCTGTAAGCCTACATGTGCATGAGTGTTATGATTTTGAGACTACTCTTATATACATGTAATTTGATCCTCTTATCAAAACAATATAGAGAATAACTGAGCCCAATCTTTTTAGTCATCTCTTCAACAAGGGGTAAATCAGTCAGTTTCTAAAACTGGTGGGAGGTCTCCATAAACCTGATAACAAGATCCCAAAATCCAAACTGATTGACTGAGTTAATTCCTGATCATTTGGGTTGAACTTAAGAGTTATACAAGAAAATGGTAGGGGACGAGGAGGTTGTATAAAGGGGAAAAAACAACAACTGCAAAAAGCCCAAGAGCCTGAATTTAGACCAATCTATCATCTTCCTCCTCTTAAAAAGAAAACAATTTAAAAGTTTTAAATAAAAAATAAAGGTCATGTTTTTGTTTTGCCAAGAATCAAAAGATTTTGCTGAAACTACTGCTGCAAAATATTTTGTTTCAAGCCATCTTAGGGCACCTCAGACTAAAAATGAAACCATGATCAATTTCTATCCCCTTACCACTTCTATGACAATCACACATGGTAAATACAAGCTCTGCTCTAGTACTACAATAAAACTGTAGAACTAGAGTAGACCTTGTAGTGATCATATATTACTACTTCTCCTCTTGTCCTATGTCCATCTTATTTCAATCTAAACTAGAAATGACAAAATTCTTGTTGGGTCGAATTGTCTTTTGAGTAGTTTTAGAGCTTTTTGTTTTCATTTCTCCAAGATGATCTTGTTGCATCTGCAGTTCGAGTTTTTAAAATCAAGTAGAATAATGTCAAAAGGGGACAATTTATGTGAGAAATCAACTGACAGTACATGATTATTTAAAATGAAAGTTTTAAAGAAAATTTTCCCCACAAGGGAATCTGTGTAAGACCAGAAATCTTATGATTGGCTAGCTACTATATAAAATGCTCTGTACACAAGAAATATTTTCTATTGTCCCTAGCCAGTAAAACAAGAACAAACTCGTACCAAACATGAACTACAGTATATTTATACTGCTGTGCTAAATGGTGTTTGTGGGTATGTTTTTCTTCTCTCTAGGGGAGAGTACGGTTTCCATGAATATACAGAGGTCAAAACAGTCACAGTGAAAATCTCTCAGAAGAACTCATAAAGAAAATACAAGAGTGGAGAGAAGCTCTTCAATAGCTAAGCATCTCCTTACAGTCACTAATATAGTAGATTTTAAAGACAAAATTTTTCTTTTCTTGATTTTTTTAAACATAAGCTAAATCATATTAGTATTAATACTACCCATAGAAAACTTGACATGTAGCTTCTTCTGAAAGAATTATTTGCCTTCTGAAATGTGACCCCCAAGTCCTATCCTAAATAAAAAAAGACAAATTCGGATGTATGATCTCTCTAGCTTTGTCATAGTTATGTGATTTTCCTTTGTAGCTACTTTTGCAGGATAATAATTTTATAGAAAAGGAACAGTTGCATTTAGCTTCTTTCCCTTAGTGACTCTTGAAGTACTTAACATACACGTTAACTGCAGAGTAAATTGCTCTGTTCCCAGTAGTTATAAAGTCCTTGGACTGTTTTGAAAAGTTTCCTAGGATGTCATGTCTGCTTGTCAAAAGAAATAATCCCTGTAATATTTAGCTGTAAACTGAATATAAAGCTTAATAAAAACAACCTTGCATGATTCTTGTTACTTTTGAATTTTTTTAAGTACAAGTTTTGGTTACAGTGATTTCTTCTTGTCACTTAAAAACAGTGTTAAACTGAGCATAAAGGTACATTTAAAAGTAAAAGTCTAATCCACCTATTCTCAAATAGGTAAAGAAACATGCTGTATTTTCCAAAAGAATTCTCAAAATCAGTGGATTTTATCTGAAATAGATGGCCTCAGTCCTTCAGTAAGCAATTATTGAGTTCCTACAAAGTTTTGGGTATGTGTTAAGTGTTGTAGAAAAGAGGTGAATAATGAATGGTCCATTATCTGAAGATCTTTAATTTAGTGGTTAATAAAGACACAATCCCTGCACCACAGAAAGGAGGGGTCATAAAAAAAATGAGGATTTTAGAAACTTGTAGTGACTTGCAGAAGTGGTCATGATGAAGGCTAACTGAGGGAATCAGGAATGGCCTCAGGTAGGAAATTTGACTGAATATAAACCTTAATAATGGGCAAATTTGCAATGAATAAAGGGGAAAGAGGTTCTACAAAATTTATCAGGACATGTTCCATTGAAAAAACATTCGGAAAAATTCTATACAATATATTTTCCTCTCTTGGAATTTCAGATTGCACATCGGCAGCATATTATAGGTTTCGAGAAGTCCTGCAACCTTCTTAGTTTTAATAGAGCCCCCCCTTTTTTTTTCCAAATTAGCAGAGACTTTGTCTCCTCTCCCTCACCTCCTCAGTTACCACCAATTAACATTAAGAAACCCATGCTGGGCTGAATACAGTGGCTCACTCCTGTAATCCTAGCACTTTGGGAGGCCACAGCAGGTGGATCTGTTGAGCCCAGGAGTTTGAGACCAGCCTGGGCAATGGGCAAAATCCCACCTTTATTTAAAAAAAAAAATTAGCCAGGCATAGGGGCACAAACCTGTGGTCCCATCTACATGAGAGGCTGAGGCAGGAGGATGGCTTGAACCTGGGAGGTCGAGGCTGCAGTGAGCCATGATCATACTACTGCACTCTAGCCTGGGTGACAGAGTGGGACCCTGTTTCAAAAATAAAAATAAAAATAAAAACCCTTGCTGTCCTATGCAATGAGGGAACCCTTAGAGTTCTAAGGAGAGATCTGGGAATCAAAAGAGAGCAGCTGAAAAAAATGTCCTCCACATGAAACTACACCAAGCTTACACATTTACCCCCTCATAACAGAATTGCTGCTTGTGTTTTCATTCTTCTGTTGTGCTTCCATATACAAAGTGATTTAGGCCCAAATGAAATGAACATTTGTGTATAACTATACACATTCTAAAATTTTTTTAGTTTGGCAACTTAGGATAACATTTTTTTCAGATTTTATATAAGTTTATCATTTTACATTAACAGACACTTCAGTGCCTCTATTATTAGGACACTACTAGCTGCTGCAGTCAAGTGTAACAATGTAAGAACAAATGAAGTTCATTGGCTTCTTTTACAGGAAATAATTTAACTCCCATTTCGAGAGTTTTTCAAACTTATGTTGGCCTATAAACTTTGCAATTTGGACTACCTCGTAAGATTTGGGACATGTTTACCCTTTTGAAAACTGAAGAAACCAAAGCCTTGGGGAGAACTGAAAGGTCTTTGGACAATGAGAAGGAAAAGTGTCCAAACACAGAGGGAGTTGTGTTTTCCTAAAGCCAGACAGTGTCTACATTTTAAAAGATGTGTTTAAAGCCACGTGTAAATAAATTAATAGGTAGACAAGTTAATATTGTAATGGCATGCAACCAGAACATTTTAAAATGTGTAACAAAGAAAGCAGAGGACAGAACAAGACAAAAGCCAGAAGCAAGTTTAAATATTAGAAAATTTTCATTGTATAAATAAGACATTACAGGATTAAACAGAAAATATCTGTTTTATATTGGCTCGTTCTGAGTCTCTAGACATTATTTGTATTATATTTCATTATTTATATTAAAGCCATACAGGTAGTAATTCTTAAAACCTTGAAAAGTTAAAAAGTATCTTATTAGCTCATGTGCTAGAGGAATTCCAGTAAGAAATTTCATCTTGAAAAATTCAGTTTTGCGGTCATAACTATGATCTCATTGTCCTCAGTGTACAAATGGTAAAGTATTTTTATCTCCAGGAATACCAAACTAAGTGACAGAGGTTGGAATTCACTTTTTTAGGCAGAGACAACATCAGGTATCAGATACTCATTCACAAATGTCTAATCTAGTTCGGTTTTCTTCTTTTTCTTTTTTCTCTTTTGTTGTTGTGGTTGTTGTTGTTGTTTTGTCTTTTTGTTGTTGTTATCTTCTAAGGATACATACTTCTGGCTTTATTGAATACATACCTCTGGCTTTATTTTGAAACAGCCAACAAGAAATGGAAGGCAGGTTAAACGTTTTTCTTAAATTCTTGTGACCAACTCAAATAGAACCAACTCAGAGAATTTTAGCCATTTCTTCACATAATTCAGGAGGGAGCAATGAACTCAAAAGATCTTTTGTCTGGGCAATGTGTGTAATGTTTTGAGTGTCTAATTTCACTTGAACACTTAGAAATGCAATTCTGCAAATTAGTTCTCCTGGCTTTTTCAGAGTATACTACATGACCAGGTTACATTTTCACATGAAACACATTTGCTATTAGAGTTTCATTTACTGATTTATCCTGGGATTTTTTAAAATTTTATTTTATTTTAAGTTCCAGGATACATGTGCAGGATGTGAAATACCATTTGACCCAGAAATCCCATTACTGGGTATACACCTAAAGGAGTATAAATCGTTCTTTTATAAAGATACATGCACATGTATGTTCACTGCAACACTATTCACAATAACAAAGACATGAAATCAACCCAACTGCTCATCAATGATAGACTAGATAAAAAAAAATGTGCTACATGTACACCATAGGATACTATGCAGCCATAAAAAGAATGAGATCGTGTCCTTTGCATGGACATGGATGGAGCTGAAAGCCATTATCTTCAGCAAACTAACACAAGAACAGAATGCCTTGGGATTTTTTAATGTTCTCTGGAGACGTGTTTGAGCTTTTCCAGTCTGGTGGTGAAAGAATATATTGAAAGGGAAATTGGCAATGAGAACTAAATTTTCTAGATACCAGAATTTAGTGACTGCCAGGAATGCAGGAAAGCTTTCTGTTGTAGGACACAAGGACTGTAGCATCCTGGAGAATATCCTGAGTCAAGACACAAGGGAGGGAAAAGAGTTCACTTACCATTCTGACATTCTGTGGAAGAGCAGAGGTGGTGTCTCTCTGAAGACCAAACCACAAAATTATCTGTGGGTGCTTGAGACAAGTCAAGATCATGTCTCTTAATTGGCCCTTTGATTCTGGGTGGTGGGTTTATCCCAGAGAAAAACAGTCTCATCCATAAACATCTAGGTTAATTCCCAATTCCCTAGCAAGTCAAGTTTATCACGTAAAGAAATACCAAAGGAATAACAATGCTTTTTGGACATTTAGTGTTGCTGGGCGCAGTGGCTCATACATGTAATCCCAGCACTTTGGGAGGCTGAGGTAGCTGGATCATTTAAGTCCAGGAGTTTGAGACCAGCCTGGGCAACATGGTGAAAATCCCTCTCTACAAAAAAATACAAAAAATTAGCCACGTGTGGTGGCAGGCACCTGTAGTCCCAGCTACTCAGGAGGCTGAGGTGGGAAGATCACCTGAGCCTGGGAGGTTGAGGCTGCAGTGAGTGGTGATGGCGCCACTATACTCCAGACTGTCTCAAAAAAAAAAAAAAAAAAAGAAGAAGAAGAAAAGAAAAGAAAAATAAAATACTTTAGTGCCATGTGCTGAATAGTTTCACAAGAATTTAGTTTTTAAAAAATGGACATCTCTGAGTTTTACAGACATGTTCATAGGAGGCTGCCATAGTGCTATGCTGAAGTGTTTCACCAGAGTTTTAGGATTTTGTTTGCTTTTTGTCAAGTCACTTATGTAAAGATTCATCAGGGTTAGAAAAATACACTAAATATGAAAACACAAAATTGACCTAGGTAGGCAACTGATTTTCCTTTAACTTTTTATTTTAAAACAATTTCAAACATTTAGAGGAGCTGCTACAGCAGTGCCAAGAACTCCCGTATAGCCTTTGTTCCTTATTTTTAAATATTATTCTTTCTTGACATTATCATTTTCATTCTTTTTTTTGAGACAAACTTGAGAATAATTTTTAGACATCATGCCCTTTTACCCCAAATCCTTCAATTGGGTCATTCTTTCACAAAACCACAGCACAATTATCTCATTCAGGAAATTTAATATTGACAAAATACCATTATCTAATACATGATCTATTTAAAACTATTTAAAATTTTTCTCAAATTGTTCTAATATCCTTTTTTTTTTTAAATGTAGTCTCCCTCTGTTGCCCAGGCTGGAGTGCAGTGGTGTGATCTCAGTTCACTGCAGCCTCCACCTCCCAGGTTCATGAGATTCTCCTGCCTCAGCCTCCGTGTAGAGACACGGTTTCACCATGTTGGCCAGACTGGTCACAAACTCCTGACCTCAAGTGATCCACCCACCTCGGCCTCCCAAAGTGCTGGGATTACAAGTGTGAGCCACTGCACCCGGCCTACTAATGTCTTTTATGGCGTTTTCCCTCATTATCTAAAAATTAATTCTGAATCATGTGTTATATTTAGTTATTATGGTTTCCTTTCCTCTTACTTTTCCTTAATAATGACAATACAACTTGTAAGCACACCTAATATTCAATCAGGTTGCTAATACTGTCTTGGCTTGGGAGGGAAATGTAAGGGATGAGTTAACAAGAATCAGCCAAAAGCAGGTGGATGGTTTTAGAGAGTAAATAGTTCAATATATGATTATTAATTACCATTCTCCATGATAAACCAGATAAGAGTATGTATGCAGGCTGGAAAATGATCCTTCTTTCTTGGACAATTGTAAAGAAAAGTTGAATGTTCCCTTGAGGATCTTGGTCTCTGCTCTTGGTGTGTGTTATTACAATATTGCCCTTTGTTAGTTGATTTCCTAGCTTATTTGAACATTTTTCCTTAATAACAGGTTGCCTATGTTCTGATGTCATCTGGGTAGATACCTACATATCAATTAGTTACAAATCCCTTAGTCACATAAAACATTTTAAATTACTTTCCTTTAAAAGTCCAATTACAGTAGAAAGATCTTGATTTTTAGATTTAAATAGATGCTGCATTCTGATTCCGCCATGTACTAGTGGTATGGTCTTAGGTCACTTATTAAACCTTTCTCATATAGTAGTCATTCAGCAGATCAGAGTGGCTACTAATATTTGTGAAGCAATACAATGTTATTTAGAACATTGGTTATGCATAATCACATGGGAACTTGGAGCCCAGCAATTTGGTTTCCAATTCGTATTCTGCACTCAGTGGTCTTGGGATTTGGAAAAAATTATCCAATCTTCCTAAATTCCAGTTTCCTTTATGTAAAAAGAATTAATAATGATATCTATTTAATTGGGATATTCTATTAAATGAAATAATATTTGTAAAATGCCTAGCAGGCTTCCTAAGACACAACAAGTGCCCAATACATGTTACTTATCTACTAAATGGATGTCTAGGCACTGACGATTATTTCAACAAAAATAATATGTTTCCTGTACACACCAAGGTCTCCCTCTTGACCTTGACTTTGAATCTTCCTTCTACATCCTCTTTCTCTCAGTCTTCCTTTGTCCTAGTTGTTAGACCAATCTCAGTTACTACTTCATAATTGTGATGCTTTGCCCATTCCATCCATTCTTTTTTTTTTTTTTTTTTTTTTGCTGTTGTTTAATCATTCCCTTCAGATAAAGGCTAAAATTCTCCATCAAAGAAATAACAGGGTGGAAAAGAATGTGAGCCAAAAACCCGGCTTAGAGTTGAGGTTAGAAATTTAAATACATCTAATACCAAAGCAGGGCTAGTTCTAATTAAATGAACTCAACTGCCTTTCACTCCATAGTTACCAGTCATCATGGCTAATCTTTACGCTAATAGTCAGGGACAGGGGGACTAAAGGAACAACAAACAGATGAGGCTGGTTTCAAATGCAGCATAGGAACCCACAATGATGTTGGTCATCCGATGACTGATTCAAAGACTCAGCCCGCATGAATTCAATGGGAAGGATTAGTGGACGGAAAAGCACATGGCTTAGCATTTGTGCCCAATGCTCAGTCATCCAACATTCTTATAACCACAAAATGTCAGAACTAGGAAAGAACCTAGTGTTCTTCTAGCCCAATAACTTCATCTCACAGAGGCATAAAGAAATCAAGCGACACTTGAAAGGCTATTAAATTATCAGTGGCAGAGTTTAGTTAATACGCTGTCTTCTAACTCCTACTTCTGTACTATTGCCTTTATTCCATGTGGCACTGCGAACATTTAACTGATATTTGATTAAATATGTAACATCCATTGTTGCATCTTATTTGTATATATCTTATTTACTATATTTTATTTCTTTTGTCTAAAAAAGAAAAAGTTATATAACAACCATGTTTCATTTCATTTGTATGTATTATATGTATTGAAATGTATCCCTTTTGTCTAAAAAGGAAAAGCTCTAAATGATAGCTTTTATAAATCCTCAATGCAAATTAGTTTCATTCATCTGTAAAAACAGTGTATTAATAATTTAGCTACAAAGGTAAAATTGCTAATTTAGATATATAAAAATAAAAATATATTTATTTAACAGTCATTGCAGAGTCAAAATACTGTGGAAAAAATACCGAGAACTGCAAAAGGAATAATGGGCATTATGTTCTTGTTCTCTGCGAGCACAGTTCTGAGTCCTGCACAGAAGTCATTTGCTTCATATAAAAATGAAAGATCCTGCTCTTGCAATGATTAAATCTAATAGAGGAAATGAGAAACACACACACAATCATGGAAATAAAAGACAGAATGCACAGAGTGTTATAAGATTGACAGCAACAAAAATCTGCAATTGTTTGGAGGGAGAAAAATGGCTTCTCCCTGCAGTGACTTCGATGGACTAGGCAGCATTTGGCCTAGCCTCTGACATGGAGAAGGACCAGAACATTTGCAGAATGTGTGCAGGCAGAAGGGACATTCTGGCCTGAAAATGAATCTATAAGTGGAAAAAATCCAGGTTTATATGACATAGTTTCTGTTTCATTGGAAGATCAGGCTGGACAGCATTTCAAGACTTTTACCTGTAAAATGGAGAAAGTACTACTGGTCTCACATGGTTATTGAGAGGAGAAAATGAAGTAATACTTAAGTCTAGATCTCTCAGATAACCTCTGTTGTCAAAACAGAGGAAACCTTGAATTCCAAGTCAAGCCACAAAAAATCAGACAAGGAGGAACTTTAAAATGAATGGTAAATTCAATGGGGTTGAATTTTTCATTAAATTTTTACTTTTAAATAATTGTAGATTCACATAATTGTTAGATATAATAGAAAGAGACTTCATGTACCCTTTACCCAGTTTCCCACAATGGTAACACCTTGCAAAACTCTAACACAATATCACAACTAGAACACTAACACGATTACAGCCAAGATACAAAACATTTCCATCATCACATGGACCCCTCATGTTGCCCTTTTATTACCATAATCATATCCCTCCCACTCTTACCCCTTCCTTAACTTCTGGCAATCTGTTCTCTATTTCTAGAATTTTGTCATTTCGAGAATCATATAGTATGTAATTTTTTGTGATTGGCTTTTTTTCCTCCACTAAGTATAATTCTCTGCAGATTCACCCAAGTTGTTGCACATATTGAATCATAACAAAGACCCACACATAATTGATTGCATTTTTCCACTTGCAATGGGAATTGTTTTGACAGGTCCTAAGACAGATATCTTTGGAGTCAGGTTTATTTCTTTTCTTCTTTAATAACATCTGGGAGTAGCTGAAGTGTCTTACCATGCCCTAGTCAAGTATGTAAACAGAATGGCAATGGAAAGGTGGGTTAGTGGGAGAAGAATCTGTTGACATGGAATATTCTACTTCCCTAGTTTTGTAGGTGTCACTGAATCTCCTCTGAAGTTCTGAGTTATATTTGAGAAAACAGAAGGGACAGTTCTTGCAACTTTCTTGTTAAAAACGAAACGAAGCCTTGAAAGGTATTAAGTAGGGCCCCCATGTGAGAGAATGTGCCTCATGTTCTTAGACAGGCACAAACGGGTCAGGTCAACCCCACGAGTCTTCATTCATGAATCCTCCTCTGAAAGCCTGAGGCACAAAACATGTGGCTTTTCCCTTAGGACTTTTGGACATATTAGTCCCCACCCCGCCAAACATGATCCCCACCAACATCCCCCTCATCCAAAAGAAGTTATATTGTCCCTATATGAACTTGGCTCTGTCTTTACTCCCCCAGCTGCTGACTTGGGCTAAGACTACCCCAGCCCTCAGCAGCACTCCAGGCCCCTTCCTGCTGAATGAAAGGTCATGGAACAATCCAGAAGAGCTGCATCCCTTACTGCATGTGAGTAAGCTCCAGGCATTATTCTAAGTGCACTCAAGCATTACCTCATTTTCTCCTCTCAACAACCATGTAAGACCAGCAGTACATTCTCCATTTTACAGGTGAGGAAACTGAGGCTCAGAAAATTTAACCAACTTGACAAAGTTACAGGGCTAGTAATTAAAAGCTTGGGAATTCAAAGCCAGGCAGTCTAACTACATAATCGCCCTCATTCTTAGACATTAAACTGTAATAACTGAATGTCAGGCCCAGTCAAGCAATTGCAAATTATAGAATATCACTAGCAAAACTTAATTTTGTTCTTTTGCATTCATAGTTTGAGTCATAAGAACATTTTGTTCTTTTGCATTCATGTTTCATAAAAAGTCGTTGAGGATTTTCAGATTTCAAATATATTCTATTTTTCTCCTCTTTTTAATATTTAAATCTAGATCTCTCAGATAATCTCTGTTGGCAAAAAGATCCATAGGCAGTGGACTCGATGGAAGGTAATCCTCTGAAAACAAAACTGTTGGAGAAATCCTTTCATGTCTCTTTATTGCCCATTTTCACAAAGGAACACATGAAGGAAATTGTCATCTCTCTTACACATTGGCCCTACCAGCCAAAAATGTACCCAAGTGTTCCTCTGCAATGAAAACAGTGGCCTCCACAACTCTAGTGCCCAAGGTCTTAGGCCACGTGAAGTGACTGTGGGGCCTCTATAACATTTCAAGACTTTTAAGCTACTCTCAGTTAATTTTCAAGGGTTGAAGGATTTTATTAGGACTTACCTCCTCCAAAAACGAAGAAAGTGCCAGTTTTTAGGCATTTCAAGTCTTGAGGAAAAATATGGAGAAAGAAGTCCTCAGATTCAAGAATTTTCTTATACTCAAACTATGACTAAGTGAAAAGTCAGGGTAGGGTTTGGGGGAAATAAGGAATGAAGGCATAAGATTTGAAGGCACAGATACTACAGTGGGAGGAAGCACTGTATTTTATTATAGTGGTAACACAGGTGCTGCTTTAACATTTGAGTTAGTGAAGATCTCCACCCAGAAGCCTTTCCTCCTGCCCTCTTTTTTCTATACTTCTAGTCACTTGGTGCTCCCACATGTCCTGTAGCACACTCAGTTCATCTCTCACCTCGAACTTACTGCTCTCAGCTGTAACTCTCTGTTTATCTGCCTGCTTCACACACTAGAACTGAGAAATGACAACCCAAGACCTGAGGCTACACTTTTATTTTATACTCCTAGATTCGGCACAGAGTTTAGTACTTGTTAGCAGTTCTTTCCTTTATTTTATTTAACTTATAGAGATGAGGTCTCACTGTGTTGCCCAGGCTGGTCTTGAGCTCCTGAGCTCAAGCGTTCCCCCCTCCTCAGCCTCCCAAAGCGATAGGATAACAGGTATGAGCCACTAAGCCTGACCTTATTAGCAGTTCTAATATACTCTAACTTATAGAGTGGATTTATACTTTGGCATCCTGGTCTTTTGAAAATTCTTGGTTACACATCCAAAAAATACTTTATATGTAAAGTATATATGTTGGATGTTCTGTGACTCTAATTTTTGCCATTTGTTCTTCTCAAACTTTTACATCTAGAGATAATGAAACTATATGGATATCAATGATCAGGGAGTGGAGGCTAAGAAGGAGCCAGATCCACTGAATATCTTGGTGTCATTTTTCTCATCATCGCACATAAAAGAAATACTACAGAGACATTGCAAAGAAGAGCTAACTTTAGCATCACACAGATTTGCTTCAAAGAACCAGCTCTTACTCTGATGTGAATAGCTGTGCTACTTTGGGTAAAATTGCAATTCTAGGTTTCACTTTCTTCATCTTGTCAGTGAAATAGGGATACAATAGTGACAACTTCAGAGGGTTGTGAGAATTAATCTATGCAAGTATTTAATTGATGTAACTAACTTACAACTAACTTAAAAGCATATAACTAACTTGGCACATAGTATGACCCATAAAAGTTAGCTGCTAGATCATTCATTATAGTAACATTGCTGCATAGTACATGGCACTTTCACACACATTATTGTATTTGATTCTTGTAACCATCTCATGGGTTGAGCTGGGAAGGTCATGTTATCACCCTGGATATATGAGAAATTTTAAGTTCTAAAAGATTTACTGACTTGTTTAAGTTCACCCAGAAAAGAAGTGATGGTACAAAGATTGTGCTGAAATCTTCTGATTTTTTTACTCCAGGCTGCTAGCCAGTGCCCTCACAGCTCTCACTGTGCTTTTCAAGTCAAAGCATACCAGGGAAGCAGCTATGGCAAAGAACAGCAGTTCAGTGGTGGAGAAGAGGAGGCTGCAGAAAAGTAAGAAGGAAGGTGGTACAGAGGGAGGGTGACATTTCTCTTTCATATTGCCCCTCGATTTCAAAGGAAGGTTGCAGAGGGAAGAAATGCAGATAAGGAATACTGCGCTTACTGATACCGGAATGAAGACTGAGTAACATCAATCCCAAAAGGATGCTCTCTTTTCATATGATCTGTTTTCCGTTCAAAAATCCATGGTTTGACCTTTTAATGCTTATTTGTTCCTTTACAATTTTTAATACTCAGTTGAGCATAGAACAGGATGGGTAGAGACAGTGCAAAAATGGAAGGAGTAGGTTGGAGAGTACACTTGCACATCACTCAGAATGCTCCCTGCTTGGGGCCTGAGAATCTGATCCCAACTCTATATCTAACAGATGGACAAAAGCTTCGAAATAATATCTGAATGGTGATGGAGGTGGGACACTATAGAAATTTCTGAAGCTTTCATGCAAACAAATATTGGAAGTAAAAGGATCATTATGAAAGGGCCAGATAACTTCCCTAGAGCAAGATTTGTAGCACTGGACATTCTGAAAGGTAAAAGCTCTGAACCTTGCCAATCTAGGCACCTTTGCATATAACTGAAACTGAGAGGTATGTCATATCCTACCCCCAGGCGGAAAGGGCTGGGGACAGATGAAAATGCTTAGCTACAACCTGTCTTTGAGATAATTGCATGTTCCAAACAACATCAAACAAAAAGACAGTCCTGACTTTATTGGCATGAAGTGCTATTAGGTTGTCAAGAATCCTGTGATCTCAAACTGCAAGAATAGGCAGAAAATGACTTTCTGTGCAGGGGATATTAAGGGATTGCAGAACATTTTACCCAAAGTTGCAATATCACTTTTTTTTCCCTCCAATCTTTTTGAGTCACATTCCGGAAGAAAATAAACCAGGTAAGATTTTCCCACAAGGCAGATGGTACAATTTAAAGAAAAAGGTGGGTTTTGTGGGGCTTATGAAAATTCCATCTGAACTTCCCCTGATCCATAAGTTTCTTAGAAGCAAAGAAATATAGGCAGTTATGCCATGATTGTACCCAGCAGGTAAAAGAGAGGCACTGAAATTACATTTCTGTAGATCACCTACATTTCAATGAACTTCCCAGGGCATTTGGTTGTGGCAGGTTTTTTGCCATAGATTTAAGGAGAAAGTCAGAATAAATGACTGCAAAGTCAAACTCCTCCCTCTAGAGACAGACAAAACCTTTCTATGCCTGCCATAGGGTTCTAAATTGAAAAGGATCTAGTATACATTTTAGCCTGGACGTATAAATATATGAATAGTGAGACCCCAAGGGGTTAAGTGGTACGGCTCCTGTCACATAGCTCCTTAGAGGCAATGTCATGATTAGAATTCAGGATTGCTGATTTTTAGAATCAGACTTTTCCCAAGATCATGCTACTTGTCACTTTTAAAATATTTGCATCTTCAGATTGGAAATGACCCAAGAGTTTCCAATACACATATTACTGATAGTTGTTTTATTTTGTCAGCTTAGCATGTGTTTGGAGGATTAGTTTTTTACCATTCTCACTCCATATGGTTTGGGAAAGTCAGAATCCTTCTCTAACTTCAGGGCAAATGATTCATATCTGGCAAATCGGAGTTGTTATCTCTCTGGGATCGAGGCTGGTATAGGGTTGGGCACATAACCACAGCTCAGCTAGTCAGAACACACTATTCAAGACTATTACTGGAACTAGCAAGAATGATTGCTAATACATCAGGCATATAGAACAAATGAGACCCAAGGGTTCTAGTTAATATACAGCTTTATTTTTATCTCCTGCTGTCCCATGAAAATATATTTAGTGGGAGAAGTTCTTCTGACCCTGCATGAAAATTCCCACAGACCTACAAATTTTTTTTCACTCTAGGAAAATAAAAAGTTCTTTATACCTTTGTTGACAAAAAAAAAAAAGCCAAATTCTGTAAAATATTTGAAGAAATTTATTCTCAGCCAAATGTGAAGACCATGGCCCATAACACAGCCTCTCACACTGCTAATAAAGACATACTCAAGACTGGGTTTGTAAAGGAAAGAAGTTTAATTGACTCACAGTTCAGCATGCCTGGGGAGGCCTCAGGAAACTTACAATCATGGCAGAAGGGGAAGCAAACATGTCCTTCTTCATATGACAGCAGGAAGGAAAAGAATGAGTGCCCAGCAAAGGCAGAAGCCCCTCATAAAACCATTAGATCTCATGAGAACTCACTCACTATCATGAGAACAGGATGGGGGAAACCAGCCTCATGATTCAATTATCTCCACCTGGTCCCTCTCATGACACATGGAGATTACGGGAACTACAATTTAAGGTGCTATTTAGGTGGGGACACAGCCAAACCATATCATTCTATCCCTGGCCCCTCCCAAATCTCATGTCCTTACAATTTAAAACACAATCATGCCCTTCCAAAAGTTCCCCAAAGTTTTAACTCATTCCAGCATTAATTCAAAAGTCCAAGTCCAAAGTCTGATCTGAGACAAGGCAAGTCCCTTCCACCTGTGAGTCTGTAAAATCAAAAGCAAGTTAGTTTCTTTCTATATACAGTGGGGATACAACAGGCATTGGGTAAATACACCCATTCCAAATGGGAGAAATTGGCCAAAACAAAGGAACCACAGGCCCAGTGCAAGTCCGAAATCTAATTGGACAATCATTCAACCTTAAAGCTCCAAAATGATCTCCTTTAACTCCATGTCTCACATCCAGGTCACACTGATGCAAGAGGTAGGCTCCCACAGTGTCAGGCAGCTCTGCCCCTGTGGCTCTGCAGGGTATAGCTCCCCTCCTGGCTCCTTTCATGGGCTGGCATTGAGTGTCTGCAGCTTTTCCAGGGGCACTGCACAAACTATCAGTGGATCTACCATTCTGGGGTCTGGAGGACGGTGGTCCTCTTCTAACAGGTCAACTAGGTTGTGCCTCAGCAGGGACTCTGTTTGGAGGCTCTAACTCCACACTTACCTTCTGCACTGCCCCAGCAGAGGTTCTCCATGAGGGCCCTGCCCCTGCAGCAAACTTCTCCCAGGGCATCCAGGTGTTTCCATATATCCTCTGAGATCTAGGCGGAGGTTCCCAAACCTCAATTATTGATTTCCATGCACCAACAGGCTCAACACCACATGAAAGGTGCCAAGGCTTGGGGCTTGCACCTTCTGTAGCAACAGCCTGAGCTGTGCCTTGGCCCCTTTTAGTCATGGCTAGAGCAGCTGGGATTCAGGGAACCAAGTCCCTAGGCTGCATACAGCATGGGCACCTTGAGCCTGGCCCATTAAACCACTTTTTCCTCCAAGGCCTCCAGGCCTGTGATGGGAGGGGCTGCCACAAAGGTCTCTAACATGCCCTGGAGACATTTTCCCCATTGTCTTGAGGATTAACATTGGGTTCCTTGTTACTTATGCAAATTTCTGCAGCCAGGTTGAATTTCTCCTCAGAAAATGGGATTTTTTTTCTATTGCATTGTCAGACTGCAAATTTTCCAAACTTTTATGTTCTGCTTTTGTAATATATTTTATTTCTAAATGTGATTTTCCATTCTATTACAGTCTGTTATCCCAAGTGAGGCTCTCAGTAACTCTTACCTGGTATTCAATAAATTTAGACAAATGCACATTTGTTTATACACGTAATTTTGCATACAATTGCATGAGGCTTACTATCCTCTAAAATCCATCTGTGGGTCTTACAAGTTAAGAACTTCTCTTTTGTAGACCCCTAAATTGGCTTTGACTGATATCTTGAGCAAGGCAAGATTATTCAGTATTTTTTTAATCACTTCATATTTTTGTATTATTTTATATGTTTAAATTTAAGATGTTATTAAACATTTTATTAAGTGCTTATTTTGCACCAGGAACTACGCCAAGCACTTTGATTTTGCATAAATGATCTCATTTGTTCTTACCACAATCTTCTGAAGTACACCGGAAGTAAACAACAATAAAAATATGAAGTACATATTTGTATTCCCATTTTACAGATGAGGAAACAAGTTTAGTCATATTGTGTGAAGCCTACTTCACAGTCTGTGGCAGACCTGGACTAAAACTCGGGTCAATCTCTTAAGGATGACATCTCATTGCCTGTGGGCTTTATCTTATGAGCATATTCCTAATCTCCTTGATTTAGTCAGGATAGGCTGTATATCATGTGCAGTAACAGAAGATAAACCTCCAAATTTCAGTGGCTTTGCACAATGAAGGTTTATTACTCTTTCACATAAAGTCTCATGTGGGGACTGTGACTTTCCTGCATCTTATAGCTATGCCATCTGGAATGTGTGGACTTAAAAGTAGATGTTTCAAGTGAAGGGGAGAGAAATGGAAGAAGCACACTAGCTTTTACCTGCCTCAGCCCAGAAGTAATACATTATACATACAATTTGGCTTACGGAACCTTAGGAAATTTTATCAACTTTATAACTCTTGCTACCATTACAGGACGGTGCATTCTATTTCAATGCCAGCTCAAAGAAATATATTTTCCTAAATATTATATAAGCTCAGCCATTTTTTTCTATATAATATTTTTCAGTCTTTTCTTCTCCATAGCAACCCACATCTCACGACCTACAGACAGAATTGTTATCAGCGGTGTGAGAAAAGGAAAGTTTTTGGTGATTCTAATTTGGGCACATTGGATATTCCCTTCTTCTTCTTGTGAATATTTGGCTTCTGGTGAGGTATAACATCTGCAATGAACCCAAGAGTCACTTGTGTGCTTCTGCCACCTTAATGCCAAGTGAGACCTAAATCTGTGAATAACCATCCCCACGTCCAGCATCTACACATCAAAATAACAAGATTCTATAAATCCACCAAAGAAATTTGAGAAAAAGTTAAACCTCTGTAATGATATACCTGGACAGCAACCACAAAAAGATATTACAAAAAGCCCAAAGGTAAAAACAAACTATGGAAGTGATCAAATGATCCTATCCTTCAATAAGAAAATACCTGATTTGGAAAACTGCCTTGCCCAAATATAAGCAGGAGAGAAAGACAAGCTGCTACTCTGGAAATGGTATGCCTATATTAATCATGACAATTCGATTGGGATTTTTATCCTCCTGCCTTTTGTTTTTTTTCTTCCCAACCCTAGTAAATGACAGCTATATTTATTGAGCAATAGGCATGGAATTAGGGTGTGTATGTGTGTGTGTGGGGGTTATGTATTCTAAACAATTTCTAAGTGTCCTAGTAACATGGTAGATGTCCTCAGCTTGAAGAATCTCCTTTTGAAGATTCAGTGAAGGAAAGTTAAGTTTAAGTTAAGTTATTTCTTCATAAACCTATTAAGTTGTGAAGCTAACATTCAAACCCTGTTTGGGATCACCTCAAAGGAAGTTAACTTCACCATATTCAAAAGGAGTGCACAAGACCTCCTGCAACTCTTCTAAAAGCATTTCAAATAGACACATCTGACTCTGCTCCATTTGGAACAGTCAATATATGGTAGAAATAACTAAGGAGAATGGGGAGACAGGAACCTTGAGGCTTTTTTTGTCTCTTTGTTAGAGTCTTGAATAACAATCCAGCCAGGTTACCAAGGATCACACAATGTACTCTCCGTGTTCTTGCGTGCTTTCACTTCACCAACTAATTCATTCATTTAACCTTTGGTGGGTTTGTTTGTTAATTTATTAACTCAACTTTTTTTTTCTTTTATTGTTGGCCCTATTTCTGAATGCTCTGATGTTTGCTCCTTCCTTAGACAAACCTCCACACCCAGAGGGACTATATTCAAAAGAGGATTCCTTCCCAGTTCTCTGAGTAATGAGACCCACCCAACCACACCCAGTTCTCCACTTACTGTGACAACTACTAGTTTTATCACAGGACCATAAGGCAAAACCAACTGACAATAAAACACATGAAAAAAAATCGTCTCATCAACAGATCGGTTCTATTTCAATGGCAATTTTGCAAAGGGAAGAAGTAGGCTTGAACTCCTGAAGACTCTAAAGCTAGAAAGCTCTGAGTTCAAATCCTGGTTCCACCAAGTCTCATTGTGGCATCTTGAGCAAGTTGTTTAAATACAAGGCTGTCACTTGTAATGGGAGGATAAAGATGGTACCCAGCCCATAGGTTAAAAGAGGGTTCTACAGGATCATGTAAAATACTTAGAACACATGACAAGACACATATCAGTCACTGTTAGGCTCCAGTGAGAGGAGGAGGTGAAGATACACAAAGCAGAATAATGTCAAGAGTAGCGATTGGGTTACTCTTGAGGGAATGTAGGGGAGAAAACTTATCTTTTTCTTCTGCCCATCTTGGGTTCATTGGCTGGCACCCCTGTAACAAAAGACAGATTACAAAGAGAAAAGCATGCATACTTACTTAAAGTTTTATGTAGCAAGGGGGCCTTCATTAGGAAGTGAAGTTCAATTAGTTAAACCTGAATGTTTTGTAGTGAGGTGGATGAAGAATGGAGAGTTGTAGAAAAATATGAGAGAAGGAAAATAAACAGTATGAACTAAGAGTAATAAGCTGGGGGAAAAGCAAGACCTGTTCATTCAGATTCCTCTTGGTGTCCCTCATCTTGGAGACAAGGATATTCCTTTCCTCCAGGCATAAGAAGGGCATTTCTCATATGAGGGTCTTAGGACCTGCTTTGGGGGAGAAAGAAGGGGAAAGGTCAGAGAGACCTTCTTGCACATGCTGTTTCTCAATTTCCTTCAGCCTAAAATATTCAATATGCCAAGGTGCCGTAAGTTAGGGTAGCCTGTCCTGAACCCCTGAGGGACATAGAGTGAGGAACATAGAGTGATTGCCAATACGCCTGCTCCAAACTGATTTGGAAAGTTGGGTCTTGCCGTGTATCCCCTAAAACTGATAGTCTCCTTGTAGAGAAGAGACATTCAGCATCTCTACCATAAGATGAAGTAAAAGTTTATAAATTGCTCCTTGCTCTCTTTTTTCCTGTATGAACAAGACTTACCAAAAATCCCTGAATCTTTCTGGCTGGATATTTTTTGTTTGACAAATTTTGGACCAAACTCACTCTTTCATCCAAATTTATTAGCTTGCAAAACCCAGGCTACATTCATGATGGAAAGAGCTTGAGGGCTCAAGGGCTTGAAGCCTTCATGTCCTCACGCGTTATTCTCATCCTTCTAAGTCTGAGGCTACGTGCGGCAACAATCCTGAGCTAGGATATTCAGAGGACCATCCTTTCATGCTACTGGAGAAAGTGACTTTCCCAAGTTTGTCATTGCTGGGTCATGATAGCCAGCTTGGGCTTTTGCCCACACAACTGCTCAGTGCTTATGCTTGGCTGCTTGCCCTCTTCTCCATGGCTGTGATCTGCCCAGCCAACACCCTGCTTAATTTAGGCCCCACTGAAGTGAGAGCTTCACATGGAACTACTCTTTCTATTTATGTGATGGCTTTTTAAGCTCAATCTTGATATGCTGACTTCTGAGAGATTCTCATTCTTTGACTTAACAAGATAGAAGCCTCCATGTTTAAAGTAACAACTGCTGGTTCTTGTTTTGCAAACTGCCCCCACATAGCCCTCTGAACAGAGCAGGGTAGGGAGCATTCGTGAGGCAAGGCAAGGTGTGAGCAGACCGGCTGAGGGGAGCCCCCTCTTCCTCCCTCCATCCCAATCCTTCTTTATCTGTTTATATATTGTGCTTCAAAACAGGTTTTCAGTTGAAAGGGGGTTATAAAAAAGGTTGACTACTTCTGGCCTGAACTGACTGCCCTATTAAATAGGCCTAAAAGTTTCAGAGTGGTATGATTTGGTGCTTTGGGGAAGCCTTTGCCTACCAACCTTGTTTCTCAAACTGGAGACCATGAATTTGGCTTCACCCCATCTTCCTTTATTCAAAAGATGATTACTAAGAATAGATTCCATCGAGGTGAATCTAAGCATAACAGGACACCTTGAAACCTTCTCCAAACAAGACTAAGTAATATAGATCCGCCTTATGTTGCGTGAATGTCTTAATCCTGGATTGCAGGTGCCAGATTTAGACCTCCCAGATCCTGTAAAAAGTATCTTCCAGGAGTCTTTATGGGTCTCATATCTGCCTTGGCAGCCCAGAAATCCCTGAGGCAGCCTCGCTGTATAAGTTAGACTCTGAAAAACCCTCAGGGTTACGAAAAACAACTTGGTCATGTCATTTAGTAAATGTAACACTAAGCAGATGTTTTCCCCATTCACCAATAGATTATCACATTTTTAAATTTCCCATTTCTCTCAAAGAAGGATAGGCCCCATAGAAGAGATAATAAGCTCAGTTTCATACTCCACTAAAATTACAAAAAAAAACAGAGGGTATGCAGAGCAATAGCTTAATAAAATTAATAAGCACATGACCTTTTCCTGATTTCTGCCCACCCATTCCCTCAATACAGGTAAATGCCAGTGATTTCCTGGTTTTTTTTAGAGATAGGTTTTCACTCTGTCACCCAGGCTGGAGTGCAGTGGCATGACCGTGGCTCAATGCAGCCTCAAATTCTTGGGCTCAAGTCATTCTCGCACCTCAGCCTCCTGAGTAGCTCGGACTGCAGGCACATACCACCACACTAGGCTAACTTTTGTATCTATTTGTAGAGATGGGGCCTCACTATGTTGTCCAGGCTGGTCTCAGACTCCTATACTCCAGCGATTCTTATGTCTTGACCCCCCAGCATGCCAGGATTACTGGTGTGAGCCACTACACCCAGCTGCCAGCAACGTTAATGAGCCCTCAATATACCACAGTCTCCTCTACCTTCAAGTCACCCTGATTTTGGCAGTGGTTCTCAATTATCCAGGGATTGGGGAGAAGGTTAAACAATTGGCAATGTCTGGAGACATTTTTCGTGGCCACAACTGGATGAGGAATGCTATTGTCATTTAGTGGGTCAAGGCCAGGGATGTTGCAAAAACATCCTCTAAAGCACAGGACTGTCCCAAACAACAAAGACTTATTTGGCCCAAAATTTCACTAGTGTGAAAGTTAAGAAACCTTGCTCTAAAGGAAAGAAGCCTGAAAGGTGGTTTCTATGGCCATGTGCTGTCAAGTTTGACTTGAATTACCAAGTTGTTCACCCTCTGCATGCATAAATTTGACTTTGCTCATGAAAGCTTTCATAAAGAATCTCAGCCAGAACAAGCCATTGTTCCTTTCACTGGATTTCATAGAACTTTAAAATGATTAATGTTAGTATTATAATCATTATTATCTCCATTGAATGTCAAATATTTTACATAGTCATTTATTCTAAAACCTTTTTATATGCCTTTAACCTTTTTCTTATGCCTGCTATGTATGAGAAAAAGTACTCAGAGATGGGACTATAGAGATCCAGATGATGAGTTTCCTGATCTTAAGAAGCTTAAGGCAAATAGATGCTGTATTAGTTTGCTATGGCTGCAGTAACAAATTGCCACAAATTGGGTGGCTCAAACAGAAATTTTTTAGAGACAGTCCTGGAGGCTCTCAGTCCTGGAGGCTGGAAGTTCAAGATCAGGGTTAGATCCTCCAGAGGGCTGTGAGGGAGAATTGGTTCCAGGACCCCTCCTAGCTTCTGGTGGTTCACTGGCAAGCTTTTGTGTTCCTTGGCTTGTGGAAGCATCATCCCAATCTTTACCTTCTTCTAAGGCCACAGTCATATTGGATTGGGGCCTACCCTAACAACCTCATCTAAACTTAACTAATATCATCTGCAACGGTCCTGTTTCCAAATATGGTCACGTTCTGAGGTGCTAGGGTATAAGAATTCAGCATATGATTTTGGAAGGGGATGCACAATTTATTTATTTATGCTTAATTTTTAATTTTATTTTATTTTTCCATAAGTTATTGGGGTATAGGTGGTATTTGGTTACACGAGTAAGTTCTTTAGTGGTGATTATGAGATTTGGTGCACCCATCACCCAAGCAGTATACACTGTACCATATTTGTAGTCTTTCATCAGTCACCCCCTCTCACTCTTCCCCTCAAGCCCTCAAAGTCCATTGTATCGTTCTTATGCCTTTGCATCCTCATAGCTTAGCTCTCACATATCAATGAGAACATATGATGGTTTGTTTTCCATTCCTGAGTTACTTCAATTAGAATAATAGTCTCTAATCTCATCCAGGTCACTACAAATGCTGTTAATTCATTCCTTTTCATAGATGAGTAGCAGTCCATTGTGTATACATATATATCACAGTTTCTTTATCCACTCGTTGATTGAGGGGCCTTTGGGTTGGTTCCACAATTTTGCAATTGTGAATTGTGTTGCTATAAACATGCATGTGCAAGTGTCTTTTTCGACTAATGA
Organism: Homo sapiens; assembly: GCF_000001405.40. Taxonomy (NCBI): domain Eukaryota; kingdom Metazoa; phylum Chordata; class Mammalia; order Primates; family Hominidae; genus Homo; species Homo sapiens. Next base: position 72,879,582 of record NC_000009.12, on the reverse strand, counting down.
CTTCTTTTCCTCTAGGTAGATACCCAGTAGTGAGATTGCTGGATCAAATAGTAGTTCTACTTTTAGTTCTTTAAGGATTCTCCATACTGTTTTCCATAGTGGCTGTACTAGTTTACATTCCCATCAGCGGTGTAGAAGTATTCCCTGATCACCGCATCCACGACAACATCTACCATTTTTTTATTTTTTTATTATGGCCATTCTTGCAGAAGTAAGGTGGTATCACATTGTGATTTTAATTTGCATTTCCCTGATCATTGGTGATGCTGAGCATTTTTTCATTTTTGTTGGCCATTTGTATATTTTCTTTTGGGAATTTTTCTATTCATGTCCTTAGCCCACTTTTTGATGTGATTGTTTGTTTTTTTCTTAATGACTTGAGTTTGTTGTAGATTCTGGATATTAGTCCTTTGTCAGTGTATAGATTGTGAAGATTTTCTCCCACTCTATGGGTTGTCTGTTTACTCTGCTGACTGTTTCTTTTGCCGTGAAACAGCTCTTTAGTTTAATTAGGTCCCAGCTATTTATCTTTGTTTTTATTGCATTTGCTTTTGGGTTGTTGGTCATGAAATCCTTGCCTAAGCCAATGTCCAGAAGGGTTTTTCCAATGCTATCTTCTAGAATTTTTATAGTTTCAGGTCTTAGGTTTAAGTCCTTAATCCATCTTGAGTTGATTTTTGTATAAGGTAAGAGTTGAGGATCAAATTTCATTCTCCTACATGTGTCTAGCCAATTATTCCCAGCACCATGTGTTGAAAAGGATGTCCTTTCCCCACTTTGTGTTTTTGTTTGCTTTGTTGAAGATCAGTCGGCTGTAAGTATTTGGGTTTATTTCTGGGTGCTCTTTCTGTTCCATTATGCCTATTTTATACCAGTACCATGCTGTTTTGGTGACTATTGCCTTATAGTATAGTTTGAAATCAGATAGTGTGATGTCTCCAGATTTATTCTTTTTGCTTAGTCTTGTGTTGGCTATGAAGGCTCTTTCTTGGTTCCATATGAGTTTTAGAATTGTTTTTTCTAACTCTGTGAAGAATTATGGTAGTATTTTGATGAGGATTGTGATGAATTTGTAAATTGCTTTTGGGAGTACGGTCATTTTCACAATATTGATTCTACCCATCTATGAGCATGGGATGTGTTTCCATTTGTTTGTGTCATCTATGATTTCTTTCAGCAGTGTTTTGTAATTTTCCTTGTAGAGGTCTTTTGACTCTTTGATTAGGTATATTCTTGAGGTTTTTTTTTTCTTTTTTTTTTTGCAGCAATTGTAAAAGGAGTTGAGTTCTTTATTTGATTCTCCGCTTGGTTGCTGTTGGTGTATAGAAGAGCTACTAAGTTTGTGTACAATAACCTTGTACCTGGAAATTTTGCTGAATTCTTTTACCAGTTCTAGGAGCTTCCTTAGGGTTTTCAAGGTAAACAATCATATCATCAGCAAATAGGGACAGTTTGACTTCCTCTTTACCAATTCAAATGCCCTTTATTTCTTTATCTTGTCAATTGCTCTGGCTAGGACTTTCAGTACTATGTTGAAGAGGAGTGGTGAGTGTGGGCATGCTTGTCTTGTTCCCGTTCTCAGAGGGAATGCTTTCAACTTTTCCCCATTCAGTAGTATGTTGGCTGTGGGTTTGTCATAGATGGCTTTTATTACATTAAAATATGTCCCTTGTATGCCGATTTTGCTGAGGGTTTTAATTATGAAGTATGCAGGATTTGGTCGAACACTTTTCTTGTATCTATTGAGATGATCATGTGATTTTTGTTCTTAATCCTGTTTATGTGGTGTCTCACATTTGTTGACTTGTGTATGTTAAACCATCCCTGCATCCCTGGTATGAAACCCACTTGATCTTGGTGGATTATCTTTTTGATATGTTGTTGGATTCTGTTAGCTAGTATTTTGTAAACGATTTTAACATCTATGTTCATCAAGGATATCGGTCTATAGTTTTCTTTCTTGGTTGTGTCTTTTCCTGGTTTTGGTATTAGGGTGATGTTGGCTTCATAGAATGAGTTAGGGAGGGTTCCTTCTTTCTCTATCTTGTGAAATAGGGGACACACAATTTAATCCACAACAGATGGGTAAACTGACTATTGTAGTTCTGTAATTATAACACAAAGCAGTAAGTTCTATGAAAGAGGGCAGTACAAACCATGGAGGAGGGGTGCCTAACGCAGACTTATCCCACAGGGTTAGGATTATGAGAGGGGCCTGAATTCTGCTAAGATGTTTGTGTCATTAAATGATAACCAGCCATTGTTCTGGAGGTCACAAGATTTATAACTTCCCCAGTGACTCCTGTAGATAACATCACTATTGTAGAACCAGAGATTCACTTTTTGAGGTGTCTTTTCAGACTTTTTCATTTCTGAGGACTGGCTAACTCCACCCAAACCCACAACTCATGACTTAACCAGTCCTGTGGCCCAGAGGCTGACTCAGTGAACATTTTCCACACCCCTAAGGTTGCATCCCCAACCAATAATCATTCCCCATTCCCTATCCCCCTGTCCATCAAACTATCCTTGAAAAGTCCTAGCTTCTGAGCCTTTGGGGAGATTGATTTGAGTAATAACTCCATCTCCTATAAGGCCGGCCTCATATCTATTACACTCTTTCTTTACTGCAATACCACTGAAATTGAACCAATTCAATTCTCAGTGAATTGATTTTGTCTGTGCAGTACACAGGAAGAACCCATCAGATGATTGCAGAAGAAAGAAAAATAAAAATTAAGAAGGGTATGATTTGGGGGAACTTCTTCCAGTGGGGCCTGTAATGATAGTATACAACTCTCTGGACACAAAGGTGAACTCCAGTCTCTTGCTTGGAGAAGAACAATTGCCCATCCTTCTTACTCAATGTTTTTCCTAGGTTTGGACACAGAATTCATTCCAGCATAGAGTCCATCCTAAGGCATGATTCAGTGAGCCAATAAAGTTTGCATCTGTGTCTCTGACCCTCACACACACCAAAAGATCCTGACTAATTCTCCTCCCTCCCCACCTGCACAGACACACTCAAATAGGAAATATTCTCTTATTTTATATATTTTAATTTTATGTAATATACATTATTATACATATATAATATGTATAATGTATAAGTATATTATATACTTATATATTATAAAAATATAGTTTACATTTGTAATATATATTTATTTTGTATAATATATATTTTATATTTATACATATATATATATATTTTTTGAGACAGAGCCCACACTGTTGCCTGGGCTAGAGTGTAGTGGCACGATCTCAGCTCACTGCAACCTCTGCCTCCCAGATTCAAGAGATTCTCCTGCCTCAGTTTCCCGAGCAGCTGGGATTACAGATGCCCGCCACCACACCCAGCTAATTTTTTGTTTTTTTAGTAGAGACAGGGTTTCCCCATGTTGGCCAGGCTGGTCTCAAACTCCTGACCTCATGATTTGCCCGCCTTGGCCTCCTAAAGTGATGGGATTACAGGCGTGAGCCACCGCACCCGGCCTGTATTCATATATATATATATATGGAAGTACAGGCTCCAAAGCCCCCATACTATTTCCTGTTTCCTCTCCCTTGCACTGGTACATGTTTGATATATACAACTTTTCAATATTTTGGCAGCTTCACCTGTGATTTTTTTTTAATAAAAAAAGAAGGGGCAGGAGGTGACAGTAATCATCACAATTTATTTTTTCTTGTCACATGAAAAGAAACAAATCTTTGTGAAATAATTTAATACTTTGAAGGGTGACCCAGAAACACAAGTAATGGCTATCAATGCCTCTTCCAGCCAGTGAAGCTACAAGAACAAGGGAGTCCAATGCTTCTTTTGAAGAAAGCTTTAAATTCATGGCACTATTTTGGAATATGAGAAAAATATTTTAAAATGCATTTCTTGGCCTCTCTTGTTTTGTTTTGTTTCCTTCCTGCTGCTCTTGGGGAGTATTAATAAAAGAGATGGGATAAGTGAAAAACACAAGACAGAGAACTATTTATTTTTTTTCAGTTTTTTTGCCACTGAAATGAAAAGATTATAATAATAATAGTCACCATTTATTAAACTCTGCTAAGCACATCATGGCCTGATTCAATCCTTTTAGCATCATACAAGGAAGTTATTATCTCCCCTTTACAGAGAAGGCTGTGGCTGGGGAGGTAGGGGTTGAGAACTTGCCTGAAGTCATAGCACATCCTAGCTGCTAGGAACTATTTTCTGAGCTAGGCTCTTCACACTGACCATCTTATAAAGTCTCTCACAGCATCCCTGGAATAAATGCATTATTGTCAACATTTTTATAACTTACAAAAGGCTAAGTGGTAAATTGAGGGTAGAATTCAAACTGAGGTCTTTCCAACTCCAAAACATGTGCTGTGATGACCGTGCCATAAACTTTCTCGTACCTTGTCAGAACAAATGTACTGAAACTACCATAGTTTCAGAACTGTAATAATCGATGCATAGTCCCCATTGGTAGATTTAGTGTTTTACAATAGAGTTTCTGAAAAGCAGTTTTAAAATACCCTTCAGCAAGCATTTACTGAGGCCTCGTCTAGGCCAGGACTTGGGCTGGACATTGCAGGCATGGCCACAGTAACGATGACTCAGAACTTGCCCCCAAGGAGTTCACAGTCTGGGAGCATTGGGGAGAGGAGCAGAAAGTAAACTAGAGAGCACAAAACACAAAGTCACACTCTTGTATAACATACACTCAGTAAAAAGGAGGCCCACTAGAGCAGGGTTTCTCAACCTGGCACTATTGCATTTGGGGCTGTCTGAGTCTTGCTGTGGGGGCTGCCTGTGCATTGTGGGGTATTAGCAGCATCTCTGAATTCTACTCAGTAGATACCAGTAGCCCCCCCACAACCAAAAATGTCTCTGGACATTGCCAAATGTCTCCTGAGGTTGGGGGAGTGAGAATCACTGCCCCACAGTTACATCCTGGCAGAGTTAAGCAATGAAACAAAATCACTGGCCATTAATAATACTATATGATTTTCAATTAAGAGCTTATTTACACACCAAGTACCTTAGAAACCTGATCTCATCCCATCCTCATCAAAACCTTATGGTGTGTACAAGCTGGAATGATGCCTATTTTATAGGTTAGGGCACTGAGGCACAAAGAGTTTAGTGGATGCCTAGCTGCACAGTAGTGACCGATAGAGCAGGCATTTGAAGCCTGCCCTGCCATCTTAGTCAGTGCACCGAGATATGAAGAGCATTTTTAAAGTGTGCTAGGCTCTTTCATTTTCATTACATGTCCACTGATATGGTTTGACTCTGTGTCCCCACCGAAATCTCATGTCGAAATGCAATCCCCACATGTTGGAGGAGGGACCTGGTGGGAAGTGATTGGATCATGGAGGTGGATTTCCCTCCTACTGTTCTCGTGATAGTGAGTGAGTTCTCATGAGATCCAATGGTTTAAAAGTGTGTGGCACTTCCTCCCTTCACTCTCTCTCTCTCTCCGGCCACCATGTGAAGATATGCGTGCTTCCCCTTCACCCTTCTGCCATGATTGTAAGTTTCCTGAGGCTTCCCCAGCCATGCCTCCTGTACAGCCTGTGGAACTGTGAGTCAAACCCCTTTTCTTCACAAATTACCCAGTCTCAGGTAGTTCTTTATATCAGTGTGAGAACAGACTAATACATCCACAGGCTGACCTAATCTAAAATTAGCAACACAAAGGAATGAATATTTATAATTGTATACAGTGTTATCCTTTGTGAATATTCTATCTTATCCATTCTGGACCTAATTAATCTAGTTTATTTTGGATGATTTGCTTATGGGAGTCTTGCTTTAACCAGGGAAAATATTTATTAATTCTGAAGAATGTAGTAAGTTTCATATCTTGATTTATATTTTGGCAGTTCAACCATGCACTGTGTGGGGGCCAAAAAAATCCCTAAAAATAATCATATGATATTGGCTAAGACCAAATGCAGCCAGTTATTTCTGTTGGTATGTCTTAATGAGGGAAAAAGGCAGAGCTGGATGCCTCTTCTTTCTTAAATTAAAAACAAAACAAAATAAACAAGCAAAAAAAACTTCAAGAGACTTCAAAGGTCAGTAGAAAGTTTTCGTTTAAATTGCCAATTGTACAATTTGAGGAATGCAAGTAAACTGCCCTCAAATAACTTTTCTAGGTATTTTTCAAAAAATTCTAAAGGGAATATTTGCTTTCTAGGCAAGGTTTTTAAATATTTCATTATCTAGGCTTAGATAGCTTGGATAGAATAGTTATTATTTTATATTCAATCTTTTACTTTAGCAGACTATTAGGATATGCTTGTTGTGACTCAGTTTTTTGTATCTACCATCTGTTGGTTTATTACCCAAATCTATAAGTAAACATCAACATAGGAAGCTTTACTGTCACTGAAGCTTTATTAAATAAATGAGTTTAATTGTGGATTGTTATCTGTGAAGTCAGGACCTGGGAGAGAAAAAAGCTACCAGCAACATTCAGACTGAGAGAGGCCAAAATACTAATTCATAATTAGCCTGGTACATATGAAGGATCAAAAAGAACAGGACTGTATGTCTGACCTCTGACAGGTATGTATCAGTGTACACAGCCACGCCAGATGATGTCAGGTGGTGTGCTGTGGTCTCAATGACTTGGTTTGAAGGAAGAATCACTTGTAGGTTGGACACTGTTTATATGCCTGGCTCAAGTTTGCCCTTGTAACCATTTAAGCGGAAACAAAGGAGAGCCAGATCTGCTAGTTAGTGTAATAAACCTCCCACAAGAAGAAGGGAGACTGGCCAACTTAAAATGCAAGGCAAGTTATTTTCATGCACTTGTAAATTACATTATGAATAAGTGTTGGGAAACATTGGGCTGATAAAAAATTTACAATTGATATCTTCAATTACTACATGAAGCAAATATGAAGTAAAGAACCAACCTGAATGTAATCACACTATAGATATTTCACATATTTCCACAACTGTTTCCACTAATTCTGACAGAATGTCCCCCATTCACCACAAATATGTTTGCCCTATATTAAAATAATAAGCTATTTAAATAACAAGCCTTGTGTTCCTGTATGCATAGAAAATGGTTCAATTCTTTCTGGCTCAAATCCTTTATAAGCAATCAAACATCCTACCCCATTGTCAATCTGGCCATCTCCTACTCATCTTTTTAGGTTTATACTTAAATGTCACTTTGATAATGGTTTATTCCCTAACCTCTTAATTGTAATTAAGTCCCCATATACATTCCCTCTTCAAATTTGCACATTTTATTCCAAGCATTTATAGCAATTTATAATTTTATGTGTGTGCTTATTTCTTTAATGCCTGTCTTCTCATTTAATATCTTTTCTACCCCTGTATATCCAGGCCCTACCACCATAGTAGAGACTCAGTATGTATACTTAATGAAGGAATAATGAATACATCAGCAAGAGAAATAAGAGTGACCATATGTTCCTTAAGAGAAGCAAAGAGCAGCTCCTGTTCCTGGTAAGCTCTGGCTGTATTTTGTTCCTTTTCCAAAAAAGTCTGTGATATTCCTTGTTGTGTATTTATAATAACATTCTTTTTTCTTGAGCCAGCTGGAATGAGTCTCCATTCCTTGCAACAGAAGTGTCCTAAGTTATAGCCAGAGGACGGGGGCACATTGACAAAACATAAAGCGGATATGATAATAACAAGGTACCATTCCAGCAAGAACATCTGAAGAAAGAAGCAGTGTTGTTTATCTTTCCTTCATCTATTCTGAAACTAAAATCCTTAACCAAATTTATTTCCGAAGTTTAACCCTTTAATAAACTGGCCTCTGACTCCACCTGGTGGAGATACATAAATCTATGAAAATAAACCAATCCAAATGAAGATTTTAAAGTCATCAGCTCTCTTTCATGTCTCAAAGAAAAAACACATATCCCGAAATTCAAATAGATGACCTTCTCGGATGTGTTATAGGCACTCAGAAGCCCCAAAGAAAAAATAGTTTGAGTTGATCATTTGACTGTTGCTCTCAGCCTTCATTTCTGCCTTTCTAGGTTGTGTCAGGCATTTTGACTGTCCAGGGGCCCTGCATATTCTATTTTCCTAGTTACTTGCTAAGGTTTGAATATTTGTCCCCCTCCAAAACTCATGTTGAAATTTAATCCCAAATGTGGCAGTATTGAGAGGTGGGGCTTTTCAGAGGTGATTGGGTCATGAGAGCTCTGTTCTCATGAGTGGATTAATCCATTCATGGATTAATGGAATAATGGACTAATGGATTAATGAGTTATCATAGGAGTGGGACTGGTGCCTTTATAATAAGAGGAAGAGAGACCTGAGCTAGCACACTCACCCTCTTCACCATGTGAGGTCCTGTGCCACCATGGGACTCTGCAGAGTCTCATCAGCAAGAAGCCACTTACCAGATGTGGCCCCTTGACCTTGGGCTTCTCAGCTTCCATAACTGTAAGAAATAAATTTCTTTGTAACTTGCCCAGTTTCAAGTATTCTGTTATAAGGAACTGAAAATGGACTAAGATACTTTCCTATTGGCTTCTGGTTAGTTTCTATCAATAAGAATTACTGGTAGAAGTTTGAAAGGTAGGAGTGGAGAGATGGGACCTTTTTTATTTTAGTTTCTATTGGCATTTTCCAGCAGCAAGGAACAATGGGCATTTCATCATCATCTTTTAGCATTTCCAGCACCCACAGCAAGGAGTCCTTTCACCTGCTTAGTAGCAGCCCTTCAGTAATCCTAGCATCTATTTTAGGTGGTGTTTCATTTGTGGTCTCAGGACTGGCCCAGGTAGTTCTCTTCTCCATGATTCTGGACTCTGGTGATTCCATCACCTCCACGTACGCCTTCAGCCAGAAGGACTGTCGCTGTTCCCAGCAGCCATTTAGCATAGTTACCTAAGTGTAACCAAATTCCTGTATTATATTCACTTGTTTGAAAAACCTTGAGTGATTTCTGACCCACTTCTGTCTCAAGGCCTGAATATTCTGATTCAGATGAATTTCAGAAAATGGAAAAAAAAACTTAGTGAATAAAAAAGATTAAATAGTTTTTAGAAAACCATAGGAGACAAAAAAGCAACTGGAAGTCACACACACACACACACACACACACACATTCTTTTAACTTTATAAGTTATAATAAATTATGGTAAAAGAGTGACAAGTTTACCTACATGAATATTGAAGCCTTTGTAAAATCTTTAAAGAAAAAAGGGTACCAATACAACAGAAAATTTCAGACTGGAAAAATATTGGTAGTCATCGTCTTAGTTTGAGCATTTATCAATTGCATTATAGCAAAACCCTCCAAACTGCTCTCTCTGCTTTGATTGTCTCTTTTTTTTCCAAATCTTTTCTGCATATTGTCAAAGTTACATTTCTAAGGAGCAAATTAAATGCTGTCACTATGCTCTTTGAATTATCAGTCAACAAAGAGATTTTTTAAACTAATTAATTTATAATTATCCACAGAAATACATATTAAAAGGACAGTGAGGTGTCTGCTAACTCTTTACTCTCTTGGATGCAGCTTAATTTCTTCTTCCAGGGACACTTTTCTGACAATTTTGTTCTTATACAATTATAGCATTTTTTTTTCTTTTTTTGAGACAGGGTTTCACTCTGTCACACAGGCTGGAGTGCAGTGGCATGATCTTGGCTCACTGCAACCTCCGCTTCCTGGGTTCAAGCAATTCTCATGCCTCAGCCTCCAAAGTAGCTGGGATTACAGGCATGCACCTTCACATTCAGCTCATTTTTTTTTTTCTGTATTTTTAGTAGAGACAGGGTTTCACCATGTTGGCCAGGCTGGTATTGAACTTCTGACCTCAAATGATCCGCCCACCTCGGCCTCCCAAAGTGCTGGTATTACAGGCGTGAGCCACTGCGCCTGGCCAGTTATAGCAATTTTAAAAACAATATTCTAATCATGTCCTTTGCAGCAACACGGATGAAGCTGAAGGCCATTATCCTAAGTGAGTTAACACAGGAATAGAAAACCAAATACCGCATATTCTCACTTATAAGTGGGAGCTAAACAGTAAGTACATATGGACATAGAGGTGGGAAGAGTAAACACTGGGGACTACTAGAAAGAGGAGAGAGGGTGGGGGTTAGAGCTGAAAAACTACCTATTTGGTACTATGCTCACTACCTGGATGATGGGATCTTTTGAATCCCTAAATCTCACTGTCACACAATATATGCAGGTAACAAAGCTACACATTTACCCCTTGAATCTAAAATAAAAGTTGAAATTATAAAATAAAAACTTTTTTAAAAATGAAGGAAATTATGGCAAATCCTTTAGAAATAAAACAATATTCTAAATAAACAAAATAGAGAATAAAAAATAGAGAAAATTAATGAAAACAAAAATGGATTCATTGAAAATATTTTTAAATGACAAATCTTTAACTAGATTGATAAAAGGAGAGAAAAGTCTCAAATAACTAAAATCAGAAGTGTGACATTACTACCTATTTACATAAATAAAAGGATTATAAGAGCGGAACAATTGTACTCCAGCAAATTGAATAACATAGACAAAATGGACACATTTCTAGAAACACAGAATCTGCCAAGACCGAATCAGTAAGAAATATAAATTTTGAATAGAATTGTAACTAGTAACTGAATCAGTAGTCAAAAAACCCCAAGATGAAAGCCCAGAACTTGATGGCTTCACTGGTGAATTCTATCAGACATTTAAAGAAAAATTAACACCAATCCTCCTCAAACTCTTTCAAAAAAAATTAAGAGGAAGAAACATTTTTAAATCATTCTGTAAAGGCAACATTACCCAATACCAAAATCAGACAAAAACACTACAAGAAAAAAAAAAAGCAGACCAGTATCACTGATGAATATTGATGCAAAAATCTTGAACAAAATACTAGCAAACTAACTCCAACAGCATGTTAAATGCATCATATACCATGCCAAGTGGAATTTATTAATGAAATGCAAGGATGGGTCAACGTATAAAAATCAATTAATGCAAGACACCACATTAACAGAATGAATGAGAAAAAAAACATGATTTTCTTAATTGGTGCAGAAAAAGCGCTTGACAAAATTAAATTTCTTTTCATTATAAAAGTACTAAACAAATTAGGAATAAAAGGAAACTACCTCAACATAATAAAGGCCATATATGAAAAATCCACAGCTAACATCATACTCAATGATAACAAACTGAAAGTCTTTCTCTATGCTCAGGAACAAGGCAAAAATGCCTCCTGCTTTTGACACAGTAGTAGAAGTTCTAGCCAAAGCAATCTGGGGAGAGAAAAGAAAAAAACGAAAGGAAAGGAAAAGGAAAAGGGAAAGGAAAAGGAAAGAGGAAGGGGAAGAGTATGGGGAAGGGGAAGGGGGGAGAAAGGATTAGTCCGTTCTCACAGTGCTATGAAGAACTACCTGAGACTGGGTAATTTACAAAAAAAAAAAAAAAAAATGTTTAACTCACAGTTCCACAGGCTGTACAGGAAGCAAGGTTGGGAGGCCTCAGAAAGCTTACAATCATGGCAGAAGGCTGAAGGGGAAGGAAGACCTTCACATGGTAGAGCAGGAGAGAGCATGAAGGGGGAAGTGCTACACATTTTTCTTTTTTTTTGAGACAGAGTCTTGCCCTATTGCCCAGGCTGGAGTGCAGTGGCAAGATCTCGGCTCACTGCAAGCTCCGCCTCCTGGGTTCAAGCCATTCTCCTGCCTCAGCCTCCAGAGTAGCTAGGACTACAGGCCCCGCCACCTCGTCCAGCTAATTTTTTGTATTTTTAGTAGAGACGGGGTTTCACCATGTTAGCCTGGATGGTCTCAATCTCCTGACCTCGTGATCTGCCCACTTCGGCCTCCCAAAGTGCTGGGATTACAGGCGTGAGCCACCACGCCCGGCCGCTACACACTTTTAAACAACTATATCTCATGATAAATCACTTAATATATCATAAGAACAGCAAGGGGAAAATCCACCCCCATGATCCAATCACCTCCCACCAGGCCTCTCCTCCAACACTGAGAATCATAATTCAATAAGAGATTTGGGTGGGGACACAGAGCCAACTTATATCAAAGGAAGAGGAAGAAATAAAAGGCATCAAAATTGGAAAGGAAGAAGTGAAATTATCTCTGTTCAGACTACTTGATCTTGTATGTAGAAAACCTGAAGATTCCACCAAAAAAAACCCCATTAGAATTAATTAATAAATTCAGCAAAGTTGCAGCATGCAAAATCAACATGCAAATATCAGCTGTATTTCTATACACTAGCAATTAATAATCCAAAAAGAAAATTAAGAAAACAATTCCATTTACCATAGCATCAAAAAGAATAAAATAGTTAGAAACTAATTTAGTCAAGGAGGGAAAAAATATGCCCTGAAAACTACACAATATTGCCAAAAGAAACTAAATAAGGAGCAAATAAGTAGAAATATGTCCCATGTTCATGGATCAGAACACTTAATATTGTTAAGATATTAATACTACCAAAATCAATTTACAGATTTAATGCAATCCCTATCAAAATCCCAATGACGATTTTTGCAGAAATAGAAGAATCAATCCTAAAACTTATATGGGATCTAAAGGGACCCCAGAAAAGCCAAAACAGTCCTGAAAAAGAAGAACAAACTTGAAGATCCTTTTTTATTTTAAAACTTACTACAAAGCTACAGTAACCAAAACTGTATAGTACTGGCATAAAGAAAGACATACAGAGCAGTGGAATAGAATAGAGAGTCAAGACATAAACCATCACACATATGGTCAAATGAATTTCAACAAGGGTGCCAAGACCATTCAGTGAGAAAAAGATGGGCTTTTTAAACAAAATACTTTTGGGAAGATGGTTATTCACATGCAAATGAATGGATTTGGATCCTCATCTTCTACCATATACAAAAGTTAACTCAGAATGGACTAGTTAACAGCAATGTATTGTGTATTTCAAAATAGCTAATAGACAGGACTTGAAATGTTCTCAATACATAGAAATGATAAATACTTGTGGTGATGGATACCCTAAATACCTGGACTTGATCATTACACAATCTATGCAGGTAATAAAATATCACAGGTAACACATAAATACGTATACATATTACATATCAATACAAAATGGACCAAAAACCTAAATGTAAGAGCCAAAATGATAAAACTTTTAGAAAGAAATATAGGGAAATCTCATCTAAGATTACATTAATCTTGGTTAATCTAAGATTAGATTTGACAATGATTTATTGGGTATCACATCAAAAGCTCAGATAACAAAAAAAAATAAGTTGGACAACGTCAACATTAAAAACTACTGTGCATCAAGAGACACTACTAACAGAATGAAAATTTTCTCCCACAAAATGGGAGAAAATATCACAAACCATATATCTGATAAGCATATAATACTCAGAATATACAAAGAACTCCTACACTCAACCACAAACAAAAGAACAACCTGATTAATAGTCAAAGCACTTGAATAGATATTTCTCCAAAAAAAGAGATAAAAATTTCTGAAAAGCATATGATTAATAATGTTCAACATTACTAATCATTAGAGAAATGAAAATCAAACCCACAATGAGAAACCACTTCTCACCCATTAGTATAGCTACTATTTAAAAAGACAAAAATGAAATAGAAAATAATGGTCTGTGGAGATACAGAGAAATTTCCACCATGTGTGCTGCTTTGGAAATGTAAAATGGTGCAGTCACTAGGGAAAAACTGTATGGTGATTCTTCAAAAATTAAACATAAAAGTACCATATGATCTAGCAACTCCACTCCTGGGTATATACCCAAAAGAACTGAAAGCAGAGACTGTAGTATACATTTGTATACTCATTTTCGTAGCAGCATTATTCGCAATAGCCAAAATGTGAAAGCAATCTGTGATCTGTGTCCCTTCATGGATGAGTAGATAAACAAACAAACAAACAAATATATATATAATATTATTTAGCCTTGAAAAGGAAAGACATTCTGACACATCCTACAAAATGGTTGAACCTTGAAGACACTTGAAAATAGTTAAAATGGTAAATTTTTTTATGTATATTTTACCACAATAAAAATTTTTCTTGAAAGGATCAGTGAAGTGATCAACTTATTACTGTAACTTTTTATATTATTGCTAATAAGTTTCTATGTAAAATTTTTCTGCCACTGGAATAAGAAAAGATAAATATATTTTTCAGTGATGTAATTTACAGAAATGCTTATAAATTCTGGAAAGTAATACTTGATGAGTATGTAACTTGCATACATCTCTCATTGTTAGCTTGTCTTTTAACTTTGTTCTAAATATCTTCTGATATCAGAAATCTTTAAATGTAGTCAGTTTTATCAATATTTGTTCTTGTATTTTTCTTAAGAAATATTTTCTTGCTTATTACCATCAGCGTATTTTTTTTATTTTTCCTTCCTTCCTTCCTTCCTTCCTTCCTTCCTTCCTTCCTTCCTTCTTTCTTTCCTTCCTTCCTTCCTTCCTTCTTTCTTTCTTTCTTTCCTTCTTTCTTTCTTTCCTTCTTTCTTTCTTTTTCTTTGAAACAGGGTCTTGCTCTGTCACCCAGGCTGGAGTACAGTGGTGCAATCTCTGCTCATTGCAACCACCTTCCAGATTCAAGCAATTCTTCTGCCTCAGCCTCCCAAGTAGCTGGGATTAAAGGCGTGCACTGCCATGCCTGGCTAATTTTTGTATTTTTAGTATAGACAGGGTTTTTCCATGTTGCCCAGGCTGGTCTCGAACTCCCAGGCTCAAGCAATTCTCCCACCTTGGCCTCCCTAAGTGCTGGGATTACAGGCAAGAGCCACCAGAAAATCTTTGAAAACAGCTATGACCTGCTAAGCCCTCTGCTTCAAGACATCTCACCTCTTTAGTCTGAACCAATGTACATCTTCCATGTGTTGATTTATGATTTTACCTAAAATTCCTGCCTCTCTAAAAATGTGTAAAACCAAAATGTAGCCTGACTGCCTCAGGCAAACTTTCTCAGGACTTCTAGAGACTGTTCCCCAGGGCCATGGTTACTCATAATTGGCTCAGTATAAACCTCTTTATATATTTTACAGGGTTTGGTTTTTCCATTAACAAATTCCAGTGTGAATATACTAAAGTCAAGGACTTCTGGTGTCCCCTCCCCTTTCTCATGGGGAAGTTAATTTATAGCTGCTGTAAACCAAGACTAATGGAAACTGCTATTGGGGGTGGAGGAGGGGCGTGGAGGGAGATTCTTCTTTCTCACTAATTCTGTTCCTTTTCCTGCAAAGCCTTCATTGCACAAATACAAACATAATAACAAAGAAGTAAGTATCATAAGAGCATTAGGATTGAAGCTTAAGTTGAATATTCTAACAATTACCTGTTAATTGGAGGAGTCCAGATCAGGAGGGAGGCAGGTATAAGCAGTTAACAGATTTGAAGTAAGATTTGCTCATCATAGGACATTTGTCTCTAATCATACAGACTGTCATTTCAATAGCACAGTATAATGAAATGTAGCATTTAATCAGAAAGCACTGATTAATATATTAAAGCCATTATTGCAATAAGAATGGTTCATTTATATACAGATTAAAAAAATGAAAAACCAAACCATTTCTTATCAAATTACTTACCCCCCTGGCACGGACTAAAGAAACAGCTCAATATAACACCGTTTATCTCTAAAGCAGGTGAGAATCCTGCGGCTCCTTCTTCTCAACACTGTATTGATAAAGGGCTTCTTCTTATCTCGTTATTGCAGTAATGGAGTTTTAAAATGGAAATGCTAAACTTTCATTTCAAGATAGCAGAAAGGACATGATTTTTTCCTCTCATACCAAAACCCTAACAATAACAGAAAACATATTTTAAGAGATATTCAGCCATGCTGAAAGATTAAAAAGGAGAACTTAGATAAGAAACTGTGAGAAATACTGGAAACACAAGAGGCCAACAGATTGGATTTATGAGGAAACTCATAGCTCAAGATAAGTGTGAGAAAGTTCCAGCAGAGAAGGTGGGAGCAGCCACAAGGGTTTTCTACATGAGTATTTCAATGTGAAAATTCTTGCCTGGTCTTTCTTGGGAAATTTATGTTTTTCAGGATCTTAAGAAAAATCAAGAAACCAAGTTGAGAAACTAAGAAAAAAAGAAAAACTGTTTACTTCTCCCATAATTATTAAAGACTAACAATCAACGTGGAGGCATTACTGGTTAGAAGGAGTTCACTGATGTCTAGTTGAAAGCAAGACATTTGGTGGCTGGAGGTTAAGGCCAACATTTCCAGGAACCTAAACAAGACATAGAGGAGAAAAGCAAGAACCATCTCATCAGTCAGTCTTGCTATAACTGTTGTCTTGTTATGAACAGTTGCTCATGGCCCTGTCTGCTGCTACTGGTAAGTTGTTTTTGCAAATAAATACTAACAAGTTCATTTGTATAGTGTACTTTAAACAAATCCTATGACTGATGTGCCCAGAAATAACAAGTTTTGGAAAGCAAAATAAGTCCTTTAATTAACAACTTCAAACGGTGATTCTGTGCAGTATTGTTAACCTTGCTAGCCAATTCTACTATTTTGATCAATCGATAGATAGATAGATAGATGGATAGGTAGATAGATAGATAGATAGATAGATAGATAGATAGATAGATAGATAGATAGATATTTCCCCCCAGGCTAAAGTGCAGTGGTGCGATCTCGGCTCACTGGAACCTCCATTTCCCAGGTTCAAGCGATTCTCCTGCCTCAGCCTCCTGAGTAGCTGGGATTACAGGCGCCCACCACCACGTCTGGCTAATTTTTTTGTATTTTTAGTAGAGACAGGGTTTCACCATGTTGGCCAGGGTGATCTCAAACTCCTGACCTCAAGTGCTCTGCCCACCTCAGCCTCCCAAAGTGCTGGGATTACAGGCATGAGCCACCATACAGGGTGGAATTACAATATTTGAATATTACCCAGGAATATTTTCTGGTGTTTTTCAGGTCTGATTATTTGCTGTAGGTTACGGTTCTTTGCAAATACGTGAAGAGAGGAAATGAAAGAAGAAGAAGATGTGAATATTATCGAAGTGGTCTCCCTTGGGAAATCAAAAAACTGTTCTAAAATCTGAATTAGTAAAAGCAATATTGATTTCAATAGAAAAAAACTAAAATTATTAAAAAAGGAAATGAGCTTATATGAAGCTACATGTATCCTAATGCCTGGCTTGAATATAGTTTTGGATGCATTCTTAATAAATGAGAAAACATCAATGTGAAATAAAAGCAGCAGTTTTTGTCACAAAACAAAGATCGAGACTGTTGGATAAGATGGCTAGTGCTTTGTGTTTTAAAATTCAGTAGAAAATTCAGAAATAAAGCCAAATACTTACAGCCAGCTAATCTTTGACAAAGCATACAAGAACATAAATTGGGGAAAGGATACCCTATTCAACAAATGGTGCTGGAAAAGCTGGCAAGCCACATGTAGAAGAATGAAACTAGATCCTCATCTCTCACCTTATACAAAAATCAACTCAAGATGGATCAAAGACGTAAATCTAAGAGCTGAAACTATAAGAAATTCTAAAAGATAACATTGTTTTTTCCCTTTTTTCTTCTTCTGTTTTTTTTTTTCTTTTTCTTTTTCTTTTTTTTGGAAAGGGAGTTTGCGCTGTCGCCCCAAGCTGGAGTGCAATGGAGCGAACAAGGATCACTGCAACCTCTACCTCCTGCGTTCAAGCGATTCTCCTGCCTCAGCCTCCTGATTAGCTGGGATTACAGGCGTCTGCCACCACGCCCAGCTAATTTTTGTACTTTTAGTAGAGATGGGGTTTGACCATGTTGGCCAGGCTAGTTTTGTACTCCTGACCTCAAGTGCTGGGATTATAGGCATGCGCCACAACGCCCAGCCTTGAAAAGATAACATTGGAAAAACTCTTCTGGACATTGGCTTAGGCAAATTCATGACAAAGACCCCAAAAGCAAATGCAACAAAGACAAAAATAAATAAATTGAATAAATTAGAGCTAATTAAACTGAAAAGCTTCTGCAGAGCAAAAGAAATAATCAGCACATTAAAGAGAAAACCCACAGAGTGGAAGAAAATATTCACAAAGTATGCATCTGACAAAGGACTAGTATCCAGAATCTACAAGAAACTCAAACAAATCAGCAAGAAAATGACAATTCCATCAAAAAGTGGGCAAAAGACATGAACAGCCATTTTTCAAAAGAAGATATACAAACAGCCAACAAATGAATGAGAAATGTTCAACATCAGTGAAATACAAATTAAAACCACGATGAGATACCACGTAACTCCTGCAAGAATGGCTATAATTCAAAAGTTAAAACCATAGATGTTGGTGTGGATGTGATGAAAAGGGAACACTTACACACTGCTGGTGTGAATGTAAATTAGTACAACCTCTATGAAAAACAGTATGGTGATTCCTTAAAGAACTGAAAGTAGATCTACCATTTGATCCAGCAATCCCACTACTGGGTATCTACCCAAAGGAAAAGAAGTCATTACATGAAAAAGACACATGTACACGCATGTTTATAGCAGCACAATTCACAGTTGCAAAGATATGGAACCGGCCTAAATGCCCATCAACCAATGAGTGGATAAAGAAAATGTGTATATATACAACATGGAATACTACTAGGCCATAAAAAAGAACGAAATAATTTCTTTTGCAGCAACTTGGATGGAGCTGGAGGCCATTATTCTAAATGAGGTAACCCAGGAATAAAAAACCAAATGCCGCATGTTCTCACTTATCAGTGGGAGCTAAGCTGTGAGGACACAAACACATACAAAGTGATATAATGGACTTTGATGACTGCAGGGTGGGGAGCTGGGAGTGGGGTGAGGGATAAAAGATTACATATTGAGTGGGTACAGTGTACACTGCTTTAGTGACAGGTGCACTAAAATCTCAGAATTCACCACTAAAGAACTCATCCATGTAACCAAAAACCACCTGTACCCCCAAAACTATTAAAATTTTTAAAAATAAAAAAGTTAACTTCTAAACATTAAATATACATAATATAAAGTTTACATTTTAAAATTATTTTTATTCAGCAATTGTTTTGTTTTAACACCCCTTCTTTCAATGTTTTCTACTATAAAATGTCAATGTCAGTTAAAGATCATTTTAACATATCATTTTAAAACATATCATTTTGTCCCAATATATTGATTTATAATAATAATTTTAAATCAACTTTCTGTAAAATCTTATAGTAGAAAAATGATTCATAGTTTAATATTATGGTCACTTGTTACTAATTAAAAATATGTAAATATGTATTCTTAAAAATAGAGAATAATACCATTTCAGGAATTCTGATTATTTGTTCTGAAATTTCAAAGATTACTATCTGCTGGGAATTTGGAAACCCTATAATAATCTAAACCCAGCGACAGTGAAAACCAGGAGGCAGATGGAGCCCAAAGGAAGAGATGGAAGGGTCACTCTTGTGTGGCACCTTCCTATCCTGGCCAGGCGGCAGTGCCTGGGGTAGTCGAAGGGAGCAGCAGTGAGGATGAGACCTTCAATTAGAGAAAGGACAAGAAGAGAACGTGGGAAGACCCACACTCGGGCCCACTTTGGTTAATCCTCCTTAGTTTCCTTGTAAACTATTAAGGCAGTTAAATTTTCAACTGCTTGAATTTACCTATTTCAAAGATTCAGCTTTTCACTTGACTTTGATTGGTCACCAAGAAAATATAAGTATTATAGCCATGTTATTTTCAAAGAGGAAAGCATGCCAGTCACTAGAACAGTGAGTGGTATGTAGCAGGCACTCAGAAAACATGTGTGATATGGGTTGATCTGAGTCCCTGCCCAAATTTCTTGTCGAATTGTAATCCCCAATGTTGGAGGTGGGTCTGGTGGAAGGTGGTTGGATCATGGGGACAGATTTCTGCCTTTGGTGCTGTTCTCATGGTAGAGTTTTCATGAGAACTGATTGTTTAAAAGTGTGTAGCACCTCCCTCTCTCTCTCTGGCATCTGCCCTGGCCATGTAATATGTGCCAGCTTCCCCTTCACCTTTCACTGTTATTGTATGTTTCCTGAGGCCTCCCCGGAAATGGAGCAGATGCCAGAACCATGCCTCTTGTACAGCCTGCAGATCCATGAACCAATTAAACCTCTTTTCTTTATAAATTACCCAGTGTCAGGTATTTCTTTATAGCAATGCAAGAAGGACTAATACAATGTGTTAAACTAATTACTGGATAATGCAATTCACAGAGGAACAGAGAATCCTTTTACTTGGGACTGGCCAGTTTCCTGTAAGTCAAAATTATGCAAATCCAATCAAATTTTCCATAAAGAAAATATTGTGATTGAATTTTAGATTCTTTATCATAACCTTGAAATCCATACAACCTCTGTAAAATTTTAAAAGATTGTGTCTTTTTTTAGCTTCAATGAATTGGAGAGTGAAGCATCTGCTTTAATGGGAAATTTCAAATTTCTTCAGCAATATCGTGAGAATAATCTCAGCAGAAGTCAATAGGAGACTCAGAAGCATAAGAATACCTCCTAGAATTTAAATATAAGAAAAACAAATTGAAGTTAATAGTCTTATTTTCTCATTGTAAAGTTGCCTGCTCATCTTACTGTGTATAAAATTGGGATCCAGTTATTCAAAATCAGTGTGTTTTGTGTGTATTACTCAGCAGAGTATTTACCAGGTTTACAAGTGTAGATCACACATCTAAGTCAAGGCCTGCCTTATCACTTCTGGTCACCAACTAATCCTTAAACTTTTTTTATTCTAAAAATAATTGGGAGTAAAACATCAACAAGTTAGCTGGACAACGTGTTTAAAGCTTTAAAACCTGCCTTGAAAACTGTGATAGATCAGTTTGAATGCCAGGACTGTCGATTCAAAGTGCCAAATGTCTGCTATAATAATTCCTAGCACATAGGGAGTTCTATGAGCCAGACTCTGCATCTCAAGCTCTTCAGAGATTTTAACTCAACCACTTTTCACAAAACCTTGTTTTTTGTGGAAGAAGTGCAATTACCTTCCATATTTTACAGGGGAGGACACTAAGTATCAGGGACATGCATTTTTTCCAGGCCCCATGGCTAACACATGGCAAAGCTAGGTCAACTTGGACGTTGGCCTTCAGAGTCATTGAACCATAACCCCTCCCCTCCTGCCTGGACAGCCCCAGAGCCGGCACTGCTGAGTCACAGTGACAAGACTTACCCTCTGGCCTTGAACAGCTCAAACTCTAATGGAGTAAATAGATAAATAAGCCACTGTGATGATAATAATAATAATAAAAAGTTAAAAATGGCAAGATAAGACCATGAAGCATGTGGTGTAACAATTCAGGGAGATGCCATAGCTTAGCAGATAAGAGCACAGACTCAGGACTGAGATGAGTCTCACTCCAGTGCCAGCTGCAGAGGCTCAGCTGCATCAGTCTCTCTGCTCTTCAGGGGTCTTAGCTGTAAAACAAGAATGCTCTTCGTGGGAACTCAGAGAATGGGCATGTCAGGTATTCAGAGCAGTCCTGTAGCCCAGAAAGCCTAAGTCAGTACTATCATGATCATGGAAGAGTAGATTATTGAAGCTGACTTAGAAGAACTGGAAAGACTTCTTGAAGGGCTTTAGATTTCAGCTGAGCCTTGAAACAAGAGTTGTTATTTTAAAACAGAAACAAAAAGGAAAAACTCCAATAGTCTGGATGCAGCCAACAAAGCACCTTCCAGACAACAGAAGCAGCTGGGAAATGAAACAACAAACAAACAAGGCAAAGCCACATCTCAGAACAGGGCATGTTGTATGGACTCATGTACTTGGAAAGTGAGGTTCAGGGAAATTCCAAGTGAATGGCAGGAAATAAAGCTGGAAACCTAAGGAAGGACTAGGCCCTAAGGCAGAGAGAGATTCTTTAAGTACCTCAGCCCATAGGGACAAATCATCGGTTTTCCTTTTACCTAAACGGAAACATGTTTCTTGTCTTAGAGAATTATGTTTTCTTTTCGGTTTATTTTCTATTTTAAATTTAAAATTTGAATTGTAAGCCTATAGGATCCCAAGAGTTCCAAACTCTATATTTTTCTTACTCCTTTAACTCTGCCTTCAGCATATGTCATGGTAAAATGTAAATTAACCTAAATCTATACAATAAAAATAAAATAAAAATTAGACGGGTAGGCTGTTATGTTTTCAGGGTGTGCGGTGTTTGTTTGCTGTTTGTTTTTACAGCTAATAATTCTGAACAAAACCAAAGCACATAAGCAATCTCAGCAGGAGATAAACTAAGCTGTCATAGAATCATAGTTTCAGTTATTGCATTAATCAGCATTAACTTCATGTAAAACTCGACAAAAAAGAAAAACGTTTGAGCTCCACCTTGTGGTAGCATATCTGAGCCAAGCTCATGTCTCAGGTTCTTTGTGCAGGAAAAGCATGTCTTAGTGAGCCCGCAAAAAAACCCTGCATTATTTAAAGAAGAAGAAGACTAGGAAAGCTTTGAAAAATTGTTCCAGAATGTGCAAATAAGGGCTGCTTATTTATAGGGTTTCTAATATTAGAAATATCACAGTGTACACTGATGGCCCTGGGACAGCATCCTGCCAACAGATGGTGTGTGTGTGTGTGTGTGTGTGTGTGTGTATGTGCGCGCGCGCGTATTAATTTGTGCTAATTACTAACATTTAAATATTATAGTATGTGACATAAAAATCAAGGTTTCCAGCTTCTCTTTAGACACCAGAAGATCTGGGAGCCCTGCGTCTGCAATAATTAGCTAGAACTGAGCATTGGATGCCCCCTAAAGATAGTGAATGTTGTCTACATTTTATTGGCTATAAACCGACAGAGGAGGCAACACAGAAGTGGCAACGTGCATATCTGTCAATACTTCTCCATCTTCACTGTACCCCATAACCTCACCCAGACGACCTAGGCAAGACACCATGAGCACACTGCCTGCTGTTTGAAACAACACAGAAAACCTGGTGTGTCATTGCTCTCAAACAACTTTTATTTTTAAAGACCTTTATGTTGCTTTGCTAAAAAAGTAAAATAAAAACTTTCCTTGATCTCACTGGCCTTATCAACATTAAGATCCCAAATGTTATCGCACCCACATTTTGAGTCCTAGACATTGGTACTATGCAAAATCTCATCTGATTATGTCTGAGAGTCCATAGTTTATGAATTGATCTATTCAGGCTGTCTCACTGTGTGGCCTGCTCTGTTCTCTTATTTCACTCCTTCAAGCCAATACCTGAGAAGTGCCTGCTGTGCCTGTCATGAGTTTAGCAGACTCCTTTGAAGTGGGCTATCACCAGTGCTCCCCAAACAGACAGCTGATGGTAGTATCACAGTGTTTTTCTACCCCATTCGCAGGTGGACTTGCAGGGCTTTATTTCCCGAGAACCAAAAGTGCGCTACATGTACTCCACCGTCTCAGAATCCCCACTCCATGAACAGCTCCACTGGATTCTGGCTGCAGTCTCTATCTGTCCCCACTGTACTCTAATCTCATCCATTCCCCTTCCCTTCTCCTACTTCCTCAAAGGCTACATCTCTGCATAGCCATGCAAATCAACTGCTGCAGTCAGATGGAGGGGGAGCCACCAACACTATCTACTTATCAGAAATTTCCCAGAAGATCTGAATTCTAGATCTGGGTATGATTTAATTGGAACTCTCACTAAAACTTATTTCATAAACTCAGAGAATTCTTAGAACAACACTGCCCAATAGAGATGAAATGCACACGACAAATGCAAGCCACATGGCATCTTAACTTTCCTAGTGACCACATTAAAAAAGAAACAGGTCAATTAGTATTAGTAATATATTTTACTTAGCCAAATATATTCAAAATAGTATTTTTTTAACATGTAAGCACAATGAAAAGATATTAATGATACATTTTACATTAGCTTTTTCCTATGGAGTCTTCCAAATCCAGCGTATATTTTACATCTCCATTTCCAGCCATGTTGCATGTGCTCAATAGTCACATATGGCTAGTGGCTGCCATATTGGACAGCTCAGGTTTACAGCACAGGAAGAAATTTTAGAATCATGTTATGCAACCTCCTTGTCTTACAAATAATTGAGACTTGGAGAGGTTACATAATTTCCAACAGGTCAAACAACTAATCAGTAGCAGAGACAGGCCTGAAACACTGGGCCATTAATGCTCAATCACATGCATTTCTATTCATTTAATCCTGCTTATCTTAAATTTGTGAAGCCAGTCTACTATTAAGACATTACCATCTAGAAACAACTAAGAATGTACCAAAATAATCCAAAGAGTTGTTTTTATTGGATATATAAATGATTAGGTTTTTCCAGTTGGGGGAAACCTTCTTTAAAAATAATTAAAATAATTTTTCATTAATAACTTTCTGAATTAGATCAATTAAAGTAATTCTTTTTTTTTTTTTTTTTTTTTTTTGGAGACAGAGTCTTGTTTTGTCACCCAGGCTGGAGTGTAGTGGTATAGTGGCACGATCTGAGCTCACTGCAACCTTCGTCTCCCGGGTTCAAGCAATTCTTCTGCCTCAGCCCCCCAAGTAGCTGGGACTATAGGCACCCACCACCATGCCTGGCTACTTTTTTTTGGTAGTTTTAGTAGAGATGAGGTTTCACCATGTTGGCCAGGCTGGTCTTGAACTCCTGACCTCAGATGATCCGCCCGCCTTGGCCTCCCAAAATGCTGGGATTACATGTGTGAGCCACGGCGCCTGGCCAGATCAATTAAAATAATTCTAAATGTTTAACTACAGTGTGACTAAATTTTTTTAAATAAAAATATTTGATTGACAGAAAAGTGGAATTGTGGGTAATGTGTATCTAGCCTTTAAATACGTGCTAAATGCACTGCTCAGTGGTTTTCAGCATCATCTCATGTAATCCCTTCAGAAACTGCAGTGGAGATGATTATAGTCCATTTTAAAGATGAGGTCAATGAAGCTTGGTGAGTGCAATTAGCCCATGTCAAAAGGATAATAGTTGTAATACAAACATCACATGGCTAGCAAGTGACACTTGCAGTCAGGAACAGAACCCATACTCGTACCTTGGCTGTGACTCTCAAGCCAATGCTCCTTCCCCCACCACTTAGCCACCACAATTACCTTGTAGTCTATTAAGCTGAGGTATATGGAGCATTTTCTGTGACGCAAATGCAATAGGCTGAGTATTTTCACTCAGTATTATCTGTTATTCCACTAGCGACAAACATCGCCCATGGAATCAACTCATTGCATATTTTGTCAAGACCAGTTGTAATTCCAGCCCATGGTTCCTTTTGCAGTAGGCTCATTTGTCATCTGCTGAGGGGCTATTCCATGGTCATTTATGCAATATTGAATTCCACTACAAATGTATTTATTAATTCCACGGCCACCTTGCCCTTCAGACCTGTTACTCTATTTTTCAGGGTTATCCTCACACCATGCACAGCAATGTGACATCACATCAAATTTTTCTTCATGAATGTTATACAGTTTGACCGCCTTAACACATAGATTTATTCCTAAAAATTTGTACCAAATTAATTTTCCCCATTTACTTCTGCCATTAAATCTGACCTATATCAATACTGGAAAAAAGGTTTGATTCCAAAAGAAAAAAAAAAGATTTAGGATTTTAGCATTCAGTTCAATGACACTGTTGACTCACAGTTCTTATGCATTTAGCCCATGTATATAATTACTGCAAGATACTAACCATGGCTATAGAACCCTACACTCTAATTATGAAAATATAATCATTACAAATTGCTAATTCCATGGCTGGATTACATAATAGAATAAGTAAGCAGTTGTTTAGAGAATCAGCAAAGCAGTTTTTTTTTTTTTTCCGGAAAGAAACATCTGACTTCAGTATGCATGTATGTTTAGTGTTGTTAGGCTTTTAAAAAAAAATAGAAATGGGGTCTTGCTTTATTGACCACACTGGTCTCAAACTCCTGGCCTCAAGTGATCTTCACACCTTGGCCTCCCAAAGAGCTGGGATTAGAGGCATGAGCCACTGCACCCAGCTTGCTAATATACTTTGTTTTAAATTAGATGTTGGAGAGTACCATGATATTTGCAGTGTTCAGTCCTGTAAAAGTCATGATCAGGCTTTGCCTGATTCTCATTTCAATGGTATTTTCAAGTGCTTCACAGAGTTTATATGTATGACCAAGCAGAGAAATTAATTACATCACAATGCAAATATTTAGAACTCCATAAAAACAAGGATGACAACTTTAACTATTATTGAGCACTATGTGCCAGGCATAGTGCTATGTACTTTGCATGCATTATCTCATTTAATCCCAAATGAAAACTTTATGAGGTAGGACTGTTATTATCCCCATGTTTAGAGGCAAGAAACACAAGATTTTGAAAGGTTGAGTAATTTTCTTAAAGTCACATGTCAGTTTTTGCCTGCTTTAAATGATCATGAACATTCCCATTTTGGAGGACGTGTGATTGGCTAATATATAAACCAAAAAATCCAAGCATACAAAAAATCCAGGCATACTCAATACAAGAAAGAGGAAACAAATAACAAAATGAATAATATTCTGGCAACTTCTAAGCTGCAATATTGAAGAAAACAATAGATAACTTCTGCAGCTCCATTTGAACACATTGTCCACTAATATTGCAGGCTAGCACTGAGCCCCAAGCCCAGCTGAGCCAATCAGATATGTTGCTATAAACCTATGCTAAATGAGAATGAGCCGGATAAGTTTATACAGCATCTAGCTCCAAAAGGCCCAAAGGTTTTCAGAGACCCCAGCAGTTGTATTGGACAATTTCTTTTTTAGTTGCAAATATTTTGTTCCTACTTTCAGTAGAAACAATACCACACAGATAATAAAGCTAGGAAGCTCTAACTTTTGACCTAGTGTTCTGTTGAGTACAATGTTATCCTCCTCTCCAGGTTCTGAGCTGAAAAGTAACTCTAGGATCTTCCAAATTCTCATCCATGGTTTTTCCGCCTGCAGCAATGGGAAGGTCAACTAATTTGTGCCTGCTTCCATTTCTTTCTATATAAAATAAGCATAATTATATTCTATCTTAATGGAGATCATAAATTTAGAACTTGCTTTGTCTTTAAAGATAATGCATCTAAAATAGCTACCAATAATTATTTGGCAAATTGGAGAAAGTGTTTTTCCTGTCTGGAGCACTAAACAATCTCTTAATTCTCCTTCCAGTTTATCGTCATCACTCCTTAGATATAATGTGTTGGCTGTTACAGAATATTTTGGTGTAACTAAAGGAAAGTCAACTCAGAAGATGGACTATAATAATGTGGTCTTATACTGTCTATACCTTTTCATTCACTACTCTTAAATATTCCCTCAGTGATGGTTTTGGTGATAAGGAAATAATTGAACCTGATCAGTTATTCTCGGATGATTTATGAAGAGTCACAATTTTAGAGTTTTCAGGGAACATGGATATTCTAATCTGCTTTCGTGACGGTATTTTTCCCTTAAAATTCCCTTAATGTTGGCAAAATCTGAAGATGGCCAGTTAAGGCTTTCAGCAGCTAAATCACCCTGTGAATTCAAGCTGGATACATTGAATATGTCATGATCCACTTGACATTATCAATTACTAATTTGATACATTATGGATGATTCTATGGCTGTATTTGAATTTAGGTTTCTATTAGTTTATATATGATGCAAAGTGAATGATCCAGAAAAGAATTGACTGGAATCTTACCAGTGATAGAAAAGATGCCAAGGTCATGCCACCCCGTCTGGGAAGTGAGGAGCGTCTCCGCCTGGCCACCCATCGTCTGGGATGTGAGGAGCCCCTCTGCCTGGCTGCCCAGTCTGGAAAGTGAGGAGCGTCTCTGCCCGGCGGCCATCCCATCTAGGAAGTGAGGAGCGCCTCTTCCCGGCCGCCATCACATCTGGGAAGTGAGGAGTGTCTCTGCCCGGCCGCCCATCGTCTGAGATGTGGGGAGCACCTCTGCCCTGCCGCCCCGTCCGGGATGTGAGGAGCGTCTCTGCCCGGATGCCCCGTCTGAGAAGTGAGGAGACCCTCTGCCTGGCAACCGCCCCGTCTGAGAAGTGAGGAGCCCCTCCGCCCGGCAGCCGCCCCGTCTGGGAAGTGAGGAGCCCCTCCGCCCAGCAGCCACCCCGTCTGGGAAGTGAGGAGCGTCTCCGCCCGGCAGCCACCTTGTCCGGGAGGGAGGTGGGGGGGTCAGCCCCCCGCCCGGCCAGCCGCCCCGTCCGGGAGGGAGGTGGGGGGATCAGCCCCCCGCCTGGCCAGCCGCCCCGTCCGGGAGGTGAGGGGCACCTCTGCCCGGCCGCCCCTACTGGGAAGTGAGGAGCCCCTCTGCCCGGCCAGCCGCCTGTCCGGGAGGGAGGTGGGGGGGTCAGCCCCCCGCCTGGCCAGCCGCCCCGTCTGGGAGGTGAGGGGCACCTCTGCCCGGCCGCCCCTACTGGGAAGTGAGGAGCCCCTCTGCCCGGCCAGCCGCCTGTCCGGGAGGGAGGTGGGGGGGTCAGCCCCCCGCCCGGCCAGCCGCCCCGTCCGGGAGGGAGGGAGGTGGGGGGCTCAGCCCCCCGCCCGGCCAGCCGCCCTGTCCGGGAGGTGAGGGGCGCCTCTGCCCGGCCGCCCCTACTGGGAAGTGAGGTGCCCCTCTGCCCGGCCACCACCCCGTATGGGAGGTGTACCCAACAGCTCATTGAGAACGGGCCATGATGACAATGGCGGTTTTGTAGAATAGAAAGGCGGGAAAGGTGGGGAAAAGATTGAGAAATCGGATGGTTGCCGTGTCTGTGTAGAAAGAAGTAGACATGGGAGACTTTTCATTTTGTTCTGTACTAAGAAAAATTCTTCTGCCGTGGGATCCTGTTAATCGGTGACCTTACCCCCAACCCTGTGCTCTCTGAAACATGTGCTGTATCCACTCAGGGTTGAATGGATTAAGGGCGGTGCAAGATGTGCTTTGTTAAACAGATGCTTGAAGGCAGCATGCTCCTTAAGAGTCATCACCACTCCCTAATCTCAAGTACCCAGGGACACAAACACTGCGGAAGGCCGCAGGGTCCTCTGCCTAGGAAAACCAGAGACCTTTGTTCACTTGTTTATCTGCTGACCTTCCCTCCACTATTGTCCTGTGTCCCTGCCAAATCCCCCTCTGCGAGAAATACCCAAGAATGATCAATTAAAATAATAATAATAATAATAATAATAAAATAAAATTAAAAATATATATATATATTATTCTTTTTTATTTCAATAGGTTTTGAGGCACAGGTGGAGTTTAGTTACAAGGATAAGTTCTTTAGCGGTGATTTCTGAGATTTTGGTGCACCTATCACTCAAGCAGTGTACACTGTACCCAATGTGTAGTCCTTTATCCCTCAACCCCCTCCCACCCTTTCCCCTGAGTCCCCAAAGTCCATTGTATCATTTTTATTACTTTGTGTCTTCGTAACTTAGCTTCCCCTTATGAGTGAGAATATACGATGTTTGATTTTCCATTCCTGAGTTAGAATAATGGTGTTAGAATATAACCATTATTGGTCTCCAATTCCATCCCATATGTCATTTCTTTTTATGGCTGAATAGTATTCCATGGTGTATGTACACCTAATTTTCTTTATCCACTGGTTGATTGATGGGCATTTGTGCTGGTTCCATAATTTTGCAGTTGCAAATTGTGCTGCTATAGGCATGCATGCGCAGGTATCTTTTTTGTATGACTTCTTTTCTTCTGGGTAGATACCCACTAGTGAAATTGCTGTATCAAATGGTAGATCTACTTGCAGTTCTTTAAGGAATCTCCACACTGTTTTCCATAGTGGTTGTGCTAGTTTACATTCCCACCAGCAGTGTAGAAGTGTTCCCCTTTCACCACATCCCTGCCAACATCTATTATTTTTTTATTTTTATTTTTATTTTTATTTAGGCCATTCTTTCAGGAGTAAGGTGGTATCGATTGTCGTTTTGATTTGCATTTCCCTGATAGTGATGTTGAACATCTTTTCATATGTTTGTTGGCCATTTGTATATTTTCTTTTGAGAACTGCCTGTTCACATCCTTAGCCCACTTTTTGATGGGATTGTTTTTATTGTTTTTTTTTTTGGTTCTTTTGTTTTTTTTTTTTCTCGCTGATTTGTTTGAGTTTCCCATAGATTCTGGATATTAGTCCTTTGTCAGATGCATATTTTGTGAAGATTTTCTCCCACTGTGTGGGTTGTCTGTTTATTCTGCTGATTATTTCCTTGCTGTGCAGAAGCTTTTTAGTTTAATTAAGTCCCACCTTAAAAACAATTTATCCTTGTTTTGTTGAATTTGCTTTTGGGTTCTTGGTCATGAATTCTTTGCCTAAGCCAATTTCCAGAAAGGTTTTCCCAATGTTATCCTCTAGAATTTTTATTGTTTTGAGTCTTAGATTTAAGTTTTTCATCTATCTTGAGTTGATTTTTGTATAAGGTGAGAGACGTGGATCCAGTTTCATTCTTCTACATGTGGCTTGTCAATTATTCCAGCACTATTTGCTGAATAAGATGTCCTTTCCCCATTTTATGTTTTTGTTTGCTTTGTTGAAGATCAGTTGGCTATAAGTGTTTGGACTTATTTCTGGGTTCTCTATTCTGTTCCATTGGTTTATGTGCCTATTTTTATACTAGTGCTATGTTGTTTTGGTGACTATAGCCTTCTGGTATTCTTAGAAGTGGAGGAATGTGATTCCTCCAGATGTGGTTTTTGCTTTTGATTTTTTGTTTGTTTGTTTGTTTGTTTTGCTTAGTCTTCCCTTGGCTATGCAGGCCCTTTTTTAGTTCCATATGCAATTTTGGATTTGTTGTTGTTGTTGCTGTTCTCTGAAAAATGATAGTGGTATTTTGATGGGAATTGCACTAAATTGGTAGATTGCTTTTGGCAATATGGTCATTTTCACAATATTGATTCTACCCATCGATGACCATGGGATGTGTTTTCATTTGTTGGAGTGTTGTCTATTATTTCTTTCAGTAGCATTTTGGAGTTTTCCTTGTAGAGGTATTTCATCTCCTTGGTTTGGTATATTCCTAAGTATTTTATGTTTTTTGTGGCTATTGTAAAAGAGTTTGAGTTATTGATTTAAATCTCAGCTTGGTTTCTGTTGATATATGGCAGTACTACTGATTTGTGTACATTAATTTTGTATCCTGAAACTTTGCAACAGTTTGACTTCTTCTTTATCAATCTGAATGCCCTTTATTTCTTTCTCTTATCTGATTGCTCTGGCTAGGACTTCTAGTACTATGTTGAATAAAAGTGATAAAAGTGGGCCAGCCGCAGTGGCTCACACCTGTAATCCCAGCACTTTGGGAGGCTGAGGTGGGCAGATCACGAGGTCAGAAGATCGAGACCATCCTAGCTAACACAGTGAAACCCCGTCTCTACTAAAAATACAAAAAATTAGCTGGGCATGGTGGCAGGCACCTGTAGTCCCAGCTACTCAGAAGGCTGAGGCAGGAGAATGGCATGAACCTGGGAGGCAGAGCTTACAGTGAGCCGAGATCATGCCACTGCACTCCAGCCTGGGTGACAGAGTGAGACTCCATCTCAAAAAAAAAAAAAAAAAAAAAAAGTGATGAAAATGGACATCCTTTTCTTGTTCCAGTTCTCAAGGGGAATGCTTTCAATTTTTCCCCACTCAGTATATGTTGGCTTTGGGTTTGTTGTAGATGGCTTTTATTACTTTAAGGTATGTCCCTTCTATGCTGAATTTGCTGAGTGTTTTAATCATAAAGGGATGCTGGATTTTGACAAATGCTTTTCTGCATCTATTGAGATGATCATGTGACTTTTGTTTTTAATTCTGTTTATGTGGTGGATCACATTTATTGACTTACATTACTAAACCATCCCTGCATCCCTGGTATGAAACCACCTTGATCATGATGGATTATCTTTTTGATATGCTGTTGGACTCTGTTAGTTAGTATTTTGTTGAAGATTTTTACATCTATGTTCATCAAGGATATTGGTCTGTAGTTTTCTTTTTTGTGATACCCTTTCCTGGTTTTGATACTAGGGTGATAATGGCTTCACAGAATGATTCAGAGAGGATTCTCTTTCTCTATCTTGTGAAATAGTGTCAATAGGATTGGTACCAATTCTTCTTTGAATGTCTGATAGAATTCAACTGCGAATCCCTCTGGTCCCGGACTCTGTTTTGTTGTAATTTTTTAAAATAACATTTCAATCTCACTGCCTATTATTGGTCTGTTCAGAGTTTCTATTTCTTCATGGTTTAATCTAGGAGGGTTCTATATTTCCAGGAATTTATCCATCTCCTTTAGGTTTTCTAGTTGGTGTGCATAAAAGTATTCACAGTAACCTTGAATAATCTTTTGTATTTCTGTGGTATTGGTTGTAGTGTCTCCTGTTTCATTTCTAATTGAGCTTGTTTGTATCTTCTCTCTTCTTTTCTTGGTTAATCTTGCTAATAGTCTATCAATTTTGTTTATCTCTTCAAAGGACCAGCTTTTTGTTTTATTTATGTTTTGTATTTTTTGTTTTAGATTCCTTTAGTTTGCTCTGATCTTTGTTATTTCTTCTCTTTTGCAGGATTTGGATTTGGTTTGTTCTTGTTTCTCTAGTTCCTTGAGGTATGACCTTAGAATATCTATTTATGCTCTTTTAGACTTTTTGATGTAGGCATTTAATGCTATGAACTTTCCTCTTAGCACTACTTTTGCTGTATCCCAGAGGTTTTGATAGGTTGTGTCACTATTATTGTTCAGTTTAAAGAATTTTTTCATTTCCATCTTGATTTTATTCTTGACCCAACAATCAGTCAGGAGCATGTTGTATAATTCCCATGTATTTGCATGGTTTTGAAGGTTCCTTCTGGAGTTGATTTCCAATTTTATTCCACTGTGGCCTGAGAGAATACTTGGTATAATTTTGATTTTCTTAAATTTATTGAAGCTTGTTTTGTGGCTTATCATACGGTCTATCTTAGAAAATGCTCCACATGGTGAGGAGTAGAATGTATATTCTGCAGTTGTTGGATAGAACGTTCCGTATATGTCTGTTAAGTCTATTTGTTCTAGGGTATAGTTTTAAATCCATTGTTACTTTGTTGATTCTCTGTCTTGATGACGTCTAGTGCTGTCAGTGGAGTATTAAAGTCCCCCACAATTATTGAGTTGCTGTCTATCTCATTTCTTAGGTCTAGTAGTAATTGTTTTATAAATTTGGGAGTTCCAGTGTTAGGTGCACATATATTTAGGATTGTGTCATTTTCCTGTTTGACTAGCCTTTTATCATTGCATAATGTCCGTCTTTGTCTTTTTTAACTGTTGTTACTTTAAAGTCTGTTTTGTTTGATATAAAAATAGCTACTCCTGCTCACCTTTGATGTTCAATTGCATGGAATATCTTTTCCTACCCCTTTACCTTAAGTTTATGTGAGTCCTGTGTTACGTGAGTCTCTTGAAGACAGCAAATACTTGGTTGGTAAATTCTTACCTCTTCTGCCATTCTGTATCTTTTAAGTGGAGCATTTAGGCCATTTATATTCAATGTTAATATTGAGATGTGAGGTATTATTCTATTCGTCATGCTAGTTGTTGCCTAAATACCTTGGGTTTTTTTTTATTATTATTGTGTTATTGTTTTATAGATCCTGTGAGACTTATCCTTTAAGAAAGTCCTGTTTTGGTGTATTTCTAGGATTTGTTTCAAGATTTAGAGCTTCTTTTAGCAGTTCTTGTAGTATTGGCTTGGTAATGGTGAATTCTGTCAGCATTCATTTATCTGGAAAACACTGTATCTTTTCTTCATTTATGAATCTTAGTTTTGCTGGACACAAAATTCTTGTATGGTAAATGTTTTATTTAAGGAGGCTAAAGATGAGACCCCATCTAGCTTGTAGGTGATCCCTTCTTGTAGCTTGTAGGAATCCTTCTCGCTTGCAGGGTTTCTGCTGAGAAATCTGCTGCTAATCCAACAGGTTTTCCTTTATAGGTTAACTGATGCTTTTGCCACACAGCTCTTAAGATTGTTTCCTTCATCTTGACTGTAGAAACCTGATGACTATGTGCCTAGGCAATAATCTTTATGCAAGGAATTTCCTGGGTGTTTTATGAGCTTCTTGTATTTGGATATCTAGATCTCTAGCAAGGCCAGGGAATTTTCCTCAATTATTTTCTCAAATATGTTTTCCAAAGTTTTAGATTTCTCTTCTTCATCGGGAACACCACTTATTCTTAGGTTTAGTCATTTAACATAATCCCAAACTTCTTGGAGGCTTTGTCATTTTTAATCCTTTTTCTTCGTCTTTTGTCACATTGGGTTAATTAAAAAGCCGATCTTTGAGCTCTGAAGTTCTTTCTTCTACTTGCTCAATTCTATTGCTGAGACTTTCCAGTGCATTTTGCATTTCTATAAGTGTGTTTTTCATTTCCAGAAGTTGTGATTGTTTTTTATTTATGCTATCTATTTCACTGGAGATTTTTCCATTCATATCCTGTATTTTTTTTTAATTTCTTTAAGTTGGACTTCACCTTTCCCTGGTGCCTCCTTAATTAGCTTAATAACAGACCTTTTGAATTCTTTTTCTGGCAATTCGGAGATTTCTTCTTGGTTTGGATCCACTGCTGATGAGCTAGAGTGCTCTTTGGGGGATGTTAAAGAACCTTGTTTTGTCATATTATCAAAATTGTTTTTCTTGTTCTTTCTCATTTGAGATTATGTCAGAGGGAAGATCTGGGGCTCTTGGGCTGCTGATCTGATTCTTTTGTCCCACAGGGTGCTCCCTTGATGTGGTGCTCTCCCACTTTCCCTAGGGATGGGCTTACTGAGAGCCAAACTGCAGTGATTGTTATTTCTCTTCTGGGTCTAGCCACCCAGCAGAGCTACTGGGCTCTAGGCTGGTACTGGAGGGTGTCTGCAAAGAGTCCTGTGATGTGATTCATCTTCAGGTTTCTTAGCCATGGATATCAGCACCTGCTGTGGTGGAGGTAGCAGGGGAGTGAAGTGGACTCTGTGGAGGTCCTTAGTTGTGGTTTTGTTTAGTGTGCTGGTTTTGTGTTAGTTGGCCTCTGGCCAGGAGGTGGCATTTTCAAGAGAGCAACAGCTGTGGTAGTATAGGGAGAAAACAAGTTTGCCCTAAGGTGGCCTAGATAAGTATTTGGGTTTCTCAGGCTGTGGGCGGGACCATAGAGCTCCCAAGAGATGATATCCTTTGTCTTTGGCTACCAGCGGGATTAGAGAAAGACCCTCAGGTGGGGACAGGATTAGGTATGTCTGAGCTCAGACTCTCCTTGGGTGAGGCTTGCTGCGGCTGCTGTAGGGGATGGAGGTGTGGTTCCCAGGCCACTGAAGTTATGTTTTCAGGGGGATTATAGCTCCCTCTGCTGTATCATATGGGTCACCAGGGAAGTGGAGGAAAGACAGCAGTGATAGGTCTCACCCAGATCTCATGCAGTTTGAGTGGCCAGTCTCTCTCCCACTGTACCCCACCAATAGCACTGAGTTTATTTTGAGGTAGCTGGTGAGCAAGGCTGAGAATTTGCCCTAGGATACAAGCCTCCCTGGTGAGAATGCAAGCAGGACTTTCAGGTTTCACACCTCCCTGCTTGCTGCAACTTTACTAGTATCTGCACTCCCAGTTCACCCCCTCCCCCAGATTATGTCCGAGGAACTTTGTGTTCAGTCAAAATTGTTACAAAGTGCAGCTGGGAATTTCCTTTTCCCTGTGGTCTTTCCTCAATTTTACTGGCAGTCCTCCCCAGGAGCCCCTGCAAGACAAAGTCAGAAATGGCTTCCCGTGGGACCAAGAGTGCCCACAGGGCTCTTCCCACTGCTTCCTCTACCCCCTGTATTTCACTTGATTTCTAAATTTATCTCATCTCCAAGTAAGGCTAATCCTTCTCCCGTGATCTGGACCTTCAGGTTCTCCAGTATGTGTGTTTGGGGGCGGATGTTACACCTCACACTTTGCGCACTCACAGTTTTTTGGCTGTCTCGCAGAGCCTGCAGAGGGAAGCTGCTTCCTCCAAAGAGTGTGTGGATTTTCTTGGCTTTCCTGGTATGTTCCTGCAGTATTTCTTGGAGCAAAAGTTCACAATGTGAATCTCCACACGCTGTTCTGTTTGTCTGAGTGGGAGCTGCAAGTTAGTCGTGCCTCCTATCTGGCATTTTCCCCTATTGTCCCATGGGCTTTATGTCTGAACCATGATAATAACCTGAAAAACATGACCTTCATGAAAGTGACAATACAAAAATTCAAATCATAATAAAATATCAGTGACACTATCTGTTTTCATTGAGTGAGAGAATAATTTTGGACCAGTTATTTTTAATAAAATCAAAACATAAATATAACTAATACCAAAGATTTCTAAATCAAACAGAAAAAAGTTAATTTCACACGTGGCACTTTGGATTGGTTATCAGATGTAGATGACACTTGATTTTATGCATCATGTGAGATTTGGCTTCCAAATAATGGTTTTAAATATTTTCCTTAACCTTAAAATGTCTTTAAAAGAAACAGAGATAATTCCTATAGAGAGTTTATGTAACCACAAATAAAATAGTATAAAGAGAAAAATTTAGTGACTTCTAAGGCTCATTGCTATGAAATAGGAAACATATTAAGTGGTAGTAAGTAATATAATTGATCCATATGTTGATCAAGCTGCGTTAAAATGTGTATATATTGATTTGAAAGTCTATATTGACCATCAATGCCTTGACACAAAAATGTGTTCTAAAAGGAGTCAAATTTAAAGTTAATCCTTCTATTTTAATGTAAAGTTAATCTTTGCAATTTAATCTTTAAATTAAGTGTACAAAGTAGAATAATTAAAATAATTATGCTATATTAATGTAGAGGAATATTTGATACCTATTAAGATTTCCTGAAGTAATTTTTGTGACATAGGAAAATGTTTAATTAAAAAGTGGGATAAAACTAGATATATCTTATGGTCCACACTTTTTTATTGAGTCTGTGCATATATAATTGCAAATCTAAAACAAAATGTTAACAGACGTTATTTTGAGTGGTGGAAATGTGGGACTTCTACATTTTTATTTTATTAACATTTTCCAAATGTGCTGTCATTAATATATACCATTTTAGGAATGTGAATGTGACTGTTGGTGCTGTAGCAGCCATCTTGCAACAATGAGGAAAAATAAAAAAATTTAAAAATCTGAGAAGCCGTCCCTCTCCCTCTCCCTCTCCCTCTCCCTCTCCCTCTCCCTCTCCCTCTCCCTCTCCGTCTCCCTCTCCCTCTCCCTCTCCCCACGGTCTCCCTCTCATGTGGAGCCGAAGCTGGACTGTACTGCTGCCATCTCGGCTCACTGCAACCTCCCTGCCTGATTCTCCTGCCTCAGCCTGCCGAGTGCCTGCGATTGCAGGCACGCGCCGCCACGCCTGACTGGTTTTGGTGGAGACGGGGTTTTGCTGTGTTGGCCGGGCCGGTCTCCAGCCCCTAGCCGCGAGTGATCCGCCAGCCTTGGCCTCCCGAGGTGCCGGGATTGCAGACGGAGTCTCGTTCACTCGGTGCTCAATGGTGCCCAGGCAGGAGTGCAGTGGCGTGATCTCGGCTCACTACAACCTACACCTCCCAGCCGCCTGCCTTGGCCTCCCAAAGTGCCGAGATTGCAGCCTCTGCCCGGCCGCCACCCCGTCTGGGAAGTGAGGAGTGTCTCTGCCTGGCCGCCCATCGTCTGGGATGTGAGGAGCCCCTCTGCCTGGCTGCCCAGTCTGGAAAGTGAGGAGCGTCTGCGCCCGGCCGCCATCCCATCTAGGAAGTGAGGAGCGCCTCTTCCCAGCCGCCATCACATCTAGGAAGTGAGGAGCGTCTCTGCCCGGCCGCCCACCGTCTGAGATGTGGGGAGCGCCTCTGCCCCGCCGCCCCATCTGGGATGTGAGGAGCGCCTCTGCCCGGCCGAGACCCCGTCTGGGAGGTGAGGAGCGTCTCTGCCCGGCCGCCCCGTCTGAGAAGTGAGGAGACCCTCCGCCCGGCAGCTGCCCCGTCTGAGAAGTGAGGAGCCTCTCCGCCCGGCAGCCACCCCATCTGGGAAGTGAGGAACGTCTCCGCCCGGCAGCCACCCCGTCCGGGAGGGAGGTGGGGGGGTCAGCCCCCCCGCCCGGCCAGCCGTGCCATCCGGGAGGGAGGTTGGGGGGTCAGCCCCCCGCCCGGCCAGCCGCCCCGTCCGGGAGGTGAGGGGTGCCTCTGCCCGGCCGCCCCTACTGGGAAGTGAGGAGCCCCTCAGCCTGGCCAGCCACCCCGTCCGGGAGGGAGATGGGGGGGTCAGCCCCCACACCCGGCCAGCCGCCCCGTCCGGGAGGGAGGTGGGGGGGTCAGCCCCCCGCCTGGCCAGCCGCCCCATCCGGGAGGGAGGTGGGGGGTCAGCCCTCCGCCCGGCCAGCCGCCCCGTCTGGGAGGTGAGGGGCGCCTCTGCCCGGCCGCCCCTACTGGGAAGTGAGGAGCTCCTCTGCCCGGCCAGCCGCCCGGTCCGGGAGGGAGGTGGGGGGTCAGCCCCCTGCCCAGCCAGCCGCCCCGTCCAGGAGGGAGGTGGGGGGGTCAGCCCCCCGCCCGGCCAGCCGCCCCGTCCGGGAGGTGAGGGGCGCCTCTGCCCGGCCGCCCCTACTGGGAAGTGAGGAGCCCCTCTGCCCGGCCAGCCGCCCCGTCCGGGAGGGAGGTGGGGGGGTCAGCCCCCCCGCCCGGCCAGCCGCCCCATCCGGGAGGGAGGTGGGGGGGTCAGCCCCCCGCCCGGCCAGCCGCCCCGTCCGGGAGGGAGGTGGGGGGGTCAGCCCCCCGCCCGGCCAGCCGCCCTGTCCGGGAGGGAGGTGGGGGGGTCAGCCCTCCGCCCGGCCAGCCGCCCCATCTGGGAGGTGAGGGGCGCCTCTGCCCGGCCGCCCCTACTGGGAAGTGAGGAGCCCCTCTGCCCGGCCAGCCGCCCGGTCCGGGAGGGAGGTGGGGAGGTCAGCCCCCCGCCCGGCCAGCCGCCCCGTCCGGGAGGGAGGTGGGGGGGTCAGCCCCCCGCCTGGCCAGCCGCCCCGTCCGGGAGGTGAGGGGCGCCTCTGCCCGGCCGCCCCTACTGGGAAGTGAGGAGCCCCTCTGCCCGGCCAGCCGCCCCGTCCGGGAGGGAGGTGGGGGGGGGGGTCAGCCCCCTGCCCGGCCAGCCGCCCCATCCGGGAGGTGAGGGGTGCCTCTGCCTGGCCGCCCCTACTGGGAAGTGAGGAGCCCCTCTGCCTGGCCAGCCGCCCCGTCCGGGAGGGAGGTGGGGGGGGTCAGCCCCCCCCGCCCGGTCAGCCGCCCCGTCCGGGAGGTGAGGGGCGCCTCTGCCCGGCCGCCCCTACTGGGAAGTGAGGAGCCCCTCTGCCCGGCCAGCCGCCCCGTCCGGGAGGGAGGTGGGGGGGTCAGCCCCCCGCCCGGCCAGCCGCCCGGTCCGGGAGGTGAGGGGTGCCTCTGCCCGGCCGCCCCTACTGGGAAGTGAGGAGCCCCTCTGCCCGGCCACCACCCCGTCTGGGAGGTGTGCCCAACAGCTCATTGAGAACGGGCCAGGATGACAATGGCAGCTTTGTGGAATAGAAAGGCGGGAAAGGTGGGGAAAAGATTGAGAAATCGGATGGTTGCCGTGTCTGTGTAGAAAGAAGTAGACATGGGAGACTTTTCATTTTGTTCTGCACTAAGAAAAATTCTTCTGCCTTGGGATCCTGTTGATCTGTGACCTTACCCCCAACCCTGTGCTCTCTGAAACCTGTGCTGTGTCCACTCAGGGTTAAATGGATTAAGGGCGGTGCAAGATGTGCTTTGTTAAACAGATGCTTGAAGGCAGCATGCTCCTTAAGAGTCATCACCACTCCCTAATCTCAAGTAATCAGGGACACAAACACTGCGGAAGGCCGCAGGGTCCTCTGCCTAGGAAAACCAGAGACCTTTGTTCACTTGTTTATCTGCTGACCTTCCCTCCACTATTGTCCCATGACCCTGCCAAATCCCCCTCTGTGAGAAACACCCAAGAATTATCAATAAAAAAATAAATTAAAAAAAAAAAAATATATATATATACCATTTTATAAATTTTTAAATAACCATAGGATTTGTATGGAAACTTCTTTGTGGTATATATGAAGAAAATGTGTGTAATACAACATCTAACTTGTCAGAAGAGGACAAGCATTTTATGTACACATTTTTTCATTATTCATAACTGCTGAGTCATCAAAATCAGTCCTGGAAAAGGCAACCAGACCATTTGAGGCCAAATAGCCAAAGTGATCTGTTACAAAAGAACTTCAAGAAAAAGATAGCTCATGAAGGGGCTTAAGAATTCCTGATGCCATCATGTAATGGCATTTCCTTCTTACAGGAGTTATATGGGAATGAAGGCTATGACTACAGTTTTGTGGGTTTTTTTTTTTTTTAACATCAACGTTAGGTCTCAAAGTCTCCTCCAAGAATGCGAGTGCATATGTGCACTGAGAGCTGCGAACACATGCAAATCTCATTCTTGAGTCTCTTGTTTTTGAAATCCTGCTTACTTATTCTTTTGGTTATATTTCTGGCTCTCATACTTGTAGAGATCCATCAAGATAGGAAAACATAGCTCAGGTCAAAATTTTGTTAATATAAACCCCTTGATAAAGCTTAAACTATGTGTTCCTCTGAGAAGCCTAAATAAATAATTCAAAGAATGTGTTGAAATGCAGTTCTTTGTTTTTCAAGTGAACGGCAAAGCTCTTTAGATAAGTAAATCTAGTTTTTGCACATATTTCTCGGAGCTTTTTTATTGTTCTCAGAAGGAATAAAAGGCGAAGTCTAGATTTTTGTTTGCTTCTTTACCTTCTAAATTTCTCCAATAGCTTTGATTATTATATATGGAAATGAAGATACAGAAATAAATAATAGCAATCAGATCATCCTAGTGGAAGGCTATTCTCTGAATAGCCATAAAACAGCTTTGGAACTGGTCTTCATGTTTCAGATTCTTGTCCATATAGTAATATGAAAATATTTTCAACAATTCTCTGGAGACCGAAAGGGTTAAAATGTCAAAAGCTGCTTAACTTAAATCAGGTGACTATTTAGGTGCTATAAAAATCCAACATATTTTTTAATTTATGGAAATATTGAAACTCGGCATATCATGTCTGAATGTCTATAACATGAACATTCGTCCTAAAAGTACATTGCCTTTAGGAGATGAATGTCTTTGGGGAACAGTTTGTCATCTTTCATCATCTTTGTGACATAGATCAAGAGAAGGAAGTGCAATCCACATTGTAAATGTGGCAAAACAATAAATCAATTTGCTAATCTTACTACTACACAGTGCAAAAATGATCCAAGTAGAAATAAACACTAGCTTTATTTACTCATCTGCATTATAATCTAATTAAACAATAAACTCAGCCTATCAACAGATAATCCATTTCTTACATCATAGTAAAATGTTTTCATGCAGGTAACAGAAGTTTTTGTCTCATAACACAATTGCTGTAAGTTAAATTGATTCAATTTAATTAGCAAGCATTTATTCAGCGCCTACTTGTGCACA
The DNA here is from genome assembly GCF_000001405.40 of Homo sapiens. Lineage (NCBI taxonomy): Eukaryota > Metazoa > Chordata > Mammalia > Primates > Hominidae > Homo > Homo sapiens. The sequence goes on along the minus strand of NC_000009.12, from coordinate 72,838,083 downwards.
GCACTATACTAGGCATACAAAAGAGTTAGAAGATACAACCCCTGCTCACAGAGAATTTACAATAAGGACAAGAAAGATAATCCATGCATCAAAAAATAATAAGGAACCATTACAAGTCACATGAAAATCAATATAAATAATAGACTCTGAATTACAGACATAAGAGCCCAAGGAATCCTAAAAAGGGAGTGATAAGATTGAGAATGGAAGTCAATCTGAAAAAGACAACCAGAGGAATAAAGTTTAGAACTGGCAGGGAAACAGTGCGATTATTCTATGGCTGCCTTTTGGTGATCAAAAAGAATGAGAAACTCAGAGACAGGATAATAGAAATCAGTAAGTCAACTGCAGGGAATGGCAAGCAAATTGGCTTAGTTTTGGAAAGGCACACTGAGTTAAGCTATGCAATTAAAGTCGCACAACAAGGCTAGTGAGGGCACTGAGTGTTACTACTTAAAGTCAATTCAAACTGTAAATCCATAATAATGCTTAAACATATCTATAAATTAAGGCCCCCAACAGAAGTGTGTTTTCCTGACCTTAACAAAAAAAGCAAAGAAAAAAATTATAGAACATTAGAATCCAAGCTTACAGGATATGATTGTTAGAGTAGGTAGTTAGGCAAACATAAAAACATAAGCAGGGCAAGAGAGGCCCCCCACCACCCATCCCACAGGAATGTCAGGTGACCATTTGGTGATGGTCAGGTGGTGGTTAAACTATCTCTCTAAAATAATAATTAGTGGCAACCAGTGCTAGGGAAAGACAGTCTCCCAATAGATAGAAAACACCTGAGCCGGAGATCTTAGGAGTTGGGCAAGTGGGCTCAAGCATGCCCACTAAGCAAAATGGCAGAGTTTAACTAGTATATGACCTTCCTCCAGGAACGCTGGATGGTAAGGGAAAACGTCACAAGTGAGCAGGCACACAACTTCAGTAACACATTGTACACATAGCTCCTTCCAACTGCCGGCAGGCCACCATCCACACGGACAGCCCATCCGCCAAAAAAATCAAGCGGGGAGAGATGCAAACTCCAGAACCATGCCAGTGTATAGAAACCCAGGTCAAAGCTGAACAGGGCACTTGGAACTCTCAATTTGCCCACTTGGCTCTCTTCCAAGTATATTTTATTTCCTTTTGTTCCTGCTGTAAAACTTTTTAATAAACCTACACTCCTGCTCTAAAACTTGCCTCATTCTCTCCCTCTGCCATAAACCTACTTCTGCCCCTCAGCTGAATTCTTCCCTCCAAGGAGGCAAGAATTGTATCGAGTTTGATGCAGACCTGTATGGATTCACCACTGATAACATGATCATTGGAAGACAAATGAGCAGACTGTGAGAGAACAACAGTCATTTATGATGTCTTTCCTTTTTTTTTTAATTTTATCTCATAAAAAGCTAGGTTGTGTAAGACTCATGTACCTTCTCAAAGTAAGAGATCTTCAAGATCTTCAACTCAGTGCTATCCAGGCCCCAATTCATATAGGATTTTTTTTTCTTCTAAAAACCCTATTTCTTTTCATACTGAATCCAGCACCAAATACAAAGGTTTTAGGAATATATTTGTGGGGCGCGTGGTTGGGGAGACAGGTAGAAAAAAAGAGAAAATAAGGTATTGGTTTCAAAAAGTGAGTTAATGAATGATTACAATGAGTACTTTTTGCAAATATTTCTGAACTTAGAGGAAAAAGGGTGAAATATTTCTGCTCTCAGTTTAAGGAAACTCAGGCAAAAGAAACATATAAAATGAAAGTTCATATGAGCAAATTTTTTTTAATTAACCCACCAACTAAACCAGTAAACTGTATTGCTGGATTACACTCACTTCTAAACTCAATTTGTTAAAAAAAAAAAAAAAGTCACGAAATGGAGCAGGGGAGAGAGTGGCTCTGCAGAAACAGTTTCTGACTTGGAATAAAGTTTAGATTCTTGTTGCTCAGGTAGGACTGATGATGCCTTAATTGGCCAGCATGACCTTGAAAATCCATCAAGGGTAGAACAGGAAAATAGCAGTTCCACAGTGCTTGTTCTCTGGGCGTTCACATATTGCATTACTTTTAAACAGCAAGGCAAAGTGTACCTTTTCTGGGCTCTCAGGATACTTATTACTGGCGACCAGCAGCTGCAGCTGTTCACAAAACAGAAAAAAAAAAAAAAAAAAAACAAGGAGAGAGAGAGAGAAGATGAACAGGAGGCAAATAAAAACGTAGCTTTCAGTGTGCTTAATGGTTCTGAATGAGGTGGCCAGAAATCTGTATTGTCCAAATGTGCTCTACTTTCCCATAATATTTACCATTTTAATGTTCAAAATATTTCCATGTTTCTTAGTTTGCAAAGGCTTCACATATTCTAAACAAGGCAGAATGAATGTACTACTTTTTTGTAACATTTATACATTATTGCTTATGTGATGAATATTTTATATTTTTCCAACAAAAGAGTTCCTCATTTTTCAGTAGATATTCAGTAGGTGTTTACTGGGTGGCCATACACATTATGGAAAAAATATCAGATGAATAGCATGCTATAGCATTATATTATCATTTAAAACAATAAAGATAACAATAAGCCTTAATTAGAATTTAGATCTTATAAGTCAGAATTTTCCATTCTTAAGTACTAATTTGATAATATTAAATTATACAAAAGCACTGCTAGTATATGTGATGTATGTGCTTCAACCACCTCATCTTCTGCAGAGACTAAACAATTCTAATAAATTCTCACTAAGGTAGACTCCATCCCAGACTCTATTTCAAAATAATACCTCAGGTAAGCACTGTGGGATGAACAGAGTGAAGATGGACATAAAACCATTGTTCTCCTAGTGTAGGAAATACAAAGGTTTGCCTAAACTGCGGAGGTAAATACATTGAATTGAACTTTCACCCTTTCACAAACATGACAGTCAAGAAATTTTGAGGGGGTTGGGGAGGAAGATGGAGAAGGTTGCATAAACCTGCAAGGAGGGGGAGAATAGGGGAAGAGACATCAATGACAAAATTTTAGAAGCTGGAAAGCAGACAGATTAATGATAATGACTTATCAATTCTAACAAACTGAAAAGCTAAGCCAGGGGAGGAAAAAGACAGTAAGCAACATAATTTACACATAAAATCTCTGAAACGTTCAGTAATTTGCAGCAACAGGTACCTCTGGAAGTAAGGAACCAATACAAAGAGGATGTTTTAGCTGTTAAGAAGCAGTCAAGCTTGGTGGGGCAAAGGGGTGGGGGTTATTAAAAAACGAAACAGCAGCAGTTAGAGTCTGAGATCGGCTTCACTTGGTACAAATGAATAATTGCTCCCCAACCCCCACTACCTTTAATCTGGCAGAAGACTGGAATAATTTTTTCTAAAAAGAGTAAAACAGAGATGCTTCTGGGTTAGAAGACCACAAGGAGTGCCGCAGTAAAAAGAGGGGGCTAAGTGAGCATTTGTAGGTTGAAAGCTGAGCCCCACCCGTGTTGTTTTTCCCACTCAGGTGCTACAGATTTGCCAGGCAAATCTTTACTCTCTGGGCAGGAGTTCGGAAGTAATTTTTCTGAGGAATCTGATCAGCTTAAGAGGAGAAGCCTAAAAATACTGACATGGGGGTTCAGCGGCAGCCCAGGCAGAGTCCCCCAATGAGGATCTGCCCACAAGCCCCATCCATGTGCTTAAAGCTTCGAAACCCACCTTTGCATCCTACCCTGAAATATGAGCTGAGGGTCACAAAGCAGGGGAATTACCAAGCAGGGGAGAAAGAAGAACAAAACAGCTTAGAGAAAACAGACTATCAAAGGCAAAGAAACATCAAAAAGAGTTATTAATATTCTCATAAAGACAAAACAAGCCATTGCAGCCATTAAACAAAAACAGCATGCTGTTTAAAAAAGAAGAATTAAAGAACAAAACAGCTTGCAGAAACTAAAATTATGATAGCAAAAGTGAAAAGGCCAAGAGAAATGTTAAAATTTAAAGATAAGGAAATGTTCATAGGTAAAGCAAAGAGACAAAGGGAATTTAAGGATGAAAAATAAATTAGAAATTCTACATGAAAAAAAAAAAAACAGAAAATGGATGGAAAGAATTTGTAAACAATTCAAGAAAATTCCCTTCAACCAAAGAGCAAAAGTCCATTGATGAGTACACAAGGAATAAAAATAGATCCATGCAAGATACACCATCATGAAATTCTGAACATGCAGATAAGGAGACCCTAGAACTTTCCAGATTGGAAAACCAAACAGATAATCAAAAATACAAGTTGCTCAAGAAAGACTAAGAATCACAATGGCTTTAAACTACTCAAGAGCAATTGTGGAATCTAAAAGGCATGGGAAACCTCTGAAAAAATACTATTTTGAAGGGATATTATTTCTAATATAATTAGATGAGTATTTTTGACCCCCAAACTATCAGTCAAAAGGGAGAGTAAGAGAAGAACAATTTCAGATAGGCATGGTCTCAGAAAATTTGCCTCTCACATACCCTTTCTTACTGGCAAAATGTGAGCAGACCAAAAGAGAGGAAGTTGGGGAAAATGGAAAACACAGTATCCAAAACAGGATAAAGTGACAGAGATCCTGTTGAATGACAGTGAAGAAAAATGAAAGGATGACAGCTGTATCCCAGACACACACTAGTTGAAATTGGAGAAGTGCAGAAGATTCTGGGAAAGATTTCTCTAAGGAAATGAAATGGACAGATAACCCAATATGTCTGAATATATTGAGAGTATAACTCAATAAATAGCAGAGATTTGGAAATTAAATGCATCACTGAAACATATATAAAAATAAGAAAATGTTTAAAAAGAGAAATTATGAATTATGAATCCTGAGAAAATTTTAAAGTATGCACAAGTATCATAGTTTACTACTTGGCTTAGCTGTGAAGACTGTGTGTCCATAATAATGTATACTGGCCTAACCAAAATAATAATATAACTACATAGGTAGAATGCATAGAAAGACTGGGGCAAGAGTATAAAAATCGTTTAAATATTATCTATTAAAATTATTATATCCATTGTAGTTAATAATTTTAAGAGATAATACTTAAAACTAAAAAGTCAAGAAATTACAACAAAATTAGGTAATTTGGAGATAAATATCTAAAAATCAACTAACAAATTGAAAGTGTTTGTCTTAGGGTATTTGAGTGCAGGGGAGGAGAAGAGAGCAAAACTGGTGTAGGAGGCAGAAGAAGATGCTGTTTTTCATGATAAGCCTTATAGAATTATGAAATTCTAAATGGAACTCTAAATTATGCACACATGTAGTATTGATTTAAAAAATTAAAAATTTCATTAAAAACTAGTCTGATAACTGTACATCACTGTAATCATCTAATTCAGCACCCAGCATTCAACTTTACATTTATGCATGCTAGATAGAGAGAGGGAAAAGAAAAAAGGCTAAGCATAAAGAAGGCAACAAAACCAAGTCTTGAACATTTGTTGTTTGGGGACACCCAGCATCCTTTTCTCCTTCTCTTAGGTAGGTGTGACCTCCCCAGTGCATTTCACATGTGTCAGGAAAACAGACCAATCCCAGCTTCAAGGATGGGTCCTGACTGACTTCAGTAACTTACCATACTCAGACACAGTGACTGGCACAAGGATGGATACATGACCCATATGGGGCCAATCTGAAAGGAGGAGAGGTTGAGGAATTTCTAGGAAAGAAGTTTTACAGTCTAAGGACATGGCATTGGAAGTTGCTGCATCCATTCCTGCTGCCATAAAGGTCAGCCAATGTGAAAGGAGTTTAGCTTCAGAGATTCACAGAGAGGTGGGCTCAGACCTGACTCTGTTCTAAACTTAGGATAAAAAGTGCCCTGAATGCTGGGCACAGTGGTTCATGCTTTTAATCCCAACACTTTGGGAGGCCAAAAAGAGAAGATCACCTGAGCCCAAGACTTTGAGAGCAGCCTGGGCAACTTAGCAAGACCTCACTTCAAAAAAAAAATTAAAAATTATCCAGGCATGGTGGTGTGCGCTGTCCCCACTACTCAGGAGGCTGAGGAGGAAGGATCACTTCAGCCTGGGAAGTTGGAGCTGCAGTGAGCCGAGATCATACCACTGCCCTCCAGCCTGGGCCACAGAGCCAGACCAGGTCTCAAAAAAGAAAAAAAATCCTTTGGGTATATACCCAAAGGATTATAAATCATGCTGCTATAAAGACACATGCACACGTATGTTTATTGCGGCACTATTCACAATAGCAAAGACTTGGAACCAACCCAAATGTCCAACAATGATAGACTGGATTAAGAAAATGTGGCACATATACACCATGGAATACTATGCAGCCATAAAAAATGATGAGTTCATGTCCTTTGTAGGGACATAGATGAAGCTGGAAACCATCATTCTCAGCAAACTATCGCAAGGACAAAAAACCAAACACCGCATGTTCTTACTCATAGGTGGAAATTGAACAATGAGAACACTTGGACACAGGAAGGGGAACATCACATACCGGGGCCTGTCGTGCGGTGGGGGGAGCAGGGAGGGCTAGCATTAGGACATATACCTAATGTAAATGATGAGTTAATGGGTGCAGCACACCAACATGGCACATGTATACATATGTAACTAACCTGCACGTTGTGCACATGTACCCTAGAACTTAAAGTATAATTAAAAAATATATATATATATAGAAAAAAGAAAGTGGCCTGAAGCCATACATACCATTTCCCTGCATTTGTGTGGTCGAATAAATTACTCTTTCTCAATTAAACCAATTTGAGTGTTTTATTACTTACAGTGGGGAAACAGTCCTACTAATGTAAAGAGTTTTAAAGTTAGGAGTAAGGACAAAGTTGGAAAAGATTTTCACTAAAGGTCTTAGGTATCACCTTTCCGTGGGGAACTCAAAGCATATTATTAATTTTGGCAACTAGAAGTTGGCTTTACTCTAATACTTTAAAAAATAAAGAGGTTTTTAAAAAAAGAAAGTTTAATGGATTAGAAAGGGCTTCTGGCAATCAGTGGTGGAAAGCCCAGAGGACCCTCTTGGGATCTTCTTGCCATATCCTTCCATGTATGAAAATAGTCAACATGGGCAGGAGAGCATCTGCATTTGTATCTGCTGTTTGTAGACGACTATATGGGGGATTTCTTCATTTTCTGCGCATTTTCAAGGTCACTTTTAAAAATCACTACTGCCAAGTTTATATGCCCACATTTTCATTTCTCTTTTTTTCCTCCCACTAGAAAACAACCAAATACCCTGGATGTGATGCCTGAGAAGGGCTAAAAAGGTGGAAGGTAAGGATTGTGGAATGACTCGCTCACAGCAATAATGCCACTCACCATCCAATGGAGAAAAAGCAAAAAAAAAAAAAAAAGAAAGAAAAAGAAAAAGAAAAATTACAAACATTACAAACATAAACGTATCTCCAACCTGCTCGTGCAGCTGCCATTTTCTTGTTTCGCATTTTGTTCTCCAAAGCTTGCTACACAATAAAAAATAAGGGGAAAAAAGTAGATTTCTCAGTGTTTTCTACTGCTTGACATTAATAAAGATAATATTTCTATGAAATAAATTGTATCATACCATTTTCATCTTCTTTTTGAGATCCAGATTCGCTGCCTTCTGGCCCTTGGCAGTAGCATTGAGATAATAGATGGCCAAACTAAATTAAAAAGAAAAAAAATACAGTGTAAGGTATATTTCAGTTCCCCAAGATACTTCTTAAATTTACATTAAGTAAATTATGAAATATCAGCATGGGAATGAACATTAAGCTATCTTCTACTCTAAATCTCTTGTCTTATAGATAAAAGCTGAGGTCCAGAGAGGTAAAGAGATACATTCAGGATGACATAGGGATGAAGCTGGGGTGAAGTTGGAAAGTTGGGGCCCAAGGCTCCTGATCCACAGCCTGTTCTGTCTGCTATTTCACACTGCCTAATATTAGCTTTTTCCTGGAAATGTATTCACATAAGTTTAAATTATAATTGAAAGTAGCATTTTAAATGGATGGCAATGGCATCCCAGAGAATGGAAAACCTACTGCAGCTTAGGGAACATGCCGAACAAAAAGGAAAACGACTTTCTGCCTTAAATTTCGTCCTTTGGCCTTTGCAGCTAAGAATGTAATCCTCATAGGCATAGATAATGAACATGGAATTTTTTCCGTAGAATGTATTGTTTGCATTTCTTTCTCCCTCAAAAAGAAAACGTTGTATAAAGGAATATTATTGGATTTTAAATGACATTTACATTCTAGAAAGGGCAAATTCTAGCCAGACAATTCTGTAAAAATAAATATGCTTATCTTCACTTAAGGCAAAACGAACAAACAAACAAAGAAGAAATGCAGTAAAAAAGGTAACTTATATTACTCTTTGCTGCAAATAACTGGATATTGAACACATTTCCTCTACTCCCCAAAATGAAAGACAGTATCCTTTATGAACCATCTGGTGCTAGCAACACAATTATTGATACGGTTTGGCTGAGTTTGTTTATCTCTTACATGAGTGATGGGAGTTTTACTAAAATTACATACATAAATGCATGCAGGGCAATATCTGGCATGAAATAGGTGCTCAATAAATGTTTGTGTGTGTGTGTGTTTGTGTGTGGTGTGTATTATAAGGATTTTCTTAGAAAAGTTCCTGGATTTGGAAGATGAACTCAAAGATTTCACAAGTCCTTTCAAGTTCTGGAATTCTCTATTTATCCACCATGATTTTCTACCTTGTAATGCACGTTAAATAAGTATTCCTCACAAATCTTTTTCTAGTCTCCAAAGGAATGAAACTGCCTGCAGAGAACTAACCTGAACTCTGCTTAGATACCCGAAAGCCATCCAGGTTGATTTAATATAATCCATTGGGGGAAATTCAACATACTAGTACAATTCTCTAATTAAAGGTAATAAAAAGCTAAGCCAATTGTATGGGCCCCAAAAATAGAAGATGAGATCTCAGAATTTGAAAAAATATACTCAGTAATAAGCTAAAATCTGGGTTTTAAATCAGAACCTCAGAGCCACAATCAACCTTTCAGTACATCTATTTGACATTTGCATGGGGCCAGCTTTCCTCCAGGCTGTCCAGATCAAAGCAAACTAGGTCCTGCAGGATGAAGATGACTGCCAGACTGTTTTGTATGGCCCATGAATTAAGAATGGTTTTTCTGTCTTTTAAACGGTTATTATTAGTAATTACTTAATTAAGAGCCTCAATTTTGCCTCTTGGCCTAATTTGCCTCTGGCCCTCGAATTAGGAAAAGTGTGCTGACCCTGGGTCTATACCACCTCGGACAAGTGGCTTTCAGCCCATCTGAAATTCCCACTGATTCTGATCCCTGTTTGGTGCTGCAAGTGAGTGTAGGAAATAAGGAGAAGACATGAGTTTCAGTTCCACTTAGTCACTTGACTTGGGGCAGAATTTCAATGTGTTATTGATAGTATGATTAATGAAGCCAGCTTCTCAAAGCTGTTATGGGAATTAAATGAGTCAGTGTGTAAATAGTACCTGAAACAAAGGCAGTGTGAATTCCTTTTAAACCCTCTTAGGACTGATTACTAAATCTTTGGATTAAGGCATTTGAACAATGCCACTCCTTCACTTAAAAATAAACATGTCTCCTAATCAAGTAAGAATATGGTAACGAAATCTGACATTTACATTGTGTGTGTGTGTGTGTGTGTGTTTTAAACAACACCTCATTCATACCACTAAAGGGCCTTGACTCTCAAAGGCCACAGGATACTGATTAACATGCTCTCAGAAGCCACTGTATCATGGACATGTAGAGAAAGAAAATTGTTTCAAAGGCCATCTGGTGAAACATGCTGCATTCAGTAGGTCATTTTCTAATGCATCTGTGCCAGAGATTTACTATCAGATTCTTAATAGCACCCCATTATCAAGGTTATGTAATATATAATGGTAATCTGATTTACTGTTTAATTATCCCTACAGGTTATTAGCTCTCCCTCACAGAAAGCCTCGCAGTATAAAGAAGTGAGCACTGGATTTACTGTGAAAGGATCTGCTTCAGGTCCTTCTATGACCATTTTACTCTCTCTCTTGTCTAGGGAAAATCACTTTCTTTGTGTAAATCAATTTCTTAGGTTATAAAATTGAAGAAGATAAACCTGCCCTCACTACTTTATGTGGCTTGTGATCACGACAATAACTGGGTCACAATCCCTGCTCATTTACTGCAAACCACTGGGAGTTTTCTCCCTGAGATTTCCTTGTTTTACCTTTATTTAAATGAACCAAATCCTTTGCATCAACTTTGTTCTTAAAGTGTCCCTGGGGCTGTTTAATATTTACCCACTGACTGAGAGTCGTGGCAGCTCCAGACATTCTATGTAGGAGGCACTCAGGGACTGAAAGGAAGAGATGGACGCTGCTTTTGGCTCTTCCACAGCAAATCTGTACTTTTACTTAGAATCTAAGTTTATCTGTGATGGCCAAGAGTCAGAAGCCAATGAAAGTTATGTGAAAACAAAAGTCATCTGACAAGTTCCCCTTTGGAAATCACTTCTGACTTTGAAGGGACAGACTACAGGAACTTCCCAAGATCCTCTGGTCCTCTGATTCTATTATCGTGAACACACAGTTATTGGCGGCCCTCTAACAACAAGGACAGTGAAATTTTTAAGACCCTTGAAGCCCTTGCCCCTAAAATATAGTCTATAGGGCCCCCAAGGGGAATATTAACTTAGAGGATCATTATTTCTGTATATTCATTGCCATCTGCTTTATGGAACGAGAGGTGGAGGCCGGGTTGTTGGGGGGAAGCTCAATGTACTGATTAGATTTAGCATTTAGCATTTATGTTTCCCTTGCTTTAGCTGTTTATGGATAATTATTGTGGTTACTTGGGAACAAATCTTATAATCCTGGGGAAGCAAAGACAGATGCAGATGCCTGTGAATTACATCCAATAGGATCAGAATATGGCTCATGAATTTTAGCCTCTCACCACCATGTAATCAGTGTTGAATTTGGATAGGTTACAGCAGAACCCTTAGGGAGAGTGAGAGAGCTGAAAAAGCTGAAATGTAAAAACAGCCAGGAAGAACATCACAGAGGCTCTTTCTATGAGGAGGAAAAGCACATACACCATCACCAAAATGACAGCAATGACCAGCCCAGGGTTTGAAAGCTGTCTCAAGATCTTCGCCATCCAGCTTGGGAAATCGTGCTCCAGGGTCTCTCCAATGACTTCAAACATTCTATTTTTGCCACTGGGGGAATTAAAAAGGGGGAGATAAGTTTATTAAGAACATATGGAAAAACCATGGTTAAAGCAAGAAAACTGGAAATCTTTCTCAATTACTGCTTAGGTCCTCTTTCAGGGTAGGAATCTGATGTTTAGCTACAACTTGCTGACACTTTGACCTCATGTAGTCAATATATGGGTAAGATACGAGAAATATGATCCCAGTATAAACATATAGTCAAAGCAGTTAGAAAATTAACCACATATTTAGGAGAAGATTTTTAAAAACTGTATTTCTAAGATTTTGATTGAAATATATTTTGTAAATAGCTCATAAGTCTGCCTCTCAGTCAGCTGCTCTTGTAGGAGAACACTCTCTTTGAGCTAAGTATTTTTAATTAGCCTTGGAAATGAGAGCAAGGAATAGCCCAGTGGAATAAAATCCACATATAATCCAATATCTCTTTCCACGCAATAGCTTCCACCTCATTTTCCACCAGACTTCCTTCATCAGATATGTTAATAGGTAAGGTAACCACACCGAATCATGGGTTTTTTCCCTCTCAGTTTCTTCTCCTGGACAGGCCCTAATGAATACCAGCTTAGCTCCACTGCTAAGCTCCATGAAGGCAAGTATCAGCTCCTATAAACTAGAAAACTGAGAACAGGATGTCTTGACTTACTAAGGAATAGCTAGAATTGTACCATAATATTCAAAATATTCATTACATCATTATTTTCTCTGTATATGCATACTGATTGTACTACGAAAAGATGTAATTTTCAGAAGAGATTTGGGTTGGGTTTCACCAAATTGTATGCATCATCAGAATAAATGTTGGTGCAACATTTAATACAATGTTTAGTTTTGCTTTTGTATTTTAATCTTTAAGCATTTTCAACTACTAAATAACAATGACACGCAAGTCCCAGATTATGGTTTTTTTCTCCTGGTCTAACCAATACTATCTTCCAGCAGACATAGTGACTCCATATATTTTGTCAGTAGTCATTGGACTACAGAGGTACAAGTTTTGCTTCACAAATTAAAGATCTACACTCTAATTTTCAAGACTTATGATACATAAGAGGGAATGAAGCTTACAAGCAATATAAGATTATAACTCCCTATTCCAATATGTTTTATTTTTCACCATTCCAAATTGTTCATACCCCCCAATGCAGCCCCAGCCAGATGGAATACAGGATAAGCAGATAAATTAAAAGTACCAAAAAAGATAAGACCATCTATCCTCCCTTCTCCAGCACCTCAGGTCATAGCTGATGAACGTAGTTAGAGTGGGGGCATTCAAATTTTATGAAATTATCCCTACACACAAAGGCCTTCTCAGCATCCAGTGTGACCCAAAGCAAAGTTGCTAAGTCCCTGGGGATTCCTGTGTACCTTTTTCAGGTCAGGTCTTTTACCAAAGAAAGGAGTCCAGATATCTTAATTACGTACAAATTATGGACGCATCTACATGTCCCTGGCAATGCCTTCTCCTGCCAGGTTAGCCAAAGTATGCTATCATACAATATTCTCAGAATTGTTTTCCAGTTGTCTGTGTCTATCCATAGTCCTGCTGTAGGCATAGCGCCACTCTAGATTAGAACAGTTTATGAGGAGGCCTGTCTTCCCAGCTGGGTGATAAGTGCCACAGGACCAGAATCAATGCTTAATGCATGGACTTAACCCTGTGTCTCTTCTAGTGCTTAGTGCACAATAAGCAGTCATTATTCATTCATTCATTCAAATTATTGACCAGCACTTTACTGTGTCCTAGATCCACAGAGAGGAAACTTCTCTATCCCCAATCTCTAGAAGTCAGCTAAACTATTAAGAAAAATAGATGCATAAAGCATGATTGCAAATGACCAATATAATAGCAGTCTCACAATATAATTTTAACTTTTAATACTAAAAAACCTGCACCTAGTATACTGATAGCAACAGGAGGCAGCCAAATGCCTAGGCAGATAGGGGCAGGTACCTGGTGAAATGCCACCTCCAAGCCAAAGACAGTTTAAAGCCTGAAAGCCAAGGTCCAAGTTAAATCCTCAGACCGGATTGAGAACTTGTCTTCCTGTTTGGCGCACTTTCCTCTGATTCATCCCCACCCTTCACCTATTTTACATATACCTACCCTTTCCTAGTTGGGTTTCTATACTGTCGTGTCTACCTTTGAGTGACACCTTCACTTTAGCCTTTTTTGCATACTCACAAACCAGTCAGCACACACTTCCATCCTGTGCCTATAAAGACCACAGACTCAGTTGGTAGAGGGGAGAGACGGCCTGACTTTGGGGAAGAGTCGGCCTGACTTTGGAGAAGAGACAACCTGACTTTGGGGAAGATGACCTGCCCTTCCTGGCCCCTCTCCAACTGCCCTCTCTGCTGAGAGCCAATTTCATTACTCAATAAAATTCTCCTCCTTCACCATCCTTCAATAATCCATGTGACCTCATTCTTCTTGGATGCTGGACAAGAGCTTGGGACCCACCGATTGTGGGAACCCAGGAAAGACTGTCACACTGGCCCTTTGCCCTCTCCAGTGGAGGGCAGCTGCCCCACATGATGAGGCAAGGGGCCAACTGAGCTGCTAAGACACTGCCATCCATCAGGCTGAGGATGGTGGAACTCAGGAAGCATTGTAACACCCCCTCTGGGGCTTTAGGGTCATAGGCACTTGGGCACCATTGCATTCTCCTCAAGGTGACACACCTGGTCTGGCCACGGGCCCCACATGGAGCTTGCTCCTGTGTCAGTGCCCAGTGTGTCTCGCCAGATCCCGCACTCACTTGCCCACGTGCTTCCTCCCACAAGGGGTTAAGCACAGCAGGCCGAGTAGACAGGGTGCCCCTCTGTGAGTCCAGTGAAGAGGCTGAGAAACATCCTGTGTCAGTACAAGCTCAGTTATGAAAAATCATGCATGAAAGGCAAAACAGAATATAAAATGCTAAAAAGTTGTTATTTCAGGTTTTCAAGATTATGGGCCATGTTTCTTTTCATGTAAAAATATTTCTACAATGTTTAGGTTTTCTAGCATAAACACATATTATCTTTGCAGTAAGATGAAAATATATGAAAAATAAAATTGTCATAATGTAAGCAGGGATGTATATAAAAACCTAGAGAACTATAAATTGTTCAGAATTATTGACATAGATGGGAGGAAACATCAGGTGTCAGGAAATGCTATAGAACAATTAGAATTGCCTTCATCTGGACATCTTTAAATTGTCAACTATTTACGATAAATCCACTTACTAGCCTATTGGAATAATTTCTTGGAAAATTTACCCTCTCTAGCCAGGTCTTATAAAACCAGACAAGCTAGAATATCTCATCAAATTGCTTTACTGAATGGATAAATATACTATAGCCATCTTACCTGAAAACTTCCCTACACTGGAGAGCAACTAGCCATCACTGTGATACCTCCAGTAACCTAGTTCAAATTTATATTTCCTAAATTCCTGCTTGCCCAGGATCTAGATAGAGTCAGACAACCTTCACCAGGAAGGTTAAGCAAATCACCTAAAACTTGGGGTTCATAAAGATGACAAGCTATGAGGCACCCACTAGTACAAGCATACAAGCATTCTCACCTCATTTCTAGAGCAGGACAATCCTTTCAAACTTTTAAGTCCAGACAAATAAACAATGCAAACATCCTTTGGCTCTAAAGTGAGGAAACTGACATGAAAAAAAAAATCTAAATAGCATAGAGATAACCCTTCCCAGTACTCCATTGAAAATATTTAAAATTCCCTGATTTCTCACAAATCACCCTAAAGAACTGACTCAAGTAACCAAACACTACTTGTTCCCCAATAACCTATGGAAATTAAAAAACAAATAAATAATTTTAAAAATAAAAAATAAATTTCCCTGATTTCAAAATAGTGATTTACATGCCATAATTTTGCCTAAGTTTGCCAATTAGGAAAGCCAGAAGAGTTAGGGCTTAAGAAGCTGAAATTGTGCAACTATTGTTCATGTCTAAGACGTATTGTAAATCTGAATGCATCTGTGGAGATCCATGTTTACATTGTGTGGTTTCCCTTACAGGCAGCTAGGGTCCTTTGCTATGTTTTACTGAGAAGGATCAACTTCCAATTAATAGCTTAATGCACACCTAAACTTATCCTGGATAATAAGTAGTGTGAATAATTTGCAATTAACTAAAGCCTTTGAATGGCATATTCCTTGAACTTTGTACTCTGAGATTGGTTCGGAATTTATTGAGACGAATGTCTCATCAAGACTGTAATTTCATATTTAGTCTCCAGATGTCACTGTCTGCATTATTTATTTCAGCCCACTTGGAAACACACACACACACACACACACACACACACACACACACACACACACAACGGAATTAACAGAGCTTCTCAACATCAGTTCTCTGAGTAGACAGAGGTCCAGCTAGTTTAACTCGATCAGCTGGCTTAACATTTTCTTGTTTTCCAGCAAAGCAATAACTCAGACTACTGTTAAGAGTGAAAATGTCTCTTATATACTTAGTCTGTCAGCAATGAACCTTTTGACTTTAATTAAATAACTTGGGTCTGACAACATAATGGAGGAATTATATGTGGGCATTACAGCATCATGCATATCATTCACATGGCTTTTTACAGTCTCATTTCCTTCACTGAAAAGGAGAAACAGCTCAAGTGCATGCTGGCCAGTGAATCAACATGCAGAGATTCTTGGGAGAACTTGTAGTAGATTCATTTCTAAGGCCCTTTAGGGAAAGAAACTTCATCCTCCAGATCCCAGGGACTTAGGTTTCTGATATGTGTCATAGAGAGAAGAGAGCTCTGTCATAGAGAACTGTAGAAATGTGTATCTCTAAATTGGATCAAGGAGCCGTTGTGACTCTCGATTCCTGACTTGAATGATAATTAGGAGAGAATATATATGTGGAACAGCCTTAATTTTTTTCACTAGCATGTGATATTTTGGATAACAAATTGGGTGGCCCTCCTTATGCTCATTAGTATTTAGTAATAATTCTCTTTCCTAGGTAAAGTGTGGGGTATTCTCTCTCTCTCTGTCTGTCTCTCTCTCTCTCTTTTTAAGGTAGTAATGCACAAGAGAAGTAGTGATAGCTGACCACGTCTGGATGTGACGGCCCAGAGTCAGGCAAACTCACATCCAGACCACTGTCATCAGACCTTGCTCTTAGCTATCCTCTAACATGGAAACAGCTCAGATTCACCATACATATTTTACCCAGGCAGAGCCTGGAAAAGTATAAAGTATTTTCTCTTTTATGATTCCCAAATGAGGAAATAGACAGAACTTGCCTAAGAATCTCCATGTCACCTATTGAACCTGAATACCCAAAGGATCTCATTTCTTTCTTTTTTTTTTTTTTTGAGACAGAGTTTTGCTCTTGTCCTCCAGGCTGGAGTGCAATGGCACCATCTCAGCTCACTGCAACCTCCGCCTCCTGAGCTCAAGTGATTCTCCTGCCTCAGCCTCTCAAGTAGCAGGGATTACAGGCACCCACCACCACACGCGACTAATTTTTTTTTCTTTGTATTTTTAGTAGAGACGAGGTTTCACCGTGTTGGCCAGGCTTGTCTCGAACTCCTGACCTCAGGTAATCTGCCTGCCTCAGCCTCCCAAAGTGCTGGGATTACAGGCATGAGCCACTGCGCCCAGCCGGGATCTCATTTCCACCAACCAAAAATGTCATTGTTTGGGGGGAAAAAATAGCTTATACAATGAATGACCATTCCCACCTCCACCCCCGAAAGAACACGATGCCTGAGTCAAATTTCAAAAGCAAGAGACCTGAATGGACCACAATCAAAAGATGGTGGGAGGGACACGATCATGTACAAGACAGGCATTGTGGACAGGAAGAGGATGAGCAGTAGCATGCCCAGGTAGAAGTTATTTGATCTGGAAGCTTTGAAGACCCTGGCCTCAGGAACATTGCAGCACATAACGGCCCAGCACTGGAAGTACATGGATGTATGGAGTCGAAGGATATTGATGCCTGGGAGGCTGGGAGCAAAGAAGGAGCCCATCCTAGAAAGAAAACAGAACTCTGCTCAGTTTTGAGTCTTTACTCCATAACAAAGTCACACTGCACCTGTTTATTTGACATCATGCTTCTTTTCCAAAGGCAGAAAATACACTGCCACTTTCAACCAGACAAACCCTTTTCATAAAGAAACTGCACTTATCTATTTCCAACTTCTAAACACATTTTGCCACTTTCCCCATTATTGTAGGAATTGCATATCATAATTATTTCATAGAAAGGATGCTGTAACTAACTATACCTACTATCATTAGTGAATTTAAACTACAACAGAGTAAACAATATTTACAATTGTTTTACTTCTTTCTTCTAATTCTAAAATAAACTTTCCCCAACACTTATATCATTGACTAATACACCTATAAATATAACTTGTTAAAAATAATTAACCCTTAAAGTCACTTCTTCTACTCAAAAAAACTGTACATTTGCATTAATCACTTCTGTCATGAATAATTAGTTTTTGCTTAATGACAGGAGGTCAAGGTTGCAGTGGGCCACGACTGTACAAATGAAAAAAGTTTTTTGCTTAATGAAAGAAAAAAATTAAAATAAATTTTCTCTTTCTGATGTTGATCATTTTCTCTTTGTAGGTGATATGGTGTTTTAAAGCCAATTGCAATGATGTGTTTGTGCCTCCTAAAATAGGGTTTTATTGAAAATTTATAACTAGCTTATAGGTTTTTGAGATGAAAATTCCACACATTTATTTAAATTTAGTTTATCTGTTTACTTTCTTACTTTAGCTTGTCTTGGGAATTCTCTGCTTTGTGCATCTGAGTTTTTATAAGCATTTTAAAATACTACTTTTAGGTGGGAACAACTTAGGTGTGGTCACTTTTACTTGATGGCTTAGTTGATTATTTCAACAAAATAAGTTTCACTCTTCTTGGATGAGAAAATTCATTAGCACCATAAATCAATATAAATAGCAATTTATTATTTCAAAATCAAAAAGAAGATATATGTGCACTTATTTTAAAAATGTAAGGGGAGCCCTGTCTTTTAAACTGTCCTATCTATAATGAAGCCCTCAACATTTATAGCTAGGTTTAGCATTTTGTACTCCCTGAATAGTTGTTTAGCCAATCCAACGTAAATTTGGTTCATTATAGAGACATTTTTAATTTAGATGAAGAAATTAGTTTCCACTATAATTGAACTTTTGCCAACCCAAAGTTAACTCATTTATTTGAAAAGTGGAATATTGTCACAATTTGGGCTGTCTTGTTGACAAGATTTCGGACAATAGATACGAATGATATTTTACCATAATGAATTGAACAAAGACTTTGTAGGAAGTTAAACTATTTTTTTCTAATGAGAAGACAGATTTTAAAACAATACAGTATACTTTTGTTACAGGACAGCAAGAGAGAGGGAACGCCAAAAAAGTGAGCAAGTAAGCAAGTGATAGTCCCAGCTAATGGGTTAGAATTGCAAAGCACTAGATTATACTCCCCAATACCAATACATGTTGATGTAATACACTTTGAGTCTTCCTAAAAATCAGGTGGTGACATCACTTGTTTTGGCCAATAAAGTATGAATAGAAATTAGGTCCTTACTGCTGGGTAGAAACTTTAAAAGTCCTGTGTGGTTTTCCTTCTCTTCATTCTCTGCTAGTGTGATAGCAATGTTTCAGATGGATCCTATTCCATCAGTCTGGGTCTCTAAAGTGAAGGTAAGTTCTAAGAGCAAAGCTCTTCTTCCACCCCACATTGAACATGTTCCTTTTATGAGCTGCTACGATTTTGAGGTTGTTTCATTGCTGCATAACCTGATCAATTCTAAAATATAATTTTGCACGTAATTCAAAATCGAGACTTGCCTAAAACCACATATATTTGTACCTATATACGTGCACATTGTTTGTATGTATATGCTTATTATTTGTGTATACATCTATAAATAAATTTCAAAATTTCAAAATAAGTATCACAAAGACATTTTAAACAAATAACTCAAGAGCCATAAGCTAGAAAAATAAGTCCTGGCATAATAATATCCGAATGTTAATGCTCATCCTATCTTTACTCATGCATTACTAATCAGCTCGGCTCACTAAGTCCCTTACCCAGGCATGATCCCATCATCTGTCAGTAAAAATCATTGTAACACTTTAGCCTTATAAAATTCTTTTCTTCCTGGAAGATCAAAGAAAATGAAAGCTTCTTTTATTTAACTCTCCTTATTACATCAGCGACATGTACATGTCAGGTAAATTATTCACATCTGATCAACTGAGAAAGTGAAGAAAAAAAGGTGATAAACCTGGCGGGAGAGTACCCAGTGAAGCAGTGTTGGAGCAATGTCCAAAACTCATTTTCTCTCTCACTGTGTGTTCTCTGCCATTTCTCAATATCCTGCTATGATAAAGATATTCTGTGCTTTCATCATTTAAAAATATTAGCACAGAAACTATCATGTGTATTTCAAAAAATAAGTGCGTAAATAAAGGTTACTAATCATTCAACCAAATCATAGCAAAATGGATTTTATCTATAAATGTTGATGTTAACAACATCTGCGTAAATAACCTCCACTACTCAGCGATTCCTAAAGGAGTAATTCAATATCTCCAGTCACAAGCCAATGGAATTGAATAAAACATCCCCGTACATTTTTAATTGTTTCTGTAGAAAATGGTTAAGCTCAGGCATTATATCCTCATGCTTCATAAAATAATGGAACGATTGTGTGTGAGGACCTTTGTGCAGAGTCAGCCTACTAATTTTACATTACACCTGCCCCACACCTCCCTCTACATGACATCCCCCTCCCTCATCAGCCTCCTAGGGTTAGGAAAAGAATATTTGTGCCAAGCATTGACGTGAAGGTGAATAATAGAATAATGGTCAGTTTGCTTCTGGAACTTTGGAAAGTGTGTGAATATCTTTGTATGCTCAAAAAACTCAATATTCTCTTCAAATTAGCCAGAAGCAAGCTTGACCACTGTCTGAAGAATTAATAAACAGAAAAAGACAGTGCAGAGATTTTGATAATGGATCTGCCCACGAGAGAACTGGAAAAACATGTTAGATATTTAAGAATTTCAATATGAACAATAGTGGACTAACATAGTTGCAAAATCAGTAGTGAAACCAAGCAGGACAGCCATTATAACAGCTTTTCTGACAATAAAAACAAATTTCTAGACCAATCTGTTGTCTTAACTCTGAAAGAACACAATCGACGTGCAGCATATGTCTGCGTGAATGGTACCCATGAGGCCTGAAGGATTTATGACACTTTGTGTAAAAGCCACTGATAGAACAGTGGTTTCTCATTACTCCCATAGCCGTGTTAGCCATTTTCTGCCATAACAGCAAATTGAACTCCAGGAAATGAAAGCTCAGAACCCACAGAAGCTGCTCCCTTTACTTCTGTGTCAGTAGACGTTCCTCGGGCCACCTTGACTTTCCTCCCTGCTTGGAAAATGTAGGATGCATTTCCTTCCTTAGTGAGTCTGGACATGTGAGTCATACTTGGAAAATTTAGAAAGGAAGGGAATAAAAATTAGATTTTTAAACCTACCTGACAAAGGAGGAAACAATATTTTTATAATATCTTTTCCATATTGATTCACCTAGTCAGGCACAGGAATTTAACAGTCATCCCATGGCAGGACGATGGAGCCCTGGAGAGTTGTCTTTGTGTGACAGAAGCAAGACGGTTTTAGCATTTGCAGAGGGGTCCGGTGTCTGTCAGCACCCAAAGGTTTAATAATTCAGGACAGATCTATTGGTACAATATATGAAACTTGTTCAAAAACTGAGTCTATACCGGCACTTGTGAATAGGACAATGGTATGGTTGGCAGCATAATATTGTCTTAGGCACATGTCCCCAGGATAAAGTAGCCTTATTGTAACTGCTTGTAGGCTGGAAATCTGAAGTGACAGATTTCCAAGACACATGGTCCCCAGATGAATCGGATGTCGTGATTCAGTTTTTAAACTCAAAAACGATTTCTACTGTATCGACTCATCTTAACCTGTCAAGTTTACAGTGAGAATGCTCTAATTTGATAAAAGATATGACAACCCTTCACACATCAAAAAAAATAATTCTGATGTGCCATGGCCCTATAAAACAAGTTACAAAATGAAGATCATATTTTAACTCGACCTTCCTAAAACATGCGTTTCATCTCGATAAACTATTGGATTTGATAAGGTATTATTTTTAAAAGTAGCTATAAGTTACATTTTAAATATATTTAGTAGTGACAACAAAATAAACTCGGTCTCTCGGAAAGGCCTTATGTTAATTTATTTCATACTTATCATGTGGTAATGTAATTATTAATGTTTTAATATTAGATCCTGGCGTCACAAAATATAAAAATATAGTCCTCAAATAAATCTGCTAACCAGAACACAGACTCCCATTATTTGATGAAGAAGTGCTTTGCAAAACAGAGAGACACCTTTGATGACTGACATTTAAGATATGAAAGAAAAGGAAACTATATACAGGCATCCACTTTGCAAAAGTAAATATGGAGTTAGACACCGATTGTATTCTCCTCTAACACCAGGATTCAATGCTGTATGCAAAAATAACCTGGGAGGCTTTTCTGTAAGTGATAAGCTGTCCAACAGCTGGCCTACCAGATCATGCCTTGGTTGAAGATCAGAGCGAGGACGTTGCCACTGATGTCGAATTCGGTGTATGAAGGCTAGAGGAGACACAATGTTCATTGGATTAGCGTCTCACATGGTCAAAACTGAAAGGCAAATTGTTCTGCATAGGCATGGCTAGGGTTTCAATTACTTCCCTTCAGCAACAATAGCAGAATAATCACTAGGATAAGTAACCAGATATAAATAAAACAAAGAAAGCACCTTTTTTTTTTTAAACACAGTGAGACTCATTTTTAAATGCTGTCATCCAATGCTATGAAAGTACAGCAAGACAGGCTCCCTTATACACTGCTGGTGACAGTAAAAACTGTAGCAACCTTTCAGAAAAACAATTTGACAGTACATATTAAAAGCTTTAAAAATCTTATTCTTTTTGATTCTGTAAGAAAACTTCTAGAATCTGTCTTAATAAAATTATCTGATGTGATGATAAACTTTAACAAGCAATGATGAAACCATCTAAGTGTTGAACATTAGTTATGTATATACAGTATATTTATACTATGATATATTGCAATGAATTACAATCATTTTGAAAGAATATTTATGTACATGAGGAAAACTGTGCTCTAATGTTAAACAAAAAATATAAAGCCACACATTAATCAACTATATGAAACTATGCACAAAGACTGGAAAATAATCAGCAAGATAGTCATACTTTATATGCGGGTGATGAACTATAGTTTTCCTTTTCTTTTTCAAGTTTTGCATATTAAAAATTTTTTCAATGAAAATGTGAATTAACTTTAACATAAAGTAAATACAGCAAAAGAAATATAAAAAAAGCTTAAGAAGTTACTCAATTCAATGTCCAGTCTCCATGTCTTGGATATTAACCTTCATGCTCAGGGCAGCAACACTAGGCTGTTTTTTGTACAGAGGAGCCACAAAAAACCAATAGAATGGAAGTGGTTAACTGTGATAGGGTGGCCCATCTAAAGGCTTCCTGGTGATGCATTAGGCATCCTAACAGGAGATTCTAACAATGGAGTAAATGCTAATTAGCAAGGGCAATAAAACTGGCTCTTATTTAATTTGGGATAGAGAATCAGAGGAGACTGACCAACTGGTAATAAGGGAATAAGAATGCAGTAAATACGAAATGAGAGGGCCAAGAAGACCACGAAAAAGACACCAAGACATTGGCAGGTTCCTAGCACTGCTCAGATCTTATTATCTCCAGGTGTGCTTCAGACCACACATATCCCCATAACAGCTCCCTCCCCAACACACACACACACACACACACACACACACACACACACACACACACACACAAAGATGATCCAAGAGAGCCTCTGTTCCTCCCAAACCCAAGAACTCAAAAATATATTTGTAAAAAGATAGAATTGGTTCCTGATTTGGAACTCCAACAAAACCATTCTCAATTTTCAAATGCTTGGCCTCAAGAGTCTCATGAATCCAGGCCTCAACTTCATCACTTTCCTAAAAGGCAGTATTACTCTCCTATTCAACTGAAACATAGGGACAATCTCCCTTGTAACAGATTCAGGGAAAGAAGAGCAAGTATGGCATAACAGGAATGGTTAACCCTCAAGGTAAAATGATAGGATGATACATAATGAAATAATAAAGAGTCCTGTGTATTAAACAGAACAAAGATGACCTGGATAACTGCAGTATCACTCTAGATACTGTTGAAGGACAGCTACAAAGTGTTTCGTTAGTTTGCCGACTTTCTAGAAGGGCAATGTTCACAAGAGGCAAAAAGGTTTGGTTGACAGTTTTTGTGCTGAAATCATCAATGGAAAAAAAATGTGTCCTTCATGGAGAAAAATGAACTGCTTCTTATCTGGAGAACATTAACTCTGAGTCTTTTTCCTTCTGGGGGAGTGCCCTGCTCTGGATGATCTTCAGCACTTTTCCCCTGGAGCCCTGTGTGATCACAGAACACATCTGAAAAATGCTTACTCGGTTGGCCCGTACCCATCTGTTGCCTTGGAACAGCCTTTCTCTGTCTCTGTTTAAAAATCAAATCTTAAGCCTTCGCCTCCTTAGAATGGTATCATGAGGTGGCCCACCAAACTACTGAACGTGGAGAAAACTCAACGTTTTAAATGCCTGTTTTCTTCACTCTCTCACAAGCACATAGAGCTCCTGAGGGTCATTAGAGATGAGACATTTTATAACTAGTTGACTAGAAAAGCATAAAGGACACCCTAGGGTCCCTAGCTTCCTGCTGTGTTTGCAGCAGGGACAGCTGGAGGAACAACCCCCTTGATCTATAAATTGGCCTGATGCACAGAAAGGATACAGGGTGGCCATACTGGACCAAGTGGATTTGTAGAACAGACATTTGACTGGGATTCAAACCTGCATTTTAGACTTCACTCTACCATTTCTTAGCTAGGTAAGCTGGGCAGGTCACTTATCTCATTAGGCTTAGTTTCCTGACACATAAATCAAAAATGAACTAGACCAAAGGTCAGCATACTATGGCCCATGTGCCAAATCTGGACTGCCACCTGTTTTAACAAATAAATTTTATTGGAATACAGCTATATTCATTCATTTATATATTATCTATGACTGGTACTAAAACAACAGCATTTAGCAGTTATAATAGAGACACCATGGCTTGCAAAAGCTAAAATACTTACTATCTAGCCCTTTACAGCAAAAGTTTGCCAACCTCTGAACTAGTTCATTTCTAAGATCCCTTTCTAGTCTAAAAATACGTTATTGGTTGAAAATTAGAACCAGTTATGAAAGAATTGCTTCTCTGTAAACACCTTAGAAATGGAATTTAACTTATGCAATAAACACAGAAGCTCTCACTTTAAAACTAAAACAAAAGAGAAGGCAGAAAAACTACACATATGTAGTATAAAAGTCAGTGCTCATTGTTTTAGAGGTAGGCTTTTATAAACATTAGGTTATATTATATTTTAAATTTTTAAAGCAATACTTTAATAAATATAAATCAATTTGCAATATATTTTGTTTGTCTCTAAAATAGAAAAAGCTCAAAGGTAAAAAACGGTTAGGGAAAAAGAAAAAAAAACAGATTCTCTTGAACTTTGAGATCATAAAATTATTTGAATGAGCTAAGTGTAATAAACTCACTAATGACTGCTCATTCCTGGTAAGACTGTTGGGGGCCAGCATCAGAAAAGCCCATGTGGATTTGGGCTAAAGTCCATCATAGTTGAGGGATTGGAAATGATGTTGTTTAATTTTTGGACCTTTGCTTGTGATGTGCTAAGTCAGTCATCCACCCAGAGGGAAGACATATGGTGCTCACTTGACAAAGAAAAAGCCTGGGAAGATCTCTTCTCTCTCTGCAAGTTTCATTATTTGAGGCAGATTGCCAACCTGTGGATAATATGAAATGCAATTCAGGATCTCAGAGAGAATTAATTCTGTTGTGGAATGAGTTGCCTGACCTTCTGCACATAAATCCCATTTCTCACAGCTGGAATCACTCTGCTTAGAGCTGCAAGCTAGTCTGGGCTGTGGCTCCAGAGCAGTGGCTTTTGAGTGTGGTCCTCAGACGAGAGTCAGCAGCATCACCTGGGAACTTGTCAGAAAAGCACATTCTCGGGCCTGGCCTCAGATCTACTGAATCAGAAATGCTGTTTTCACAGGTCCTCAGGGGATTCTGATGTATGCTCAAATTCCAGAAGCACTGATCTAGGACAAACTCTAGCCTCGTCTGCTAGGATGATTGAGCACTTGAGGCTTTGTACTTCAACCCTAGTTGAGAATAGGATCCTGTTAACTGCAGACAGATCCTGTCCACATATTCAAGGAACACTTAAAATACAGTCTGCATTGTCCCTGTTCCCATGTTCTCAACCCCTTATGGGATGCTGATGATTTCTTCCTGATTCTTTATCATTCTACCTTCCCGAACTGATATATAATATCTCCACGTTCCCAGCTAGAGAACAGTTGATCTTCTAATTCTGTATCCCAGTTCATTTGCTAACTCCATTCTACCACAGGTAGCCTGCCTAAGCCTATGAGCACTTTGAGTTCCAAAAGCCATAGGTTTAGTGTATGAATTATTCAAGTTTTGGCAGAATTTTTAAAATTTCTAGAGTCAAGCATTACGGTGTAAATTCAACATGATGGAAATTTGGTTGATGGCTTTGAAGGTGATGAGACTCGAGTTTCAGGCCTAACTCTACCACTAACCATTAATGTGTCTTTGAGCAATTATTTAACATCCTCTAAGCCTCAGTTTACTGTAAAGTAGGAACAATAATACCACCTCACAGCATTGCTGGTACGATCACATGGAATAATACATGTAAAGTATTTTGTAGAGTTTCTGATACAAAATAAGCAGTACATTGAGATGTGACATAATACAATATAATATGATTGGGAATCCACTAAGGTAGTCAGTCAATTATATGCCTCTTATTTATGGATAATCCTGAGCATCCTTCATCAGACTTTAAAGAAGTCTCCCATCGCTGTTCGGCTCTCACTTACGAGTGAGCAATGATCACCTTAAAAATACAACTGTGAACACCATGCTGAGTTTATTGAACATTCCCTTACCCCATCATGCCCTGAATCTAATTCTATTTCTTCTTGAATATTCTTTACTTGCTTTGCTGGTAAATAGTAAGAATGGTGTCAATGAAAACTGAAGTGAAGATAAAGATATTCTGCATTGAACTGCCAAAGAAAACCCAAAGTTTACAAGAGGGCACACTTTGTATTAAATTAGAGCAGTTAAAATCCTTCCTAGGGACAAACTATTCTACTCCTCATGAACTCTTCTGAAACACTGAGAACTGTGCTCAGAGAAGCCTTTGGAGACATTAACTTACATTACATTAACTTACATTGGTCTGGTAATCTGCTCCAAGCCAGTAATTTTTCCACCTTAGTTAATCTTCATAGGTTTGTTGTGATAACATTATGACCATAAATTTGTGTCTTGAAAAATATTCACAATCCCTTTTAACCCAGCTTACTCAGATAGAGCCAGTACAGAAATCAATACATTTAACATAACATTTTCGTCCAGAAGTGTACTTCATTGTCCTTATTATTCTCTGGCTACATAAACTTAGGAACCTCATTTCAATTCACAGATGCAATTTTTCATATGTTAAATACATGCATTACAACTGGTTGTGTCAAAATCCACCTAACTTTAGCATTCTATAGATCTCTGAATCTAATGCTGAAATCTGCAGAGTCTCTACAGAGGCTGTTGTAATAAAAGTGAATAGACTTTTTTAAAGCCCTCTACTGTGACTGAGCAATTCAACTCAGAGAAATTTATCATAAGAAAATAATTTGTACATCCACTATGATTTATCTATGAAGATACTTATGTACATGGATATAATTAAATGTCATCACAACACTTATTATCATAAGAATAATTAGACAGTTCAACTTAAAGCAAATTAAAAACTAATTAGATTAATTATACTACATTTGCATACAGAATATTATACAACCATTTAAAAGGTATGTTACAAAACAACAGTTAATAGCATTGGGAAATGATCAGTGTTAGGTAAAACAAATAAAAGCAAGTAACCAGTCTACTCTACTACCTGTTTACACACATATATACGTATACAAAAGTATATATGTGTATATTTATAAAAATCTGTTACTATATATAAATATGTAGCACTTGTTATCTAACACTATTTGATTCAACAATCCAAATAATTAATCTCATTAGTGGCAGAGATTACCTATGATTTTTACTTTCATATTAGCTTTGTTATATTTTCCAAATTTTCTACAATAAACTGGCATTATTTTTGGAATTCAGAAGAAAAAAATCATGTGCTTTGTGTGTGTGTATACATGCACATGCATGCATACAGTAGAAAGGACCATGATTTTATCTTTTATTTCTGACAGAATTCTCAAGTATGTCCTCTGCCTATCTCAGGTTGTCCTTCCCTTCATGACAGGTACTTTCTGAAACCATATTATTGATTAGCAGGTCTAGGAGAATAGCAGAGAAACATTCTTATTAGCCTTTTCTGCTCTAAAACAGCCTCATTTTAGTTTTTTTTTTTTTTTTTTTTAATCTATGCCTGGATTGCCCACACTATCTATCTCTGGTGCTCTGTCTTACACTTGTCCCTCCACCGGGAATTCTTTCTTTCATCTCTTGAAATCCTGATCATTCTTCAAGACTTAGTTCAAATGTCTCCTCCTCTGTGTCTGCATTTCTACTGATGCACGCCTGTCTCTCTCTCTCTCACACACACACACAAACACACACACACTTTCTCTTCAAGGGCCATACAATTGATTTCTCTATTTATATCGGGAGCTTGTAAGAGAAAAGAGTGGTGAAGAGTATGAGGAACTGGAGAATGAATATCCCAACTGCAGATGGCAGTGGTTTCTCAACTCCAGCCAATTTCTCCCTAGTGGGAATACAGATTTAATGTTGCCAGCCTTTCAAGAAAAACAATAAATCCATGTGTTTTTATGTAAGAGCTCTCATTTTAAAATATTAGCTCATAAAAAATGAAACAAAAACAAACACCACCACTGGGCATACCAAACAAAAATATCCATTAGCTGAATCTACCCTGCAGGCCAAATTTGCAACCTCTACGTAAGTCTACATCTTCTACATCCCTGTATTCCTTTATCACCTAGCACAGAGTTTGTTCATAATGGCTTGCACCTAGTAGGCCCTCACCCGTGTAAGCTATCCATTTGGTAAGTCAATGACAATGGGATCTACATCAAAGATTCGTCATCCATCATTAATGTTTTAAAACTTGTTTTGATTCTGACAGAGCTTTTTTGAGCCTTCCAAAGGTAACGTGGGAGAAAATTCCTTCTCTGTGACCTAAAACAGGAACTTGTCTTTTTTCCTGTACTTTCTACTAACCCAGGAACACTGTCAGCAGTCAATAAATAATAAATTACAGTCATTTAATTACAGCTTTTATGCATCCAGGTCATGTAATATTGACTTCATATTTGCACTCAGATTTTCTGCCACTTAAGAAGAAGGCAGCCAAGGGATAAAAGGTAAGTACAAGCCAAGCAATGGTCTAAGGAAGAAATGGCAATTTTTATGTCTGCCTCAGAGGAGCTGAATCAGGTAAGGAAAATAGAAATGAAACCAAGCCAGCTGAATACCTCATAGCAAAGAATGGGAAAGCAACACAAGAGCATCCTGTATCTGTAGCCATTACCTCACTGTCGTTCACCGAAGAGCATTACCTAACTGCTTTTGGCCAGTCCGAGGAGGCACTTTCAATGAGGGTGATGGAGACGACCTTATAAAAGGTACCATCTCAAAGTCAGACAGCCAGACAGATCTAGCCTGAAATCTTGAAAACAGTCCTAACTGTTGGACTCATCCAGAGACTAGAGGGCAGGAGATAAAAGAGATAGAAGATCAGCTATAAAGGATATTCCCTCACTGGTGAGGAGAGAAGCATTACTGGCTCAATAACTCAAAAACATTACAAACACTGAGACTCCATGGGCACATGCTTCGAAGGAGGCAGAGTTCTGGCAATAGACAGTGCTGCCTTGATGGTGCAAAAATGAGAAGGTTCAACATTCAAACAGCCAGCCAACACATGCTGCCTGCTACGTGACTCACACAGTTCAAATAAGAGAGGTCAGGGCCTCTATTTTCATAGAGTATTCTTTCTAACAGAGGGAGATAGACCATGAGTACATTTTACAAGAGTAATGTCAAATAGATGCACATCTTATGAAGAAAACAGAACAGTGTGTTGATATAAACAGTGCCTGATTGGCTACATTAGAATAGGTGGTCAGAGAAGAGCACTAAGGAGGTAACATAATAGCTGAGTCTTTAATGACAAGAAGAAACCAGCCATTCCTAGCTCTAGGGCAACAGCACCCCTTGCGGGAGAAACAGCAATTACAAATGCAAGGACCATCTTGTGTTTGAGCATAAAAAGCAGCCCATGTTTGAGCATAAAAAGAAGCCCATGTGAACTTTACAAAGCAAGAGCAAAAGAGGTAGCAAATGACTTGAGAGAGAAAGAAAAGGAGCAGATCATCCAGGGTACTGAAGGCCTAGAAAGGGATTTGGAAATCATTCTAAGTACTTGAGAAGCCACTGGAAGATTTTAAGCAAATGAGTACTACCAACCCCCCAGGTCATATTTTCCAGGATGACTGAGACCAGTTTGACTCAAAGGAGGACAGTGGAAACCAGGCAATGTGCTAATCACAGGGTGATGAGTGTGCTGTTGCCCTCAGACTTTGTTGGGGGACCTGAGGATGACCATAGAAGGAAAGCTGGTGATGGAGTCAGCACCAGTGTGGTTCTGAGAGACCTGAGCCATTGTTTCAGGAAAAGAAGCCGCCCCTGCCAGAATTCAGCTCCACCACTTGCCAGATGCATGACAGCAAACTAGGCCTTCCTTGAACCTTCTGCAGCCTCTTGTGTGTGTCTCTTTCGAGCTCTTATTAGACTGTGAACTTTGTGAAGCAAGTACCATATTTATCAAATCCTTTTATCCACCCCATCTACTGCACAGTGACTGGCATATGATAGTATCCAGGAGTTTAGTAGAATTCAAAGGCATAAATAGAATATGCAGTTGATATTAGCCATCTTTCCCTGCTTCTAGAAATGCTAGTAAACTTATAGGGAGAAGGTGGGCTACAGGGCCAAGATTTACTGAGTTCAACATTTCAGCTGACAAGTTGAGGTCCATTGCTTTTGCTATCTTGTGCTAATTTTACTAGAATATTGTAAACCATGATACTCGAGTCTGAACTTCTCTGCATTATAAATGTACTCATTGGTCTTCATTTATTGCACCTAAAACGGTGATCCCATCCACTAAACTCTATGATGCCTTTCTCTTATATAGTGTGTGTAAATGACGAATTACAAAGGAAAAACCTTATAAGCGCAAAATTACTCCCTCTCCCTCTCCCCATGGTCTCCCTCTCCCTCTCTTTCCACGGTCTCCCTCTCATGCTGAGCCGAAGCTGGACTGTACTGCTGCCATCTCGGCTCACTGCAACCTCCCTGCCTGATTCTCCTGACTGAGCATGCCGAGTGCCTGCGATTGCAGGCTCGCGCCGACACGCCTGACTGGTTTTGGTGGAGACGGGGTTTCGCTGTGTTGGCCAGGCCAGTCTCCAGCCCCAAACCGCAAGTGATCCGCCAGCCTCAGCCTCCCGAGGTGCCGGGATTGCAGACGGAGTCTCGTTCACTCAGTGCTCAATGGTGCCCAGGCTGGAGTGCAGTGGCGTGATCTCGGCTCGCTACAACCTCCACCTCCCAGCCGCCTGCCTTGGCCTCCCAAAGTGCCGAGATTGCAGCCTCTGCTCGGCTGCCACCCCGTCTGGGAAGTGAGGAGCGTCTCTGCCTGGCCGCCCATCGTCTGGGATGTGAGGAGCCCCTCTGCCTGGCTGCCCAGTCTGGAAAGTGAGGAGCGTCTCCGCCCGGCCGCCATCCCACCTAGGAAGTGAGGAGCACCTCTTCCCGGCCACCATCACATCTAGGAAGTGAGGAGCGCCTCTGCCCGGCCGCCCATCATCTGGGATGTGAGGAGCACCTCTGCCCGGCTGCGACCCCGTCTGGGAGGTGAGGAGCATCTCTGCCCGGCCGCCCCATCTGAGAAGTGAGGAGACCCTCTGCCCGGCAACTGCCCCGTCTGAGAAGTGAGGAGCCCCTCCGCCCGGCAGCCGCCCCGTCTGAGAAATGAGGAGCCTCTCCGCCCGGCAGCCACCCAGTCTGGGAACTGAGGAGCGTCTCCGCCCGGCAGCCACCCCGTCCGGGAGGGAGGTGGGGGCGTCAGCCCCCCGCCCGGCCAGCCGCCCCGTCCGGGAGGGAGGTGGGGGGGTCAGCCCCCCACCCGGCCAGCCGCCCCGTCCAGGAGGTGAGGGGCGCCTCTGCCCGGCTGCCCCTACTGGGAAGTGAGGAGCCCCTCTGCCCGGCCAGCCGCCCCATCCGGGAGGGAGGTGGGGTGGTCAGCCCCCTGCCCGGCCAGCCGCCCCGTCCGGGAGGGGAGGTGGGGGGTCAGCCCCCCGCCCGGCCAGCCGCCCCGCCCGGGAGGTGAGGGGCGCCTCTGCCCGGCCGCCCCTACTGGGAAGTGAGGAGCCCCTCTGCCCGGCCACCACCCCGTCTGGGAGGTGTGCCCAACAGCTCATTGAGAATGGGCCCGGATGACAATGGCGGCTTTGTGGAATAGAAAGGCGGGAAAGGTGGGGAAAAGATTGAGAAATCGGATGGTTGCCGTGTCTGTGTAGAAAGAAGTAGACATGGGAGACTTTTCATTTTGTTCTGTACTAAGAAAACTTCTTCTGCCGTGGGATCCTGTTGATCTGTGACCTTGCCCCCAACCCTGTGCTCTCTGAAACATGTGCTGTGTCCACTCAGGGTTAAATGGATTAAGGGTGGTGCAAGATGTGCTTTGTTAAACAGATGCTTGAAGGCAGCATGCTCCTTAAGAGTCATCACCACTCCCTAATCTCAAGTACCCAGGGACACAAACACTGCGGAAGGCCGCAGGGTCCTCTGCCTAGGAAAACCAGAGACCTTTGTTCACTTGTTTATCTGCTGACCTTCCCTCCACTATTGTCCTATGACCCTGCCAAATCCCCCTCTGTGAGAAACACCCAAGAATTATCAATAAAAAATAAATAAATTTAAAAAAAAAAAAAAGCAAAATTAACATCATACTTACATATCCATACTCCAAGTCCCAGCACCAGCAATAATTGCAAAACCTCACAAAACATGCCCTTAGAAAGTCCCCAATGAGGATTGTGACGTAGGTGGTCAGAACATCAGAGACTGTCAGCCTCACAAACTCCTGTTGAGATATTATCTCTATTAAAACACACAGTTCTGTCTTCAAATGGTCCTAGTGTTGGTATTAAATCTGTCATATTTCTAAAGAAGTATTGGCTTGAAGACTGCAATTAATGGCAAAAGAAGAAAACAACTAGTCATATCAAGTAAATAAAAAATATTTCACCCTGACTTTATTACTTAAAAAATAATTATTTCCCGTTTACTAAATCAAAAGTTTTCTTCTTACTGAGAAATTTCATAAACATGATACGAGAGCCAAAAACAGGAAAATATTGGCCACACAGCAGTTTAAAATTTTATGTGGTGAATAGCACTATTTACAGACTTGAAAGACAAATGTGGAAAAAGTGCTTGCAACGTATATGATAGAGGGTGAGTATTGCTAACACATTAAAAGATTTTACAAATCAGTATGAATATAGATTGGCAATCCAATAAAGAAAGAAACCAGCAAAAGTCACAAATTAAAAATTCACAGAAGAACATATACAAACGGTCCGTTAAAATTGAAAAATACCGAAACCCCACATAATAAAAATACAAATGAAAACAATGAGTTGTTGCCTCACGAATGACAAATGTAAAATCCATGCTTCTTCATATTGGTGAGTGTGGTGAACTAGCATGAGCATAAACTGATGGGGAAGTTAAACCGGGCACAACGTTGGGAAGAAATTTGTTAAGATCCATCACATTTTAAAGTGTTTGGAGCTTGATCAAGAAAATCCACTTTTAGAAATGCCTATGACAGCAATATTTGCACATGTGCACAAATCTATACATACAATCATGAAAGTACTGCTTCTTCCAGATTAAAAACGGAAAAATTTGAATATGCTTGGGAGACTAATTAAATAAAACAAATTAAATGTCTGCACAATGGTATATTGTAAGCCCCTAAAACAAAATGCTATCGTGATGCTGGATGCATAACTATGTGAATATATTAGAAACCATTGAATTGTGTATTTTTTTAAATTTTTTATGTCTTCTTTTTTTATTTTAAGTTCTGGGGTACACGTGCAGTTTTATTACATAGGTAAACACATGCCATGGTGGTTTGCTGCACCTATCAATCCATCACCTAATTATTAAGTCCTGCAATCATTAGCTATTTTTCCTGATGTTCTCATTTCTCCCTTACCCCCGACCAGGCTCCAGTGTGTGTTGTTCCCCTCCCTGTGTCCATGTTTTCTCACTGTTCAGCTCTCACTTATGAGTGAGAACATATGGTGTTTGGTTTTCTGTTCCTGTGTTAGTGTGCTGAGGATAATGGCTTTCAGCTCCATCCATGTCTCTGCAAAGGACATGATCTCATTCCTTTTTATTGCTGCGTAGTATTCTATGGTGTACATATAGCACATTTTCTTTATCCAGTCTATCATTGATAGGCATTTGGATTGATTCCATGTCTCTGCTATTGTGAATAGTGCTGCAATGAATATACGTGGGCATGTATCTTTGTAACAGAATGATTTATTTTCCTTTGGGTATGTACCCAGTAATGGGATTGCTGGGTCAAATGGTATTTCTGGTTCTAGGTCTTTAAGGAATTGCCACACTGTCTTCCACAATGTTTGAATTAATTTACATTCCCACTAACTGTGTAAAAGCCTTCCTATCTCTCTGCAGCCTCACCAGCATCTGTTGTTTCCTGACTTTTTAATAATCACCATTCTGACTGGTGTGAGATGGTATCTCATTGTGGTTTTGATTTGCATTTCTCTAATCATCAGTGATGTTGAGTGTTTTTTCATATGGTTGTTGGCCACGTGAATCTCTTCTTTGAGAAGTGTCTGTTCATGTCCTTCACCCACTTTTTAATGGGGTTGTATGTTTTTTTCTCGTAAATTTGTTTAAGTTCTTTGTAGATTCTGGATATTAGATCTTTGTCAAATGGATAGATTGCAAAAATTTTCTCCCATTCTGTAGGTTGTCTGTTCACTCTGATGAGAGTTTCTTTTGCTGTACAGAAGCTCTTTAGTTTAATTAGTTCCCATTTGTCAATTTTTGTTTTTGTTGCAATTGCTTTTGATGTTTTCGTCTTGAAATCTTTGCCCATGCCTATGTCCTAAATGGTATTGCCTAGATTTTCTTCTATGGTTTTTATAGTTTTGGCTTTTATATATAAGCATTTAATCCATCCTAAGTTAATTTTTGTATAAGGTGTATAGACGGGGTCCCATTTCAATTTTCTGCATAGGCTAGCCAGTTTTCTTAGCATCATTTATTAAATAGCGAATCCTTTCCCCATTGCTTGTTTTTGTCAAGTTTGTCAAAGATCAGATGACTGTAGGTCTGTGATCTTATTTCTGTGTTCCCTATTCTGTTCCACTGGTCTGTCTGCCTGTTTTTGCACCAGTACTATGCTGTTTTGATTACTATAGCCTTGTAGTATGGTTTGAAGTCAGGTAGTGTGACACCTCCTGTTTTGTTCTATTTGCTTTGGATTTTCTCAGTTATAAGGACTCTTTTTTGGTTCCATATGAATTTAAAAATGTTTTTTTTCTAATTCTGTGAAGAATGTCAATGGTGGTTTAATGGAAATAGCATTGAATCTATAAATTATTTTGGGCAGTATGGCCGTTTTCACAATATTGATTTTTCCTATCCATGAGCATGGAATGTTTTCACATATGTTTGTGTCCTCTCTGATTTCACTGAGCAGTGGTTTGTAGTTCTCCTTGAAGAGTTCCTTCAAGTATGTCCCAGAGATTCTGGTACATGGTCTCTTTATTCTCATTAGTTTCAAGGAACATCTTGATTTCTGCCTTCATTCCATTATTTACTCAGGAGTCGTTCAGGAGCAAATTGTTCAATTTCCATGTAGTTGTGTGGTTTTGAGTGAGTTTCTTAATTTTGATTTCTAATCTAATTGTTCTGTTGTCTGAGATACTGTTTGTTATGATTTCAGTTATTTTGCATTTGCTGAGAAGTGTTTTACTTCCAATTATATAATCACACAATGCCCAGCAATTTCTGTACACTCATAAATAAAAAATGAATGAATGATAGTATTCCTGTGGTTATTTTTGGACATAATTTTTCTCCTTCCTACTCTTTGTCTCCTTTCCTTTCCTAAGGCAGTTCTTTGTATGTATGTATGTATGTATGTATGTATGTATATATGTATGTATGTATGTATGTATGTAGAGACAGGGGTCTTGCTATGTTGCCCAGGCTGACCTGGAACTCCTGGACTCAAGCAATCCTCCTGTCTCAGCCACCTGAGTAGCTGGGACTACAGACACATGCCTCCATGCCCACCCTTTCCAGGCAATGTTGAGCTCAGATTCTAATAACTAGCATCAATTAGAGGAAGGCTATGAGGGATATTTTTAGGTTTCTACTGCCAGGTCTAGAAGACTTCCTCAGGTAAGAAAACATTTCAGAGTGGTTTGGAAGTCCTCCACATCCTCTTAAGCATCCTCATCCCAAAGGTTGAAATTCTATTCCTTCCCAAGCAGTGACCTAACTTTCACATAAAATATCTGAAGAAGATTCAAACATTGTATTAAAAATTTTAAATGTTTATTCATATACCATAGGAAAAATATATTTTAAAAGAAAGAGAATCCAAACAATGGTAGCCCAGCCAATCTCAAGGATATCATCCTAGTTCCTTGTGTGCTTGTCAGGATGGGGAGCACAGCCCCCACACAGGCCTCCTGCTAAACCCCACACTCCACACCTAAAAACTTTGCACACGTGATGTTAGTTAAAATGCCTGGGCAGCTTTGATCAATAAAGCTAAAGAAATAATTTATTAATAGGTGAAGGGAAAACAATAGGCAAGGAACATCATAAAAGGCCACCAAATATAGACATTGCAGGCAGGAGTTTGGGGAGTGTGTGTTGATGCTAACTGGGGGACAATTTAGCACTGTGAACAAAGACACAAACTCTGTAAGCAGACTATGTAGGCTGAACTGGGGCTCCTGTCATTGACTTTCTCAGAGATCTTGAGCAAATTACCTAAGTCTCAGTCTTCTCATCTATAAAACGGAAATAATAATATAACGTATCTCAGAATGAAACGTAAAAATTTGAGGAGGAAATACTTGGCACATTAGCCATTTTATCTTCAGCTGTTGCTTTCTCCCCTTCCCCAAAGTGAAGACCTCAGGATATAGCTTCAAAGAGGAATGGCTCTGCTGCCCACCTATCAAATCCATTGGGGATGAAACTAAATGATTGCTTGGGAATCTGCAGAAGTAAAGGAGCAATCACATTATCCTATATTCAAAACAATAAGTGCTTTGAGTCTCATAGCATCCTTGGAGAAAATCAAAGCAGAGGGTATCCATGGAGGAGAAGAGGAAACATCTGTAATGCTCTCATAGAACAATGAATGAGGGTGCATATCTAACATTACATACAGAGCAGCTGCCTTTACTATTTTTGGAGGCATATTTTTTAAGCAATTAAAGAATAGAAATTTTAGATGCATGGATACAGATATTGATCTCTTAAAGGCCAGACCTTGCCAGCACTCAGATTTGTTATGTCCTATATGTTCTTTTTGTTCCCAGAGATTCCATCTGCCTAATCAACATTCCAGTCAGAACCACAACCCCTTTTCCCTTGGCCCGCTTCTGCAGACTTTCCCACTAGAGCTTAATGCTTCCTTGGAGAAAGGAAGGTGAAAGATAAGGGGGAAATCCAACTAAAATGGCAGTAAGAAAATATGATGAAGCAAGGAAAATCACTACAGACAGGTTTAAAAAAAAAAAAAGACAAGCAGCATAATCCACGGGCTTCCAAGGTGGAGGATTAACTAAATGGTATTTCTTCTCTTTTAAGTCAGTATGTGTGGGACTATCGCAGAACCATCTGCATCTGAAACATGAATATTCTCCTAGATTGCATTCGCATTCCTATCTAATTAATCCATTCCTTCACTCCAGAAGTGGCCAGCCCAGATCCTACTCTTTACAGCTAATTCTATTAATCCCATTCAGTAGATGTTTTTGCTTGTTAAAGTGCAGGTTTCTTAGCTTTCAGGCCAACCTGTGTTCTAGGATGTGCAGAAGAGAACGTCTCAAATTCCTTCAGTTTCTAAAACTGTACTTCCTATATTTTCCTTTCTTGAATCGTATGCTGAAGATTTAGGGAGCGGCTTAGTTGTGATAAAACAGACTCGTGTTAAGCACCACAACCAGACTTCACTTCAAAAAGCCATGGAACAGGGAGACCCAAGTACCATGATGTACTCATTTCCTATTGTTGCTGTAACAAATTGCCATAAATGTAGTGGTTTAAAACAATGCAAATTTATCTTCTTACAGTTCTGGAAGTCAGAAGTCTAAATTCAAAGTGCAGACTTGGGAAGAGAATATGTTTCCTTTCTTTTTCAGTTTCTGAGGCCACCTGCATTCCTTGGCTCTTAATCTCCTTCCTCCATCTTTAAAGCACATCATTCCAACCTCTGCTTCTGCTGTTACATCTCAATTTTCTGACTTTTTCCCTTTATCTCCTGCTTATAAAGATCCTTATGATTTCATTAAGCCTGCTCACATAATCCACAATAATTCTTTCAAGCTGAGATCTTTAACTTAATTTCATCTGCAAAGTCCATTTTGCCATGTAACATATTTATCGTTCCAGAGATTAGAATGTGTACTGTTATAGAGGGCCATTATTCTGTCTACCACATCCTGAATCACAAGCACTCCTGTATTAAGTGCAGATGACTTTGATTTTATTATTTCATATGTAATATGTTCCTGTAAGTTGTATGAAATGTGCATGTCTGAAAATCAAATTAATAGCATATATCATCAAAGGGGGGATTTATCTGGTTCCCGAAAGCTTAACAAATAAAATAAAATAGAATTTTCAATTATACCATAATTTTTGTACTCAATCATTAATGATACATGTCTAGCATTTTACACATTTATCTTATTTTTTTCTTTCACAGTTGAAATCTTGATTGGCTTAAGTTTGATGAGCATCTGATTGAAGCCTAAGATATATTTTTACATATTTGTTTAAATTATATGAATTTTATAAGACTAATGCTAGTCCTTCAATTTTTATGTTATCTTACCAAATAATGCAGTAAAAAATTGTTCAAATAATTTCACAAACACTACATTCAGTGCTAAACTCAACTGTTGTCTAACATACAGAAGCTTTATGACAAAAGCTGTTCTCAATGATAATCTGAAGCCCCAAAATCAATTTATGGACTGCACGTTAGGAATATCAATTCTAACTAAATGAAATCATAAAAGCTTTTCAAAATATAAATTGGATTTGTATAAAAATACGAGATCTGAAGTAGATTTTTCTTGGGTTTTGTTTGGTTTTATTTGTCTTGGTTTCCCTTAAGGGATAGAAAGCCATATGAAACATTATTTCTTTTCTCTGGTAAGGTATGGCTAGTCTTGGGCTGGGGTTATTTACAAAATCATCATGAAAACAAATAACTTAAAATAGTATTTTTTTTCTTTTAAGGGAAAATTATTTAACAAAAATTGACATTATTAAAATTTCTTAGTGTGTGCTCCCCAAATTATCCATTAAAAAAAAACTTTTATTTTAGGTTTAGTAGTACATGTGAAGCTTTGTTACATAGGTAAATTTGTGTCATGGGAGTTTGTTGTACAGATTATTTTATCACCCAGGTATTAAACCCAGTACCCAATAGTTATCTTTTCTGCTCTTCTCCCTCCTCTCACCCTCCACCCTCAAGTAGACCCCAGTGTCTGTTGTTTCCTTCTTTGCGTTCATGAGTTATCATAATTTAGCTCCCATATAAGTAAGAACATGCAGTATTTGGTGTTCCTACATGAGTTTGCTAAGGATAATAGATCCATTTTTCTGCAACAGACATGATCTCATTCTTTTTTATGGCTGCATAATATTCCATGGTATATCACATTTTCCCTATCCAATCTGTCATTGATGGACATTTAGGTTGATTCCGTGTATTTGCTATTGTGAATAGTGCTGCAATGAACATTCACATGCCTGTGTCTTTATGATTTATATACCTCTGGGTATATACCCAGTAATGGGATGACTGGGTTGAATGATAGTTCTGCTTTTAGCTCTTTGAGGAATCGCCATACTGCTTTCCACAATGGTTGAACTATTTTACATTCCCACTAACAGTGTATAAATGTTCCTTTTTCTCTGCGACCTTGCCAGCATATTATTTTTTCACTTTTTACTACTAATCACTCTGACTGGTGAGAGCTGGTATCCCATTGTGGTTTTGATTTGCATTTCTCTAATGATCAGTGATATGAAGTTTTATTTCACATGCTTGTTTGCCGCATGTATGTCTTCTTTTGAGAAGTGTCTGTTCATGTCCTTTGCCCACTTTTTAATGGGATCCAGTTTTTTTCTTGTAAATTTGTTTAATTTCCTTGTAGACTCTGCATATTAGACCTTTGTCAGATGGATAGATTGCAAAAATGTTCTCCCATTCTGTAGGTTGTCTGTTCACTCTGATGATAGTTTCTTTTGCTGTGCTGGAGCTCTTTAGTTTAGTTAGATCCCATTTGTTAATTTTTGCTTTCACTGCAATCGCTTCTGGCATTTTTGTCATGAAATCTTTGCTTGTGCCTATGTCCTGAATGATATTGCCTAGATTTTCTCCTAGAGTTTTCATAGTTTTGGGTTTTACATTTAAGCCTTTAATCCATCTTGAGTTAATTTTTATACATGGTGTAAAGAAGAGGTCCAGTTTCAATTTTCTGCATATGGCTACCAGTTCTCCCAGTAACATTTATTAAATAGGAAATATTTTCCCCATTGCTTGTTTTTGTCAGGTTTGTCAAAGATCAGATGGTTGTAGTTGTGTGGTTTTATTTCTAAGTTATCTATTCTGTTCCATTGGTCTATGTGTCTGTTCTTGCACCAGTACCATGCTGTTTTGAGTACTGTGGCCCTGTAGTATAGTTTGAAGTCAGGTAGTGTGATTCCTCCAGCTTTATTCTTTTTTCTTTGGATTGTCTTGGCTATACGAGCTCTTTTTTGGTTCCATAGGAATTTTAAAATAGTTTTTTTCTAATTCTGTGAAGAATTTCAGTTGTGGTTTAATGGGAATAGCATTGAATCTATAAATTACTTTGGGCAGTATGGCCATTTTAACAAAATTGATTCTTCCCATGTATGAGCATTGAATGTTTTCCCATTTGTGTGTGTCCTCTCTGATTTCCTTGAGCAGTAGTTTGTAGTTCTCCATGAAGAGGTCCTTCACTTCCCTTGTTAGCTGCATTCTTAAGTATTTTATTATCTTTGTAGCAATTGTAGATGTGAGTTCATTCATGATTTGGCTCTCTGCTTGCCTGTTGTTGGTGTATAAGAATGCGAGCAATTTTGCACATTGATATATCCTGAGACTGCTGAAGTTGCTTATCCGCTTAAGAAGCTTTTGGGCCGGGGTAATGGGGTTTTCTAGATATAGGATCATGTCATCTGCAAACAAAGATAATTTGACTCCCTCTTTTCCTATTTTGATACCCTTCATTTCTTTCTCTTGCCTGATTGCCCTGGCCAGAACTTCAAATACTATGTTGAATAGGAGTGGTGAGAGAGGGCATCCTTGTCTCGTGCTGGTTTTCAAGGGGAATGCTTTCAGCTTTTGTCCGTTCATTATGATTTTGGCTGTGGGTTTGTCATAGAAGGCTCTTATTATTTTGAGGTATGTTCCTTCAATACCTAGTTTATTGAGAGTTTTTAACATGAACGGGTGTTGAATTTTATTGAAAGCTTTTTCTGCATCTATGGAGATAATCATGTGGTTTTTCTCTTTATTTCTTTTTACATGATGAATCACATTTATTGTTTTGCATATGTTGAACTAACCTTCCATCCCAAGGATGACGCCTACTTGATTGTGGTGGATTAGCCATTTGATGTGCTGCTGAATTCGGTTTGCAAGTATTTTGTTGAAGATTTTTGAATTGATGGGCCTCATGATATTGGCCTGAAGATTTCTTTTTTTGTTGTGTCTCTGCCAGGTTTTGGTAGCAGAATGATACTGGCCTCATAGGATGAGCTGGGAAGAAGTTCCTCCTCCTCCTCAATTTCGTGAAATAGCTTCAGTAGGAATGTTACCAGTTCTTCTTTGTACATCTGGTAGAATTCAGCTGTGAATTCATCAGGGCCTGGGCTATTATTGGGTGGTGGTAGCCTATGTCTCTTTGTAGGTCTCTAAGAACTTGCTTTATGAATCTGGGTACTCTTGTATTGAGTGCATATATATTTAGGATAGTTAGGTCTTCTTGTTGCATTGAACCCTTTACCATTATGTAATGCCCTTCTTTGCCTTTTTTTTATCTTTGTTGGTTTGAAGTGTATTTGTGTGTGCATGTGTGTGTTTTGTTTTTTGCATTTTTTTTTTGAAATTGGGAATTTTAATTTCAATAACCCATGTTTTTTTCTGTTTTCTCTTGGTTGGTAGATTTTCTTCCATCCCTTTATTTTTAGCGTGTGGGTGTTATTAAGCATGAGATGGGTCTCTTGAAGACAGCATACCATTGGGTCTTGCTTTTTTTTTAATACAGCTTGCTACTCTGTGCCTTTTAAATGGAGCATTTAGCCCATTTACATTCAAGATTAGTATTAATATGTATGGATTTAATCCTGTCATTGTGTTGTTCACTGATTATTATGCTGGCTTGTTTGTATGGTTGCTTTACAGTGTCACTGGTCTGTGTATTTAAGTATGCTTTTGTATTAGCTGCAAATAGTCTTTCCTTACTCCATTTAGTGCTCCTTTCAAGATGTCTTGTAAAGCAGGTCTGGTGGTAACAAACTCCCTCAACATTTGCTTGCCCAAAAATTATCTTATTTCTCCTTTGCTTAGGAAGCTTAGTTTGGCCTGATATGAAATTCTTGGTTGAAGATTTTTTTTCTTTAAGAATGTTGAATATAGGACCCTGACTGCTTCTGGCTTGTAGGGTTTCAGCTGAGACATCTGCTGTTAGCCTAATGGTGTTCTCTCTGTAGGTGACCTGCCCTTTCTCTCTGGCTGTCTTTAACATTTTTTCATTTTGACCTGAGAAAACCTGACAATTGTGTGTTTTGGGGATGATCTTCCTGTGTAGAATCTTGCAGGAATTCTCTGTATTTCCTAAATTTGACTGTTAGCAAAGACTGGCAGCAAATTTGCCTCTCTAGTAAGGTTGGGGAAGTTTTCATGGATAATATCCTAAAATATGTTTTCCAAGTTGTTTGCTTTTTCCCCATCCCTTTCAGGGATGCCAGTGATTCATAGCTTTG
This sequence comes from Homo sapiens, assembly GCF_000001405.40. Lineage (NCBI taxonomy): Eukaryota > Metazoa > Chordata > Mammalia > Primates > Hominidae > Homo > Homo sapiens. The sequence continues at coordinate 72,795,137 of NC_000009.12, read as the reverse complement.
GCATTTACATAATCCCATACTTCTTGGAGGTTTTGTTCTTCCCGTTTTATTCTTTTTCCTTTATTTTTATCTGACTGTCTTATTTCAGAGAGCCAGTCTTCAAGTTCTAAGATTCTTTCCTCAGCTTGGTTTATTCTACTGTTAATGCTTGTGATTGCATTGTGAAATTCCTGTATTGTGTTATTCAGCCTTATGAGACCTATTAGCTTCTTTTTTATAACAGCTACTTTGTCCTTCAGCTCCAGTGTCGTGTTATTGTGATTCTTATTTTCCTTGGATTGGGTTTTGCCATTCTTCTGAATCTCAATGATCTTCATTCCTCTCCACAGTCTGAATTCTATTTCAGTCATTTCAGCTAGCTCAGCCTCGTTAAGAACTCTTGTTGGAGAACTGGTGTGGTTGTTTGGAGGACATACAATACTCTGGTCATTTGAGTTACCAGAGTTCTTGCATTGGTTCTTTCTCATCTCAGTGTGTAGGTGTTCCTTTAACTGCAATGTAGATTGAATACAGTCAATAGGCATCTTTCCTGGAAGTTTTCATTGGGCCAAGGCTTTGCACAGGGTCTTTATTTGAAGCTGAGTACTTGTCTTTGGTTTCAGAGGGGGGTATGTTAGTGAGATATTTTTGGTGTTGATGCTTTGGGGAATGTGATCCAGTAGGTGGCACTTCGGCATATTGGTCAGTTGGTAGACTCTTGCTTGGTTGTGAGGCTCCCCTGTGTTGCCGCACAGTTGCAGCCATGTTCCCTCTCAATGCTCTGAAAGTGTAGATTTCTTTCCCCCTTGAGAGCTGGCTGTAGATTACGGCTTGGCACTCCTGGGCTGCCCCTTCAGCTCTGGGGCAATCTCAGCGTTATGTTTCTTCTCCAACTTGGCAGCAGCAGAGGAAGATACCTTGGCATGGTTATGGCCAAGGGTCTTTTGCTTATCTCCTGGGGGCTCCACCCCATTGAGATGCAGGTCAGCAATTACTCCTTGCAATTAGCCCAGGATGGATGTTCTATGTTGTGGGTCCGAGCTGGGGGTTCCCTGTCTGGTGACAAGGAGGGGGGTGGGGGTAGGTAGGACCTGTGAGAGACAGACTGGCCTTCTCTCCTGGAGTCAACTGCAGCTTATTGGAGGTATGGATGAGGCGCTTAGGGTCTTTGTTCCTTTGTTAGTCCAAGGGTAGCAAGGGCAGTTCTACTGCAGAGGTAGTGGCAGAGGAACTTTCAGTTGCCCCTGGGGATCCTGTCCAGGGAGTTACAGAGCTGCTACTTGATCGATAATTCTAGCAGAGGGTAGCTGGAGGCCTAGGCCTGGAGGATGTGTCTGGTGAGCCGATATGGGGATGGGCACCCATGTAAAAGTCTGGTCACTTTTTCATAGGGCTGCTGCAGTATATTGGGACCCCACATCCGTCCCTGGTCACCTCAGATGTTTTATTATCTGGAGGTAGCAACAGTGAAGGCTGTGAAACAGCAAAGATGGCAGCCTGCCCCCACCTCTGGAAGCTCCATCCCAGAAATGTACAGACCCGTTGCTGGCCCAAACGCACCTGTAGGAGGTGGTTGGAGACCCCAGTTAGGAGGTCCTACCCAGTGAGGAGGAAAGGGATAGGAGACCCATTTGAAAAAGTAGTCTAGCCACATTTTCATAGAACAGCTATGCTGTGCTCAGGGTCTGCTTCAGCCGCTGGTTGGCTTGGACTCTCTGAAGCCTGAATGATGGAATGGCCAAGTCAACCAAACAGCAAAGATGATGGCCCACACTTTCCCCCAGGAGCTCTGTCTCAGGGAGGTGCAACATTTCTACCGGTAACTGGCTGGAGTTCCAAGCCAGTGGGTTTCATTCTGTGAGGTGCTGTGAAGTGGGGCCTGCAGACTGTCACTGGATTCAGCCCCTTTTCTAAGGGGTGTGGTTGGGGGTCTAACCTCCTGCTTTGCCAGAGGTATAGCTACTTTTGACAGGAAGCCCAAAAAGAAAAGCCCAGGTATCTAAGGCTCCCGGGTCTCTGCATGTGCTTAAGTGGCTGCTCTGCTGAGACTCCACATAGCTCTGTGTGTCGGACTGAAGGCCCAGGTGGAGTGGGTTCATGAGGATATCTCCTGACACAAGGGTTCCAAAGATCCACGGGAGAAGTATGGGTTCCCAAGGTCGTGCATTCACTCACCACTTCCCTGGGCATAGAAGGATCCCTTGGCTTCATGTCACTACCAGGTGGGCTGTCACCCTGCCTTGCTTTTCTCTGCTCTCCATGGGTCAAGTTGTTTCCTTGATTAGATCCAATGCATGTACCTGGATGTTTCGGTTGAAGGTGCTATATTTACTCAACCCCTCTATTTCTCTCCATGAGAGCCATGCACACTAGCTGCCTCTAGTTGGCTGTCTTGGCCACCCCCAAGACTCTGTTTTTGTTTGTTTGTTTGTTTTGTTTTGTTTTGTTTTACAGCAAACAAGTAACACTAAATAGAGTTCCATTTAAATATTTGCTTTGGCCTGTATCTAAATCGAGTGCTTTATTATAATACAGATAGTAAACATCTCTTTGCACCATTTTCAACTATCCTTCCTTTATATGCAACTGTAAAGGGGACATACAAATAGTATTTACCTCAAGGGATAGATTTGCAAACAGTGTGAGATAATATACATGAAATTCAGAGCCAGCACACAGTCAACATTCAACAAATCTTAGCTATTTTTACTAATAAGCAATTTTTTAAAAGCCAATCTTATGGAAGAGATATTGACTCTCTTTTTTTAATCTACTAATTGCCATACACTTCTGTTGGTGGCATTACCTGTCCCACCATTGTTTCCCAGCAAGGTCCTCGAGGTACATCTGCAGGGTGAACAAAAAAGGGTGGTCCAGTGCTATTTTCAGAGAATGATGCATTGTAGGCCTTGATCATATTGGCTTCCCAAAGGGTAATATTGGCCTTTACTAGCTTCTCCTCTTCAATCTAGAAAGCAAAGAGATAGAAACTAAAATGAAGACAACAGAGATTTCAAAGGCATTTCTGGCAAACTTGAGACTGGGAATTGAACAACACTCTTATGGCAAGGACAATCCAGAAACAAGGCTTACCTTGTTGTTAATCTCATCCATTAATGCAAGAATAAATACGTATAAATTGCCTAAAAGAAGAGCAAAAATGCGTCCCAGTAGCCATTTCAAAGCGATGAGAGGATGGTAGTCTTCTAATTCAGCAAATAAGTCAAACAATGTTGGACAGAACATCCCTAGGAGGGACATAACCATGTTCATCTACAAGGAGGCACAAGGGAGAAACTAGGTTAATGGTGTTTAAAGTTATTATTGCTTTTTGCCAGAATTTTGGAAGATTCTGAGCTAGGCTTCTTTGATCTTTTTTAAGACTAAAAATGACTATTTTATGCACGTTTAGAATTTGATCTCAATAAAATGACAGGGAAAATATTCAATTCACATTCTCAAGAGAGGCATGTGACTGAGTGTGTGTATGTGCCAGTAGTAACAGTCTGTTTCCTGGTATAGTGAAGGTGGCAATTTACATCAGTCTCTACACAGAGAACACATATTGTTCTATGTGGTAACTGATTCTGATATGGTGATGCACTTCACAACAAGATTTCCAAAAGAAATGGAAAATAATCTGCTTGAGGAGGAGGTTCAAACTGAAAATTCTAATCTGACAATCATCAGCATATGGGCTAGTTTAATCAGTTAGAATGGATGAATTCCCTGAGATGGGCCTAGGCCTAAATATTGAATTTTGGCAAATGTAAACTTTTAAGGCCGAAAACATAAACACATACAATGAGTTTTATTAAAGGAAACAGAAGGAACTCAGAGAAACAAATGGAGAACACATGACATAATGTTATGGAAGCCAACGTAGAAAAGTTTCAAAAGTGAAAGAATGGGCTATAATTTCAGAGACAAGAGAATAATGCAGGGGTGGGGAGAGGGGGGAGAGAGAAAGAAGAAGGAATAGAAACATGAAAAGTAGGAAACATGTGCTTTTTATTTCCTGGATGTTTGGCAACCTTATGATGATATTATTTGGCTAAAGGAAGTCAATAAAAAGAATCCAAAACATGTACTAATTTTCTAATAGGGAAATACCGATTTTAGGTAACTCTGGTGACTATCTCCTTTCCCAAATACCCGGCTCAAACTGTCACCACTAAACATTTCCTATTTTCTCCTGTGGACTTCGTGGTGTGAATAATTATAATAACTACCAGACTATATTTAGAAAACAATTGCTATTAGATTTTTGTCATTTTTATTAAAACATTATATAAGTATGACCAACAGGATCCAAATCTCAGCATGACATAATACAAAATCAGCATGCTATAATTTTAGACTAATGTAAAGAAAATTTGGCTTATCCTGTGCAAACTTATGCAAGGCAAATTTAAATTTGGTTTTATCAAATTTGTAAAGTTACTCATGAATCTCCATTATTACCTTCATTGGCCCCTAGGACTCAGAGGGTCCCTAAAATATATGTTAAAGAGGTTCTTACAAAGAATAGTTATTTTATTGATAATCAACTACCCATCCTTTAATATGGTTTATTTATACAAAAACATAACCAATATAAATAATGGACCAAAGCTGCATGATAATGTTACCTCTATGTACTATTACAATTATGAGACCATTTTGAAAGCAAACTTAGTAAATGCTTTGAGGTGTTCCTACATTTTTCATTTTAAATAAATAAAAGCCCTCTGCTAAATTACTTATATTTTACAAGTTTTTATGACATGACTGTATATTAAAGTCTTTAAAATATCTAGTCCCGTCTCTATTGGTACCACTTCTGAAATACTCAGAATGTTATTTGGAACCTTTTTCTGTAAGTAGATTATATCATTTGCTGTCCAAGATTTTTTAGAAAATTCTATGCTTATAAAGACATATTTTAATTCTTTTGATCTATACTGTTCTGCAAAAGTTTCAGTGTGGGAAGTCTACACTTCCCACAGCCTAAATCTGCACATACTTTGAAAATGCCCAAGCTCAAAATGACGTCACATCATACACATAAGCATTTTATGAACGGGAACAGACTCTAGCAACAACTCATGACCAATGATTTTCTGATTCTAAATGATCTATGTCTAACCTCCTTTCTCTGATTCACTAAATGGGCAGATACTCTAAAGGCAAATTACGGTCATAATGTTTAATTCCTGGAAAAGAGCTGGCCTTCTTCATTTGAATAGCATTTAGAGGGAGAGAAAGTAAGGTACAGGACAGGAGGAAATGGAGATGGAGATGCTGCAGTTAGGCTTCTAATGAAAACAGAGGGAAGCCCAGACATGCCCAAAGGTGGAGAAGCAATCTGAGTGTTTCCAGTGAGATCAACATAGGAATCAGTGGCTTTATCATGGCTGCTTCAAAAAGTTCAGGCAACAATTTGATCTTTTAATGACAGATGAAGGATTTGCAGAGAAAGCAGCAAGAGCCTTGGACTCGAAGTCAAGATTCCTAGGTTCTCACCCTGACTCTTCTCCTAACTCTGTGACCATAAACATATAATGCAATCTCTTGAGATTTATCATTCCCATCTGTAAAACATAATGATTAGACTATGTGTTTTTTAATATCTTTTCTGACTCTAACTTTCCATCATGTCACAAAATGAAAAACAGACAGTCCAGATTTAGAAATAAGACTAGAATAGAATGGAAAATGAGCAACAGGGTTGGTTAACTGTAAGGGCAGGATAGGGGATAGGTAAAGGGTGGCCTTTTTAAATGTTCCATCAAAGAAACATAACCCACAAAAGAAACAAATGTCAGGTTCTAAGCACATAAAAAGCATGCAGAGACGAACTTCATTTTTTTCCCACCACCCAAGGGTGTCAGGATCTTGCTGTGCAAATTCCTGGGATCGCTTCACAGCCCAAAAGATGAGGTATCCACTCCCTCCAAGTGTTAGAAACACGAAGAAGTTAGCCAGAAACCTCAGGAATCTGATCAAGTGGACGTTTTCTTCTACTTGGGCTGCTTTTTCTTCTGTGATAGCTTCCTGTATCCATGAAAACAAACAAACAAACAAAAACCCAAAATAGAATATCTTAGCTACATTTTAAAAGTATCAAAACCTCAAAAGTTATTTTTACAATCATCAGAATGTGAGGAATGACAATGTAAACTAAATCTGAGATTCCACAAACCAGGTGAATATTGCCAACAAACGATGGCAAGTAAGACAGAAGGAAGAATTCTTGCAAACAAACTGTGATTGCTCTGATATTAGGATAGTCTTCACTCTAAAAATCTTCATTCCAGTGAATTAAAAAAAAAACTACAAAATAATGTTTTAGGGTCACTTCAATATTATGCTTATTCCTGTAAATAATTAGTGAACATTGTTCTAGTTTTTAAAATATCTTATTCTGATTACTCATGGTCCTATTTCAATCCAGTAACATTATTTTATTACCAGATTTAGAGAAGAGAAGTGTTTAAGGAATAATAGTGCTGTTGTGGGTCATGGAAGATTTTCCAGTTATAATCAGAACCATGGCAAGATCTTGGTAGGCAGAAACCATGAGTTAATCTTTCATGTAAATTGTCAAGATACTGCACTACTGGACCAGATGGAATGCCTCCAATTTTACTCTTAGAAATACAAACAGCAGGTTTTTGAAGTTGGTGCCTCTACCTTAAAGTTCATTGTGATAGAATTAAATTTGTTGTCTGCTGTTTCAGGATTGCCGATCAGGTAGTCCCAGCTGGTAAAGACCTTCCAGCTGAAATTGAAAGTGTTGTCATCTCCACCTCCATCATCACCAATGTTTTTGGTCATTCTGCAAAAACAGGAAGTTTAACCCAGCAGCCAGAAAAAATGAGATAGGGGAAATAGCAACAAAACATGATCATGAGTGTTGAAGTGGAGAAGCAATAGCAAAAAGACATATATTTTATAACAAGTTTGTTCTAATGACCAGAAAATAGTTTCTTTTTAAATTTTATTTTTGTTCAGTTGTTGAAATTATTCACTTTCTAGGCCTTCAAGATTAATAAACTACTAAGCACTGAAGATTTGAATAATTCAACATGTATATAAAAACATATTTTTATGTGTTTTGTTTAACTGAGATAATTAGTTCTTAACCTTTGGTAGGACAAGAATTTCTTTAAGAATACGATGAAATCTATTGAATCCCTCCCCAGGGGAAAAGAAACATATATACTGACTTTTACATTGCTCCACACAACTTTAGTTGGTTCCCAGACCATCTGAAGCCTCTGGATGGACTAAACCAGGCAAAGAAACTCCTATGTAAATTTTAATTCCCCCTAGAATCTCATCCCAAATAGAGATTACATTGAGTACATTAAATTTCCATCTACTCTACAATTCTTGAATAAAAATCAACATTTTTATACAACCTGAATGCCAAGTGGTTTTATATGTATATATATGTGATTTTATATATATTTTTAATCAGTAATTATATGTGTGTGTGTGTATATATATGTGTGTATATATATATATATATGTATTTGCATGAAGAGCTTAAAATGCATTTACTCACAGGTTTATTTTAGTGGTTAGAGATCTATATCCTATATACTCCACTTCCTTTTTTCCCTTTCACTATAAATAGCAAAATTAAAATTTCATATGACACAAATTATAAAATGGTCCCATAAGGTTTTGGTTTTTAAAATATTATAGTCATATAAACCCCAAAGAAGAAAGGGGCACAATGACATAAAGCTGACATTGTAGGTTGACCGGTATCTCTAGATCATCTACATTCCCCCACTATTAGCCACACTTATCATGGAGGCTCATACATTTTAAATAGGCTAGCATGTAAGGAAAAATTACAGATCATTATTCCTTTCATCCATCTACCACTTTACCCTTTGCAAATGGTGATTGTGTGTGCTTTCACATTTGTTCTCTTTAAAATCTCAGCAAGAAGTCAAGGTAGTTACTCTCCTTTTTACAGATAAGGAAGCTGAAGCTCAAAGGCATGAAATAATTTTCTGGACATTATCCAGCAGTGAACCACAGAGATAAGTCAAGGGCTCAGATTTTCTGACTTTGCTCCAGTGCTCAAGCTAGGACACCATGAGGTATGAAAAGCCATACAAAATGCTTTTTTTTTTTTTTTTGGAGGCCAAAAGGGTTGAAAGCAGATATTCCCTATGGTTTAACCTAGGGAGAAAATGACTTATTTGATTAATATGCCACTATCCAGTTTTTGCACTGTCATTGACCAAGGGCAGGGCTTCAAGTAAAAATGGCCACTTGGCAGATAAGTTTTGAATGGAGTTTTATCACTGGCAAAGTTTTGAGCTGAAGACAGCCTCCCAGGGAAGGGAGCCCGAACTGAATGAGCAGACTGGGAACATCTAACATGTGGGAAAGGGTGTGAAAAGAAGTGGAATACTGAAAGGAATAAGGAAAGATGCCCAAGGCAAACCTGCTTGCAACACATTTTTATTGAGATATGGCCATGATAGCTATAAGCTCTACTCTTTGTCTATAGAGCAAAATGTATACAAATTTATGAAAACTGCTCATTTTTTAAGATTGCTATCATTTTCAACCACCTTATCTGAGAAGCAATCTCAATACATCATTTGCTTTGCCAGGGGAGTTAGCAAAGGCAATTCTAGCATATATGTTGTTGCCTAAGGTGTTTCTTTTTGTTTGTTTTGTTTTTGTTTTTGTTTTGTTTTTGTTTGAGGAGGAGTCTTCTCTGTCGCCCAGGCTAGAGTGCAGTGGCGCGATCTCGGCTCAATGCAAGCTCCGCCTCCCGGGATCACGCCATTCTCCTGCCTCAGCCTCCTGAGTAGCTGGGACTACAGGCGCCCGCCACCATGCCTGGCTAATTTTTTGTATTTTTAGTAGAGACGAGGTTTCACCATGTTAGCCAGGATTGTCTCGATATTCTGCCTCGTGATCCACCCACCTCGGCCTCCCAAAGTGCTAGGATTACAGGCGTGAGCCACCGCGCCTGGCCTGCCTAAGGTTTTTATACTGAATTTCTTGACTTGGACAAGTTTGCAGCTCCATTTATACCCTGAGGTCATTTGGTTATTTCATGGGTGCATGTGGAGGTTTTTAACAAATCAAATAAATGCCTCTTTAAATCCTAAACCAACAGGGTCACTATAATGTAGCCTCTGCTAAAATGAAAGTTGAGAAGAGGAAGGGGATTGAGAGGCAGGTAGGAAACAATTTTCTAGAAGCCCACAGGATAAGACCACACAAGAAAAAGAAAATTACTGTAATAGCGATACTAAACAACATGTGGACTAGTTCTCTCTTTTCCATGGTTTTAGTTACTTGTGATCAATTCATGGTTCCAAAAATATTAAATGGAAAATTCTAGAAATAAACAATTCATGTTTTAAGTTTTATGATGTTTCGAGTACTGTGATGAAATTCCTCACCTTCCCACTTCACCCTGCCCAGGATGTGAATTCTCCCTTTGTTTAGTGTGGATGCATCCTGTGGATACAATAGTATACCCATGTTGTTAATAGTCCTCTCAGTTATCAGACTTACTATTACAGTAAGGCAATGCTTGGGTTCAAGTAACCCTTATTTCATGTAATACTCTCAAAGTGCAAGAGCAGTGATGCTGGCAATTCAGATATGCCACAGATAAGACTTAAAGTGCTTCCTTTAAGTGAAAAGGCAAAAGTTTTTGACCTAATAAGGAAGGAAAAGAAAATCATACACTGAGGTTGCTAAGATCTACAGTAAGAACAAATCTTCTATCCATGAAATTGTGAAGAAGAAAAAAGAAATTAATGATAGTTTTGCTGTTGTACCTCAAACTGTAAAAGTGATGGTCACAGTGTGTGATTAAAATTTAGTTAAAGTGGAAAAGTCATTAAATATGTGGACTGAAGACATGAAAAGAAACATGTTCCAACTGACAGCAATAGAATTTGCTATCCTTAGTTTTAGGCATCCACTGGGGGTCTTAGAACATATCCCCTGAAGACAAGAGGGTGCTACTAATGTAAATTATTTTTCCCCCAGATAATTTTTTTAATTATTATTTTTTTCTTTCTAATTTTTATTTTAGGTTCAGGGAATGCATGTGCAGGTTGCTTACATGGGTAAATTGCATGTTGTGGGGGTTTGGTGTATCAATTATTTCATTACTCAGATGATGAGCGTAGTAACCAATAGGTAGTTTTTCAATCCTCACCTTGCTCCCACTCTCCACCCTCACATAGGCCCTGGTGTCTATTGTTCTCTTCTTTGCATCCATGTGTACTCAATGTTTAGCTTCCATTTACAAGTGAGAATATGAGGTTATTTGGTTTTCTGTTCCTGCATTAATTCACTTAGGATAATGGCCTCCAGCTTCATCAATGTTGCTGCAAAGACATAATTTAATTCTTTTTTATGGCTGCATAGCATTGCATGGTGTATATATACTACATTTTCTTCATCCAGTACACTGTTGACGGACATCTAGGTTGATGCCATGTTTTTGCTGTTTTGAATAGTGCTGTGGTGAACATATGAGTACATGTGTCTTTATAGTACAATGATTTCTACTCCTTTGATATTTACCCAGTAATTGGATTGCTTGGCTAAATGGTAGTTCTGTTTTGAGTTCTTTGAGAAATTTTCAAATTGCTTGCCACAGTGGCTGAACTAATTTACATTCCCACCAACAGCATCTAAGTGTTCCCTTTTCTCCACAGTCATGCCAGCATCTGTTTTTTGTTTGTTTGTTTGTTTGTTTGTTTTTAACAATAGTCATTTTGACTGGTGTGAGATAGTATCTCATTGTGGCTTTACTTTGCATTTCTCTAATGATTAGTAATGTTGAGTAATTCTTTATATGCTTAATGGCCGTGTGTGCCTTCTTTTGAGAAGTGTCTGTTCATGTCTTTTGCCCATTTTAATGGTTTTTTAGGGTTTTGTTTTGTTTTGTTTTTGCTGGTTAGTTTAAGTTCCTTATAGATTCTGGATATTAGACTTTTCTTGGATGCATAGTTTGCAAATATTTTTCTCATTCTGTTGGTTGTCTGTTTAGTCTGTTGATAAATTCTTTTGCTGTGCAGAAGTTCTTTAGTTTAATTAGGTCCCACCTATCAATTTTGGTTTTTATTGCAATTGCTTTTGGAGTCTTCTTAATGAAGGATTTGCCAGGGCCGATATCCAGAATAGTATTTCCTAGGATTTCTTCAAGAGTTTTTATAGATTAGTTTTAAAAACTAAAAATTTATAGTTTTCGATTTTACATTTAAGTCTTTAACCCACCTTGAGTTGATTTTTGTATCTGGTGAAAGGAAAGAGTCCAGCTTTGATCTTCTGGATAGGGCTATCCAGTTATTCCAATGCTGTGTATGACCCAGGGAGTCCTTTCCCCATTGCTTGTTTTTGTTAACTTTGTCAAAAATCAGGTTCTTGTACATGTGCAGCTTTATTTCTAGATTCTCTAACTTATTCCATTGGTCTATGTGGTGGTTAATATTAGGTGTCAACTTGATTGGATTGAAGGATGCCTAGATAGCTGGTAAAATATTGTTTCTTGGTGTGTCTGTGAAGGTGTTGCCAGAGGAGACTGACAGTTGAGTCAGTGGACTGGGAGGGGAAGACCCACCCTTAATGTGGGTGGGCATCATCTAATCAGCTGCCACAGTGGCTAAAACAAAGGAGGTGGAAGAAAGTGGGGTAAGCTGGCTTGCTGAGTCTTCTGGCTTTCATCTTTTTGCTGTACTAGATGCTTCCTTTCATCCTCCTGCTCTTGGATATCAGACTCCAGGTTCTTCAGCATCTGGACTCTGGGACTTACACCAGTGGTTTGCCAGGGGCTCTCAGGCCTTCAGCCACAGATTGAAGGCTACACTGTCGGTTTCCCTGTTTTAGAGGCTTTTGGACTCAGACTGAGCCACTCTTGGCTTCTTCCTTCCTCAGCTTGCAGACGGCCTAACACGAAACTTCACCTTGTGATCATGTGAGCCTTTCTCCCTAATAAGCTCCCATATATATATATATATCTCCTATTAGTTCTGTCTCTCTAGAGAGCCCTGACTAATACGGTCTATGTGCCTGTTTTTCTATCAGTATCATGAGATTTTAGTTACTGTAGCCTTGTAGCATAGTCTGAAGTCAGGTAGTGTGATTCTGATGCCTCCAGCTTTTTAAATTTTTTTTAATTTTTAGCTTGTGATAGCTTTGGATATTCAGGGTGTTTGGGTTCCATATGAATGTTAAATAGTTTCTTCTAACTCTAAAAACTGTTATTTGTATTTTGATAGGAATAGCATTGAATCTGTAAAGTGTTTTGGGTAATATGGCCATTTTAACAATATTAATTCTTCCCATCTATGAGCATGGAATTTTTCCATTTGTTTGTGTCATTTCTGATTTCTTTAAGCTATGTTCTGTAATTCTCATTGTAGAGATCTTTCACCTCCCTGGTTAGCTATATTCCTAGATATTATATTCTTTTTGTGGCTATTATGAATGAAATTGCATTCCTGGTTTGGCTTGGACAATATTGCTGTATAGAAATGTACATTGGTTTTTTATTCTGAAACTTTGCAGAAGTTATTTATCAGATCTAGGAACCTTTGGGCAGAGACTATGTGGTTTTCTAGGTTTAGAATTATATTGTCCACAAAGAGAGATAGTTTGACTTCCTCTCTTCCTATTTGCGTGCCTTTTATTTCTTTCTCTTGCCTAATTGCTCTGGCTAGGACTTCCCGTACTATGTTGAATAAGAATAGTGAGGGTGGGTATCCTTGTCTTGTTCCAGTTCTCAAGGATAATGCTTCCAGCTTTTGCCTGTTCAGTATGATGTTGGCTGTGAGTTTAACATAGATGGCTCATTATTTTGAGGTATGTTCCTTCAATGCCTAGTTTGTTCAGAGTTTTTAACATGAAAGGATGTTGAATTTTATCCAAAGCCTTTTCTGCGTCTATTGAGATGATCACGTAGTTTCTGTTTTTCATTCTGTTTATGTGATAAATCACATTTATTTATTTGTGTATGTTGAACCAACCTTGCATCCCAGGAATAAAGCCTACTTGATCATGGTAAATTACTTTTGGGAGTGCTGGTGGATTTGGTTTGCTATTATTTTGTTGAGGATTTTTGCATGTATGTTTATCAAGGATATTGGCCTGAAGTTTTATTTTCTCATTGTGTCTCTGCCAGGATTTGGTATCAGAATGATGCTGGTCTCATGGAATGAGTTAAAGAGGCATCCCTCCTCCTCAAGTTTTTGAAATAGTTTCAGTAGGATTGGCACCAACTCTTCTTTATACATCTGGTAGAATTTGGCTGTGAATTTGTCTGGTCCAGGACTTTTTCTGGTTGATAGGCTTTTTATTACTGATTCAATTCTAGAATTTGTTATTGGTCTGTTCAGGGTTTCAATTTCTTCCTGGTTCAATCTTGGGAGGTTATATGTTTTCAGGAATTTATCCATTTCTTCTAAGTGTTCTAGTTTGTGTGCATAGAGGTGTTTGTAATAATCTCTGAGGGTTTTTTGTGTTTCTTTTGAGTTGTTGGTAATGTCCCTTTTGTCATTTCTGATTGTGTTTATTTGAATCTTCTTTTTTCTTTATTAATCTAGCTAGTGGTCTATCAATCTTATTTATACTTTCAAATAGACAACTCTTGGATTTATGTACCTTTTGTATGGCTTTTTGTGTCTCAATTTCATTCAGTTCAGGTCTGATTTTGGTTATTTCTTATCTTCTGCTAGCTTTGGGGTTGGTGTGCTCTTGTTTCTCTGGTTTCTCTACATGTGATGTTAAGTTGTTAATTTGAGATCTTTCTAACTTTTTGATGTGGGTGTTTAGTGCTATAACTTCCCTTTTAAACTGCTTTAACTGGGTCCCAAAGATTCTGGTATGTCATGTCTTTGTTCTCACTAGTTTCAAATAATTTCTTAATTTTTGCCTTAATTTCATTGTTTACCCAAAAGTCATTCAGGAGCAGGCTATTTAATTTCCATGTAATCATGTGATTTTTAGAGATCCTCTTGGTATTGATTTCTATTTTTATTGCACTGTGATCCAAGAATGTTGTTGGTGTGACTTCAGTTTTTCTTAATTTGCTGAGAATTGCTTTATGAGTGAGCATGTGGTTGATTTTATAGTTTGTGTCATTTGCAGATAAGAAGAATGTATATTCTGTTGTTGTTGGGTGGAGTGTTCTGTAGATGTCTGTTAGGTCCATTTGGTCATGTGTTGAGTTCAGGTCCCAAATACCTTTGTTAGTTTTCTGCCTCAATAATCTGTCTAATACTGTCAGTAAGGTGCAGAACTCTCTTGCTATTATTGTGTAGTTATCTAAGTCTTTTTGTGGGTCAAGAACTTATTTTATGAACCTGGGTGTTCCAGTGTTGGGTACATATACATTTAGGACAGTTAAGTCTTCTTGCTGAATTGAATCTTTTATCTTTATGTAATCCTCTTCTTTGTCCCTTTTTGATTATTGTTAGGTTAAAGTCTGTTTGGTTTAAAATAAAAATAACAGGCTCTTCTCTTTTTGTTTTCTGTTTGCTTGATAGATTTTTATCAATTTCTTTATGGCTTGATAGATTTTTATCAATCTCTTTATGGCTTGATGGATTTTTATCAATCTCTTTATTTTGAGCCTGTGGGTGTCACTGCATGTGAGATGGGTCCCTTGAAGACAACATACAGTTGGTTCTTGCTTCTTGATCCAACTTGCCATTCTGTGCCTTTTGAATGTGGCATTTAGCCCGTTTACATTTAAGGTTAATATTCATATGTGAAGATTTGATCCTGTCATAGTGTTGTTAGTTGGTTGTTATGTGGACTTGATTGTGTAGTTGCTTTATAGTGTCAGTGGTCTATGTACTTATGTGTGTTTTTGTGGTAGTTGGTAACAGTTTTTTATTTCCATGTTAGCACTTCCTTAAGGACCTCTTGTAAGGCAAGTGTGATAGTAATGAATTCCTTTAGCATTTGCATGTCTGAAAAGGATTTTATTTCTCCTTTGCTTATGAAGCTTAGTTAGGCTCGATATGAAATTCTTAGTTGAAATTTCTTTTCTTTTAGGATGGTGAATATAGGCCCTAATCTCTTCTTGGTTGTACTGCTTCTGCTGAAAGGTCTGCCATTAGTGTGATGGGTTCTTTTTATAGATGTCTTTCCCTTCTCTCCAGCTGCCTTTAATATTTTTTCTTTTGCATTGACCTTAAAGAATCTGTGGGCTATGTGTCTTGGGGATGGTCATCTTTTATAGGATCTTGCAGGGGTTCTCTGAATTTTCTGAATCTGAATGTTGACCTCTCTAGTGAGGATGGGGAAATTTTCATAGGCAGTACCCTCAAATATGTTGTCTAACTTGCTTTCTCTCTCCCCCTCTCTTTCAGGGATGTCAGTGAGTCATAGGATTGGTCTTTTTACATAATTCTGTATTTCTTGGAGGCTTTGTTCATTCCTTTTTATTCTTTCTTTTTTATTCTTGTCTGACTGAGTCAATTTGAAGAACCACTTTTGAGCTCTGAGATTCTTTCCTCAGCTTGGGCTGTTCTGCTCCTGATACTTCCAATTGTATTATGAAATTATTGTAATGGGGTTTTCAGCTCTATCAGATCAGCTTGGTTCTTAAAATGACTATTTTGTCTTTCAGCTCTTGTATTGTTTTACTGGATTCTTAGGTTCATCGTATTGGGTTTTAACTTCCTACTAAATCTCAACAATCTTCATTGCCATCCAGACTCTGAATTCTATGTCTGTCATTTCAGCCATCTCAGTCTGATTAAGAACCATTGCTGGGGAGCTAGCATGGTCATTTGGAAGTGAGAACACACTCCGGCTTTTTGAGTTGCCCCAGTTCTTTTGCTGGTTTTTTCTCATCTGTGTGAGCTGATGTTTCTTTAATCTTTAAAGTTGCAATTCTTTGATGCCTTTGAGGTTTTGACTGTGATATAAGTTAGGTCTAGTCAACTGGCTTCATTTCTGGCTGATTTCAGGGGACCTGGGCTCAGCTCAGCACTCCTGGACTGTGTGCTGTAACCCAGTGGTATAGGACCAGGCACACAGCTTTGTTCTCTGGCCTCTCAAGGTTAAACACCTGCTGTGCTGAAGGAGCTGAGGTGTTTCCAGTCTGTTAACAACAATGCTCCATGAGGGTTGCTGGCAACAGTGCTTTGTCGGGGCAGTGGCAGTGGGGTCTGTGCTCATGTGTTGGTGGCAGCAGAGCAGCAGGGTCCATGCATACCTGCGTGTTGGCAAAGCAGAGGGGGGAGGCTGCAGGTGGTTGTGTGCGGGTGGAGGCTTGTCTTCAGAAGCTCTCCAACAGTTGGGTGGGGTCTGCCAACAAAGAAGCTATGATGATGGCCTTTAGGAAGTGCCCCAGTTGGACATCCAAGCCTGTGCTGCAAGTGGGCACAGCCTGGCATGAACCTCAGGAAAGGCTGGCAGACAAGGGAGGCACTCAGATCAGAATGGCCTCATTCCATGGGCAAGACAGCCCTGCTCTGTATTGGTCTGACAGTCAACAAAGGCCAAAGCCTACAGGGGCATGGTGAGTCTTCAGGGATGGGTGTCCTTGGCTGTGCTCTACTGCAGTCCTTCCTTTGCCAAATCCTCTGAACTCCACACAGTCTGCAGTCCTGTCCCTGTCAACTCTTCAAGCAGCTCCCCCTATCAGTTCAAATATCCATGGGGGTCATTGAGACTCCTGCAGCTAGAATTATGGAGGTCCATGGTGAGAGTGGGCTACTCCACGCCTATTTAACTCTCCCTTCCTTAGGAGACACTCGGAGCCAGGAATGAGTCCTAGAACTCATTCCTGAGCATAGCATTCCAAGCTTCCTCTAACTTCAGCACAGAGTCTACATCCTTCCTCCATCCACTCTCAATGCCTCCCTTCTGAAGATCTACTTGGAGTGTGCCAATCTTCTTAATACCCTGGTTTCTCATTGGGAGAAGCTCTTCCTGGCTGCATCTTGTTAGCCATCTTGGCTCTTCTCAACTATTTAAAATTCTTGAGGATGAAGAAGCTGTAGCAAATATTTGACTGCAGAGGATAACAACAACATAAAATTATACTACATTGGCCAAAACCACTGGTCATTTCTTTGTTTACAATATTTCCCCAACTGAGCACCACAGAGGCAAGGACTTTATTTTGCTCACCATGAAATACCCAGGTACTGGATAGTTCTCTTAGATTACCCATTCTAGGTGTTCCACAAATAGTAATCAAATGAATGAATACATGAATTGTCATTCTAGAAGTAAACTTAGCACTGGAAAGAGCCTCACCAAGTAAATACATACAGCATAAATTGCTTTTTTGCATGGCACAATACATATAATAAATGCATACCACATATGCTTGTTATTCTATCACTGTTTAGTTCTGTCTTTGTCATTATGATAGGTTTTGACAATATCACCTCACTTTGTAAATAGCTGCCATTCTTTGTGAACTACTACTATCCTTATTAGTCCATGCTTGCAAGAAGACAGTTTTTTATGTTGAGTTTTAAAATCTAGATGCAATTCATAGAGTAGTAATATAAAATGGAAGGTGGTGACTTCATGTCTTTCATACCTCGTTGCTTTTCTGCTCCAAGCATTTTTGAAATAAGGTCAACTATAGTTTGAGGAAGATGAGATAACCATATGTTTTGTGGGATTTGCCAGAATATCATGCCCTGTAGGCCAGGTCCACTTACCCTTCCATAACTTTCTCTAGGGTCTGAAATTCATCATTACATACATCAAACATTATGATCTCCAATGAAAATATCTCTGAGAAGTAAAATATTAGACTGGGGTCTATGAGGCACTCTGACTGCTTTCTACTAAATAGATAAGGAGAAATTCCTTCGACAAAGAAAAAAATTAATTGGGGGTGGGAAAATGGGGAGGAAAAAGAAACAATTTCAATGTTAAGAAATTAAGGATGTCAAGAGACATGGAAGATATTTAGGCAGAGTATCAGGTAGGTCATAACTGTCTGGGTAAACATGTACCAAAGAAGTGAAAAGAAAATGGACAAAGGCACTGACATCTAAGTAGAAGGAAGAAAATAAAGTCTCGTTGATTTAGAAATGGTGTGTGTGAAGCTGGCCATGATTTATCTTGGAATATGCAAGAGTCTTGTAGAACAAGGACTTGGTTTTGATAAGTTTAATTTTTTTTTTAACAAAACGTTTGGTCACATGAGTCACATCAAGGCCATAAAACTCTAAGGGAATTTAACAACAGACAAGAAACTATTTTAATACAGAATTTTTAAAAATAAAAAGGCTACCCAGGACGAGACAGAGACATCAGTCTATATTGATGATTGTTATCATCAATATAGATGAATCCACATCAGAAATTAGAAAAGCTAAGTGCTGAAATTAAAGCAAGGTGTTCAAAGTTCAGTTATGCAAATTACTGGGCATTTGAACTTAGTGAAATCCTCAAACTCTGCTGAGCCTTAATTTCTCCATCCATCCAATAGGAATAACTAATGGGTACTCAACACAGTATATAAGATTGGTGGGAGGAACACCTTGGCCTACGTAAGGAGAAGCACAGTACAGAGAGGTGGCAAGGTGTAAGGGGTAGAAGATATCTTTTGAACTAGAAAACTCTAAATTCAAAGAGGTCTTATAGTCAAATGACCTTGTGCAGTTCATTTAGGATCTCTGAGTTTTATTTCATTATCTGTAAAATTATAAAACTAATAGCTACTTTGCAATGTTTAGGGATTAGAAGTAATGTAATTTAAACTGATTCATGAGAGATGCTCAACAGATGTTAATTATTATTATTTCAAGTATAATTTATAATTATTGTTGCAGCTCCAGAAATATGGATGAACATACTGTCATTTTGCCAAATTTAAAAATATTTATCTGCATGTGTTGAGGTTGGTTTGTGATATATGTAGTTTATAATATATATCTCATATATATATAATCTATATTATAGTCTATGTAGACAAAAATTTTGACACCATTTAAGGGTTACGTATAGCACATGATTTAAGTATCCAAGAATATTTGTTAGTCCATTCTATGAGTATTATTATAGCCAGGATCATAAACAGAAAAATTATATCTAATCCCAGGGAGCCCTGTGCTGAGTTTTCGCTGTTTGTCTCCCCAAATGTCATGTAGAGATTTGATCTCAATGTTGGAGGTAGAGCCTAATGAAAGGTGTTTGGGTCATAGGGGAAGATTCTTTATGAACAGATTAATGCCTTCTTTTGCAGGGGATAGTAAGTGAGTTCTTATTCTATTAGCTCCCACGAGAGCTGGCTGTTTAAAAGAGCCCAGCACCTCCCCATCTCTCTTTTGCTTCCTATCTCACCATCGTGATCTCTGCACATGCTGGTTCCCCTTTGCCTTCCACCAGGAGTGGAAACAGCTGAATCACTCACTTGATGCAGAAGCTGACTCCATGCTTCTTGTACAGTCTGTAGACTGTGAGCCAAATAAACCTCTTTTCTTTACAAATTACCAAGCCTCAGGTATTCCTTTATAGCAACACGAAATGGACTAAAACATCCTACAAACAGGAAAAAGTCTTGAAAAAGCCTACAAGGATAAAATAGCTATGAGTTTCTTATTAAGACATGCATTCTCAAAATGATTCAACTGCTTCCAGTAGTTTAGCTGCTGTAAAATAGACCAGTAAAACCCCAAATTTTTAGCTTAGAGAATTGTTTTTAACGGGAACAGTTGGGTTCTGATGTCAAGCCACCTTTATTTTATGATATAAAACTTCAAACTAATGAGGACAATATTTAAATGAGCTGATGGTTTCCATGTTGTGTAACTTTATGTTATACTGTTTTAATTTGCTTTTAATACTTATGTAACTATATTTATCATGAAGATTTCTAAGCATATGATGTGGTTGAAAATGTACACTGACCTGGAAAGAAAAGGAAAAAAAAAAAGGATAAAAGAAATGAATGAAGGGAGGAAGAAGAAAAGGGAAGGACTTAAAACCAAGGTGACCAACCATCCATGTTTGTTGGGGACTGAAAGGTTCTCAAATGCAAGACTTTCAGTTCTAAAACCAGGAGAATCCTGGGCCAACAAAGTTAGTCATCTTATCTTAAAATTTCAAACTATTTTCTTGGATTTCTATCTTTTTATTTTCTGATTTTGCTATTAAGTAACTAAAAATAGATATTTGCTCCCATTTTGTGGATGAGTATGCAGACGCTAACAGAATGAGTACAGTGAAAAAATCTTGATGTAGCCTAGTCGATTTTAGAACTTAGGTTACCTTCTATTCCATTTGAGTAATGTATGTCATAAATCCGCTCAAACTTATTCCAAGAGAATATTTGACTGGGATAGGAGTAGGAAGAGATGATTAATGATTCTGTACAAAGATTTATATCTCATCAATTCTTTTTCTACTGAATATTCTCCCATGGGCTGGTGGTGGAGTGAGAGTGGTGTATTGTTTTTGAGTTGTCTTGCTGTTTGGGCAATGAGTTTGAACTACTTGTTAACCAGGTAAGGAGCAGCCAAAGGTCCATGCCAGAGGGAAGGTTCAAGGCCACACTGGTTTGGATGATATAACATGAATGACTTTGAGGGGGAAAATGTGGATTTGATGCCCTGCAGCTATCCCAAATGGCATCTTCGAGCAACTTTGAAAAAGCCACTACTTCCTCTAGAGCCACTCTACCCAACAGAGTGTTCCACCAGCAACATCTGGCTACTGAACAATTGAAATGCGACTGGTATAAAATACACACCAGATTTCAAAGACTTGATACCTTTCGAAAGGCAGAGAATATCTCAATAATAATTTTATATTGATTGTTCGTTAAAATGATAATACTTTTGATATATTGAGTTAAAGCAAATATATTTATTATTAAAATTAAATGTACCTGTCTATTTATTTAATGACTACTAGAAGTTTTAAACTTATATATGTGGCTTGCCTGGCACAATGCTGCTCTAGATACTTTAAATTCATCTGCCAGAAAATCATTTATTAAATATACAAATCTACTGATGTACAACTGCATAACCATACATGACTGCCTTGTTTTGGGGATCTATAATGTGGCCTCAACTCCTACCATGCTGGCTTTTTTTCTTAAATAAGCCTATGAATTATAGGCTAATAAAATATAATATAGCCTAATAAAATATAGCCTAATAAAATTGTTAACATTTGTTGAATAATTTTCTCATCCAGGCATATTCTAAGTGCTTTGTTTGTATTAATTCATTTAGTCCTCACATCCATTACACCTCTATTACCAAGGGGAAACAGGAGAACAAAGCAGTTGAGCCATCTGTTAATGATTGTATAAATACATACATGGTAGAGCTGGGATTTGAACCTAGGCAGAATGGCTGTGGGGTACACAGCCTGCACAGTTACCGGAATAAAAGCTGAGTCATCAGACATGAGAAACTATTCTTCTCCACTGACCACAGAAACTAAAGGAGCAACACAGAAATGATACTCATGAGGCCTCAGTAATGTAAATGATACCTCTGACTTCAGCCCAACCAGAGCAATATAGTCAAAAGACTAGAAAATATCTTCGATTTTTGGAATGTGATAGTAGTTTATCTGATGGACAGTCTCTTATATTTGAGGTCTCTGATTACACTTTAGCAGGTTGATAAATATCTTAGATATAGGATTTCCTATAAGGTTTTAAGTCCTAAAAGAGCTTAAAAATGAAATATGGCAGTTTTCTCTGGAGGAACAAGTAAGTGAGGCAGGTTTAGGACACAAAGTGTGTCACAGACTGCTTCAGAGAGCTCCTGCTTAGGGTGACTTTGCACTTTTCCCCTCTTAGACCCTCAGGCTGAGGGACCTCCTACAATGAGGGGAAAAGCTCATTCAACTTGCACATAGTCAAATAAAAGAATGGCAACCTTACTTGAGATGTTTCAACTCTTCTCGTAAACTAGTTCAAAAAAAATTGGCTAAAGGGTCATTTTTTTAATATATAAACCCAAATAACTCTGCTAGGCTTCTGCAGTCTTTAAGTGGAGTATTATAAATAATTTTAGGCAGGGAGAAAAATGAACTGCAGTAATATCAGTTCTCCAGTGAAATTCTTCCCCATACTCCAATAAATCTTTTCCCAAGACAAACCATGATTATACAGTTGATTGTGATGGTTTCATTGGGGACCATTCATTTTTGCTGTCTTACACAGCTAAAATTTTTTGAATGAGTGATTATTCTGGTTTTTTTAAAAAATGAGCAGAGAACAATAGATTCTGCCTATTGAGCTGATTCTGCAAGTTACAAACCTCTCTGCACGCAAAAGAGAGACCAGCAGCTGTTTTCCTGTCTTGCTGGCAACATTAATTCACACCTTCAAGTACAAAAATACACATTTAAAAAATATGTTTAAACACAAGATAGGCATGCAAGCATTGGTCTGACCCCATGAGATGACTCAAAGGCCTGTGTTTATGTTCAGTTCTTTTGAAGATGTAATAGTCTAACATTAGTGTTGGTATTAAAACTACATTTCATCTCTTACAGACTCTGTTTCCTTTAGACATAAAATAGCAACAAAATTATATCCAATCCCCAAATTAATCCCTCCATTTGATTCCAGAAATCATTATTTGCTTCCCAAAAGACAAATGAAACTTACGCTTTGAGGACAACCAGAAAGCTGTATCCAATGCACATAATCCCCACTAGAAAATAGGAGAGCGGCAACCTGAAATTCATCCATCCAATTGTTCGTTTATTGTCATAATAGCCATAAAAGAGAACGGAATATTGTGCCAAACCCTGAAATCCAACAACAAAGCCACTTAGCAGTTGTCGTGAAGAGCAACTCAAAGGAAAAGATCAACTCTTAAGAGAAATAACAAAATGACATTAATTTTCAAACTTGGGTCACAGCTCTGACATGAGCCCTATTGTTTTGCTCCATAAAGTGAATGTTTCAGCTGCCATGTTGATTGGCAGCTTTTCAGTTTATTTGAAAATCAGTGACTTCTAAATAGATAAAATTTTTAAGCAAATACAGGCTTGCTCAGCTGTGGAGCCATTACCGTGAAATGCCCTTTGATTTAAACATCAAAACACATTTCGTGGTATCATTAGATTTACGATTTTAAGAGTTTGCTTAATACTAGGGGATGGGGATCTGAAAAATGCTTCCTCAAAGTGCTGTGGCAGATTTCCATTTCCAATCACCTGACCATAATTAGATCAGTTCTTCTTAAACCACAGAGGTTATGTCTCAGCTCTCACTTCACAAATATCAAAGAGCAGGTGGGATGACATTGGAACTCATCTGCACACTTCCCATTCATCAAGACTATCACAGCATTCCCATATAACAAGCATGTTTACTTGTGCATTAGATTCTCGTTCCTAAAAATTATCTGCCAGGGTTGAAATCACCCTCTCTCAAAGCCACCTGAATAACTCCCTCTTTATTCTCAGAACATTGGCATATTCTGATGCTGCTTCCTTTATAATATGCACCTTTTCTCTTCCTCACATTCACTGTGTTTTTCACTTTCAGCATTGAAGCACTGTTACTGTATCACTACAGCTATCCACTCCCCAGCTCCCCTCTTACTTCTCTCTGACAATAACTATGTTTTGTGAAATGAGAAGATAATCACTTGTCAATATGGGGCTTCCTCTTGAGATCAGGTGAGTCAACCCTGAATCTTAGAAAACCCAATTGGTTGCCTTTGACATCATTTATACGAACCCAGGGACTTTGACACTCACAGCTGAAGAAGGGAAGTGAAGTGGGGGAGAGTGGAGGTGTGGAAAAGAAAGTAGAAATGTCGTAGATGCTAATTCCTAGAGGAAGAATTAAGAGAAGTAATTTAGAAAATTGCCTTAAACAAACATCATGCCTAACTCAAATCAGAGGCCAACAGAGATCTGAAAAACTATTGCTTTCAAAATATGGGGCAAATTTTCTTAAATATTGTACTCTTTAAGAACTAGAACAAAATAAAATCTCCAAATAATCTCAGAGGAACTTGTGTGCTTAACTCGGGACTGCACGGAATGAATCACAGGTAAATACCAAAGGTCTGGGTTTCCCTGGGCCACACAGGCCTGTATCTGCATTTTTCAGTTTAAGAAAAAATAAAGCCAACTTGTGATGTTTAATTGTATGTGCCAACTTGAGTGGGCCATGGGGTGTCCATATCAAACACTGTTTCTGGGTATGCCCGGGAGGGTGTCCCTGGATAAGATGAGCAGTTAAATAGGTGGACTCAGTAAAGTAGATTGCCCTCCCCAGCATGGCTGGACATCATTTAATCCACTGAGGACAAAAAGAGGAAGAACAAAAGGAAGAAGGAGGGATTTGCTCCTTTTTCTCCTGCCTCACTCACTGCTTGAGCTGGGACATCTCATCTCCTCCTGCCCTCAGAGTGGGATTCACACCATTGGCTCCCCTGGTTCTCAGGCCTTCAGATTCAGACTGAATTACAGCACTGGTTTCTCTGGATCTCCAGCTTGCAGATGTCAGGTTAGAAGATTTCTCAGCCTCCATGGTTGTGTGAGCCTATTCCTCAAAATGAATCTCCTTTTATATCTGTAGTAAATCTATTATTTATATTAACTTATAAATTATATATATCAGCCAGACATGGTGACTCACACCTGTAATTCTAGCACTTTGGGAGGCTGAGGCAGGAGAATTGCTAGAACCCAGGAGGTGGAGGTTGCAGTGTCCCAAGATCACACCATTGCACTGCAGCCTAGGTGACAAAGTGAGACCCCGTCTCAAAAAAAAAAAAAAAAACCCAACAAATTTTATATGCATATATATATATATAAAGATTTATATAATAAATTTAAGTAATAATAATGATAAATCAAAATAAATTTATTATATAAATACTAGATTGATATAATAAATTTTATATATATATATATGTATATGTGTGTATGTGTGTATACATATCTTCTACTGGTTATATTTCTCTGGAGAACCCTGACTAGGATGCCATCCAACAGAACATTTGGGGATAAACAGCTAGTAGAAACCTCAAGCAGAGGGAGTGGGTGAGCTAATCTCATGTCTAAGATAAGACATGGATTGACCAACTCCCCAAGACCCAGAAATCTTCATCCCAGGAGAATATGCTTGGGAGGATCTCCCAGCTCCCAGGTGCATGACATCTTCTTGTTTCACATTTATCTAGTTAAGATCTCTGCTTCTTCCCACTTGTGTTAAATCCAATCTCCTTCTATCATGTCTTAAACCTTCATGCTTGTTCCTCTGTCCCAGGGTGACAATAACAGAACATGCTAAGTATAGACACTTAATCTCTTGTTTGGTTTAAAGATTATATCCTGAACTCTTTATTTAACCCTCATGGGACAACACCACAACTTCCAAATGTCTCTGTTTTTCATTGCCCTATTTCCTTGCCACAGATGTGACACTCAGTGATAATGGTTGCTGTGACAAGTAACATCACCGTATACATTTCGTGAACATTTAGCACTTGCCAAACACCTTATTTTATCTCACAGAATCCTCAGGAGAACACTATGAAGTTGCTGCTACTAGGGTAATCGTATCTCCAACTCTTGACGTTCCCTTCCAAGTGAAGACCCATTAACATAACACTCCCAGCCACCCTCCACTGCCTCACTCTAGCCTCGGGGAAAAGTGACTGATTTGACAGTAGAGCATGGATGGAGACATGCGGACATCTCTTCCTTCTCTTGAGAGGGAACATGCTGTGCTCTGCTCCTGCAAGGAGAGGCCTGTCCTGGCAGAGAGGTCTGGCTGTGAAGTTCACTTGTCCATAAAGACACTACATTCTTTTATGTCAGCTTTAACAATAATAAAGGCGGCATGTTGACCTTCACTGGTCTTACCCTTTGTTATATTTCCGGTGAGCTCACAATCTTGTTGGACAAGGGAGGAATTATTATTTACCATAATTTTCCCCTCTCCTGCACACACAAAAATTCAATAGCTGCTATCACTATACCTATTTTACAGATGAAGAAACTGAGCCTTAGAGAGGTTAAGTAATTTGTCCAAGTTCACATGACTAATGAGTGACAGTGTCTGAACTTGACCTGAGTCTAATCCAAATCCTATATGCTTAACCACTGCACTATACTGCTTCTCCTGTGCTTTCTTTATCCAGCAAGAGTTATATCATGCTAGTGCCATACCTTCTCAGTGAAAGAAAGGAAAGAAACAAGAAACTCTATGAACCCATCACAGACTTTGATCTATACCCTAGACTGGTCCCTGGTGGTGACAGGGCCTCTTGGAAAGAACCCCAGGCATCCCTTTTGAGAATATTTCAGAGGGGGTCACCCCCCACCTGATATCTTTTATCTAATTCATAATGACAATTTTGGGATTAAAAGACACACCGAAAATATCATAAAAGGAGAAAGCAGATATAGAACAAGCATCTGGTGAGCTTGTTAGGTTAGCACAATAGCTACTGGGGGCAGCCAGCTCATCTGGCATAGGTACCATTCAACATATGTTTAATGGCTGGCACTTCATAAATACTAGATCATAACCAAAGCCCAAGAATGGTTCTGGTTTTGTTTTGTTTTGTGTTGTTTTGTTTTTCTAGTTGGGGCAGGCAGAGTCATGATTAGTTCACAAAGGTTTCTGCAGTTTGCCTATTTGATATATATGAAGTCAAATCTATAAATGAATGTTAAAAAGCACAGTTTTTGTTTATTTATTTTTAATTAATTAACTTTTTATTATACTTTAAGTTCTGGGGTACATGTGCAGAATGTGCAGGTTTGTTACATAGGTATACATATGCCATGGTGGTTTGCTGCACCCATCAACCTGTCACTACATTAGGTATTCCTTCTAATGCTATCCCTCCCCTAGCCCCCAACCCCCCAACAGGCCCCAGTGTGTGATGTTCCCTTCCTTGTGTCCATGCGTTCTCATTGTTCAACTCCCACTTATGAGTGAGAACATGTGGTGTTTGGTTTTCTGTTCCTGTGTTAGTTTGCTGAGAATGATGGTTTCCAGCTTCATCCATGTCCCTGCAAAGGACATGAACCCATCCTTTTTTATGGCTACATAGTATGCCATGGTGTATATGTGCCACATTTTCTTTATCCAGTCTATCATTGATGGGCATTTGGGTTGGTTCCAAGTCTTTGCTATTGTGAATAGAAGAACACAGTTTTTAAAGGCTTTATCCAATCCATCTTTGTAGCATATTGAGGGATGGCTTTAAATACAACTTGAAGGGCTTAGAAGGAGAACGCTCCTCATCTTTTACCCAGTGGCATGCCACACTCCACTCATCTTTCCCTGTCCCTTAAAACTACAGCAGCAGACATCTGGAAGTGACTAAAATAGCAATGACTCCTAGCCCAGCCAAGGTTCTATTCAATTTCGATATCAGCACGTGCTGCTTTCCCCATGGGAGCACTCTCCCACCCCAAAATCTGTGACAGAGAAACCAGAGTCAGAGCCAAGTTCCCAGTGAGCACAGAAAATTTCTGTCCAACTCTGGGGTGCCATGCTCGTGTGTTGTCTATTAAGACTCTAATTTCTGTTTGATTGCTGCAGCTGGTCCAGTCCATAATCACCAACACATTTCCACAAGAAAGACTGTTTTTATTATGGTTACCAGGACTCAATTCATGCATTTACTTTTCTAACTAACACTTATTGAGAACTTACTATTTGCCCAATATACATAGATGGATTAGGAGACAGGATTTCAGAGGTCCCCAAAAGGCTCTGCATGCAAAACATCTCCTTCATAATTATTTGTTGCCTGAAATTATATTAAAACTGCATCCCTTTGGTGTTTCTCATGATTACCAAGAAATGTTCACCATGAAAGATAACACTCTATCCCCAGGATGATCATTGAATTTCTTCATTCTTAGTAACTCTTTTTAATTTGTAATAGCTGCCAGACCATTATTTTGAAAGAATGTATAAAGTAAAACTGGTAGGAAAGGAAGATATAATTTTTTAAGCATATCTGCTGAGGGTATGTGAGGGGAGGTGACACTGCAAGATTCAAGTCTGGGTGTATTTCTACTTTTCTCTGAGTTGTTGCTGGTTATTTACACCTTAGCATGAACGAAGGTTTCAAGTGTGGATGAAAGACAAGGACTGGCACTCAACATTTCATGGAGTAGGACGCAACACAGGAAAGAAACAAGGAGTGAAAAGGCTAATTATGCCCAGAATAAACCTCAACTAACGTCACAAGAACAGCAGCCAGCCCGGGCCTTGTGAGCTGCATGCTGACAGCAGCGCATGGCCACACTCCTCCTCTCCAGCCAGACCCATTAGGCTTCTGCCTAATACTTTGCTCATCTCTGAGTTTTTTTTATTTTATTTTCCTTTTGCTCCAACCCAGATTCATAGACATGAAACAGGTGCTCTATGGTTCTTAACAGAGACAGTGTGGAGTACAAAGAGGAAGCTGAGCTGAGCCTAGGCAGATCTAATTTTCAGCAGAGGGAATCAAGTTGTGTTAAGGACTGTAGACAGTGATCTCTGCCCCTCAAGCAGCTGTGAATGAGGCAGTTCCTTTGGGTATCCATCCCTCCATCCTTGCATTGGTACTCTTGTCCCCCTGCCTCCTGCCTACACAGGGGACATGGCTGCTGCCCCACTTCCACTTTCTTGCTCTGGCTACAAGTTCCTTCCTTCTGTTTCCTTGTCCCTCCAACAAATGGGAATTTTCATGAGCTAAGTATCCTGAAGAGGCATTTAAAGAAGAATCTACTATGTGCCAGAGCCATGCTAATACTTTTTTTTTTTTTTTTTTGAGACAGAGTCTCACCGTGTCACCCAGGCTGGAGTGCAGTGGCGCAATTTCGGCTCACTGCAAGCTCCGCCTCCTGGGTTCATGCCATTCTTCTGACTCAGCCTCCCGAGTAGCTGGGACTACAGGCACCCGCCACCACGCCCAGCTAATTTTTTGTATTTTTAGTAGAGACGGGGTTTCACCATGTTAGCCAGGATGGTCTCGATCTCCTGACCTTGTGATCCACCCACCTCGGCCTCCCAAAGTGCTGGGATTACAGGTGTGAGCCACCACGCCCAGCCGAGATGTGCTAATACTTTACACACATAATCTCATGTATTTTTTATACAAGCCTGGTAGCTAGGTATTAATACTGCTGTTTTATACATGGCAACTACAAGGTTCAGGATGATTGTCTAATATCTCATAGGTCGTATGTGGCAGGATTCAAACCCAGGTTTGTTGGAATCTCATGCCTAGTTTTTGTCATTATGCTACACTGCATTTTTAACTCTTCTGGCTTCTATAGAAAGTACTTCCATTTGCCTTTTGTGCCATGGCCCACGACTGACACTAACAGTGGGAATTCTAGACCCTATGCCCAATGCCATTACACATCTCACTCCACTTGCATGTCTCATAGGAAGCATGAACATAGCACATTCAAGAAAATTCCCCAAACCTGCTCCTTCCTCCTATCTCAGGTGCGCTCCGCTGCCTATAGGATAAAGTCTGACTTGAGCATAATGAAATTCTCTCCCTGATCAGGCTCTTTTTTGAATTTTTTTTTTTTTTTTTAGTATGACAGGCTCACCTCTTGCTGCCCTCCTTTCTCCCTAAATATGAACTTTGCTGAATCACTCTTGGGTGTTGAGAGCATAGCACTATCTCATGCCTCCATGCCTTTGTGCATGCCGATCTCTCTGCTTGGAATTCGCTTCCCAATTGCCTGCCCCATTCTAGAGCCTGCTCTATTCCTACTCTTTCTTTAAAGCTGGTTCAAGATACTTGTAAAGCCTTTGTTGACCTCTCAACCACAGCCAGTTGTGATAGGGGTAATGAATGCCCCTTCCTTTCTCTCAGCATTTCCTTCAGAGGCACGGAGCTTCACTTGATGCAATATGCCTCAGCTTTTCTCTGTCCCTATACTCACTGCACACCAGGAAAGGCATAGTGATTTCTGTTGGTAAACTGGGAAAGAATTAACTGGGCTGGCCCAGCCCAAACATATCTTTCTTCTTCTAGGAAATAAGTTGCCCTAGAGGTAAAATGGCTAATTTGGGGTTCTAAATCAGCAAGACCATTTGGCTAAGAATTCCGGATTGTTCCTCCAATTCGATTTCCATTAATAATGAATGTGGAAAAATTTTTTGCCCATCTGCCTCTTCTTTTTAAACAAATTATTCAGAACTCACATGGGAAATAGAGGTTCTCTTTACTGGGCTCTCTCAAGAGTCCAGTATCTGAATGCCAGTTAACCCGGACACTGAACCCTTATTCCATTATGTTCCCAAGTGCCTAAGACATATGTACATCAGCCTCAGATTGTCATTTTGCATGGCAATTGTTTGTTTGCATATCCAATTAGATCATAATGTCCCTGTGGGCAGGGAATATATGTTAGTTGTCTTTGTATTCCCAACATCTGACTTCAATTTATATTTGTGGAGTGATTGAATGAACAAAAAAAAATTGCTTCTGGTAATCATTAGCAATCCTCAGTTAGAATAAGCTCCTTTAAATTGTCATGTACACCAACTTTTTTTATTCTTCTGCTCTCTGCTACCCATTTTAATAAAATAGAGTAAATCATCCAAGACAGTAACGTGGCAATAATAATCTTATGTTGGGATTTAATGAATCAAAACACCAAAGAAGTGTCTGAGAGACACTGAAACTGGAAAAACTCTTTAATTTTTCCTACTGTCTAATTGCATAAAACTCTTAACAAAATGAGACAGTCTCAGTGCTATAAAATGAGCTTTTATGTATAATTTCTTTCCACAAAGAAAAAAAAGTTGTCTTCTTTCATTTCGCAAGGAGGAGATTAAAAGCATATTAGAGGGTTTTGTTGGCTGGTTGACTTCTGGAGTTATAAATTTGCTGCTGGTTCTTTAAAATATTCAGAGTGAAGCTTTGTGAATTCATACATGAAACGAGACGTGTGTGGTCATCTGGACACAGCCTATACTGGGAGATGCCTTGGTATTATGTATTTAAAAAGGAGTTTTTGAACAAATAAAATAATTTAAAATGTAAAGAATATATTGCAGCTACTTGGAAAAAAATGAATGTAGATTTACATAATCTACTTGTCACCACAGATGTATTAGATTTATGATTTGGTGCTATGTGTTTAAATTATTGACTATAATTTAATGCATTGTGAAGTTCTAACCTAACTCAATGGCTCATCCTTTAATCTATTAGTTTGGCAGCCAATATTTAGATATAGAAAATTCCTGCCAGGTAAATTTAGCTCTTCCAACCTTAGTCTCTAACCTAGTCATATCGAAAGATTCTTCCTTGATCTCCTCACAGCCATCTTGCCCGTCTACAGTCTGTTGATTACCTCAAAATCCAAGTCTGATATGTTACTACCCACCTACCCCCCACTTAAGTTACTTTTAATTGCTCTGAGAAAAAAAAAAAATAATTAGTGCAGTCTAGATTTTAGAGGATCCCACGTGCTTTGGTTCCCTTCTGTCTCTCCAATGCCTTGTGTTCTGATGTCCCTTCACATTCTGAGCTCTCTCGTTTTACTCAGTCCCCTGAATAAGGCCACCTCTTATCATCACACGTTCTCTGTAATTGATGTTCTTACTGCTGAGAATATCTCTCCCTTCTTTCAAATTCAGAGGTTGTCCTGACTCCTTAGAGCCCAATTTGAACATTACTTTCTCAGAGAAAAATATTTTCTTTTATCTGTCTCCTTCCTTTAGCTCCTAAACCACATCAGGTTGTCTTCTATAAGTTCTCTTAACACTATATAGCTTTCCTTCATAGCACTTGGCACAATTACAGTTGGATTTATTTTTGTGATTATTTGACTACTCCCTCGGACTTTATGTTCCTGAGGACAGAGACCTTGGGTTTTCTCATCTTTGCTTAATGCCTGGCACCTGGCAAATGCCCAACAAATGTTTACTATGTTAATGAAAAGAAGACTCATTTCTATGGTCACTTCCAAAGAAGGAATGCTGTTTTCATATTGTAAGTATAGCATTAGGATCATATGCATCCCTAATATTTGCAAAAGAAAAGCTCACTTTTGGTTTGGCCAAGTGTAGCCTGAGGGAGGTGATGAAAACTAAAATGTGTTACTAAAGCAAAAAAAAAAAAAAAAAAAAAAGGCATCGCTAGGACTTCAGACCTTAAGAAATCAGTTCCCCAAGTTTAAAATACCAAGGAAGCTAAAAGCAGACCCAGGAATCTCTCTCGTCACAAGCTAGAGCTGTGTCATAAAGTCACTCAGGAGTAGCAAATTAAGAAGCTTACAAAGCAAAAGAAGTGATCTAGGACCTAGAATAGAACATGAAATGCATCTTCTTTTAATCAAACTTAATAAGCCTGTTGAACCAAAGAGACCCACACTGGACATTGAGGAAGTGAAGTAAATAAGGGACAGAGCCCTTTGATACTGCCAGTCCCAGCGTTACATGCCTGAGCAGCAGCCCACCCTGCTCAGCAAAGCCATTGGAGGAATCTCACTACATCCACAGATGAGAGGGTCCTCACCCCCTCCAAAGTTATGATCTCTGCTACTAGGGAAAGAGACGTATCTCTAGGTGGATTTGAAAATTTATAACTCTAAATTTGTCCACAAGAGGCTTAGCAGTCTCGCTTGGGGTCATGCCACCGAAGAATTATTCATGATCTAGAAGTTCAGCCTCTGCTGACCCAGCACGGAGGTAGGCCCAGACGATGGATGTGGGAAACAGGTCATTCTGGCTGCATTTGAAACCTGTTGAAACTAAATAACAGCAACAACAGCAATATGAACAGCTATGATCTAAAGTGGAGGAGCCCAGTCACATTTTCAAGGTAGCAGCTGGGCGTGCTGCTCAGCTCTCCTTTGAGAGAGAGCCTCCAGATGCCACCTCCTTGGACCCACCAGAGTGGACCAAACTGTTTTCACATTGAGGTCACACAAACCCCAACCACTACCTAGATAATGACTGAGCATGATGGGAAATACTGGAGCTGGGTTATTGCTAACCAATATGGAATTTATCTAATGGACATACTTTGTTTAGAGACTCACCGTTAGCCTGGCCAAGACTCTTTCAAAACTGTAGTACAATCTGAGACTCTTCCTAAATCCTTCCTTTTCTCTCTCCTTTCACAGGTATAGGGCCTGCATTACCATCTAAAAGCTCTTCCTGTCTACTCTTGTTCACTCTCTCCTTTATCCTTCACACGCCTCCCTCCCCCAATATCTCCTGCATGTAACATAATTTTGATGTCTACACCTCAGGAAACCTAAAATGATTCACCTTTTCAAATAAAGATGCATTCGAACCACTGAAATAGTTCTAAAACAAAAGATGTGTTATTCCACGTGTGAATCACAAAATATCTCCTCTACCTGTGTCCAGTGCAATAAGAGATGAAGGAACTTAAGAGAACTGAGATATGTTTGAGAGAAGACACCTTTACTTTGGAACATTATTACTGAAAAGAGTTGTTGATGTTGATTAAAGAACTTATCTCCTTTTTATTAACATTCTATATGTGTCTAACCTGTCTCCTTTAAGGACAAACCTCCAAGATGGGATGTGAGGCAGGCAGGGCAGAAGGAATAATCTGGGATGATATATTCCATCTTAAACAGTTGTTATGAGGATAAAATTTAATGTATGTACCTACTTAACACATAATAGGTGTTAAGTCTCCTCTCCTGCCCATTGTAGGATATCTTCTATCTCCCACATCTATGATAATCAGCAGAAAAGGGGAGGCAAAGTAGACATACCATTTATCCATCAGCAATGTACAAGATGCTCTCAAGGTGAAAAGCAGAATGCATTTCCCTTTACTCACAACTTAAACCTTTACCCATATGATCTCACTGTCTGATATCAGCTGAAGCTCCTTCCAAATTCCACTTTAGTTCCTCCTTCTTTCTCCTCACAAGAATATTAAAACTGTGTAGCCTTTTCTTCTTTATCATTTCTATATCACCCTTGTCTCTCCAGGTATCTTGCCAACAAAGACATCCTCTTCCTACTGACTTAAACTCATTCTTCTGCTTCTATTAATTTACATGATACAATTTCTGCTTATTTGATTCATTGCATACATAATAATCTCTCTGTTTCTTACTATTTTAATAAAACAGATTTCCAGCACCATCAGTAAGATGTATCATTATGCACTCAATAAGAATATTTTAAAAATACAGTGTTTCATAAATGGTAAATTCTGACTTTGAAAAGCCCTGAGACTAGCTGATCATGCATGTTGTGTATGGTGTTTGTCTACTATTAACTGAAGAGAATTTGGATGAGTTGTGATATATACATCTAAGTCACAGAGCACTGCGCTTTCATGGGTATGGAGAGGAGGTTCCAAGGTTCCCAGATGAAGCTCTACAGATTGGTAGTTCCTCACAACCTCCCCTACCTTACCCCAAAGATTTTCTGATCCTTCCCATCCAATAGGCTCCTGTACCATAAGAGATCATGCTTGTGTTTATCTTACATTATTCTGTAAGTGCAGATCTTAAATCTATTCTGCTTCTGTTCACCTGCCTCTATGTGGAATAACTTACCTCTATATAGTCTGTCCAAGGTCAGCTGATCCTGTTGCTGGGTGTGCTGCTCAGATCTCCTTTGAGAGACAGCCTCCAGATGCCATCTCTTTGGATCCAAGAGAGTGGATCCAAATGTTTTCATATTGAGGTCACACACACCCCAAACTCTACCTAGATAATGATAGCCTAGATAACGGCTCTAGCTTAAATAATGGCATTTTTCAAAAGCCCAGGGATGCCTGCTTTGGCACCCCTGGGCTTTGCAAAAGTCAGGATTATGAATTTTTAAGGAGTTTAAAAACATTTTGTCAATGATTTCCTCCATGGTGCCATGATAGATGGAATACTGGGTTGTATACTGGGTTGTATACTTAGATCATCTGACAATACAGAGTGAGCACCTCTATGAAGTCATTGTTCAGAGGATCAAGCAAAGAACTCATGCAAATATACGATTTTTATTGTCTATTTCAAAAATAAATTAATTTTAAAAACTAAAGATAGAACTTTGCTAACCAACCAAAGCAAAATTAATAATAACAATTTTCAAAGTATGATTTTCCATTATGAATATTTTAATAAAGCATAATATTTAAATGATACAAAAAGAATTTAGGAAAAAAAAACATGAAAGCTCTCATTCTATTTGAGAAGCTGATTTGGGAATTACAAGATTATTATGAAAGATTAAAATGGGGCCCAAATGCTTCAACTCCATTTCCCCTTGTGAAATAGATATATCATGAAACAGAGTCAGTAAATGTTCCAGGAGCAGTCAGTGAGAATGTTGCTGGAAATTACAACAGGAAAATTACGGGCGGAATACAGGACATGAAGAGAACACTAGATTAGGAGCCTCTTAACAACTATAAGACCCTGAACATGCTTCAGTAACTCAAAATTTCTGTAACTTTATAAGGTAAGATATAGGATGGAAGATATCGAAGAGCACCTCTATTTCTAAAATTCTCTTATTTTTGTGAATTTCCAGTATAAACCTGTAGCCATCTCAGTGGCTCCTAGTAGCCTATGTAGAGGCAGCTTGTCCTAGGCTTCAGAGTCAGACAGAGATGTCAGGCAGACCAGATGAGCATCCCAGCCTCTCCACTTGCCATCCACGGAACTTGGAGGAAAATACCAAATCCTACTAAAACTCAGTCTCTCCATCTGTAAATTAGGAATAGTCATATCTACCTTACTGGACTAGGAAGAGGAATAGGTCATAATATAAATAGAATAATGTGCCAGTTAGTAAGCTGTTTCAGCTTCAGACCCATCCTTGTATATGCTGCTTTGTGATGCTGGAGACGGGACTTGGGGAGCTACTTTTTTCCTTTGAGATCGGATTCCTTGCAGATTTTTCCTATAGGAGGCACTTAGACAAAAAGTCAGGAGAAGGGATTTGCTCTCTCCTGAATGCATGGCTCCAGCAATGCCTCTTCACTCTGGTAACGGTATTTGGTTCCATTTCCAGTCTGTTCGAGCACACTCAAAACCAATCTCATCACACCTCTTGGGGCCATGCAGCGCCCTTCCTCCAAGCCCCTAGATTCTAATAACCCCACTTCCTCTTTTGTTCTCCCAACAGTAGGGGTAAAAACTGGTCTGTGTTACCTGTTACCATTTCTATGTTACCTCAATGTCCCCTTTTGCCTTTTTAGTCACCCAATACCTGTTTAATTTCTTATATTAAATTATCTCTGTCAAGATATCTGTGCCTTCCATTTCTTGATGCATACTGAAACAAGTAGTATAAATCACTATAAATATATGAGTATAATATTCATAAATAAATAGAAATATCATAGCACTAAGCACAGTGCCTGCCCATATAAGTACTTAGTCTACATTAATTTTGGTATTATTCACAAAAATGATAATAAAAACAAAAGCAATGTAAGTAGAAATTTAGATTCTGTCTTCTGAGAAACGTCTGGTTAACCTGAGGTAACACATACAGGTCCTTGAGCTTGGCTAGATTTTATTTTTCCTTCCTTGTACTCTTTCCTTATTGTCCAATTCTAGGACATCTCTGCCCATTCTATGGGAGTTCTTAAAGGGACAGCCCACGGCTGTCTGTGGCGTCTGATCTCTACCATCTATGCACGATACTCAAGACAATCTGTGCTCAGGCAGCCTCTTCCCTTCTGCCGTGGAGGACACCACGTCCTGACCAAGACAGCATCTCATTTGAATCTATAATGTCTTATTACCAGTGACTACTTGGCTTTATTCTTTTGGATTTTTACTGTGAAACCAAATCTCCTATATTTTAAATTAAGCTTTGTACATTTTTTTCTTGTTGTTATCTTCAGTTTAATAATTAAAGGTCCTTCCCTCTCTCTTATTGATGTACTTGTGAAATTATTTTGACCCTAGTATAGAGAATGTGCTCAATTATTAGCTTATTGTAGGATGGGCTGAATTCCTTTTTCTTACAAAAATGTAAAAGCAAAGTGTCCCTTAATATGAATCAACCTATCTTTCCTGCTGAATTTAGAATATAATCATTGCCAAAACAAAAGACAAATCTTTCAAACTTCAAAAGTCATGAAAACTTGTATATCATATAAAATTCCTTAAAGCAGTATTATTTTCTTTTAAATAATAATGTTATTCAATGAACAATTTGATAATGACTATATAATCCTATTGCTTCCTTTCCTTGAATCTTTCAAGAACTCCTCATTAAGGTCAGAATACTTTTATTTACTTATGTATTTACTTCTTTGTTATAATAAAAGTCCTTTTACTAGCTTGCCACTATCCACATACATTACCGTGTGTAATACCACCAGCCCTGCATCCCAATTCGGTTTCCTAATAGCTGTTTGCCTTTGGTCAAGTTATGGTTCTTGTAATAAGGAATATTTAGAAATTGAGCATTCCTAATAAAAAAAAATCTAAACTCTTAAATGCTCCAAGATATGAAATGTTTCGAGCACCGATATGATGCCACAAGTGAAAAATTCCACACCTCACCTCACGTGACAGGTCACAGTCAAAACACCATCAAATCTTTGTTTCATGAACAAGGCTACTTAAAATATTGGATAAAATCACTTTCAGGCTATATGTACAGGTGTATATGAAACTAAATGAATGTTGTGTTTAGACTTCAATGTCATCTTCAAGATATCTCATTATGTATACGGAAATATGCCAAAATCTGAAAAAATTTGAAATATGAAACACTTCTGGTCTCAAGCATTTTGGATAAGGAATACTCAGCCTGTACTGTGTGCTACATACTCTGAGCTATCTGCTATTTCATGCATTATCTCACTTGATGCTTTTTGAGGTAGATACTATTATTTTCTCCATTTCACATATAAGAACACTCGAGCTTAGTCTCAGATATAAATACCCACCATGAAGTGGGTTGTGAAGTGAGGGACCTTACTTACCAATCACAGTTCACTGCATGATGCAGACATTGGAGAAATACAGCTATTAAAATCACTACTAACCCCAGCAATGATGCATACCAAATTAATGACTGATACCAGCATGCAGCAAGCCTGTAAGTGAATAAAATCAGTGTAATGGCTTTCTTATATTTTCTTGACCTTTAAAATTTCTCTCATTGCCTTAGTATTGTTTTCAGGCAGGCCTTGAAATAACTATCATAGAACACTCTGGTTTCTGTATCCCCTGCTGACCGACAAATCATATTTCACCAAACTGGATGTGAGAGAGCTGTCAAGGGCAGTGATACAATCTTGGGAAGCACACTCATCATCCAAACCCTTTCCCTCTACTTTCCCCTGAATTTGCCTCTCAGACCCTCTTGTCCACTCATTAGTAACTCTCTTACAGCAACTTTTCTGTTTGTCTTCCTCAACTGAGTCACTAACTTTCAAATCTCAAATGGACATTTTTGCCCAAAATTTTCCATTTCAGTGCATTGGGAAATTCAGAAGTATTTAAACTTCAGAAATCTATATATAAAAATCAAAAGACCTTTTGTTCATATTTTTAGTCCTTCCTTTCTCTGCTATGCCTTAAAAAACAGAAAAAGTCAGTGATCTTCGTCCTTGTTCTTATTAAGCAGACTGGAAGTTTGTCATTTTGCTAATCAGAGGAAGAGAATGAGAAATTAAAACAGTGGTAAAGGGACATAGTAATGCATTATTTGAAATTTGAAAGTGAGAGAGATAAATAAAGGGAGGGATAAAGGGAGGGGAGGAGGAAGAGGTGGAAGAAGTTAGAAGTGGTAGAAAAGAGAAATAAAATCTAGAAGTGATAGAAAAGAGAGGTAAAATCCAACTCAGAGGCCATCTCTTCTGTAAAACCCAGACCCGCCTAAGAAGAAATAAGAACCACTTGCTCAGTTCCCCAGGATCTTTTTTCCTTTTTTTAAATTTTGCTAACTTTGTGCACAGCATCTTGTATACTGGTTGCTTACGTGTCTTCCTTCTAATATCACGAGTACCCTGAAGTCAAGAATCATGTCACATTCATCTTTGTAAAACCTATGCAAGTTTATAATTCAGTTTAAAAAATGCTGAATTGAAATGGAAAGTCCAACTGACAGGGGTGATTGAAGATTACAAATGCCACATATTTGTTGCTATCATTGTGCCTCATGCTAACTCAATAGCTTGCTTTGTTCATTCGGAGATGGGAAACTTTTCTTAAGGTTTGCATGTTCTGGTACTCCTCACATAAACTGGTCCTGTGGTTCTTACTTCAAGGCTCTATGAATCATCCCCCTCACTCAGGATTTTCAGTCAATGAGATTCATTTAGCCTGTAGTGGATGAGGACTAGATTACGGGCTGAAAAGATGTAGCAGACCTGATCTCTTCTTTGGGAAACTCACAATTTAAGGAGGTTAAAAGTAGAAATCAAAATGTTTGTGAGATATACATATTAACACTATAAACAGGCAGTCTGCTTTTCCCTCCTTCATTCTGCAATCTGTATAAAATTTTATTCTCATTGTCTAGCCTCCAAAAATTACTTGAATTATCAATTCCTCAATTTCAACCTGGCTACTTTCCCACGCATATGCTTCCAGACATTTCTAGTCTAGTCACTACTTAAAAAAAGAATATGTGGAATTACATTGTTGTCGAAGACTTGAATCATATAGTCCAAAATGGTTTTTCAATGGACAGAAATAACTCCTTTCCATAGTAATAATCTCTACCTAAGGGAGCTCAAGGAGTAATGCTCATTTGAATACTACAATGGAATAATACTAATTTTAGTATTATTTAAAAGTTAGAATTTAGTATTTCTTAGTTTTCAATATTTAGCTTTATTTAGTACTAACTATTGAGTAATACTAAATAGGAGGCTTGTTTAGGAAGTAAAGAGGTTAATAGGAAGTGTAAAAGTTTTAATTCCCTAGGAATCCAACAAGATTTTCCAAAAAGCACATTTGCAAACTCTTCCTTTATTCTTTTCCAAAGTCAGTGATAAGAATATTTGCTTCAAGTCTTTGAACTCTGAGCTCACCTTTATCCAGTAGTCTATATTCCCATATAATCATATTACCATTGTCCTAAATCATAGTCACATTTATATAAAGGGACATGTTTCTTTCTTTCTTTCTTTCTTTCTCTTTCTTTCTTTCTTTCTCTCTCTCTCTCTCTCTCTCTCTCCCTCCCTCCCTCCCTCCCTCTCTCTCTCTCTCTTTCTTTCTTTCTTTCCTTTCTTTCTTAAAGGGAGCAGGGACGTCTTTCTTAAGACATTCAGCCTGACCCAGGAGAGGAGGCCGTGGGTTTCAGAATAAAATAAACTAAATAAAAATCCATCCTCCCACCAATACACTTGTGTGGAGACACTTACATTGAAGTCGTACAACACACCAAAGTTTGCTGCCGATGCCTCTTCGGCTCTGGGAACGGTTTTCCTAGGTAAACTGCCATATGGCAAACCCCAGAGGTACTGTATGAAGAAGCAAAGAAAGCAGTGAACAATTAGAAACAAAGTCTGAGCCACACATGTGATCACAAATGGTTTTGTTTAAAAGCCCTTCTGAAACATTTTTATGGGGACTCTTTGGGTCTCCATGTGGGGTCCCATTTTCTGGGAATCGACTACTAAATCCAGAGGTAAGAACAAAGGGAGTGCAAAGGACCCTGCATTCCAAGTTCAGGGGACCACCAGCAGTCAGGTCAACCACATTCCCCAGAGGGCTTTCTGAGGACCCCATTGCCACCACCACCACCAAACTGTTCTGACTTGGAAGTCTGGAAAGGAGAGAGGTAGCCTTTTGAGTCACATAGGACTCAACAAAACAATCTTACCCACACTTTCATAAGAGAATACCCCTTAGGAGTGAGGGTGGAGGGAGATTCTGTCCTTCATGTCAAGAGAGAGAACTCAAGGAAATCCAATCATGTAATTTGTGGGTGTCTGCAACGTGAGAACACTTGCACCCTGATTATGGTGTCTGCTTCATCACTAATTCAGGACTGCTGCCTCAAATTCATGCTACCAGATTGGAAGAGAAAAACGGTAGGGAGAATAGTACTGGGAAGAGTGGGCCAGTGAGAGGGCAAGAATAGGGTCATAGGAAGGTGCCTTGGTGAGAACTGGAAAGAGCACCTTTCTAGCCCCCATAGCTTACCAAGCAGATGTTGCTTCTTCTGTGAGATGGAAACTTCCCTCCTAAAGCTGGGAACAGAAGATGAATATGGCTTGAAGCCTGGGTGCAGAGCTTGACTGAACAAGGGCTGGACATCAATCTCTGCTCACTCCCTGTGCACAAGCTGCACAACCTCCCAAAGTAGGCCTTTGGCCCATCTGGCTTCCTGGTCCGAACAGAATAGAAGGTGGGTTCCAGACACACTGTCTCGCCCCAAAGTTCGGGGGCACAGAGGACAAAGGAGATCAAGGTCTCAGGCTTGCCCAGGGACACAGGACCTTGGGGCAAAAGGGCATTTGCCTTGGAGGAATACTGAGTGAGCCCGTCGGGTAGAGGCAGCTGAAAAATACAGCGTTGCTGCCAGGAGATGACTGCCCTGGCCTCTGGTGGTTCTGCAAAGTCAGCATGCAGGGTGTCCATTCTCTTGTTCTTTTGCTGGAGTTGGTAATCATTGCCCAGAAAACAGGATGCCCCTCAGCACCTAATACAACCTATAAAAGGGTATCCAAAGACAGAATGCTTCCTAGCTCTTGGAATACATCCAACCTAACACGTAGGCACTCCATCCACTACATAGCAGACATTCTGTAATTTCGTATTATTCAAATAAATCAGCAACAGCCTTTCATTTTCTCCACATGGAGGCAGCATGGTGTGGGGGAAAGAATAAATGCTGCTGATAAAACTCCATTTATACCTGCATCTGACACTAAGTAACGTCATAGTAGCCAGTGATGGAATGGAGGAGTTTCAGATTTCCTTAGAAAGGTAAGCAAAAAAAAAAAAAAAAAAAAAAGCTGGGGTTAATTTGAAATAGATAAAATACACACATTCAGCTTCATTACCTGAAAGTGTGCACTTGGGAAATAAACTACACAGGACCTCTGATCTTTGGTCACTGTCTTCTACGAGCCAGACAACTTTAGAAGCTCTGGAATTATCTCAAGGATTATAAAACTAGTGGATTAAAGTGCAAAATCTTAGAGAAAGGGATTGAATCATGGGTTCTAGTCCTAGATCAGCTTAATAAAAAAATATATTCCAAGATGTTAGCTAAGTCACATCAGCATTATGTGACTCCATTTACATGTTTTAAATGGGTGAAGAAAATGTCTTCTACAGTCTACATCATAAATTTGTTGTGACGCACAGTAAGTAAAAGAAGTGAAAGTGCTTTGTACTATTAAAAGCTCAAATCTCTTTATGAATGTAAAGCATTATTATTATTATTATGTTAATAGGAGTCTTAGTATAGAAACTGGCACTGATTTGAAGCTATCGGGATAAAAAGTCACCCAAAACCACCAAATTTTGGCCACTGTCAATGCTGTATGGACCAAATTTGCTTTGAAATACTGGTCCTAAAAGGTCCTTTGTAGGTTAACTAAAACCTAATCCAACTTCTGTAAGGTAAGCATTCAAAGGTGTCAGAATCATTTAACTTCATATGAGTGAAGGCTCTGACCTCAGTCTAGCTTTTTGGCCTCAGCTGACCCTTTCCCCACATTAGCTCAGGGCTTTGTCTTCTTTGATTTGGACCCTCTATGTGTTTTAGTTTCTGACTTTGGACCTCATCATCCCATCCCACTCTCATCCCATCCCACTATTTGTGTGTGTGTGTGTGTGTGTGTGTGTTGTGGGCATTATCTTACTTTGTATCTTAGGGGGAAAATGTTCATTTTGTGTTTCTTCAGTATAGAAAATCTGGAGGCTTTGAGTTGCATTAAGGAAGCATTTCTTTCAAAGCTAACTTGGCAAAATAAAGAAATACAACTCACAAGGTGTCAAAGTCTTCCTCTTGAACAATAGTTTTTAACATTTAGGAACAGGGACCCCCTTGGGAAACTGAAAGAAGCCATGAAACTTTCCACATAAAAATACACATTTAAACATACATGTGAAATTATACATAAGTTATATAATTTCAAGAGGCTTACACCCCCTTTAGTGCAAGGATTGGGAGCTTTGGCCCATGGGCACCATTTTGAAGGTTAATCTCATTACAAATCCTATGACTCTAAGACGTGAAAATAGCCAGTTAATTATTCTACTTTAAAGAAGAGATAAATACTTTTCTAGGAGAAACATTTTTCAGCATGTTTTGTAAACTGGAAGTCAGATCTCACCTCTGGCAACATGATGAGGCTAAATGTCAGGATAAAGAGAACCATATTGACTCCATACATCCATCTCAAGAAGAGGAAGTATGAGGCCACTGAGGAGCCAAACTGACCTATTACAAAGAAAATAAAAAGTTTGAAGAGAGATCAAAGCAAACAAACAAACAAAAAGAGCTTTGTCTTGGTTGCCTTCAAAATGAATCCATTAATTGTGAGGCATTGGTCCTTTTTATATTTATAGGCTATAGCATTCTTTTCTCTCTATTCAGGAAGAGAAAATGTTAATCATGATGGAAGCATTCCCTGTCATGTGGAATGTAGAAGGTACGTAGAATGCAGTTATGCAGACTGCATGTGACCTACCCCATCATAGTCCATCCAAGGGAAAGCTGCCTTTTGCTGAGCAGCCATGATTGCCACCTGCAGAGTGCATTTTATTTCTTGAGTTAATACTGATAACTGAGCAAATATATGTAAAGGTAACTACAGTGCCTAGCTAGTAATTAGCTATCACTATAATTATAATTACTGCTATTTTCTCTTCCTTTTCTCAGGCAAACAATGTTCTTCTCAAAAAGAGTTTACCACATCCTTTACGGATAGTTATCTTACAAGCAGTTCTGTGCTGTTTCCCCCATTACTGGAATTTTACAGGGATGGTATAAAAGCTGAAATTCATTCATTCACTCCACACATCTTATGCCAGAAATTATCTTAGATGTGAAGCACAATGTCATAGATACGGGTGCTGCTATAATAGAACTTACATTTTAGTGAGGTATGGATACAACAAATATGTAAGATACATAGAAAGATACAGAGATAGAGATACAGACATAGACATTAGCTATAGATGTAGATGACAGGAGATAGAGATAGAGATAATAGCAGGTCCTACAGGAGGGAAGGGAAAGTATTGAAAGGGGTAGCTTTAGAAAGTTTTGTCAAGGAAAGAACATCAGAGATGTCATCTAAGCAGAGATCTGAAGTTTGAAGAAAAGACAGCAACATGCTGAGCTGGGGAAGAGCAGCTCAAGCAGAGGAAAAAGCCAGAACAAAGATCCTAAGGGGCAAGGGCTTGGGACTACTGAGGAATAAAACTCAGGCCTGTGCAGTTGGAGTACATGAATGAGGGAAAGTGGTGACAGATAAGGATGGAGAGGCCAAACCACAGTGTGT
Organism: Homo sapiens; assembly: GCF_000001405.40. Taxonomy (NCBI): domain Eukaryota; kingdom Metazoa; phylum Chordata; class Mammalia; order Primates; family Hominidae; genus Homo; species Homo sapiens. The sequence continues at coordinate 72,750,783 of NC_000009.12, read as the reverse complement.
GGGGCCTCTCAACCCATGGTAAAGAGTGAGAATTTTATTTAAAATGTAAGGAGAAGTCATTGACAGGTGTTAAGCATTAGGGCCAGAGGAAGGGGTGATGAGCATGACTTTTAAAAAACCACTTCAGCTTTGGGGAATGAATAGGCAATAGGCAAGAATGTTCAGTCAACTCACCCCTGCCCCCAGAAGTGAAAAGTAAAGTGATTGGTTAATTCTCATTGGGAGAGAGAGAAAAAAAAAGCACCCTCTTAAAGCAGAGAGTGGAAGAAGAAAAATGAAGAGGTTAAGTCTTAGGTTCAGATTTCATAGATTTACAAAAGCAAAAGTTTCTTTGACGGTCATTTAAGATTCAGCACCAAGTTGCTAGCTTTCCCAATCTTCCAAATTATCATTGTCAGTTGCCCAAGAAAAAACAACAAACACCTTCAGTCCCTGGCTGCATCAGCCCATGTGTTCTGTCCCATTCAGCTAACATTCAGCTAAACATCTCTATTGACCAATGATTTTCTGGAGCCTTCTGGCTTTGAAACATTATCAGTGGGGAAGCATTATCAATGGAAAAGGAAGGTTCATGGGTAGCAAATTCCAGCCTCTACTTACTTAGATGAGGCCGGCCTCACAGGACAGTAACACCTCTATTTCTGGACCTTTGTCTATTCTTTTTTTGTTTTGTTTTGAGATGGAGTTTTGCCCTTGTCACCCAGGTTGGAGTGCAGTGGCGCAATCTTGGCTCACTGTAACCTCTGCTTTACAGTTTCAAGCAATTCTCCTGCCTCAGCCTCCTGAGTAGCTGGGATTACAGGCACCCACCACCACACCTGGCTAATTTTTGTAATTTTAGTGGAAACAGGGTTTCACCATGTTGGCCAGGCTAGTCTTCAACTCCTGACCTCGTGATCCACCCGCCTCAGCCTCCCAAAGTGCTGGGATTACAGGAGTGAGCCACTGCACCTGGCCCCTTTGTCTATTCTTTACCTACCATCTTTCTTATTCCTGTAAAACAGTGGCAGGTTTTTTTTTAGAAACTTAAGAAGTCAATCTTTAAATGGATATTTTGGAAAAAATCAATGATTTTGAAGTCAATATTTTTCTTTATGCTCACAAGAGAATTTGGATTGATTTCACATTGCCGAGGGGTGCAGAGTTCTATAAGGTTTCTAAGGGTGTGTGGTTTTGATACACAACCCCACCCCACCCTACCTCAGCCCAGCCCAGCACTGTCACCAGGTGCACTGGTCTGCTTCTCCTAGGACATCTGATCACCCACTTGGCTCCCAGTGACTTCATACCATTTCATGGCCGTTATCTACATTCTCTGGTAACGACTACCTGAGGGCTGCTCAGCCAGGTTCACTCATCATGTTTTATTGAAGGCAGTGGACTTACAGTTTGTTACTCATTACAGTTACTCATTTACTGGAGGAAAGCCTTGGTCACTAGGTATCAATGTAAGTTTTTCCCTGGAATCGCATGTAAGATCTTCCAGTATGAAATCCCGCATATAGGATACTAACCCACCATTCCTTTCTTCCTTCCTCACTTTTTATGCTTTTGTTTTTCTAATTATTGCCACGGCCCATCCTCTCAGCACCTACACACAATCCCTGACAAATGAATTTCTTGCGTGTAGGGTACAAATATACTTAAATGCAAAAGACAGAAGTGAATTAAGATGTTTCAGAAAGTATCCCCTCCTCCAACATGCTTAAGCATCATAATGAAATATACTTTAGAGTCCAAAACTTCCAAACTCCAGTTCTCAGATTTGAGAGTGGCTTCACAACTATTTTATTTGGAGGTTGAGTCTTTACAGAATCTTAAGTGTAAAGAAAATGAATTGCAGGCCAATAGATTTCATTAAAACTAGAACGATTATAGGAAAGACCCAGACACAGGTGGAAGAGACTAAGAAATCCAGAAGACAAAGTTTCTTCCACACTAGACCTATCAATAGCAGAGGAGAAAACACAGTAACAAAACAAATGAAGATCTTAAAGTAGAGAAAATGAAACAACAAGTTGTCATAAAACTCCAGTTTTTCCTGTCTCAACACAAAAACAAAAAAGAAGAAATCTTCCCTCTTTATCCCTTTTATCTAGTGGTTCTATCCTACCGGATGTTGTTAACTAAAACTGATGTTCACTAAAAAGAAATGCCTGATTAGTGTGACTAAAAGAGCATAAATGAAAAGAATAGCAATTTTAACATACTTAATCTCTCAGTGTAAGGAAGCAAAATGAGTAATAATAATAATAATAGCTAGTATATCTTGATGGTCAGTTATGTGTTCCAAGAACTTTATCAGCATCAACTCATTATGCTGCCACTAGAACTTAATGAGGTTAAGTATTATTAGTCCCACTATGAATCAGGAAACAAAAACTTTAACACAGTTGTTGACTGAATCAAAAGTTGATTAATAATAGGTAACATTTAGTGAATCACTGTTTCAAACACCAATTTGATCTATATGTATTAACTTATTTAATGATCATCAAATCCCTACGAAATGGGAACTATTGTTTTCCCATTTTACAGAGACTTAGATCTATAGGCTACATAGCTAGTAAACAAGGAAGCCAGGCTTCTAAACCAGGCAGTCTTGAGCTACAGGTGTTTGACTCCAAATCTAGATCTCTCTTAACCACACTGCTATATGGCCCTTTAAGTAAAACATAGTTCAATTAATTTTCTTAAGACTATGATATATACAATAAACATGCAATGAATATGTGTTTCTGAAACAATAGGTATAGATAATATCCATCAATCAGCTAAAGCCAGTCAGATTCACAAATTTGATGCCCATAATGACCAATTCTTATTTCTTTAATCAGACTGATAAATGCTGCTTCCATAGTAAATTATTAATGTATAAAAACAGAGTCTCAGCCAGGCACGGTGGCTCACTCCTGTAATCCCAGCACTTTGGGAGGCTGAGCCAGGTGGATCACGAGGTCAGGAGTTCAAGACCTGCCTGGTCAACATGTTGAAACCCCGTCTCTACTAAAAATACAAAAATTAGCTGGGCATAGTGGCAGGAGCCTGTAATCCCACCTACTCAGGAGGCTGAGTCAGGAGAATCACTTGAACCCAGGAGGCAGAGGTTTGCAGTGAGCCGAGATTGCGCCACTGCACTCCAGCCTGGGCAACAGAGCAAGACTCTGTCTCAAAAAACAAACAAACAAACAAACAACAACAACAACCAAAAAACAGAGTCTCTGATACGTATTAAACTGAGGCTTTATGCTTAAGCATATTCTTGTTCCTGAATATTCTTGTTTCTTTCAAATTAAAGTTAAAATTTCAACTCTCTTTCTGGTTGTTTATTATTAAGGCAAAGTAATTTGTAGTCTGTCATAACACATCATTTCCTCTTGAATAGATGGGTAATAAGACAAGCAGATAAATATGAGTATTTCTAAATGGGAAAAGACCAATTAAATGACCTGCTGTGTGACTACAATATAAATACCATCATGTTAGGCTAGAATGTGAAGCACAATTTTTTCGAACTATTTAGGGGTAGGGAATTAAATGTGACAAATTTGATTTGTATTTTCTAGAATCCTTAGGGCAGCAAGGAAACATAAGGTTTAAGCCCTGTGCTTTGGCTTGCCTATCCAAAGCTATTTCCTGTCTGAAAAAAAATAGGTTTCTGAAACTATAATTTTGATGATGCAATCTACTATTAGGAAAAAGTAGATTTTGATCCTGAGAAAAATTTGTAATCCCCAGCTAGAAATACATTCAATTATTTAATTTATGGTCTTAATAATAATGTTGGCATCACAATGGGTATAGATTATATTTCCTGGGGGTACAAACATGCAGTTGCTTCAGAAAAATACACAGTTCAATGAGATGAATAAGATGTGTCCACAGGAGCAACCATCGAGTTTTAGGCATGATCCCCTTAAGGCTGACGTGACAGTAAAACCCCACAGTATTCCCAAGTGATGCATAACGTCACAGTATCCTCTGTGGCAGGAATTATCAAATCTATTTTTTAAGTGAAACAGAGTTGGGAGTCATCAGGTGAGAATCCGCTTCACACTAATAAAGAGATCTAGGTCTTACTGGAATCAAGATGGAAACAGTATGAATTTTAGACTCTAATTTGGGTCCCGCTCTTGATTCTGCAAATTATTGGACAGAGCTTTGGGAAAACTCAGTAAAGGCTGTTAATTTTGGACTCCTTTAGCCACATTTTAAAAATACTTATTTGGTATTATCTAGATACTGAGCAGAGAGTGGGGAAAAGTGGATTAGAAAGGCTGTTGGGAATGGAAGGCAACAGCTCCTCTTTTGACCATGCCACTTACTACAATCCACAATTACCGTCATTATTTATTTGCTTATATTATATTCTGTCTTCCCCATCCAAGCATACATACATTAACACATTTGGATGTAAGATCAATGAGGGTAGAGTCTCTGCTGTCTTTGGCAGTAGCAATAGTGCCTAGAAACATGTTAGGCATCCACTATTTGCTCAGTTAATCAATAATGTCAGGCTTATTCTGAGGATTAAATAAGATATATATTAGATGATTCTGATGTCGAAATGGAATACAATGATACTTCTGAACCTTTTGTAAGATTAAATGGCCATTTATTTAAGAGAAAAGCATTTATATCCGTTTTATAATTAAATATGTATTCTATAAGTAGGGTACACACTTAACCAACTTTATTTCAAAAAGAATTTGAGAAGGCAATTATATAGTCCCCTCTTAGTATAAATCTGTTTTGCATTCAAATTTTTGAGGATTTATCAATCAAAAGTATGATTAATGAATTTCACATGCCTACATATACATGTAAAACTGACTGTAACTTACACATCATAGAATGTTGAGCTGGAAATGATCTTGTATAGTGACTAGTTAAACCCAAGATGTTGTAGATATTGTAGTAGCCCCAAATGTGGAAACAGAACCAGAGATTTCAACAGATTGTCCAAACTACAGAGGTGGTAGGGGTCAAAAAGTCCTCAACTCAGAAAATCCATTGCATGTCCTATTTCTTCCCATTTTGCATTAAGTTCAGTTTCAAAGGTGATCACAGATACATGCTTTACCTATATTTAGTAGGGTACTTTTTATAAGATAGTCCAATCCAGTGCTCTAATAATATATTCTTACATAGGTTTCATATTTTTTCAACTAATACTATAGCCCAAAGCCTCATGGTTATCATTAAAATCAGTACATTAAGCATCCTATAGAATACAAAACATATAATTAAATAAATCACTCACTAAAAAGTAAATACATGAGAAAATGAAAAATAATTCCTTGATAACGATCAAGAAAATCTATAACTACTCATCCTGCCATCGGCCTCGTAGAATACTTTTTATGAACTGGTGCAAAACATATTTAAAAAGAAAAAGTATGTAAAACCTTCCCTAAAGGAGAAAGCAGCCTAACACATGGAAAAGCATACGTTTTGAACCCAGACAGATTTTGCCTTATATTTCAGCTCTGCTACTAATTCTGGGACAGTTATTTAATCACAACTATAAAATAGGAAGGTTAATGTGCACATTGCAGGAACACTGAAGATTAAATGAAACAATGTTTGTAGAGCATCTGACTCATGGTGGTACTCAATAAATGGTGGTGTGGTGAATATTGATAAAATAAAAAATAAAGCTCAGTTCTTCACAGTTGAGACAAAGCACCATTAACAGTGAAGAAGTCATGACAAACTAATCAAATCATAAATTATATATGGAAAGAAAAATAATCTACATTTGCCTCAATTTTCCAGCGTGGCTTTCCAAATTTACTAGAAGAAGAGAAGAAGAGAGGAGATAACTGAAGGTTATTATTGGATAGCTCTCAATCTGTCTTTTCTACTGTGACACTCATGATGGATGGTGGTCATATGTGTAACTCTTGCTGCATGCAATTTCTGGCAATAAAAATAATTCTGTCTGTTTTTGTTTCACTGGCTATAGCCTATTGGAACACAAATGAGCATGATATTACTATTAGGATAGGCTGGAACCTGCTCTAGTGTGCTTTAAAAATAATTTTCAAATGTATATATTTACCTATCATTAATTACAAATTTCTTGGGATTTATCTAACAACTGATCAAGACTCAGCCCTACAATTTTATAAATTAGTAGACTGAGGTCCAGAGGAGTTAAATGACTGGCTAGAAGTCAAACAGCTAATCTGCAGCAAAGCAAAGACCAAATTCAGAGTTCTTACTATATATATTGTATCAGGACCGTAATGCTCCAAATGGCCTTTTGTTTTTCAGTGCCTCTCAACCTACCACATTTGAGCTGTACAGTTGAAACCTAAGAAATCCATGATGTCTTCTCTTTTTTGATGTATCTAAATTCCTTTCTTTTTTTCCTAGATTGGTAGACATTTAGCGAGTTTGTCTGTAATTTTATTCAATACATATTTATTAAGTGCCAAGTGGAATGCAGGAGTGAACAAAACTAAATTTCCCATCTATTGGGAGAAATGAACATAAAATGAATTAAGATTACATCAAAAAATTAAATTAAAGATATAGCATTTTAGATAGCGGTAAGTGTTAAGGAGGAAATTAAAGCAAGAGAGAAATGGCACTGGGAATGTGTGGAAGGGGATACAATTAATGAGCTGATGTATTTTAATTCATTGCCACTTAATAATTCCCATCTGATATTGAGAGACAGGGAACCGAGGGTTAGCCACTCCTAAAACATGCCCAATCATGTCAGCAAGCTATCCATCAGCTGTGTTATCTCCCTATGGAGCCTCCATTTTAATTATACAACGCCACACTTAACCAGCAGGAAAACCTGCCTCCAATCTAGAGAGGAATGGATGGAAATCAGATCCTAGTTGAAACCGTTAGAAACCAGAATATGGAAAGATTGTGCTCAAAATTGTTTCAAATGTTATCCCTTTTTTTAGATTATTATTTTAAAAAACAATTTACTATTTTTATTTACAATATTTTAAAATGTTTACTTGCCTTATTCTAAGCCTAAAGCACTAAACTAAATAGGTTTTTGATTGGCTATATTCTCCTTCCTTCCTTCCTTCCTTCCTTCCTATGAATATTCTACAAAATAAAGGCACAATGTGAATATTCAGATAGCAAGCTCCTGGATGACTATTGCTTATTCTACTTCAGAGATTTGAAAATGAGGTTTTAAGACTTCGTTTTTTTTCTTTCTTTCTTTCTTTTTTTTTTTTTTTGAAACAGAGTCTGGCTGTGTCACCCAGGTTGGAGTGCAGTAGTGTGATCTCGGCTCACTGCAACCTCCGCCTCTCGGGTTCAAGTGATTCTCTTGCTTCAGCTTCCTGAGTAGCTGGGACTACAGGCTTTTGCACCAGGCCTGGCTAATTTTTTGTACTTTTATTTTTATTTTTTATTTTTTTTATTTTTTTTTTTTTGTGAGACGGAGTCTCGCTCTGTCGCCCAGGCTGGAGTGCAGTGGCGGGATCTCGGCTCACTGCAAGCTCCGCCTCCTGGGTTCACGCCATTCTCCTGCCTCAGCCTCCCAAGTAGCTGGGACTACAGGCGCCCGCCACTACGCCCGGCTAATTTTTTGTATTTTTAGTAGAGACGGGGTTTCACCGTTTTAGCCGGGATGGTCTCGATCTCCTGACCTCGTGATCCGCCCGCCTCGGCCTCCCAAAGTGCTGGGATTACAGGCGTGAGCCACCGCGCCCGGCCTTTTGTACTTTTAGTAGAGACGGGGATTCACCACGCTGGCCAGGCTGGTCTCGAACTCCTGACCTCAAGTGATCTGCACACCTCAACCTCCCAAAGTGCTGGGATTACAGGCGTGAACCACTGCGCCCAGACTAAGACTTCTTCACTTGTTAAAACATTGTTCATTTTGATTACTGTCTAACATTCATGAGAGTATATATTCTCAATGTCATGTTCATTGCCAAAATAAAATCTCTGCCTTCCAAGTAAGATGATTCAATGTCATTGTGCACAATAGTGACTTCCCTGTATAGGAGAGAAAACCAGGTTAGAATGGTAATGTTTTGGACTAAGGTAGAACACGAGAGTGGGGTCCCCAGTATTGTCCTTGGTAAGTGCTAGCAAATCTTCACAGTGACGAAAGCAGGCATAAACAAAGTTTTTGTTGATTTGGTTTTTGTTTGTTTGTTTGTTTGTTTCTAGTCTTCCCAAAAGTCCAGAAACTGACAAAGGCATCTGATAAGCTTATGAGATACTTCTCTAAGACAACCTTCTCCACCTGAGATCTGATAAGGACTTACTTTCAATAGCCTTGATTTTATTTTCCCATGGGACACACGCAGCTTTGAAGTTCTCAAAATCACGGAGGAATTTTGCCCATTTCTGAAAAGAAAGTCAAATACAAAAGTAAAGTCCAACCTCTTGATTTGTCAAGATGTTTATCCCCCACCTCAAAACATTACAATGCAGTAAGCTTGGAAATGTCTCTCTGGCAGCAAATACTACTTTCTAGTCAAAGGGGGAAACAGTAGGTTTCACTTGTTTCCCTGTTCTCCACTAACCCCAGACCAATTTAATTCAACAAAAAAATGTTTATCGATCCCCTGTTTTATGGAAAATATGCTGGCCTCTCAGAAACAGCTATTTATTATATAACACAATAAGAAAGCAGGGGATTAGCACATAATAGGGTGATTGGAACAGAGTATGTGTTTAATTAGTTTTCATTGTATGAAGGACTCAATATGAATAATTAAATAAAATAAATAATAAAAATAATAAACAAAATAAATTTTATTTTCTGTCTTTTATTTCCAGGTCCTGTCTTGAAAGCCTTCTGATCTACCAGGATAGTCTGTGTACAAATAGGTGAGTTCAATACAAGATGGTAAGTTGTATGACATGAGACACTGCATTCTGGTAGAGGCAGATTGGTCAGCTTAATTGAAAGAGAAGACAACAAGTCATAAAATCATTTTGCAAAAGGCCTTCTTTCTATTTAACTCCAATGTTGGGTCATCCATAGTCAAGAGGACCACCAGGAAGAATGAGAATGTGGCAGAGAATTTTGCATGTATGCAAATGCTGGGATGAAGTGGGAGCTGGACAGGCACTATTGTCTAAATAATAGCATGAGACAAGTCTGAAGTTCAAAAGATCACCCACGCTTTTTTTCCCATCTGCCTTCTGCAGTGGAACCACCACCAAAACACAGATTTTCTTTAAAAACCCTTATGGGAAAGACCATCACTCTGGAGTTTGAACCCTTGGATACAATAGAAAATGCGAAGTCCAAGATCTAGGATAAGACAGGAATTTCTACTGATCAGCAAAGACTGATCTTTGTTGGCAAGAAACTGGAAGATGGATGTGCTTTGTCTGGGTACAACATTCAAAAGGAGTCTACTCTTCATCTTGTGTTGAGACTTCATGGTGGTGCTAAGAAAAGGAAGAAGTCTTACACCACTCCAAAGAAGAATAAGCATAAGAAAAGGAAGGTTAAGCTGGCTGTCCTGAAATACTATAAGGTGGATGAAAATGGCAAAATTAGTCAACTTCATCAAGAATGCCCTTCAGATTAATGTATTGCTGGAGATTTTGTGGCCAGCCATTTTAACAGTCATTGTTGTAGCAAATGTCTGCATTATTGTTTCAACAAACCAGAAGACAAGTAATTGTGTATGAGTTAATTTTAAAAATGAACAAAAAAAAAAAAGATTACTCATAACTAGAAACAGCCCAAATGTCCATCTACAATAGAATGGGTAAATACATTGTCACAGCATCTTTATACAATAGACTACAACACATGAATAAAAATGAAGTATAACTCCCACAACAACGTGGATATATCTTGTGAACATAACATTGCATCAAAGAAGCCAGAAACAAATGCATAGATACTATATGATTCAATTTATTTAAACTGTAGAAACAGACAAAATTAATCTATTGTATGTGAGTATATATATATATGAAAGTTAGGATATATGAACTTTATTCACAAAACTTTATGGGAATACATTTAGCTTACAGTTGGTATAACATTTGTAAAGAGGAGATAATAATATCTATGTTCCTACTTTACTGTAAGAATTAAATATAACTTTATAAAAGAATTCAATTCAGTGCTTGGCACATAGTAAGTGTTAAATAAATGTTAGTTGCTTTTCTGTCTTTCCCCAAAATCTATATTTGTATCAGTATATCATTTATTGTTTTCTTATTTTCTGTCCAATGTATAGTTGATGTTCCTGGTAGAAAAAAACTATACAGATACTTTGAGAAAAACAACTTGACCAGAACCCCTTCACTTCCAGAGAATGAAAATGAAAAAGGATGCAATCTTTTATATTTGGAAGTGCTAAAGTCACACAAGTAAGTCTTTTGCCATAAATCTGTATTTCTTGACTTATTTTTCATTTTAACTCTTCTAAGAACAATTTTTTAAATCTCCCCTGTAAATTTCAATACCACAGATATACTGTGTATATACTGTATGAGTATTTGTGTTTTATATATACAAAATGTAAGATTTTTTTCACCCCTTTAGAAAAGAACCAGTGTTCTTCTTAGAGGCAATATGCCATAAACCAGACAACTATAAAAATACCTACCTTGGCCATCATCATCTTAAATGCAAACCACCGTTTTCCTTTTCCTTTCCCAAGAGCCCCTTCATTTTCACTCACAAATTTTTTTGCCTCCCTGAGAAAATAAAAATAACATAAGGGATAAAAGGAGGTGAGTTGCAATGACTAGAATACAGAAGTAGTGGACATTTGAATTTACCAGGTCTGCAGTCTTATTTCTTCTAGATCCTTCACAGGTGAACCTAGACTGTATTTCATAACCTAGAAATTTTCAATCCATGTTTAAATTTTTAAATGCTGACCAGGAAGAGTAAGATATTTTAGTCTCACTTACTAATCAGCTGGAATCACTGAAAGGGAATTGATGCTAAATGTCAAAATAGAGAACACTAGTTCTTTTCATTTCTATCAAGTGTAGAATTGAACCTGAAGTTTACATCACATTCTGGCAGTCAAATGTTTATTTTAAAATACTTCCTCTTCTTCTTTTTAAAGAATTCCTTTAGAAAAAAGAAAAGGGCAGAGAGGTTAGGTCAAACTGACATAGAACACACTTAATGACCTGGTACTTAATCCTGTAAAAAAAAAGCAATTATGACTTAAAACAGAAAAATCATTCTGTAAAGTAAATGGGGTTGAGAAGAGAAAGAGAGAGAAAAGGAATACTTTCGGCCTCACATTTAGAAAGGGCTTTAAATGTAAACTTTAACATTACTCCCAAATATTTATACATTTACAGCAGTTGCATTAGTTTCTTTGGTATGCATAATAAAAAACATTAATTCATCAAAACATAATGCAAGCATGCTACATACACTATAATTTTTGTAACCTTATTTGATCATTGTTATAGACTGAATGTTTTTGTCCCTATCAAAATCTGTATGTTGAAATCTAATCTCCAACATGATGGTATTTGGAGGTGGGGTATTTAGGAGGTAATTGGCCATGGGGGTAGAACCCTCATGAATGGAATTAGTGCCCTTGTAAGTAGTGGCCAGAGAGCTAGCTAGCCCTGCTTCCACTACATGAAGACACAAGGAGCCAGCCATCTGCAACCTGGGAGAAGGCCCTTGCCAGAGCCCGACCATGCTGGCACTTCGATTTTAGACTTTCAGCCTCTAGCACTGTGAGAAATAAATGGCTGTTGTTTAAGCCACCCGGTCTATGGCCATTTGTTCTATCAGCTTGAACTGACTGGGACAGTCATTTTTGTTGTTTGTTTGAAAAACAATTTACCAAAAAAAAATTTACAAAAAAGAAAATTACAAATAGAGGCAATCCAGGCTTGTCTTCAGCTCTCGGGGGCTGCAGAACATATAGTTTAAGTGATGGAGTAGCCTCTGTCATGATAGAAACAGATAACCCAAGCCTGGATTGTGGTTCCACAAGTGCAATGCTGTCCTCAGTTGGATGGCTCCTGGAATATGTGGTTTTACAGAAAAGACCCTTCAACATATGACTATAATTAAACTCCTATTAACATATAAAGTCAACTTTTAAAAATGAAGGGTCTGGCTAGGCACAGTGGCTCATACCTGTAATCCCAGCACTTTGGGAAGCCAAGGTGGGTGGATCACTTGAGGTCAGGAGTTCGAGACCACCCTGGCCAACATGGTGAAACCCTGCCTCTACTAAAAATACAAAAATCGACCAGGCGTGGTGGTGTGTACCTGTAGTCCCAGCTACTGGGGAAGCTGAGGCAGGAGGATCACTTGAACCTGGGAGGCGGAGGTTGCAGTGAGCTGTGATTGTGCCACTGCATTCTAGCCTGGGGCAACAGAGTGAGATTCTGTTTCAAAAAGAAAAAAAAAAGAAGGGTCAGTGGGGAATTTTTTCTGTAAGATGTTCCTTAGTATCAGTGCCAAACTCAGAATTTTGCAATACACAGTGACCAAAAAAACAGCACACACCTGCTAACTTAACTAATACTAGGGAGTGGGGCCTCATTACTCACCTGTACATGTGCACCCACCCATATTCTGGCATAAAAATATAGGCACAGTGGTAAAGACTCTCTTCGGTCATCAAACAGAACTCCCAAATCAGTTTCCTGATAGCGGACACAATATCTTGTCTTGTTGTAACTTCCATAGCATTGACCATTGCATTGACCACAGGGAGTGTTTAATAAATGTAAACCTTCTAGAAATAGAGCTGATTGACATAGTTTGGGGTAGATGTAGACAAGGGAGTATCTAATAATTTTATTTTCCACAATAATTAATGCTTGAAAGCAAAGTCATTCCCAGACTTTGGGATTGCACCCTTTATCATTAATCTTCTCTGAAACTCAATTGATAGACTAGATTGGCCTTGTTGTCAAACACCCTGACATTTGACATGACCTCTGTGCTGGTAAAATTAGTTGAAAAACAATTTCTAAAACCTTTTGCACATTCTAAAATATCCAATAAAGCAATGGCAAAAATTAAAAACTAAGTTCTCATGGCTGGGTTTTTAGATCCATGCAATGAAGAAAACACATCCTGTCTAAGCATTAACAATGTCTTTTAGAGGTGATAAGACAGGAGGGAGGGTGGCAGCCAGCAGGCACTTTCTAAAATGGTGAACTGAAGCCTCTAAGCAGAAAATCAAGCAAGTTGGGTTCTAATCCAGTCTCTGGGATCTGTCTCTATGACCTTGCCCATGTTTCTGATGCTCTTTGTCCCACATACATGAGTGTCTGATTTTTCAGAGGAAAGCAAACCTGACTCAGACTCACACAGACCTAGGCAAGGTCTGACACAGGTTTCCTCAGTAACTGTGTGGCTTTTAATAGGTCAAGATTTCCCAGAAAACAAACAAATGGTCAGGCAATCGCACCCCTGCTTGCTAAGATGGTGGCAAGAACAAGGTGGGATCATAGATGTGAACGTGTTGAAGGGATTATTACACAGTCAATTCTACGGCAATGCCGGTTTTGAAACCGTGACCTTGTTCTAACATGATTGATATATTACGGAACAATTTGATCACAACACAAGTCTGGGATTTGCTTATATGTGATTCTATCCACAAGAAACGCCAGGTAAATGCAGAAAACTGCACCCAGCTAAACCAAGCAGCGTAGGAATACACAAAATCCACATACCATATCCATCAGCTACCACACTTCCCCACACAGGTAGAAAAGCCCCACCTGCTCACAACTGGGACAACAACGACTCTCCTCCCAACACTTCTCAAAAACTCACAAGCTGCACCCTTTTGAAGGCCAACTTCCACAGGGAACGTTAGGTCTTTTTCAAAGTAAACTGCCATATTTATTGTAAATTTCTTAACCATTAACATGTGTAAAATATTGCTGTCATTGTTACTAAATTCCCATATTTTTTGTAATGTGCCACTAGTGATATTTCTAGGTATTGTGTGCCTATCCCCATTTTTTTAGTAAAATGTGTTTTTATTGCCCAATTTTGCATAGTGTCGGGATTTTTAGGAACCCATACATCATGTTACGGCAGAATTTACTATACTTCAGTTATTTGGCATCAAGAATTTTGAAATTCACAAAACTAAGTATACATAGGAGTTATCATATTAATCTCTAGAATAATGAACACATATAAATAGAGAAATGGAAATTCTTCTTAGTAGTAAAATTAAAATTTGTTTTTCATATGTAATAAAGTGCTCACTTTCAGGACATCTCCACTGCTCTAGTTATTTAACAGATAATTTAAAAGACATCCAGTTTTGCTTATTAGATTTATATCACTTTCTAGATAAGTGGTCAATTCGAAAGCACAACTTTGTTCTAAAAAGGATGTAAAGAAATAGCTACTCCATATTTCTACCAAGATTTTTAATTTTGTGAGCTCGTGAACATTAAACTAGCAAAACTTAAGAAACAGAGAAGGAAGCCAAGGTAACAGTCAAATTAAAATCAGTACAAAATTAATTATAAACTCAGTTAATAATATAAAACCCTGTCTACATGGCATTAATAAAGTTTTTGTCAGATGTTATAAATATCATTTTCCTTTGAACAATATAAACAAGTTTTATTTTTGTCTCTTCAATTACTGTTAGTTTTCCTTGACGCTAGGTATAGTTTCATATTTCTCTTTCAATTACTACCCCGCCCTAGCCTCAACATATATATCTTAGATTCTGGTTTTTAAACAAAGTCCAGACTCTATTATCTATTACATAATCTCAGGTATGAATTTCTTTTCTTCTCTAATGCTCTATCCCCTCCTTCATTCTCTGAGAGATCCCTGCCAGCACCCCCACCAAGTTTTATACCAAAGAGGTCCCTGAACAGCCATTTTAGCTAATCCCTGCTCCCCATAGCCCACTGAAGACAGAATTACTAGACTCAACTCATCAGATATGTTGGGGATGGGTTTAAAATAAAGCCAGGGGGCAGAAGGTGGACCAAGAATATTTGTTTAGCAAGAAGAGATTCTTCATTCCCCCATATCTGATGCTCATAGGATGTAAGAAAGTACTCTTGCAGGTGACAGGCCTTCAAGAAGGGACATTGGGCTGCAAGGTATCAGAGACTCAAGGAGAGGGCATGCCTTAATACTATTTTGAGGGCTGACCTTTGCAATGAGCTGGCATGATTTCAGGATGGAAAAAAACTAGTATCACCCAATTCTATCCTCCTTGATAACGTATTTCTTAACCAGAAAACATATTTCATTGTACAATTAGAAAGAAGATACAAAAACAAATCTCATATGAAGATAAACATTGATCAATACAGAACAGTGAAGTGTCCATGACAGATAGCAGAATCTAAGAAAATAAAGAACAGTCTTTAGAACACTAAGATGCAAGAAAACATCTTTACATGTATGATTTTCTACAGCTAATCCATTCTCCTACTCATTTGTATTTATCTGAATAAATTAAAGAGATTTTTCTACATGGTTAAAATGAAATAGGCTTTTGTGGATAAACTTTGAATATCTGTTGGCCTCAAACCATCCAAATGTCTGACTGAAACAAATGTGTACCACCCCCTTGAATTGCATTCAACAAAAGCCACCTGCCAAGACTGTAATCTGGTCTTCAGGTCTCAGAGCTGAAGCAAACCGTGCTACAATATGCACAGCTCTCTGAGCTGTAACCCCAGACTCATTGATAAATAATTGAGCGAGGTCTATTTAATGACAATAATACCTGGCCTCATCATTCATTTATCAATCCGTTGTGTTGGTAATTAGAATAATAAGGTTTCATGGTCTTTCAAGAATGCTTTCACAGTTAGTTGAAGAAGCACACACTGGACTAACTTACAGAATAGATAATTTACCCATAACACATGATACAACCACGATTACACAGAAGTGTTAGGTCATGCTATGCTGCCTTTGACACATTCTCATCCCAGGAAACATGTTCCCCTTTTGGGTTAGGTTAGGTTGACTTTCCTTTCCTCTTGTTTTCAATTTGATAGTATGATTGAGCAACAAATTTATTGCTCAAGCAAATGAAAGACATTTCAAAACTGGTGTTTAGGCAACTGTAATCAAAACTTGTACTTTCTAGCTGTTTCCAGTGAAGGGACCAGAAGAATGAAAAGTCTTTTCATAACAAACACTGCCATCTAAAAGAATTTAACCAATAGTCCAGAGAATCTGGCTTCTCATGAAATATTACTGTGGGAGTGAGTTACAGAGGTAAGAAGCTACTCGAAGGTACAAAGATTAAAAATAAGAACTAGAGGCCTCCTAGATAATATAACTTCATAGTTAGGCTGGTAGAATTATTGAAAATCATCCCAAATACTGGAAGTGATTATTCAAAACACATTTTTTTCCTAAGGCAAATGCTGATGGCAGTAGCTGGAATGGTTAAGATGCCCAGTTGCTTCATCTGTAAAATGGAGATAATAGTAGCTACTCTGTAGGATTGTCACATCCATTATAGAAAATAATGTATGTAATGTGTTTAGCTTAGTCCATGGCAAATAGCAAGAGCAGTATAAGCAGTAACTATTACAGTAGTTCCCCCTTATCTGCAGTTTTGCCTTCCACAGTTTGTTACAAGTAGTCAACTGCAGTCCAAAAATATTTAATGGAAAATTCCAGAAATAAACAATTCATAAGTTTTAAATTGTGTGCTGTCCTGAGTAGCATGATGAAATCTCATGCCATCCTGTGCTGTCCAGCCTGGGAAGTGAATCTTCCCTTTGTTCAGCAAATCCACACAGTCTGCACTCTCCTCCTGTTAGTAGCCCTCTGGGTTCTCAGATTGACTGTCACAGTATCACAATGCTTATGTTCCAGTAACCCTTATTCTACTTAATAATGCCCCCAAAGCATAAGTTTAGTGATGCTGGCAATTTGGATATGCCAAAGAGAAGCCACAAAGTGCCTCCTTTAAGTGAATAAGGGAAAGTTCTCAACCTAATGAGGGCAGAAAAAAAAAAGTATGCTGAGGTTGCTAAGATCTATGGTAAGACGTCTTCTCTTCCTGAAATTGTGAAGAAGGGAAAAGAAATTCTTGCTAGTTTTTCTGTTGTACTTCAAACTGCAAAAGTTATGGCCACAGTGTGTGATAAGTGGTTAGTTAAGATAGAAAAGGCATTAAATGTGTGGTGGAAGACATAAACAGGAATATGTTCTGATTGACAGCAATCAGGTTCAGTAGTATCCTTGGTTTTAGGAATCCACGGGGAGCCTTGGAAGGTATTCCCCTCTGATAAGGGTGGACGGCTGTATAAGCAGCAATACTACTAACAGGGCTGACTTCAGTTTTTATGCTGAATCTCCAAACTACAAAGTTAAGAAATAACTAGGTACTTCCAGGCAAAACCCTAGCCCATTTCCCCTCAGACTGTTACCCCATTGAAAGTGGGAATTGTTCTTGTTAGTAAGTGAGCATGAGAGGATTCAACCCTCCATTTGAGACCCAAGGAGAGGGCCCAGGTGTTGGGCTTCAGAAGCCCCAGTTATGACACCGCCTGGGAGGAGGCAGTCAGGAATTCTATCCTGAGCCCTGACCCAGCCATGCTGTGCTGCTGTAGAGAGCTCGGGCCCCTGGGAATCTCTCTCTCTCTATCTCTCTCAATTTCTCTTTCTCTCCAAGCAGAAGATAATCTGTAGATATCCAACTGTGTTTTCTCTCAAAACTCTGCACATGTTCTCTGTAGCACTAAATTGTAAAATGTTACACTTGGACAACATCGTATTAAATTCTGTGATCCCTATCTCATGTCATAATTGGGACAGGGGTTTGAATCCTGGCTCTGTCACACACCAGGTGTGTGATTTGGGGAGAGTTATTAAATGCCTTTGATCCAGTTTCCTGACTTGTAAAATGGGACCAGCAACAGTGACGGCAGCAAGAGCTAAAGCACACTGAGTGTTGGCCATCTGCCAGGCACTATTCGTGTCCATCATCTCACTTCATCCCCTCAAAATCTTGAAAGGTGGGAACCATTATTATCCCCATCTCAGAGATAAGGAAACTGAGGATTCGCTAAGTAAAATAAGTATCCAAGGTCACCTAGTAAGTAGCACAGCTCTACTCTTTTTGAGCTCAGTGCTCCCAGTTTCCCCAGGATAACACCAGTGTTACCTCATGGAATTGGAATAAGGACATACATACAAAAGTTGAAACAGTGTAAGCAAAGCAGTACCTGGCACACCAGGTAAATGATGCTTTTAGTTATTATCCAAAGATATTTATCTTTTTTTTTTTTTTTTTGAGACAGAGACTCACTCTGTCTGCCCAGGCTGGAGTGCAGTGGTGCAATCTTGGCTCAAATCAACCTCTGCCTCCTGGGTTCAAGAGATTCTCATGTCTCAGCCTCCCAAGTAGCTAAGACTACAGGCTTGTGCCACTACACCCAGCTAGTTTTTGTGTATTTTTAGTAGAAACAGGGTTTCACCCTTTTGGCCAGGCTGTTTTCGAACTCCTGACCTCAAGTGATCCGCCCACCTTGGCCTCTCAAAGTGCTGGGATTATAGGTGTCAGCCACCTTGCCCAGCTGATATTTATTATTTTTCATAGCAAATGTTGATGATACAATGTCAAGTAAAATTTCAGAATACAGAACAATTTGTATACTCTCATTATAATTATGTAAAAGTAGTGTGCATCAATGATCAAAGACTAGGCAATTATGCAAATGCTTGGTTTCTCCATTTTCCAAACTCATTATATTATTGTCATTCAGTTTTGTTATCAGTAATAAAAATAAATTTTGTTTATTTTAAGGCATTGTACCATATGCAGAAAGAGAGATAAAGGAATGTGGTCCTATGCTTTTCTGTAAGGAATTTACAATTTCATTAAAAAGTAAAGATATAGATAAATATTTAGGGCACCATCTAATTACCAACAAACAAGAATAGTAAAAGTAAACATAAATGCTAAAAGATTGAGATGAGAGATGGAGTGGTATCAAGGAACCCTGAACAAAGGGAGGATTCAGTTACATGGTCAAAGGAGTAGGAGGGACATTCTGGTGCAGGGGAATGATATAAGCAAAAATGAAGAGATGAAAACATACCTGGGGTCTTCAGATAGACAATGAAGAGGACAGTTTAAATGCTTTAGAGGAGGATCTGGCATGCCCTAATGTCACGTCTGCAGTGCAGAATTCATTCTGTTATTAGTAAGGATCCAGAGTATTTTTGAGCAGGAAATTGATGGGTGTAATACAGTGCTGTGAGAAAAATGTTTCAACAATGATATACAAGATAAGTTAGAGAAAACATAAGATGAGAGGCTGGCTGCAAGTTGATTTCTAATGCATCCAGGCTTTTACATATGCTGTTTCATTTCTCTAAGATACCCTTTCTCTTCTCCTACACCTATTTTCTTCCTTTTCTTTATCTTCAGTTCTAGAGTTAGGCCAACACTACAGCTTCTCCACAAAACCTTTCCTGATCCTTTCTTTCTTTCCAACAATCTCCTCCACCCCCTAGGTAGTGTGACTTAACCTCTGACCTTTCTGCAGTAGTTATCCCAGTGTGTTGCTTTCTAGTCCATTTTTACCATTGCACTGGAATCTCCAAGGTCTATATTTTTTGTACTAATTTCCCAGTACTTAATATAGCACCTGGCATAGATGTGAATTTCAACATATGCTAATTGAATGAATGGACATCAGTGAGAAGACCAGATGACTGTCAGGTCGTGGCCACTGGCACAGATATGGGTTTAGCACCTGGCATAGATGTGAATTTCAACAAATGCTAATTGAACAAATGAATACCAGTGAGAAGACCAGATGATTGTCAGGAACCAGGCCACACAGCAGGCAAGTGGTGGGCGAGTGAGTGAAGCTTCATCTGTATTTACAGCCACTACCCATTGCTAACTCATATTACCACCTGAGCTCCTCCTGCTGTCAGATCAGCAGTCACATTAGATTTTCATAGGGGTGCAAACCCTATTGTGAACTGCACATGCGAGAGATCTAGGTTGTGAACTCCTTATGAGAATCTAATTCCTGATGATCTGTCACTGTGTCCCATCACCCCCAGATGGGATCGTATAGTTGCAGGAAAACAAGCTCAGGGCTCCCACTGATTCCACATTATGGTGAGTTGTATAATTATTTCATTATATATTACAATGTGCAGAATAAATGTAATGCACTTGAATCATCCTGAAACCATCTCCTCACCCAGCCCCAGTATATGGAAAAATTGTCATCCATGACACTGGTCCCTGGTATCAGAAAGGTTGGGGACAGCTAAATTAAGTCACAATCTCTAGGGCTGGGATATGGCATCAATATTTTTGTAAGTCCATGAACAATTCCAATGTGCAACAAGTTGGGGGCAGAATATGGAACTGTTGGGCTCAGAAAATGATATCCTGAATGTGCTGCTTTGGCATGCCGAGCACCTTGAACTAAAGGACACTGGAAGGCCTCAGTAGCAGCATCAGAGCCAAGGTCTCTCTGACCTTCTCCTGCTCTCCTACCTCTCACCCCTTGTTCTTCCCCAAAACCAGCCATAGAATTCAGAATTCCCCTTCCCCAGGGCAGGCCGTAGAAACTAAAACCCCCTTTTCCCCAAAGCCGGCCATAAAAACAAGAATTATTACTCTAACCTTCTCTACCTTTCTGTCTAGAAGGTGGCCATAAAGAAATTCTATGACCTAGTCTTGGTCAACAGTAGGTCAAGGGAGGAAGAAACACTCTCATGTTTGTTGCTGACAAAAATTGTAGTCTTTGTAATCAAAATATATATATTTTATCTATGAAGTAGTACTGTCTAAAAGGAACTATACCAAATAAGCCAGGAGGGTGAAGAGATGTTACAACAGTGAGGCCAAGAAGAATCTGGACAGGTATTGCTGGGTTTCCCCACTCAGTTCATTACTATTAGATAATTCCCTGTTTGTCTAATAACACTTCTACATGGCTGTTCACACTTTATTGAATCTAAGCATAAAAATGGACAGTTTTTCCTTGGGTCTTCAAATCTTCATTCTGAAGGCTTCCATGTCATATAAAACTTTGGTTAAAGAAATGTGTTATGTTTTTCTCTTGTGAACCCTCTTTCATTAGAGAAGTGTTGTCCTTGACCTTATGATAGGGACAAAGTATCACATCTTTCTGCCCCTGCAGAACTAAACAAATTTTATTTACTGAGACTACTAAATTTAAGAGGTAAAGAACTCTTAAATTTAGCATGTTGGCCTAGCAATTATTGGAAGATTGGGCTAAAAAGCTACTATATTATATATAATTGTTTTGTTGTCTCCCTGAACTGGCAGTAAGTACTCTGCATGTTTTGATACTTGATAATTGCCTTTGGTAAATAACTACTTTTCATGTCCATACTTTATTTTACATCTCTAAAGAGTAACTACCTGACTATCTGAAAACAAGCAGTAAATAAACTAAGAACAAGCAAAAAGAGAATTGCATGTACATTTTCATAACCTCTTAACTTTTATGTCTGACGTATTTTGGTATAGTTCCTTTTGGATAGTACCACTTTACAGGTAAAATATATATTTTTTAGATTACTAAGACCTCTAAAATTTTTATTAGCAACAAACATGAGAGTGACCTATGTACAAAAATTTCTTAAGGGAATTTTTTTTCTCTAGTTCTGATGATACTCATGAAGATGTGTTAAAGCCAGATGCTGGTGTTAGTGAATAATTAAAGCAAGTCTTGGACAGGTCAAATTTGTATGAAATTCCAAGTTACAGCCACAGAAATTCTTCAGACTCAGGATGACTTCTTTGCTCCCTGGAGCTCTAAACCAATGCTAATTTTCATGGCTGGCTTAAATGTCAAATAAAGACTCAAACACATTTTAGTCACACCCTAGAGGTCATGCCAGCATCTTAGGGTAATTTTAGATGAAACAAGGTAAAAATAACAAGCTGGGCTTTAGTGGATTAATGAAAAATTTAAAAATAAAAGCACACTAGATCCTTTTTCTACCTGCTGATTAAAACTTTTCCTAACTCTGATTTGTACTTGATTGCTTTAAGATTCAATTTATGGTTTAAACATTCTTTTTGTTAGTATTACAGTAGCAGGGAGAAGAGAGAGGAGACCACACAGGTTTCCCCAGGAGCTACAATACTGGTCACAGCACAAACTGTGTTTTCCTCACAGAAGGAAACCAAAATTTGGGAGGTTGTACTATTATCTGCTAAGATAATAGAAGGGTAGAGACAATTTGGAGGGTAGCAGAATATGGCACCCCAAAATATGCCATGTCAGGATTATGTGCCATATTATGCCAAAATGTGCCAAAAATATGGTATAAAGATTATTTCAAGATGAAAGCAATCAAGAAGCAGCAGATACAAGAAAAGCTCTCTGCTCTCCCCCTTTGCCTAAAAGCAGGAGATAAATATATAAAGGTATTATTTTCATTCCCCTCTTACCTGGAAGGACAGAAGTTAATCACTGAAGACTATTCCAGACTTATCAGTCAAGAGAGGGCACCAGAGGAATCTGCATGACAAGCTTTACTAAATAGTCCTTATTTTCCATTAGTTCCCCCATATATTTGCTTTCCCATCATTTGCCATCCTAGAAACTCAAAGTCCTTTTCCTTTGTCTTGTCACTTCTTTAAAAATGTACTGTTCTTTTGTTAAGATGCTATGTGAGCTCAAGTTCTAACCTCCTCTTTCAGTTACTCATCTCCCATGAATAAGAGGGATATACATGGTAATAAACTTCTGCTTGTTTTTCTCTTGTTAATCTGTCTTTTGTCAGTCTGACTTACAAGGCTCCAACCAATAAATCTAAAATTGATGGAGGGAAAAAGAATTTTACACAATTTACAACCAAATTATTGTAAAGAATTCTTTTTTAGTGTGAAGCATTTTATAATGGTAACTTTATAAATGTCTCTCTGGATAGTCTCTTTAAGCTCTATGAAAATGATTTTATGTTTGTTTATTTTTTTGTCCTTTGTTTTAATGAATCAGTTGAGCATGTTATTAGCAACACTAATACCTGAAGGTAGGGATAGTATTATGTAGGCTGCAGAGTTCCAGGCCATATCACTAAGGCATCCCAGCTTACTCTTACTGTTCTTGTGTTGAGCAAAAATGAGATTTGGGGAGAATGTGACCTAAAACACACAAATGAATCTTAAAATCACCAGCCCAAGAATAAGAAGGAAACTCTGTCTAAAACCATATCTCAACAATTCTAATCACCAAAATGTTGCAAAATGGTGGAATTTCCCCTTGCCCCTTTACTGTGGGAATATTTTTATTAGAAGTAGGTAGAAATAGCACTGAAATTATAGATTGCTATACATAGCTATGAGGAGGACCCACCCAAAATTCTGGCTGATAAACAAATTCATTTTATTTCTATTATTCTTTCATTGTCCCTTTTACTTAGTCTTTTTTTTCTTTAAGTAATTACTGGGTATGTTTTATGTTCTTAATGTGTTAAGTGTTTAAAAGAAATCAAGGAAATATATGAATTCCTTTCTACAGCTTAAACTTTATTAAGAAAAATGAGATCTAGGCCCATGAAATAGTTACATAACAATGCAAGACAGCCTTGAAGTGAAAAGGGAGAGGACAATGGAGGCTTCAGAGTTGCTGAAGATATTGTAGATGAGATAAGAATTCAAATGGATGTTAAAGAGCTAATAGAATTCGAGTAGGCAGAGAGGGCATTCCAGGCATTGGTTTGCAGGAATTTATCTAACAAAGGAGACATTTCCACCATGAATCATACATATAATCTCATATTCTTAGATATACTAGCATTCAGCTCTTTGCAAGGCCATCTACGTGGCTTGATAGACAGACTGTGCTAATTTTGCTTGCCTCATGTGCATTCTAATCAAACATGTTCTAATGAATTCTGAATACTGTGAAACAGAAAAATTCACAAAGTGCTGCCCCATAGTGAGAAGAAGCATCCTGCATTGAAAGTGTAGGTAATGTGTTTCAACACAATACCTGTGTGCTTATATTCTTCTAAATGTTTCTAAGCATTATAACTGTTTTTTCAAAACATTTTTCAAAATGTTGTATAGTGATATTTAGAAGTGCTAAACCTAAATTTTTCTAATAGAAGTCTTTAGTTTTTCTCTTGGAATAGGGTATTCTATCTTTTGATCTATCAGTGGACAATAAATTTAAAATGATGCTTTTAAACGATGGCATTTCAGTGAGCTCTGCAAATCACTAGGACTACCAGGTAAATTTGATTGTTTGCCACATGACAAACTTAGACATGGAAGACTGTCCTAAGCAATTGGGGAACACAGCTTGGGTAAGTGCACCCTCAGAGGACACCATCTTCCTATGTGAACTGGCCTTTCTGCAGAATTAAGTTGTGTTAATATTTTACAGTGTCCTCCCATAGCCTCCCTTCTAACTTGTCCTGATCCCTGTGACCAAGCACTGGTCAAGAAACACAATAAGAGTGTATGCATAAAATGTAAAAGTTAATTCATCCAAAGAATCATGTATCATTATGTAGATATGAGTGCCTTTGTGTATTTATACATTATATGTACATGCACACATATATAAATATATAGGTAAACTTATGCATATATATTACAAAAGCATCATAAATACAACTATTTGAAATAAGTGATTCATACCATTTAAAAATTTCTAATTTTTATAACTATAAAAGGGAATCTTGGACCCCTTATATTTGAAATGTAAAACTATTCCCCTTTCCTCCTTTCACACGATTTGTTATGATATTTGTGATGGTTAATACTGAGTGTCAACTTGATTGGATTGAGGGGTACAAAGAATTAATCCTAGGCATGTCTGTGTGGGTACTGCCAAAAGAGATTAACATTTGAGGCCGGGCGTGGTGGCTCACGCCTGTAATCCCAGCACTTTGGGAGGCTGAGGCGGGTGGATCACGAGGTCAGGAGATCGAGACCATCCTGGCTAACACAGTGAAACCCTGTCTCTACTAAAAATACAAAAAATTAGCCGGGCATGGTGGCGGCCACCTGTAGTCCCAGGTACTCGGGAGGCTGAGGCAGGAGAATGGCTTGAACCCGGGAGGCAGAGCTTGCAGTTAGCCGAGATCGTGCCACTGCACTCCAGCCTGGGCGACAGAGCCAGACTCCGTCTCAAAAAAAAAGAGAGAGAGATTAACATTTGAGTCAGTGGGCTGGGGAAGGCAGATGCACCCTTAATCTGGTGGGCACAATCTAATCAGCTGCCAGTGACTATAAACCAAGCAGAAAAATCTGAAAATGAGAGACTGGCCTAGCCTCCCCGACAACATCTTTCTCCTGTGCTGGATGCTTCATGCCCTCGAATATCGGACTCCAAGTTCTTCAGTTTTGATTTTGGGACTGGCTCTCCTTGCTCCTCAGCTTGCAGACAGCCGTTGTGGAACCTTGTGATCATGTAAGTTAATACTTAATAAACTCCTGTATATATATGTACGCATGTGTGTGTGTATATACATATATATATATATATATATATATATATATATATATATATATACATACACACATAAAATGTGTGTGTGGGGGTATCCTATGAGTTGTCTAAGAGAACCCTAATACAATATTTGAATACAATGTATTTCAAAATTTATTTTAATATGTGCATTTTAATAAAGTTTAACTACTTTTATCTTATTTAAGCCCCCAAACTAGTATCTCACTTGCCATTGCTTGCTCATATACATAAACATGGCCACAAAAATGCCTTGATTGTTATCTTGTTACAAGCTTCATAAAACAGAAGGTTATCTCCACAAAAAGTACCTTACCTGAGATCTGGATAACTCTTCCCCAAAACAGCAAGGACACATTTCTCTGATTAATCTTATTTTGTGCTTATTAGGTGCATATTTGCTTTCCTTTTAGTGTTAATGTATTATGTCAAATGTATTTAAAAGCATTCCTAGATAATTTTATGATAATTAATGTATTTATCCTTTTAACTACCTTTCCAAAAAACATCATGGATAGTCTAATAAAAGTTGTGAAAATCAACTGTTACTGACAGCTAAAATTCTAAAGAGTACACATTTGATAAATCATTATCAAAAACTGTTAGGGGACAGGATGCCCTGGCAAGCTCAGAAAATTTAATGTGTCTTACTATATATAATATGTTGACTGATAATACCACAGAAAATAGGGTGCAATGAAATGTAACTAAGAAGATAATAGTAACCATGATTTATCTATCTAAAAAGAACTTCAGAAATTTTTTATATCTGATATTTATTATTATCATTTTATACTGTGCTACTAAAAAAAATCCCTGTTTATTTGAAGTTTAAGATTTCTATGGTTTGACTATGTCTCCTAAAGTTTATGTATTGGAAACTTAATTGCCATTGTAACAGTAGTAAGAGATGGGACCTTTAAGAGATAATTCGGCCATGAGGGCTCTATCCTCATGAATGTATTAATGTGGTTACCATGAGAGTGGGCTAGTATCACAGAGTAGGCTCCTGATAAAAAGATAAATACAGCCCCATTTCTCCCTGTCTCTCGTCCTTGCTCACCATGTGATGCCTTCCACCATTGGATGACCCTTGCCAGGTGCCAGTGTCATGCCTCTTGGACTTCCCAGCCTCCAGAACCATAAGCCCAATAAATTTCCTTTCTTTATATATTATCCAGTCTGTGATATTCTATTACAGCAGCAGGAAACTAAAACAAGGTTCTTTAAATTCTTGCTAATTAAATGTCCGTGGAAATTAGTGAATAAGATTGCCAAGAATATTGGAAAACATCTTTGAATATTATCATTTTAGACCCATTTTTTCCAATGACTAATATCCTTCTGCAACCATATGGGCAGAACCTCAAGATGATTTAACTAGGCCATGTGCTTGAGATTTTGAGGCAGTTATGAGAGTAATAAATGCCTCCACAACTTTCTAAAAGAAATAGAAACAGTAGCTCAGTGAGCCACTTGAAAAGCCTGCCAAACTAAGGCAGAGACAAGAATATCTCCAGGTAACTATGGTAAAATGGTACATGCATAACTAAGAAAGATTAAACAAATCACGAAACAGACAAGTAAAGGGAATTCTTGGTAGACAAAAGTATATTTAGCCTGTGTTTTACAGCTGACTTCCCTAACAATTGAGAACGTTTTCAAAACATGCAAATCCCAAGGAAAAAAAACAATAATTTTTACATTTGGCTTTTCTCAATATCCTTTCAGGGAAAATTTCAAAATATTATTTGAAAGGCATTGGTAAAGTTAACCACAATAATTTGCTAAGCACTCATAACAATACAATAAATATTAATAAGATAAATCCTGAGACAGAAAACTGTCACGGACATTGTTCTTGTTTAATAGAAATATGTAAGATGCAGGATAGTTTATAGCTGTAAATACTTATTCCAATAGAATGAAAATGATGAAGCAGGCAATTGTGGTAGATCAACTCTAATGTGAATGGCAAGAGATTTCTGATCTCAATCAAGAATTGATTTCTCTTGAATAAAAAGTGTTCCACTTTATGATAAAATTTAAAAAGAGAGAAATGAGCAGAAGAGGAGAAGATGAAAGAAAAACTGAAACTCTATGCATGCTAACAGATTTGGGAGGAAAGTCATATAAACAAAAGTCATATAAAACAAAAGTCATATAAAACAAAAATCATTTAGCTAGCAGTTTTTTTAGTTTAAAAAACTGGGATAAGAAGTCATTGATGCACTTTTGGCCTTTGTCTGGAGCCTTCACATTATGGAATCATTGTTTTTCCTTCTCACAGGCAGCTCTAATTCAAGCATTTCATAGTTGATTATAGATTAAATAACAGAGTTATTTTACTTTAACCTCTGCTTTCAGTTGTTCCAGATCAGTTTTACCTTAGTTGAGTTCATTATTAAATCCCTCAAAGAGATACCGAAGCTGACTTATGCTGGCTCACACAAAACCACTGATTATGAAATTTTCAAGAATTTTGTGAGTTGGCTCTAACTGTTGGTAGCTTAAAATTGGCTATAGTGGAAGTATTTACACCACGGAAATTGGCAAGCACTATAGATCAGGGCTTTTTACCAGCACATTTCTGTCCTTCACTCACCTATTCATCCAGACCCTTTAAACATCCAGTCATGTTAATTGTTCTGCTTTGGAAATGAATGTCCAACAAAAAAGACATTAACATTTTCACCCACACAGAAAATATTAATTAAATATTGCATACAAAGCACTATGCTAGTACTTGAGACAATAAAGAGCTATGTGATACGTTTCGTGCCCTGAGGAGCTCAAAATCTCTTCTGAAATGGAGATTTACATATAATTTTTAAAAATGCAACACAATGCTGCCTAACAGAAGAGCCAAATGAATAATCAAGAGAATTCATTTGAATTTTATTTCTATGGGCGTTGGCAGAGAAAGAGGCTCAAACGGGAGATAAAGTCAGGCATGGAAGAAGCATAGGATGCCAAAAAATGGAGCGGATACCAGAATAAAGTGATAACAGGTACCTGGCATGTCTATAGGGAAGATTAATCTCATTTCACTGGAAAATACAGTTCAAATTAGAAGTAGTATGGCACAGTAGAAAAAGCCTGAGGTTTTAGAGACAGAGAAATCTGGATTTTAATCCACCCTCACAGTTAATAACTGTGTAAGGTGACCTTACCTCTATCAATCTCAATTTTCTCATCTGTAAAATGGGGATAACTTTGTTTTCAATGTTCTCATAAGGATTAAATGAGTTGATGTGTAAAACATCTAGTACAGGACACGATACACAGGAGACACTCAAAAACATTTGGAGATGGTTTTGTCCCTCTCCAAAACCTCATGGTCATCATCAGTAATTAATGAGAGTTTGCTTTGGAAAGTAAGTTGGAATTCAGGTTGTGGAGCTCACCGATATTTTTTAGGCAAAATTGACTAAATTTTGTTAATTACTAGGGAGACATTGAAGGGTTTGAACATGGGGATGACAGGTATTTAAAAAGAACTCCATGACTATAGTGCATGAACAGTGACTTGGAGTTACATAGACTTGAGTTCTATAATGTGAGTTGGCTGAATTATTTGAGACCACTGAATTCTGCTATTGGAAAAGATGGAAATCATTAGAAATGTTCAGCATAGATAATAAGTAGCTCTTGGCTTGGAATAGTCAGGTGAAATTCATAGGCAGGGGCAATTTCATAGGCCTGTGACCTGCACTGTTACAGGACCCCATACTCACATGGGCCCTGTGCTTAGTTTTATGCTCTGCTATTGTCATTGTTGGGAAGAAATTATAATTTTTCTGAACCCTCGTAAGTTTTTAATTGAGACAGTCTCCTGTAACAAATGACAGATTAACAAGAGAAAAACAAACAAGTCTATTAATACATGAACATCACGCAGGTGAAAAGTAACTCAAGGCAGTGTGGCTTAGAATCCCAGCTAATACAAAGTATTCAACAAGATCAATACATTGTAGAGAAGTGACAGGACAAAGAGGAAAACAGCCCTAAGCTTCCAAAGGCCAGAGAACTGTGGGAAAGAGTCAAGTCTGTTCCCAGATTTTTCTGAAGCAGGCTCTCAGCTGGTAAAGGTTGTAAAGGAGAATTTACATCTTGTCTTTAGGCAGGAAAGGGGAGGAGGAACATAAAAGACCTTTTGTTTTTGTAATTCTCTGTCCTGCTTTTAGGCAAATAGAAGAGGCAGAGAGCTTTTCTGCATGTGCTTCTTAATTCCCTTCAGCTCAAAAATATTTACGTCAATGAGGCATATTTAGAGCTGGCATATTCTGGTTTCTTTCATCATCTTAAAATTCTTAATAATAGAAATTCTTAAGTATTTTTTAACAAGGGGCCCCCCATTTGCATTTTACATTACATCATGCAAATTATGTAGCTGGTCCTGCACATAGGATATGTTAAATATAGCTAATAAGTAAACATGTACATATGATGCATAGGCATGTTTGATGTGTTCACTACAGATAGCAGGTAAATTAGTAACCTGTAATATCTGCCAAAGAAAGACAGAAAATAAATTTTTAAAAATATATATGATGAACAAACAAGAACATTACAGTTAGAAAGAGATGAAAAGACCAAATCATTATCCTGACACTTTGGGACTGAGATACCTGTCACTGCTAACTTGACCAGCCATTGGTGTCATCCAGTTTGTTCCTCTTGCATCTGCTCTGTCCAAGAAATGCAGACACAACTCCTGCAATTTCAGCAGGCTAATCACAAGCTACTGCTATGATCAGGCGTACTTGTCCTGTGTCATTCATTCCAATGGAGCTTGTACCTATCATTGGCCCAAGTAATCTTTATTATGTGGCCCCCATTGGGACCTCAGTCCCCTTAGCCACACTATCAGCAGGATGAGAGAGACAGGGCACACGAACACTGCAGAACACAGGATACAGAAGTGTGGTCCTGTTGCCCATGATCTCACGATATTGCTACTTTATCCCATGTCTTACCATAACCCATCTCTTTCCCCTTACTTCTCACTGTGCTTTAAATAAGCTTACTAAGCCATGTGATTTGAGCATTTTAATTTGGTATGTGAACTTCAGGTTTGTGACTTCTGGGAGAGCTTGCTTGGTAGTGTACTTAGAGACCTCCATCATACCAAGGTAAGTTTCCACACAACAAGCTTAAATTGTGGATCTATCACTTATTAATTGTCTGACAATTATTTATCCTCTCAGAGTTTCAGTTTCCTTATATGTAAAGTCAAAATAGTAAAACCTACCTTGAAGGAGGGTTAAGAGGGATAAAGAAAATTATTATGCTAGGTACCATGTTACATGCTTGTATCTATGAGCTTATTTAATTATCTCAATAACTTTATGCAGTAGTACTTTTATCTCCATTCATAGTAAGGAGACTCAAGGATGTAGAGACTAAGAAACTTGCCCACAGCATAATGCTTGACACCTGGTATGAACTTATAAAATAGCAGAAAAATGGGATGTCAATGTTACCTTTTGATGGACAAAATCTAGATGCATTAATTGCCTATATACTCTCCATTCTGCAGATGAAAAATTGCTATACTCAAGATACCTGTAAAGTACAAGAACTGAAGGCCTGTGCTTTGGTTGAGTTATTGGTTAAAAATAATCCAGAATGAACTGCTAGGAAAAAATGGCAGATAGGAGTCAGGACTAAATTGCAGCCCCCACTTGGATGGATAGAATAGAATGTGGAGACTTGCATTGTGAACTTTTGTTCCAAGAACTGCTGCAGAAATATACTGGGAAAGTCAAGAGAATCCACAGACCATTTGAAGGAAACAGGTTGCTCCTGCAGGACTTGGGAGACAGCCCAAATACTGTGAGTGCCCAAACTGCAAAAGTGGGAAAGGGAGATCATCCCCTGCCCCGAATATACACACTCACTGGGGAACCTAAAGGTCCAGATCACAAGAGAAAGATTTGACCTTACCTGGAGCTGAGACAATTTAGAGAGCTGAGTGAAACACAAGGGTAGAAGAAGCCACAGGAAAAGCCATGTGGGTTCTCCGGGTCCCCAGAGAAGCAATTTCTGACTTGTCTCACAGGAGTCCTTGAGGAGGGCTGCCAGAGGAACTGGGAAAAGACCACAGGGAGAAGGAAACCTCCAGCTGAACTCTGTAACGATTCCAACCAAATGTGAAGTTTCCTGGCCAGAACTTGGGGGAGGATGTGAATCCGGTGACAGGCAGGGAGGTGGCACAAAAGCCCCGCTTGCTTTCTCAACCAGGAGGCTGGTAACCTGGGGCAAGTTCTCAGCCCTACTTGCCCACTGCCTGAAAACAATCTCAGTGCTGTTGGAGGGGGCACAGTGGGAATGAGACCAGCCTTTTGGGTTGCATGGGAGCTGGGTGAGGCTATCAGCTTTCTCCACTTTCCTGACAACCTGCATGACACAGCAGAGGCAGCCATAATCCTCCTGGGAACATAACTCCATTGACCTGAGAACCACACCCCTATCCCCACAGCAGCCACAGCAAGCCCCACACAAGGAGAGTCTGAGGTCATTCGTACCTAACCCTGCTCCCACCTGATGGTCCTTCCCTACCCACCCTGGTAGCTAAAGACAAAGTTCATATTTTCTTGGGAGTTCTAGGGCCCCCACCCACCACCTGATCCTCCCCTATACTACCACAGCTGACGTACTCTTGAAAGCGCCACCTCCTGGCAGGAGGCCAACTAGCACAAAACTAGTGCATTAAACAACTACAACTAAGGCACCTCACAGAGTCTGTTTTACTCCTCTGCCACCTCCACTGGACCAGATGCTGGTATCCACAGCTGAGAGACCTAAAGATGGTTCACATCACAGGACTCTGTGCAGACATCCCCCAGTGCCAGCCCAGAGACCAGTAGCTCCACTGGGTGGCTAGATCCAAAAGACAAATAACAATCACTACAGTTTGGCTCTCAGGAAGCCACATTCCTAAGAAAAGGGGGAGAGTACTACATCAAGGGAACACCCCATGGGACAAAAGAATCTGAACAGCAGCCTTGAGCTTCAGATCTTTCCTCTGAAATAGCCTACCCAAATAAGAAGGAGCCAGAAACACAGTTCTGGTAATATGACAAAATAATGTTCTTTAACATCATCAAAAAATCACAATAGCTCACCAGCAATGGATCCAAACCAATATGAAATCCCTGAATTGCCAGAAAAAAAAATTCAGAAGGTCGAGTAGTAAGCTAATCAAGGAGGCACCAGAAAAAGGTGAAGTCCAACTTAAGGAAATAAAAAAATATGATACAAGATATGAGGGGAGAAATCTTCAGTGAAATAGATAGCATAAATATAAAACAATCACTACTTCAGGAAGTAAAGAACACAGAGAAATGCAAAATGTACTGGAAAGTAAAAGAATTTTAAAAAATGAATAAAGCCTCCAAGAAGTTTGGGATTATGTTAAATGACCAAACCTAAGAATAAGTGGAGTCCCTAAGGAAGAAGAGAAATCTAAGTTTGGAAAACATATTTGGGGGAATAATAGAGGAAAACTTCCTCAGCCTTGCTGGAGATGTAGACATCCAAATACAAGAAGTTCAACGAACACCTGGGAAATTCATTGCAAAAAGATCATTGCCTAAACCTATAGTTATCAGGTTATCTAAAGTCAAGACAGAGGGAAAAATCTTAAGAGCTGTGAGGCAAAAGCACCAGGTAGCCTATAAAGGAAAATCTATCAGAGTAACAGCAGATTTCTCAGCAGAAACCCTACAGGCTAGAGGGGACTGGGGTCCTATTTTTATCCTCCTTAAACAAAACAATTATCAGCCAACAGTTTTGTATCCTAAGCTTCATAAATGAAGGAAAGATACAGTCTTTTTCAGACAAAGGCCAAGAGAATTTGCCACTACCAAGCCAGCACTATAAGAACTGCTGAAAGGAGCTCTAAATATTGAAACGAACCATGGAAACACATCAAAACAGAATCTCTAAATCATGAGTCTCACAAGACCCATTAAAACAAAAATACAATAAATAAGTAAATAAATAAAAAACCAAGGTATTCAGGCAACAGATAGTATGATGAATAGAATAGTACCTCACATCTCAATACTAACATTGAATGCAGATGGCCTAAATGCTCCACTTAAAAGATATAGAATTGCAGAATACATAACAATTCACCGATTTGCTGGCAAGATGGCAAAACAAGAACAGCTCCAGTCTGCAGCTCTCAGCAAGATCGATGCAGAAGGTGGGTGATTTCTGCATTTCCAACTGAGGTACCCAGTTCATTTCATTGGGACTGGTTGGACAGTGGATGCAGCCCAAGGAGGGCAAGCCAAAGTAGGGTGGGGCGTTGCCTCACCCAGGAAGTGCAAGGGATCAGGGAACTCCCTCTCCTAGCCAAGGGAAGCCACTATGGACTGTACCACATACACCGGCCCAGATACTGCACTTTTCCCATGGTCTTCACAACCTGCAGACCAGGAGATTCCCTCCAGTTCCCACGCCACCAGGGCCCTGGTGCTGGGTTTCCAACACAAAACTGGGCTGCCGTTTGGGCAGACACAGAGCTAGCCGCAGGAGTTGTTTTTTCATACCCCAGTGGTGCCTGGAATGTCAGTGAGACAGAACCATTCACGCCCCTGGAAAGGGGGCTGAAGCCAGGGAGCCAAGTGGTCTGGCTCAGTGGGTCCCACTCCCACGGAGCCCAGCAAGCTAAGATCCACTGGCTTGAAATTCTCGCTGCCAGCACAGCAATCTGAGCTCGATCTGGCATGCTCGAGCTTGGTGGGGGGAGGGACGTCTGCCATTGCTGAGGCTTGAGTAGGGGGTTTTACCCTCACAGTGTACACAAAGTTGCCAGGAAGTTCAAACTGGACGAAGCTCACCACAGCTCAGTAAGGACACTGCACCCAAACTGCCTCTCTAGATTCCCTCCTCTGTGGCCAGGGCATCTCTGAAAAAAAGCCAGCAGCCCCAGTCAGGGACTCATAGGTAAAACCCCCACCTTCCTGGGACAGAGCACCTGGGGGAAGGGGAGTTTGTGGGTGCAACCTCAGCAGACTTAAACAGCCCTGTGTGGCAGCTCTGAAGAGAGCAGCAGATTTCCCAACACTGGGTTCCAGCTCTGATAAGGGACACAGTGACTCCTCAAGTGAGTCCCTCACCCCCAGGTATACTGACTGGGAAACACCTCCCAGTAGGGGCTGACAGACACCTCATACAGGAGAGCTCTGGCTGGTATCTGGTGGATGTCCCTCTGGGACAAAGCTTTCAGAGGAAGGAACAGGTAGCAATCTTTGCTGTTCTGCAGCCTCTGCCGGTGATACCCAAGTGAACAGGGTCTGGAGTGGACCTCCAGCAAACTCCAGCAGACCTGCAGCAGAGGGGCCTGATGGTTAGAAGGAAAACTAACAAACAGAAAGGAATAGTATCAACATCAACAAAAAGGACCACTCAGAGACCCCAGCCGAAGGTCACCAACTTCAAAGACCAAAGGTAGATAAATCCACGAAGATGGGGAGAAACCAGTGCGAAAAGGCTGAACATTCCAAAAACCAGAATGCCTCTTCTCCTCCAAAGGATCACAACTCCTTGCCAGCAAGCGAACAAAACTGGATGGAGAATGAGTTTGACGAATTGACAGAAGTAGGCTTTAGAAGGTGGGTAATAACAAACTCCTCCGAGCTAAAGGACCATGTTCTAACCCAATGAAAAGAAGCTAAGAACCTTGAAAAAAGGTTAGACAAATTGCTAACTGAAATAACCAGTTTAGAGGACATAAATGACCTGATGGAGCTGAAAAACACAGCACGAGAACTTCATGAAACATACACGAGTATGAATAGCCGAATCGATCAAGCAGAAGAAAGGCTATCAGAGATTGGAGATCAATTCAATGATATAAAGCAAGAAGACAAGATTAGATAAAAAACAGTGAAAAGAAATGAACAAAACCTCCAGGAAATATGGGATCATGTGAAAAGACCAAATCTATGTTTGATTGGTGTACCTGAAAGTGATGGGGAGAATGGAACCAAGTTGGAAAACATTCTTCAGGATATTATCCAGGAGAACTTCCCCAAGCTAGCAAGGCAAGCCAACATTCAAATTCAGGAAATACAGAGAACACCACAAAGATACTGCTCAAGAAGAGCAACCCCAATACATGTAATCATCAGATTTACCAAGGTTGAAATGAAAGAAAAAATATTAAGGGCAGCCAGAGAGAAAGGTTGGGTTACCCACAAAGGGAAGCCCATCAGACTAACAGTAGATCTCTCTGCAGAAACCCTACAAGCCAGAAGACAGTGCCAATATTCAACATTCTTAAAGAAAATAATTTTCAACCCAGAATTTCATATCCAGCCAAACTAAGCTTCATAAGTGAAGGAGAAATAAAATCCTTTACAGACAAGGAAATGCTGAGAGATTTTGTCACCACCAGGCCTGCCTTACAAGAGCTCATGAAGGAAGCACTAAACATGGAAAGGAACAACTAGTACCAGCCGCTGCAAAAACATACTAA
This sequence comes from Homo sapiens, assembly GCF_000001405.40. Lineage (NCBI taxonomy): Eukaryota > Metazoa > Chordata > Mammalia > Primates > Hominidae > Homo > Homo sapiens. The sequence goes on along the minus strand of NC_000009.12, from coordinate 72,714,875 downwards.
ATTGTAAAGACCATCAACGCTATGAAGAAATCGCATCAACTAATGAGCAAAATAACCATCCAGCATCATAATGGCAGGATCAAATCACACATAACAATATTAACCTTAAATGTAAATGGGCCAAATGCCCCAATTAAAAGACACAGACTGGCAAATTGGATTAAGAGTCAAGACCCATTGGTGTGCTGTATTCAGGAGACCCATCTGACGTGCAAAGACACACATAGGCTCAAAATAAAGGGATGGAGGAATATTTACCAAGCAAATGGACAGCAAAAAAAAGCAGAGGTTCCAATCCTAGTCTCCGACAAAACAGACTTTAAACCAACAAACATCAAAAAAAGACAAAGAAGAGCATTACATAATGGTAAAGGGATCAATGCAACAAGAAGAGCTAACTATCCTAAATATATATGCACCCAATACAGGAGCACCCAGATTCATAAAGCAAGTCCTTAGAGACCTACAAAGAGGCTTAGACCCTCACACAATAATAGCATGAGACTTTAACACCCCACTGTCAATATTAGACAGATCAACGAGACAGAAAATTAACAAGGATATCCAGGACTTAAACTTAGCTCTGGGCCAAGCAGACCTAATGGATATCTAAAGAACTCTCCACCCGAAATAAACAGAATATACACTCTTCTCAGCACCACATCGCACTTATTCTAAAATTGACCACGTAATTGGAAGTAAAACACTCCTCAGCAAATGCAAAAGAATGGAAATCATAACAGTCTCTCAGACCACAGTGCAATCAAATTAGAACTCAGGATTAAGAAACTCACTCAAAACTTCACAACTACATCGAAACTGAACAACCTGTTCCTAAATGACTACTGGGTAAATAATGAAATTAAGGCACAAATAAAGATGTTCTTTGAAGCCAATGAGAACAAAGAAACAATGTACCAGAATCTCTGGGACACATTGAAAGCAGTATGTTGAGGGAAATTTATAGCACTAAAAGCCCACAAGAGAAAGAAAGAAAGATCTAAAATCGACACCCTAAAATCACAATTAAAAGAACTAGAGAAGCAAGAGCAAAAAAATTTAAAAGCTAACAGAAGGCAAGAAGTAACTAAGAGCAGAGCAGAACTGAAGGAGACAGAGATACAAAAAGCCCTTCAAAAAAAAAAAAAATCAATGAATCCAGGAGCTGGCTTTTTTGAAAGATCAACAACTAGCCAGACTAATAAAGAAGAAAAGAGAGAAAAATCAAGTAGATGCAATAAAAAATGATAAAGGGTATATCACCGCCGATCCCACAGAAATACAAACTACCATCAGAGAATACTATAAATACCTCTATGCAAATAAACTAGAAAATCTAGAAGAAATGGATAAGTTTCTAGCCACATACACCCTCCTAAAACTGAACCAGGAAGAAGTTGAATCCCTGACTAGACCAATAACAAGTTCTGAAATTGAGGCAGCAATTAATAGCCTACCAACCAAAAAGTCCAGGACCAGACAAATTCACAGATGAATTCCACCAGAAGTACTAAAAGGATCTGGTATCATTCCTTCTGAAACTATTCCAAACAATATAAAAAGAGGGAATCCTCCTTAACTTATTTTATGAGGCCAGCATCATCCTAATAGCAAAACCTGGCAGAGACACAACAAAAAAAGAAAATTTCAGGCCAATATCCCTGATGAACATCAATGCAAAGATCTTCAATAAAATACTGGCAAACTGAATCCAGTAGCATATCAAAAAGCTTATCCAACATGATCAAGCTGGCTTCATCCTGGGGATGCAAGGCTGGTTCAACATATGCGAATCAATAAATGTAATCCATCACATAAACAGAACCAATCACAAAAACCACATGATTATCTCAATAGATGCAGAAAAGGCCTTCAACAAAATTCAACAGCCCTTCATGCTAAAAACTCTCAATAAACTAGGTATTGAAGGAATGTATCTCAAAATAATAAGAGCTATTTATGACAAATCCACAGCCAATATCATACTGAATGGGCAAAAACTGGAAGCATAAGCATTCCCTTTGAAAACCAGCATAAGACAAGGATGTCTTCTCTCACCACTCCTATTCAACATAGTATTGGAAGTTCTGGCCAGGGCAATCAGGCAAGAGAAAGGAATAAAGGGTATTCAGTTAGGAAAAGAGGAAGTCACATTGTCTCTGTTTGCAGATGACATGATTATATATTTAGAAAACCCCATTGTCTCAGCCCAAAATCTCCTTAAGCTGATTAGCAACTTCAACAAAGTCTCAGGATACAAAATCAATGTACAAAAATCACAAGTATTCCTATACATCAAAAACAGATAAACAGAGAGCCAAATCATGAGTGAACTCCCATTCACAATTGCTACAAAGTGAATAAAATACCTAGGAATCTAACTTACAAGGGATGTGAAGGACCTCTTCAAGGAGAACTACAAACCACTGCTCAAGGAAATAAGAGAGGACACAAACATGGAAAAACATTCCATGTTCATGGATAGGAAGAATCAATATCGTGAAAATGGCTATACTGCCCAAAGTAATTTGTAGGTTCAATGCTATCCCCATCAAACTACCATTGACTTTCTTCACAGACTTGAAAAAAACTACTTTACATTTCATATGGAACCAAAAAATATCCTGCATAGCCAAGACAATCCTAAGCATAAAGAACAAAGCTGGAGGCATCACACTACCTGATTCAAACTTATACTACAAGGCTACAGTAGCAAAAACAGCATGGTACTGGTACCAAAACAGATATATAGGCCAATGGAACAGAACAGAGGCCTCAGAAATAACGCCATACATCTACAACCATCTGATCTTTGACAAACCTGACAAAAACAAACAATGGGGAAAGGATTCCCTATTCAATAAATGGTGTTGGGAAAACTGGCTAGCCATATGCAGAAAGCTGAAACTGGATTCCTTCCTTACACCTTATACAAAAATTAACTCAAGATGTATTAAAGACTTAAACCTAAAACCTAAAACCGTAAAAACCCTAGAAGAAAACCTAGGCAATACCATTCAGGACATAGGCATGGGCAAAGACTTCATGACTAAAACACCAAAAGCAATGGCAACAAAAGCCAAAATTTACAAATGGGATCTAATTACACTGAAGAGCTTCTGCACAGGAAAAGAAACTATTATCAGATTGGACAGGCAATCTACAGAATGGGAGAAAATATTTGCAATCTATCCATCTGACAAAGGGCTAATATCCAGAATCTACAAAGAACTTAAACAAATTTACAAGAAATATCAAACAACCCCATCAAAAAGTGGGCAAAGGACATGAACAGACATTTCTCAAAAGAAGACATTTATTCAGCCAACCAACATATGAAAAAAAGGCTCATCATCACTGGTTATTAGAGAAATGCAAATCAAAACCACAATGAGATACCATCTCACGCCAGTTAGAATGGTGATCATTAAAAAGTCAGGAAACAACAGGTGCTGGAGAGGATGTGGAGAAATAGGAATGCTTTTACACTGTTGGTGGGAGTCTAAAGCAGTTCAACCATTGTGGAAGACAGTGTGGCAATTCCTCAAGGATCTGAAACTAGAAATACCATTTGACCCAGCCATCCCATTACTGGGTATATACCCAAAGGATTATAAATCATTTTACTGTAAAGACACATGCACACGTATGTTTACTGCAGCACTATTCATAATAGCAAAGACTTGGAACCAACCCAAATGCCCATCAATGATAGACTAGATAAAGAAAATGTGGCACATATACACCATGGAATACTATGCAGCCATAAAAAAGGATGAGTTAATGTCTTTTGCAGGGACACGGATGAAGCTGAAAACCATCATTCTCAGCAAACTAACACAAGAACAGAAAACTAAACACCACATGTTCTCACTCATAAGTGGGAGTTGAACAATGAGAACACATGTACACACACTGTGGCCTGTTTGGGGATGCGGAGCTAAGGGAGGGACAGCATTAGGAGAAATACCCAATGTGGATGACGGGTTGACAGGTGCAGCAAACCACCATGGCATGTGTATACCTATGTAACAAACCTGCACATTCCACACATGTACCCCAGAATGTAAAGTATAATTTAAAAAAAAAGTATTCACCAACTAAGTATCTGCTGTCTTCAAGAGACTCAACTAACACATAAGGACTCACATAAAGTTGAGGTAAAAGGGTGGAAAATTACATTCCATGCAAATGGACACCAAAAGTGACCAGGAGTAGCTATTCTTATATCAGACAAAACAAACTTTAAAGCAACAGCAGTTAAAAAATACAAAGAGGGACACTAAATCATGATAAAAGGCTTTGTTCAACAGGAAAACATAATCCTAAATAAATATGCACCTAACACTGGAGCTCCCAAATTTATAAAACAATTACTACTAGACCTCAGAAATGAGATAGACAGCAACACAATAATAGTGGGGGACTTCAATACTCCACTGACAGCACTAGACAGGTCATCAAGACAGAAAGTCAACAAAGAAACAATGGATTAAAACTATACCTAGAACAAATGGACCCAACAGATATTTACAGAATATTCTACCCAACAACCACAGAGTATACATTCCATTCATCAGTGCATGGAACTTTCTCCAAGATAAACCATATGACAGGCCAGAAAACAAGTTTCAATAAATTTAAGAAAACTGAAATTGTATCAAGTACTCTCTTAGACCACAGTGGAATAAAATTGGAAATCAAAAGAAATCCTCCAATCCATGCAAATACATGGAAATTAAAGTACATGCTCCTGAATGATTGTTGGGTCAACAATGAAATCAAGATGGAAATGAAAAAATTCTTTGAACTGAACAATAATAGTGACACAACCTATCAAAACTGCTGGGATACATCAAAGGTGGTGCTAAAAGTTCATAGCATTAAATGCCTACACCAAAAAGTCTGAAAGAGCACAAATAGACAACCTAAGGTAACACCTCAAGGAACTAGAAAAACAAACCAAACCCAAATAGTAGAAGAAAAGAAATAACAAAGATCAGAGCAGAACTAAATGAAATTGAAACAACAACAAAAATACAAAAGATAAATTGAACAAAAAGCTGGTTCTTCGAAAAGATAAATAAAATTGATAGACGATTAGCAAGATTAATGAAGCAAAGAAGAGAGAAGATCCAAATAAGCTCTATTAGACATGAAATAGGAGATATTACAGCCAACACCACAGAAATACAAAAGATCACTCAAGGCTACTATGAACACCTTTATGCACATAAACTAGAAAACCTAGAAGAGATGAATAAATTCCTGCAAAGATACAATCCTCCTAGCTTAAATCAGGAGGATTTAGCTAGAATCAGAATTAGAAACCCTGAACAGACCAATAACAAGCAATGAAATTGAAATAGTAATTTAAAAATTACCAACAAAAAAAAGTCCAGGACCAGACAGATTCACAGCTGAATTCTATCAGACATTCAATCCTATTGACACTATTCCACAAGAAAGAGAAAGAGGGAGTACTCCCTAAATCATTCTATGAAACCAGTATCACCCTAATACCAAAACCAGGAAAGAACAAAACAAAAAAAGAAAACCACAGACCAATATCCCTGATGAACATAGATGCAAAAATCCTTAACAAAATACTAGCTAACCAAATCCAACACCATATCAAAAAGATAATCCACTATGATCAAGTGAATTTCATACCATGGATGCAGGGATAGTTTGACATACACTTGTAAATAAATGTGACACAACACATAAACAGAATTAAAACAGAAATGACATGATCATCTCAATAGATGCAGCAAGAGAGGATCCCCCTCCCTCTGCATGGGGGTGGTTTTCTCTTCTTTCTTTTGCCTATTAAACTTTCTGCTCTTAAACACCCACCCCCCCGAAAAAAAAATAGACACAGAAAAAGCATTTGACAAAAACCAGCATCCCATTTTGATTAAAACCCTCAGCAAAATCGGCATACAAGGGACGTACCTCAATGTAATAAAAGCCATCTATGACAAACATACAGCCAACATAATACTGAACAGGGAATAGTTGAAAGCATTCCCTCTGAGAACTGGAACAAGACGAGGATGCCCACTCTCACTACTATTCAACATAGTACTAGCCAGACCAATCAGACACGAGAAAGAAATAAAGGGCATCCAGATTGGTAAAGAGGTGAAACTGTCACTGTTTGCTGATGATGTGATCATATACCCAGAAAACCCTGAAGACTCCTCCAAAAAGCTCCTGGAACTAATAAATGAATTCAGCAAAGTTTCAGGATACAAAATTAATGTACACAAATCAGTAGCTCTGCTGTTTACCAACAGTGACCAAGCTGAGAATCAAATCAACTATTCAACCCCTTTTACAATAGCCACAGGAAAAAAAAAAAAGTACTTGGGATTATACCTAACCAAGGAGGTGAAATACTTCTACAAGGAAAACTACAAAACATGGCTGAAATAAATCACAGATGACACAAACAAATGGAAATACATCCATGCTAATGTGGTTGGGTAGAATCACTATTGTGAAAATGACCATACTACCTAAAGTAATCTACAAATTCAATGCAATTCTCATCAAAATACCACCATCATTCTTCATAGAACTAGAAAAAAAATTCTAAAATTCATATGGAGCCAAAAAAGAGGCCACATAGCCAAATCAAGACTAAGCAAAAAGAACAAATCTGGAAGCATCCAATTACCTTCCTTCAAACTATACTATAAGGCTATGGTCACCAAAACAGCAGGCTACTGGTATAAAAATAGGCACATAGACCAATGGAATAGAATAGAGAACCCAGAAATAAATCCAAATACTTACAGCCAACTGATCTTTGACAAAGCAAACAAAAACATAATGTGGGGAAAAGACACCCTATTCATTCAACAAATGTTGCTGGGATAATTGGCTAGCCACATGCAGGAGAATAAAACTGGATCTTCATCTCTCACCTTATACAAAAATCAACTCAAAATGGATCAAGGACTTAAATCTAAGACTTGAAACTATAAAAATTCTGGAAGATAACATCAGAAAAAACCTTCTAGACATTGGCTTAGGCAAAGACTTCATGACCAAGAACCCCAAAGCAAATGCAACAAAAACAAAGATAAATAAGTGGGACTTAATTAAACTAAAGAGCTTCTGCACAGCAAAGGGAACAGTCAGCAGAGTAAACAGACAACCCACAGAGAGGGAGAAGGTCTTCACAATCTCTACATCTGACAAAGACTAATATCCAGAATCTACAAAGAACTCAAACAAATTAGCAAGAAAAATACAAACAGTCCTATCAAAAAGTGGGCTAAGGTCATGAATAGACAATTTTCAAAAGAAGATATACAAACGACCAAAAAACTTATGAAAAAATGCTCAACATCACTAATGATCAGGAAAATGGAAATCAAAACCACAATGTAATACCACCTTACACCTGCAAGAATGGCCATAATCAAAACATCAAAAAATAATAGATGTTGGCATGGATGTGGTGAAAAGGGAACACTTCTACACTGCTGGTGGGAATGTAAACTAGTACAACCAATATGGAAAACAGGGTGGAGATTCCTTAAAGAACTAAAAGTAGAACTACCATTTGACCCAGCAATCCCACTACAGGGTATCTACCCAGAGGAAAAGAAGTCATTAAACAAAAAGGATACTTACACATGCATGTTTATAGCAGCAGAATTCACAATTGCAGAAATATGAATCCAGACCAAATGTCCATCAGTCAATGAATGGATAAAGAAATTGTGGTATATATACATGATGGAATACTACTCAGCCATAAAAAGGAGTGAAATATTGGCATTTGGGCCTGGCATGGTGGCTTACGCCTGTAATCCCAGCACTTTGGGAGGCCAAGGTGGGCAGATCACCCGAAGTCAGGAGTTCAAGACCAGCCTGGCCAACATGGCAAAACCCCATCTCTACTAAAAATACAAAAATTAGCTGGGTGTTGTGGCACATGCCTGTAATCCCAGCTACTCAGGAGGCTGAGGCAGGAAAATCGCTTGAACCTGGCAGGTAAAGGTTGCAGTGAGCCGAGATCACGCCACTGCACTACAGCCTGGGTGACAGAGCAAGATCCCATCTCAAAAAAAAAAAAAAGAAAGAAAGAAAAAGAAAAAGAAAGAAATATTGGCATTCACAGCAACCTGGATACAACTGGAGACTATTATTCTAAGTGAAGTAATTCAGGAATGGAAAACCAAATATCATATGTTCTCATTCGTAAGTGGAAGCTAAGCTATGAGGACGGAAATGCATAAGAATGATACAGTGGTCTTTGGGGACTCTGGGGAAAGGGTGGGATTGGGATGAGGGATAAAAGACTACAAATTGGGTTCAGTGTATACTGCTCAGGTGATGGGTGCACCAAAATCTAATAAATCATCACAGAAGAACTTACTCATGTAACCAAATACCACCTGTTCCCCAAGAACTTACTCATTTAACCAAATACCACCTGTTCCCCAAAAACTTATGGAAATATAAAATTTAAAAAAGAAAATAATCCAGAATGGTTTGAGGGTATGTTGGTGGGTGTGTTCACACGCTTAAATGTCCTCTTGTATAGCATCTTTTATTCCTTCACAATGACAGATGAGAGAAAAACTAAAGTATAAACCATGATTCTTGCCTGTGAAAATCTTAAGCTACAAGAAAACAGGAGAGAAAGGGTGAGAATGGAAGCCAAATAAATAGTTTTCCCAAAGTTTTCCCAACAGCTCCATTAGAGGAAATCAACCATGGTCTGTTTTCACTTTCCTAAAAATGTATTCATTCTCCCAACTAAAAAATAAAACAAAATAAAAAACAAACAAACAAATGAAAAGAAGTGTGAAAAGATCAAGGGAGATTGAGTAAGGAGGAATGTTACCTTAATGGCCAGCTGACAGTTTGAAGCACCTGTTTAAGTGTGAATGAAATCTGAGGATAACTTTCCTGGCTTTACTGGGTGTCTCATTAATAAATCACCAGGCCTAGCCAGCCAATGGACAACTCCCAGAAACAATAGGTCAGGGTACTACAAAGCTCAGAAATTAAAGTAGTCAGTATAATAGCTAAATAAACATTTTTGTTATCAAAATAAATCATTTTAAAATGGTGTCTATCCAAAAGCCAATTCCCTGCAAAAGTATACTTGGAGTGTTTCTGTATCCTAATTTGTAGACTCATGAAATGTTAGAACTGTCCCTTCTCCAAAATAAGTTTCTTTAAATATCCAGCTAAGTGGGTTTTTAAAACTGTTTTTTATTTTAATAGCCACAGAAGCATTCTTTCTTCCAATCAATGCTTTATATGGAAGTACACTGTGTAGAAGAGAGAAACCATAGGTCTGTTTTTGAAGCCGGCATTGTGGCCCAGTAGCTCTCCCTGCGACCTCTGCCTCCTTTGCCCTGATTTGATTTCACCAAACTGCTTGACTTTGGAGGATAGCAGTTTGAAGACCATGGTCCACAATCCAATTTATCTGTTTTATAAATGAATAAATGGAGGTTCAAAGAGAAGTTATAGGAAGCACTTAGCTCAAAGTCCAAGTCTCAATTTTCAGTCTAAAACCTATTCTACTGTAACAAAATAAGGTGGTTGCTTATTTAGGTTTAGTCATGAGCACTTTCAATCTACCACATATAATGTTCTGATACAGTTAAAAGTCTTAGGTTTCAAGACAAGTAATAAGTAGACCTGTTACTTTCTACCTGGGTATTTTATTTCACTTGTGGTGGCTGCTATCAGGTAAGTGCTGCGACCTCTTATAGGTAGGAAAGATCTAGTCATACAGCCTCTGAATTAAACCCATGAACAGCTTAAAAACAGATTATACTTAGTATTCTCATTAATGGATATTTTTAAATGATGTGATTAATAAAATATAGAAATTGACTTTCAAATAATTGGAAAATATGACACTGTTTCCCTTACCCCCCTCCAACTCCCTACACACACTCTTCCTCATTGTATAAATCATCTGTAGAGCTGAGTATTCTGTTTAGTGGAGCTTTCTGTCTCTCAGAATTGAAAACAGCAGCTTTCATTCTGACTATATATCAGTAATTTTTAGATCAAAAAATAAAAATATACATTTCTGGTCTGGGCCAGACACACCTGCCTTTCCACCAAGAGATTATCATTCAGTAGGTTTAAGGCTACAGGAATGTGTGAAATTGTATTGATATACAATAAAACATAGAATGAAAATCACAATTTCCACAGTGATGATGAAAAGGAGATGGCTTCCTTTCAGCTGTATAGAGCCAATTCTGCTATCTTGAAAATGCTGAACTCTAGCTCCTGAGCCATGTTTGAGGATTAATATGGATTCACAACCAATTCCTAGAGCTGCCTGCCTATGTAGCAACCACTTATATTAACCATCTTTTGATCCTAAGCCCTGAGTGTGCTCGGGTTCCTAATGGTAGATGCTCTTTAAAAATGTGGGAACTATCTCTGAGTCTCCCATAACACCCTCAGAACCATAAGTTGCCATTCCTGAGGCTTACTCTAAAATATATCTTAAAACCCTGACACTGTCTAAAATATCTTTTAGAAGTTTCAAAACTTTCTCCAAGTCCAGAACAAGAAGGCTTCGAACCCAGGCACAGATTCAAAGCTGTGATCAAAACATCTCTTTCAGTTACACTGAGCTTAGTATCTTGGGTTTCACAGACTTAGCCAGGAGCGATGATGCAGGCTAATTTGGGGAATATTAATAACATAATCCTTAGAAACACGCTCTCAAAGTTAGATGTCTCTGAAAGAAATAAAGGGTAGAGGGAAAGCTGCCTCACTCCCAAGCATTGGTGGCATTGGGGTAGAGAAACATTTACCTGCACGTTCTGTGAAGTACTGACCACTTGTTCTAATAATGTAGTTGGAATCTGGTGGGGAGAAGCTCAATAGAACATTCAAAAAAAGCTCAATAGAGCATTCAAAGAGAGATAAGTCAGGCACTTAAGTACCAACAACTTCATCACGGAGACTGAAACCAAAAGAATTAGGCTGGCCCCGGCCATGGCACCAGCTGGAACCCATAGGTGCGGCCACAAGGCAGAAACCACTTCTGGCCATGGAAAATCATCACCAGACTGTGAGCCTTGCTGACATGTGAGAAGCCACAGTTGTTTCTTTTCTGGGACTAAATTTGTGCTTCCATTCTGTGAGCTGACTTTGGCTTTGAAGATCTGAATCACCGTCTTGGTAACATGCCTAGCTTGTTCCCCAGCTGCACTGGTAGGAGGCAGCAAATCTGAATGTCTACAGGGTCCAGCCAAGCAGCATAAACAAGTAATATGGATTGTTTGAGAATGGTGCAAATTGAAAAAGGAATGCCCCATTAATAGAGGCCAGGTGCTTAGTCCTAGCTGTTACTGTGATGGAAGAATGTAGGACCAAATCTTCCACTTGTTCATGAAAAGCTGAACATCTGAATATTTTACTCCCACTTTTAAAAGATTGAGGCTGGGTGCAGTGGCTCATGCCTATAATCTCAGCACTTTGGGAGGCTGAGGTAGGAAGATGGCTTGAGGCCAGGAGTTCGAGATCAGCCTGGGCGACATAGTAAGACCCCATCCCTACACAAAAAGAAAAAATTAGCCAAACATGGTAGTGTGCACATATAGTCCCAGGTACGTGGTAGACTGAGGCAGAAGGATCCCTTGCTCCCAGGAGATTGAGGCTGCAGTGAGCTAAGATAGCACCACTGCACTCCAGCATGGGCAACAGAGTTAAGACCCTGTCTCGAGAAAAAAAAAGTAATTTAAATTTTTAAAAATATTGAAAAAAATTATGATAAAGAAAATCGATTTCATGGTTAAAATGGTGAATTTTGTATTGTATATATTGCCACGGTTAAAAAAAATAAAAGAAAAAGAAACAAAACACATGTGGGCCAAATAAAAAAACCTATGTCTAGATTAGAGTCAGGTGCGGTCTCCTTATTGTCAGTGTCTGCTTTCGTACTAAGGGCTCGTATTGTCCTTCTTTCCAATGCTAATGCCTATCTCTCCCCATTGCTAAAATTTGCTTAACTCTTGGACTCCAGACCAAGGCCTGAGACCTTGAAATCTGCCACAGAACTATGGCTATGTTTTAGAAGATCTGAGAACGGTCTGGTCCTGGATTTTGCTAAATTGTCAAATGCCTTACTTCCTTCTGTTGCATCCTCAAAATCTTATTGTTTATCCAAACTGGTACCAATGTGTCACCATCCCACAAGGCTTCTGGGGTCTGATTGTGACTAGGTCTGCTCCCACCTAGACTTGCCAGGTCCCAAATTCTCTCCATCTCTCTTGTCACCCTTCAGGAATTGGGCATCAAGTCTGTTCTGAGATGAAGTAATAACTACAACTTAGGTTTCCCAGCTATGTGCCAAGTTCTGGCAACATGTTTTACATAAATTATCTCATTTTATAATTCCAAAAACTCTGTCAATAAGGTACAATTTCATAAGGAACCTGAGTTGTGTAGAGAGACTACACAACTCGATCAAATGTGCACAGCTATTAAATGGAAGATCTGAGATCCTAACTCAAATCTGAAGCTGCTGTCTCCTCCACGATCCTGCACGAGAGATACGGGCAAAGACCAGGGGGGTATTTCTACACCTCCATGCAGTTGGAAAGGAAAGGTAGTCCTTGGAATTTTTATTCAATCATATATTTTGGAAGTTCACAATATTGCTCCAATTTTAAACTTTCTATATATAGTTATCTGAAGTTCCCAAGTTTGGGGACTTTATGGGTCATTAATATTTCAAATATATTTGAGAGGCCCACATAGGGTTGCCAAACTTCTATTTTGCCAGGTAAGAATATTTTTAAAACCTATAATTTAGCATCATTATCACTTCGCTAAATGAAAATTATTTTAATGTACAGACACATGAGCATGCATACACAAAATTTGTAGCTCTGTGGAACGTAGGATGCTGCTTGCCTTTGCCTTCATTTATGATGGATGTGTACATGAGCATGCAAAGGGAGTTCCCAGACTGCAATTTTGTGGTGTTGCAAAAGTTTTCTGGGAAAACCATTGTTTAGAACTTGGAAAACCTTACTCTACAAAACAAAACAAAAATACTATAAATGATGGCTACGCTTCAAGCGCACAGAGAAGATATAGAATATCTTTCTTTATTTTGGATATGAGGTAACTAAGGCTTCAGGAGATTAAGCGATACCTTTAAATAGCACACAAGCTCTTGCAGAACCAAGACTAGAAGTGAATTATCCTGATAGCTATTTCAGTTCTTGTTTTCATCATCAGAGACAATAATACTATACTATCATTTTTACAGCATTACTAGTTAAATAGGCTTGTGAAGGGATAGTTTTTAAAACTTACTACTATTTATAAAAATGATTTATGGAAGAATGCAATCTTTGGCAAAACTAGGAGATGCAAACATGGCTGTTATCACAAACAGTTTCCCTTTTCCCTGCCCTTTCCTCCTCTCCCAACCACCAGGGCAGGGAAATATAGTGTGATCCTCAGGGGTGAATCTTCCCATCCCCCAGAATAGGATAATCATTTGACTTTTCATATGAAGAGTTTATAAATCTGTGTGCTCTGACTGCGTTCGCGTCCACATTAGCATCAACATAAGACTGAAATTGGGTCACTGACATGTTCGGGGAATAGCTATTAGCATAACCTTTAATTGGAATCCTATTTACTATTCTGTTGGCCTAGCATCTTCTCTGTGCTTTAATGTAAGCTGTCACATGAAAAGTTCATTTGAGACCAGGGCCCTGAAGAGAAACAAGAGTGCACAATCCACACAAACTTGTAAAATTCAAATATATTATCTCTTTCAAAGAGATGGTAACAAATGTATTAAGCTAAGGAAACTCCAGTTTAAGGAACAAATGATTAAAGATGACCAAAGAATTTAAAAGACTCTAAATAATTTCTCAGAGTTGCTTCCAATTTATAATCATTAGCCCAGTCTCTCTAGTGATAAGAAACAGATATATGTAAATATACATATATTTGGGTATATATGCAGAAATATGATATACATGTTTATGACTGTGACCATTATATATAATGAGTCATATATAAATGATATATATAGTATTACATATACTATATATACAGTGTATGTGTGTGTGTGTGTGTGTATGTGTGTGTGTGTGTGTATATATATATATATATATATATATATATATGGAATATTCAGAGGATTTAGAAAATCAATATCAGGGAAAGTGTTTCTACTTATAAAAAGTGGCACCATACTTGAGAACTTCAATTTTCTTCTCCATCTTCCATGGTTTGCATTTGACAGTAGCAATTATTTGTCTTTTCTCATCTAACTCTGCCTTCAATCTTTCCAATTCCTCTTCATCAATTTCTTCTTCTTCTCTTTAAAAGTAAAAAAGAAACACCTTAATAAAGTTAAGCTTTGCTTGACTTTGGAACTTAAGGAAGGCAGGTATCAGATATTTAGCTCATTTTTTTTAAATGTAACCATATGCAGTCAACATTAGGACCCATAAGCATGAGAACTCAAATCTGAACACTGATGCAGGATTACTGGAACTATTATAACTTTAAGCAGTAGTGTTTGCCTTCCTGAATCTGAATCTAAGCCATTCTGTTTTTTTCTTTTCTTTTCTTTTTTTTTTTTTGAGATGGAGTTTTGCTCTTGTCACCCAGGCTGTAGTGCAATGGTGCGATCTTGGCTCACTGCAACCTCTGCCTCCCAGGTTCAAGCAATCTACCTCAGCCTCCCGAGTAGCTGGGATTACAGGCGCCCACCACCTAGCCCAGCTAATTTTTATATTTTTAATAGAGATGGGGGTTTCACCATCTTGGCCAGGCTGGTCTCGAACTCCTGACCTCAGGTGATCTGCCCACCTCGGCCTCCCAAAGTGCTGGGATTACAGGCATAAGCCGGGCTTTTTTTTTTTTTTTTTTTTTTTTGAGACAGAGTCTCGTTCTGTTGCCCAGGCTGGAGTGCAGTGGGACAATCTCGGCTCACTGCAACCTCCACCTCTCAGGTTCAAGCAATTCTCCTGCCTCAGGCTCCCCAGTAGCTGGGATTACAGGCATCTGCCATCTTGCCCGGCTAATTTTTGTATTTTTATTAGAGACAGAGTTTCACCACGTTGGCCAGGCTGGTCTTGAACTTCTGACCTCAGGTGATCCACCCTCCCCGGCCTCCCAATGTGCTGGGATTACAGGTGTGAGCCACCGCACCCGCCCTAAGCAATTCTTTTATGTCTAGAGCCTCAAACTCTCTGAACCAGAAAATCTGTGGAAAGAATAATTACAGATATATCAAGATATTTCCCTCTCTTCTTTGTTCCCTTGAATACCTTCCCTCAATTCTACATTTCGTTTAAATATTTTATTTCTCAATAAGGATAATAAATTAGGGGTGAAGATGTCTTTGCCCTTAAAAATTTTGTTAGCCCTGTCTCAAGAGAAAGAAAGAAAGAAAAATTGAAATCGGGAAAAATAAAAATCTATTTCTCAAAGGTAACTTAATGTTATCTGTTAATTAAACTTATAACTTCATTTGGTAAAATTCACCTTGAAATATATTTGGTGGAAGTGAATCCTTTGAAGAGATCTTCAAAGGAATTTAGTTCCTACTGAGCATGAGATGTAGCTTTTCTTTTCTGTGTTCCTAGTATTACGAAAACACTATGCGGTCCAGAACTCAAAGGAAACAAAATCTAAACAAGAGCAACATAATTTTAAATCGAGGCATGCAATACCACATTGTAGAGATCAGCTTTTTGGTAATAGATTATTTCAGTTTTTAAGCTATTGTCCCAACTTCAAACACACCCTCCTACACTTTAATATTGTGGTGCTGGGGCTGGTATTTTGTGAGTCATATTTCTGCTTTGTTAGCTGGGTCAATATATACTCTGACAATAGGGGATACTGAAGAGGGTCTCCGTCTTTCCTGTGGCTTCCTCTCTGCTTCATATTTGCTTTGTGGGGTGACACTTCCTCCTTAGCATCTCTTCTTCACTCCTGGAGCTGAGCGTCCTTGCCATACTGCAAGTGAATCCTTATCACCAATATTACCAACACTAGCAGAACCAGCTTCATCACCTCTCCCACAGAAACCAGCACCACAGAGCATCAGCCCCTCTGCAGAGGCCTGAGTTTTAGCTCCTAGGGTCTTTCCTCTACGCTACAGTGTTTTCGTTTCAACCCTTTCCATTGTTCCTCCAGCCCTTGGGATGGTAGCTGCTTCCAGTAGTTACCGTCACTATGATACTTTAGTGTTCTCTTTTTACCTTTTCTGCAGTCTAATTAACATTTATACCTCCTAACAATTCACTTATTAAATTCTCTCTGTTCAATTAACTGTTGAAGTTTCTCCCCTCACTAGATATTGACCAATAACAAAAATTGTAATCCAATTCAGTATTACTCAGAAAAATAATTTATGACTAGATACAGTAGAAATAAGGCAAAAGCTGCTTTTTAAAGTTCTAGTTGAGGAAAAGGACATATCCACAGTTTTATAGTTCACCTTACAAAATGACTTTCAATCTCCTTTATTTGCCACCAATTTATAGTTTTTAATCATGCTATGATTACTGAAACAAAAATTCATATTAACCCTTTAAAATAACACTTCCTATTGACAGTTTGTTTTTTGGACAATTCAAACATTTTGCTTAGAATAATCATTTTGGTTCAAGAGAACCAGGGAAGTACACTCTTCTAAGATACATCTCTGATAGCCATTGGGTTGTTTCTATTTTCATTATTTGGTGTTTATCATATAAAAGCCTATGATGCTGTGTAGCCATGGCATAAAATATTTCAGGATTTTTTTTACTCTATCTATATCCACAATTTTTTTTTTTAATTTGCCAATTAGAATGATATGTGGGTTAGTTTGTCTTAGGAGGTAAAGATGTGTTTTAATTAAAATGATCACAATTGTTTCCATGCAAACATAGGAATAACTTTAAATTACATAGATAGCAGTTTTATTGAAATATTTTCAGAAACTAGCAAAAATAAAATAAAACAGATGGCAAGAAATTATCAGTAATAAAGTCAATTAGAAAAAATCTTTATGATTAATAATTTAATTGCTTGATATGTTAAGCCTTTAACTTGCCAACCATTTCAAAATAATTCATGATATTTACATATAATTACCTTAAAGCTTTACACTACTGAACTTCCATTAAGAATCACATGTAAAACAGCATCTCTAATCCAACATCACCAAAGAATGAAAGAATTATCTATTTGATGTGTGGATTTGCCAGGTAACTAAACCTACAGGCCAACTTTCAGAGACCCTTTAATAGAAACAATTCTAATACTAATTAAATAGTTTATAAGTTCAGCTTGTCCAAATTTCAAGTCCTTTAAAAATCATATGAAATGTCTTTAAGAATCCCTTTTCTAACTATCCCTGTGAGAACAGTTTTCACTTCTCTGAGACTCCAAGCTACTTTGTTTGTATTTCTCTGGGACACATATACTTTCTTATGTCATAATAATTTGTATCTAAGTGGCCTATCCCTTACTATATTATGGACTTTTGAAGATTGCAAGATTGTGGGCAATTACATGTTCATATCCAAGTATCCCAAAGATATAAGCAAATTAGGTTGCACAAAAGTAGAGCTGGGTAAATAACTTATTGAATGAACATATGTATACAAAACTTTTCTGGATTGCTCAGGGTTATCATCATAAACCCAGTGCTCAAAGTACACTAAAATATAACAACTACCTCTGAGATTATTATGGTATGGAAAGACGTTTATTCCTGTACTAAATGACCCCAGATTGGTATATCTTTTAAGTCTCTGTTGTTAATTGTTTATTTCACCAGGAGGATCAGGCTGTGTTACAGGGTACAGTTGTTGACACATAAGTTACCCTCAAATATGAAGGTAATTAAAATACTTTTCTAATCAGCATTACAGGAAACCTGCTTTTCTAGAATCACTCAAAGAAAGGGCTAATCATATTAAAAGGCATAGGCATGCCTCATCTAAATTTTCAGGCTAATCTGTGCAAGAATGGTTTTCTATCTTAAGTTTGATATATTTAAACAACAGTTGTTAGGAAGAAGAAGGCATAATATGCTGAATTTCTCACTGCTATGAATATATTACTTATCCACTTAAAACTGGGTCAGGAAAAGCCTGTAATATTACTGGAAATACTCCAAAATGTCTAACAAGGCAGTGTTTTTTTAACTGCCTCCAAAGATAGTTAGCATTACAACCTTGGTTTTAGTTGGTTTCAAATGTTGTGTCAATGCAAGGGAAATTCCCTGAGGCATTACTTGAATAGTTAAATAAAAAATACCCTGAATTAATTAACCTACATAAATGTGCCCTGATTTGGCTACTAATCTTTCTCAAAAATATTATCTAAGATTTTCTTTTAAAAAAAAGATGTTTATCTTCAAAATGAACAATAGAAAATAGACTCTAAAATAGAGAACAGAACTATCAATAATCACAACTAATTTCTGATACTATTTATAATAGATGCACAAATTGTCGCAGCAAAAATACAATTTGCAAAACCTATGGAGAGAGTTGGGTTATGTGGAAGAGTGGGAGGTAAGGGATCTTGATTCTCAAGATCAAAATGAAAGTGAGGCCAGCTAGGAAGAGACACTGTCATAGCCACAGGATCCAGTTGCTTCACATGGCCCCATTTCCTAGAAGTTGAGCAGTTGCCATGAGGGCCATCAGCAGACGAAGAGAGCAGAGGAATTCCTGTCCAACTCATCTTTTTAAAAGGATTTTTTTGCGGCATAAATAGAGAGGAAAAGCAAATTTTGGAACACAACCTATATCATGCATACATCAATTGGAGATGTTTTCTCAATGAAATACCACTGTTGGAAAGCATAAGCTTTGCTAAATAGGAACTATTACTACATAATAATGGAACTAACAATCATAGTAATACATGGGACATAAAATGTGTTGCATTTTATTTTTGAAAGGAATAAAGCATAAAGAAACTTTAAAAGCAGATATAAATAAAAAATACTAGAGTCAAAATTTAAAAGCAAGTTTTGTCTTGGTATTCAAAAGGGAGAAAGGAAAAGCTGGGGAAGAGGAGGAGGAAAACTTAGACATGAAGTAGATGGTGTTATTCTTATTCTAAAAGAAACCATTTTTTGTTAATGCTAAGCTTCTCTACTTGACAAATTTTTCATTCAGTTGTTTTTAATGACAATCATTTATAAGGAATAACACAATAGTTAGAGCTATTGAGTATAGAAGTGTGTCATCTTGGGAGGACATCTTAGAAAGTTCCTCATGCTTCAAAGTCCTAGGAGTGTTTGGAGGAGATTCCACCACCTGATGGCGACTCGCATGGCCCTATTACCTGTGAGTTGTGGAACAGGTTGGCTGTTCTCTTGCATTCTTTCCAAGGGGTCTAGGTTTTCTCTTTAATTAGAGGTGTTTTACACGTACATTTTTCCTACCTGCCTGCTATCTGCAAATTTCCAAAAAGCAAAAAGAAGAAAAGTATTTTCTTGGATTTTTCCTAAACAGCATTTAATGCATTATTCTACACAAAGTCAGCGTTTACTAAAATGTTTTCCTGGTGGAACTAAAAGATATTGAGTTGTATTAAAAAGAAAATGACAACCCAAATCCTCTGTAACAAGGGCTAGCACACTTTCTTTCTATAAAGGGCCAAATAGTTAATATTTTAAGCTTTGAGTGAGATGTACAACTCTGTCCCATATTTGTTGCTTTTTATTAATGACCCTTTGAAGCTGTAAAAACCATTCTTACCTCTTGGGCTGGATTTAGCCATAATTTTCCAACCCCTGCTCTGTAAGATAAAGTGATGTTTGCTCACTATTTAGGAGTTTCTACTTAACCTAGATAACAATGCATACAATTAGTGGGGAAATTTTAAAATCTTTAAATTAACTGTAATATGTCAACGACCTATGATAATTCAGATCCTTCATAAGAGAATTTCTCATGGTCCATTTTTAATATATATTCATTTTAAAATTCTATTTTAACCATTAAAATACATTTAATTAAGTAGAATAAAATAGCATCATCAGATTAAGGCTCTCTTTCTAAAAGTAGCTTTAATTACCAATTTTAAGGTCAAAGAGTATCTGAAAGGAGTGATCTTCTTCAGCATTGGAACTTTTGAAAGAATATCAGAACTAACTTACGCTCCTCTCTTTAGCCTCCTCCTCCTCTCTTTTTCTCTTGCCTTCCTTGTTTCTTCATCCTCTGGTTCAGGTTCTGGGTCATCCTCATTGATAACATCTCTGGTCCGTTTCCTCTTTGGTCTCAAGCTCTCTCTTCGAGGTAGCTTATCTTCCACCTCCTCTTCCTCTTCACCTAAACATAGCACTTGATTCAATGAGTAATGTCAGAAAGTGCTTCCTCCCACTACCAAGCTTATTCTTAGTTTTTAATAACTATTATTACACATCTGACAGCACAGTCTAGCAATTCTCCACATCGTGATGGGATGCATCATGGAATACATATTTCATAGCCCATCATTTAAATAAATGTATCTAGATTTCCATTTCCATTGTGGTTCACCGACTCAAATAGGTGAATGTGGATTCCCAAATTTTAATAAGTTTTTGAAGAAGTTCTGGTCTTCATTTACTTGAGTAACTAAATAGCTTGGTGGTTAATATCATACCATGACCTCTAAGACCATTCAAATAAGTCCAAGTTTAGAGATTACCATTCCATTACATAATTGTTGAGTGATTAACCACTTCATATTTATTACTACTTCTATCTTAGAACAAAGAAGAGGAACGTTAAAGAGGTGCTACAAACTAGAATAATTTTGGAGAAATTCATTCAACCCTTGAGGTTCCTCTCAATTTAAATTTTCTTCATTCTTGATTCTAAATATTTTTCTCCTTTTTCCTCAATATTTTTGTTCTTTTCTTTAAAAAAAAAAGTAGTATACACATTTGCTTGATCATTTATTTCTTATGAATAGAAATAGGTAACATAAATTTAATGTAAAATTGAGAATAATGACAGCATTATTTTGTTTCATCATCAACAACAATGAATGCCTCATGTGTTCATAACTTTTTAGGATGCTTCCAGGTAAAGAATAGAGAGATAATTAAGATAAATTAAGATAATTAAGATAAAATTTCCTTCACAAAGTTTATAACATAACATTACTATTCCAGTTTCATTTCTATTGCTCCTAACTTCTAACATTTAGCATAAACTACTGTAAAAAATTAAATATTACAGTTATCATTACTCTCTTAAATAGAGGCTACCCCAGAGAAAAAATTATATTTCAATGGAAAACTATGAATTATCTGCAGCATACCTTTCTGTGTTATCTGATTCTGATTTTATGAGAACTATATGACAACTTTGAAAATTATACATAACCATATATAGCAATACAAAACACTTTTTATCTGTAGACATCCAAATGAACTCTTTCCAAAGGAGAGACAAGCCCCCTTTCAAAAACAACTTTGCCTTCATTTGTACAATCATTTCAATATTTATTATCTATAAATGTATCTATTCTTTGGACGTTCCTTTGAACTGATTATAGCATCTCACAAGTTGTTTTATTAGTTAAATATGTTCTTTTCACATACGTGTGAGTCATCATTTTATTTTTTCAAAATTATCTTTAATTACCACTTGTTAAAACTTTTTTATTGATATTTCAGGTATAAGATCTAAATATTACATATATTACTAAATGTCAGGTAGCAGAGAGTAAAAAACAGAATAACTTCACTTTTTTTTTTTTTTTGAGACACAATTTTGTTCTATCACCCAAGCTGGAGTACAATAGCACAGTCTCGGCTCACTGCAACCTCCAGCTCCAGAGTTCAAACGATTCTCTTGTCTCAGCCTCCTGAGTAGTTGAGAATACAGGTGTGCGCCATCATACCCAGCTAATTTTTTGTATTTTTAGTAGAGATGGGGTTTCACCATGTTGGCCAGGCTGGTCGTGAACTCCTGGCCTCAAGTGATTCACCTGCCTTGGCCTCCCAAAGTGCTGGGATTACAGGTGTGAGGTATCGCACCCGGCCCATAATAACTTTTCTAACTGGGCTTGGAAAACTGTATATATATTCTGTCATCCAAATCAAGAACGAGTTTCTGTTTGTTTAATATTGTGGCAAATGTATGTTATTTGAACCCCATCATGGCATTCTGAATATTTACCCTGCTTTTATTAGCCACATTAGTCACTAATTAAAGAAAGGACAAAAACTTGACAGGAGGCAAGAAACAATTTACCCACTAATAACTCACAAACCCAAGCAGCTACTTGGTACTCTGAATTTTAGTATTTTTTGTATTAAAACTAAACTACTGGGATGACATCAACAAGATGACAAAATAGGAAGCCCTGGACCCGCCTTCCCTCCATGGACATAAAAGTTCAACTACAATGTGGAGATAAGCTCCCTTCGTGAGAAATTCGGAAACTAGTTGAAAGGTGCCTGAACCCTAGATGAACACAAAATCAGCTAGGTAGCTGGTAGAAAAATCTGACACACCCTCACACCATAATCCCTCTCTGCTAACACAATACCATACAACTGGGAGAAAACCATCATCTCCCAGTCTCTCCCTGGGGAGGGGAGAAAACAACTGAACCATGTGTTCAACATTCTGATTTTTCTGGAGGTTCCCAAAGGACTGGTTTCTGTCTTGCCAGAATCTGAGCACTGACAGGAAAAGACCTCTGGTTAGGAACCAATGAGAGCAAAGATAGCCGTTTGAATAGTATGCCTCACTCAAATAGCCACTCCCCCAATTTAGCACAGAATAACCAGATGATAAACACCAAATCTGCACCTCTCTGGGGAGAAAAACAGTTGGATAGTGCATCTAACACTCCAACTTTTCTAAAAAATGACTGGACTGGCTTCTGTCCCACTTGTCTCCTAGAGCACTAATAGGACCCAGCATATTCTAAATGGCCCAGGGCCATGGAGAACAAAGGTGAAGTTTTGAATTAGTTTGTACTCATTCACCAGAGCCCCTTCCCCCAGTTCAGCATGACACAGTTGGCAAGAATTCCAGCCCTTGACTTGCCCCTGAAATGGGAAATAAAAGACTGAAATATATACCCTGTGTTCAGACTTCTCAGGAGGCTGCCTAAGGGAATGACCAGTCTCAGGGCATGGACAGGACCCAGCATACTGTTGATGCCTGGGGACTACTGGAAACAAAAAAAAGAACTCAGGACATGCTGCTTCCTCAGAAGACACATGTTATGACAGAAGGACACTGGAGGGAACAAGAGATTATGAATTCTTAAAAAGAAAAAGTCAACTGAAAAATCCCTCTTATTGAGAATTTACACACACAAGTCCAGAGACGATGCATACACAGGAAATGTTTGAGAGGCCCAAGAATCTCTGGCCTGCCTCATTGGTGAAACTCTTCTCCTGTACAAGGCTAATCCTTCTCCTGAAGGCTGGGAAAGGAATCTGTTTTTTCTAATATATGGATACCAAAACAAACAAACAAAATCAAGAAAAATAAAGAAACAGGAAAACATACCCCAAACAACAGAAGATAAAGCTCCAGAAACCAGCCCTAATATAATGGAGATATATGAATTACTTAACAGACTATTAAAAATAACTCATAAAGATGCTCAACAAATTCAGAAGAAAAATGCATGAACAAAGTATGAGTTTCAACAGAAATAAAAATATAAAAATAACCAGAGATAAATATTGAAGAGTACAAGACAATAACTGAACACAATAACTGAAGAATAGAGTAACAGAAATTCACTACAGAGGTCTAACAGCAGACTCGATCAAGCAAAAGAAAGAATTACCAAATTGAAAAATAGGATGTTTGAAATTATAGTTAGAAGAGCAAAACCATAAAAAGAATAAGAAAAAGTCAAGAAAGTTTTATGAGGGATCAACAAGCAGACCAATATATACACTATGGGAGTTCTGAAGGAGAATAAAAGAAAGAAAAGGCCAGAAAGACTATTCAAAGAAAATAATAACCAAAATCTTCCCAAATCTGGGAAAGAAAATGGACCCTCAGATTCAGGAAGCCCACAGACCCTAAATTATGTGAACCCAAATAAATCCACACCAATACATATTATACTTAAATTGCCAGAAGTCAAAGACAAAGACAGAATTTTGAAAGAAACAGAAAAGCAACTTGTCATGTACAAGGAAACCTTCATAAGACTATCATTTCTTAGCAGAAATTATGCAGGCCAGAAGAAAGTAGGATGATATTTTAAAAGTGTTGGAAAGAAGAAACCTGCCAACCAAGAAAGCTATGCTCAGCAAGTTTGTCCTTTATAAATGACAGAGAAATAAAGACTCTCAGACAAACAAAACCTAAGTTAATCACCCCTAGACTTTTCTTACAAGTAATGCTAAAGGAAGTTCTTCAAGTTGAAAAGAGAGGACACTAAAGAGCAACACAAAATCACATGAAAATATAAAACTGTCTGGTAAAGGTAAATATGTAGACAAATACAGGATACTATAATACTTTAATGACAGTATATTGGTAACTTTTAATTGTATTATAAAAGTAAAAAAGTATTAACAGTAACTATAAAAATACGTTAATGGATGCATAATATAAAAATATGTAACTCAAGATGTCAATAATATTAAGTGTCAAGGAAAGTAGAAGTGTAGAGTTTTAGTATGCAATTGAGGTTAAATTGTTTTCTACTTAAAATAGGACTTTTATAATTATAAGATGTTGAACATGAGTCCCATGGTAACCACAATAAAATTTCTATAGAAGACACACAAAAGAAAAGAGAAAGGAATCAAAGTATATCACTATAATAAAAATCAATAAAATATGAAGGAGAATAACATGAGATAAAAAAGGGACAAAAGAGCTTTAAGACAGAAAACAATGAACAAAATGGCAAAAGTTAGTCTTGCTCTATCAATAATAACTTTAAATTTAAGTGGATTGAACTTCTCAATCAAAAGACATAAAGTGGCTGAATGAATTAAAAAAGAAACCAAAGAAAAGAAACAACTGTATGCTAACTATAAAAGATTCACTTTAGATTTAAGGACACACATAGGGTGAAAGTGAAGGAACGGAAAATGATAGGCCATGCAAATGGTAGCTAAAAAAGAACAGGGGTGGCTATACTTACATCGGACAAAATATGCTTTTAGTATAAAACTGTCATAAGCAACAAATAAGGGCATTAAATAGTAATAAAAGGGTCAATTTACCAGGAAGATATCACAATTATAAGTATATATGCATCCAACATCAGAGCACCTAAATATAAACATTAACCAAACTCAAGAGAGAAAATATACAGCAATATAATTATAGTAGGAAACTTCAATACCCTACATTACATTCCATAATGGATAGAACATCTAGACAGAAAATCAATAAGGAAACAGCAGTCATGAACAACATTATAGATCAAACAGACCTAGCAGACATATACAGAACATTCTACCCAATAACAACAGAATAAACATTCTTCTCAAATGCATGAAACCTAAAAATACTACTCTAACATTCCCTCTGCCCTGTCTGTGTAAAAACTGGTCATCAAGAAATCATCCGACCTACCTTGTTTGAGTGTAGATCATAAGACCCTCATTCCAAAGAGGGTCCCTGCCCCATACCCAGAAGAAAGAAATGCATGCTTAGAGAGGCCAAGAAGAATCTAGGCAGACAGGCCTTGTTGTGTTTCCCCACTCTATGTAAACATTAGATTATACCCTTTTCGTCCAATCATATTTCTACACTGCTATCCACACTTTGTTGAACCTAAGCATAAAAATGGACAATTTTCTCTATCTTTGGGTCTTCATCCTAAGGCTTTAATGAATACAAGTTCTATGAAATTATATGCCTTTTCTCCTATTAACATGTCTTTTGCTTGTTGATTTTTCAGCAAGCAATCAAGGGAACACAGTCTTGGCCCTTATAGTGCCAACTGGATAGACTCTAGAGTGGGGATTCTGTTTGCTGAACTTGATTCCTCCTGTGAGACCATGAAAAGTTATCCACACACACTTCTGCTTACATATGGTAGCTCAAGTCCACAAGAGGATAAATTCTTTGAGTTTACTGGTATTCCATAGGAAATGTATCCCAAGTGGCCCATCACCACTTACTTGAGCTTTCCTCAGTCTCGTCTTCTTTTTCCTCCACTTTGATTTGTACTGTTGAGGAAAGAAAACAGTACAGCAATTATTTAAATGCCTGTACAATTGTTAGTAAGTGGTTTTTACTTTTATTGTTTTTATCATAATGTTTTTGTGCAGTTAATACAATTTTTCCATAAACTTGCCAAAATGAGCACGATTTATTAAAGATATACAGCTACAGCATCTTATACAATGCCATGCAAAGATTTTTCTATTTCATAATCTTCAGGGATTTGCAAAACATAACAGTTATAAGCCCAATTCAAAGTTATAAGCTATCAGCTCAATTCAAAATAACTTCAACCAAAATAAATTCTGTATTGCAATAAGTAGACTTGGGGTTTGTCGGGTTATTTTATTTCATGAGAAATTGAATTGTTAATAAAGCTATATCCACATGCCCATACCAATTAGGTTAATAACCAAATTAACTACTTAAAAATAGAGAATAATTTATTCCAAACACTTTTACCAAGCATGAAAAAGTCTTTAGAAAAATGCTTAAAGCCAGATCTTTTCTATTTCAATTATTTTTATACGTATTATATTAATATAGCCTAAATTTCCCAATATGTGATTCCCTTTGGCAACATGGAGATAGGTGATTTTACAGTTCTTTCCAAGACAAAGGACACTTTTTCTGTTTATTCCTCACCCCATAACACATACAGCATCTTCTTCTTAGCTTTGCTTCATTTTTATAAAGGCATATAAAAGTTTTATAAAATTTTTGACACTACAGTAATATGAAAAAATATATTTATTGGCATATTTTTTTCTTTTGTCAACTTAATGTTCATTCATCACAGGTTTCTTGCCTTGGAAAAATTAAAATATTTCTTAATAATCGAAGTCTATTAACTTGCTTATAAAACATGAATTTTATCATATTTTTATTTAAGGTGGAATGACATTTTTCCAAAAAAGCAAAGATGACAAACAGTGTTGCTGTGAACAGATGAAACAACCTCTGGTTTTGTTTCTGTTCACTCACTGTCAAAGGTTATTATTCAGAACTTGATGGGCATATTGAAAAGGCAACACATGCCAAGAGTGTAAATTCCATTCACAAAGAATATTATTGTAAAAGCACTTTTTGCCTTTAAACAGCATCTGGGTAAAAAATTTTAGGATATGCAAAAATGTTATCACTCAACATCAGCCACAGAATGTGAAAATAAATGTTCTTTTGTTCAAAGTGAACATATGCCTTCTGTTGCTGGCTGCAACTGAAACTACACAGGACAAAGATCTTTATGTCACTACTGAAAGTTTGCAATAATGAAGGCAGACACTTCTAAGGAGATATTCCACATTCTACAATAGGTCATGGTCTTTTATTTGCAATTAATGTCACCACTAAGCTTCTTCAGTCAAAGAAGGATTCTCTAGGAAAGAATTTTAATGATATAAGATTAACATTGGAGCAGGGTGTTATCAGTTATATATAAAGAAGAAACAGCTGAGGACAAATAGCAAATGCTGACCCACAGCCTACTTTGCGATATGCACAACCAAAGCACATTTTTAAAACATTTGCACGATGTATTAGGATGATTTGTGATGATTATTTCACTAGAATGTGATAATATAAAGTTAATTAAATAAAACAGAAAAACCTACTAAATGAACAAAAATATAAGGAAATCTTTAGGAAAGATTATATATTAAATAAAAAGAGCAGAATAAGGTATCCCAAGCTAAAGAGATAAGCAACAACTCAGTTTCCTCTAATAACCACGGGAGAGAAAAAGCAGGGCTAGAGTCATGAATCATCTTCTCCGGCACAGAAGGAATAGTTTATAAATAACCATTAAATAAAACCTAAAAGTCCATAAGGGAAGATATTCCCTGTGGTGGCAAGTAGAGAACTAAAACAGAGCTGCAATTTCTCAGTGATGCAATGAAGACTGCTGCAGAAATGACCCAGTCCCTCCTCTTGAGTTGGTTTTCCAATAGTGATTCTGGTCTGTGCATGGTCATCTCCACATTCTCCTTAGGTGCCTTCTTTGCTTAACAGCATTCCTTTGTCTGATCGTGGAACAGTCATGTTTTATAGTCATTGTGATAATACTTGTTTTGTTCTTGATTCAAACCCTCAGCAAAGGTGTCATAAGCATCAAGAACCAAATAGCAGCACTATGACCAGGAGATTTAAGACACTACCAAGATCCTCAGAGCAAGCTCGATTTTAATGGAACATTATTTGGCCTGAAAAGTAACTATCAGCACTGGCCTATATCTCCTTCAACTTAAAGCAATGCTAAAGAACTATGTTAAGAACTCCCTCCAAGACAAAAACCTGTGTGAAGAGATAGCTCAGAATACTTGAATGGGAGCTACAAACCCTTTCCTTTCTCAGACAATGTCTGAGATGGCATGTTGCCATTCCTTCTCTCAGCAGTCCCTAGTACCTTATTCCCAATCGTATGATCTCTTCATGCCTCAGCTGCTCCCCAATGCCCATTGATCATGCACTTTAAAAATAACCTTGTCTCCTGGAGAGTGATGGGAGGATAGTGAAGGAAGAGGAGGGGAAGTCTGTCAAAATGTTGGAGGCAGCAAGCAAAACTGCATTGAAGTATGTGTAGTTAAAAGAGGAATATGCAATAGGAGCAGATGAACTCCTAGGCAACCCAGATCCTCATTTCATGCAGATAGACTCAGTAATTAAAAACAGTAAAAAGAAACAACAGCAAAATGTCACATTTCAGAGGCATAGGAGTCGTTCAGAAAAGTGGATGTTGTTCTGGGGCTTCTTTTTAAATCTATAATGCTGAAAGTAGTTTATGCTTCTTCAGGATAACACAGTGACCAAGTGGCCAGAAGAGTTGAATGGTATTGCCTTTTTCTCTGACCCACATTTACTTCTTGAAGCAATGTTTATAGCTCCAGGTTATTATTTTGGAAACTGAAAATTCACTTATTGAATTACCATTTATTGTGTGCTCACAAAGGAATATAGAGAAAATGCTCTTGGATAAGGGTTTGTAGACAGTAAAAGAAAATACCACTGCCTTTAATGAGTCTTACTATTTGATGCAAAAGAATGACTTTATAGGCCAGGCGCAGTGGCTCACGCCTGTAATCCCAGCACTTTGGGAGGCTGAGGTGGATGAATCACTTGAGGTCAGGAGTTTAAGACCAGCCTGGACAGCAAGGTGAAACCCCGCCTCTACTACAAACACAAAAATTAGCTGGGCTTGGTGGCAGGCGCCTGTAATCCCAGCTACTCAGGAGGCTGAGTCAGGAGAATCACCTGAACCCGGGAGGCAGAGGTTGCAGTGAGCCGAGATTGTGCCACTGCTCTCCAGCCTGGGCCACAGAATAAGACTCCCTCTTAAAAAAAAAAAAAAAAAAATGGCCAAGGCGGGTGGATCATGAGGTCAGGAGATCGAGACCATCCTGGCTAACACAGTGAAACCCCGTCTCTACTAAAAATATAAAAAATTATCCGGGTGTGGTGGTGGGCGCCTGTAGTCCCAGCTACTCGGGAGGCTGAAACAGGAGAATGGTATGAACCCGGGAGGCGGAGCTTGCAGTGAGCTGAGATAGCGCCACTGCACTCTGGCCTGGGCGAAAGAGCAAGACTCCGTCTCAAAAAAAAAAAAAAAAAAAAAAAAGAATGACTTTATAACAGTAAGGTTTGAGATTATGTATGGGTTTCTTCTCCAGCCTACCTAAGCTGCAACAGCAATGTATTATTTAGCTCTTTTGTGTTTCTTCTCAGGATTCTTTTTTGTGTACGAAGAATGTCAATGTTGGCCCTTCTCATACAAATTGGATGTTTTTACCTCAGACTAAACTTTCTTGATAGGGATGTTAATCAGTGGCATGACAGGCATAAATGAACCCATGTCATCCCTGTAGGATGTGAGAGAAATAGAGAAATCAAGGATAGCAACAGGTTCTTTGCTTGAGCACCTGAAGAATGGAATTACAGGAAAAGAAGATGGAAGACTGTAGGGAGAATAGCTTAGGTAGGAGCTGTTAAAGATCAGGACTTTAATCAGATCCGTTGGATTTCAGGTGCTGTCTAGACATCCAAGCATGACATTAAGTAGGCAGTTGAATATTTGAGCCTGGAGTTCAGAAGAAAGGTCTGGACTGGAAATATGAATTAGGGAATTATCAGCAAAAACATTGTATTTAAAGCCATAAGACCAGATGAGATAACAAAGAAAATGAGGGTAAACAAAACAGAAAAAGGAGACTCAAAATGGTGAGGAACAGGAGAAGAACAAACTGAAGAAATCAAAAATGAACAATCAGCTCTTAAGTAGAAGGAAAGTCAGAGATTGTGGATGGCAGAAGATGTGCATCAGAGACGTATCATAAGTTGCTAAGTACAATGTGGACTGAAAATTGACCACTGGATTTGACAATGTAGAGATATTGATGATCTTGGCAGGCATATGTTTAGTGCAGTTGTGTGGGCAAAAAGCTGAATTCAAGTGGCTTTATGAACTGATGGGCAGTGAGTAAAAGGATACAGCTATTTTTGCTATTTAGAATGGTCTTATATGCTGTTAAGAAAGATCTAATGAGAATTGAGAAATTGAAGATGTAGGCTATGAAATGAACCACCTATAATGTAAAGAAAACAACACGAATTAGATTATTAATTCCTCAGTTTTATTTCTGCTTTTGGTTTATCCCTGGGCTGTGCTTCTCTGACTGATACTTTGTTAAAAGACTGAACAACTTACTAATATACCTCTTGCTTAGATTTGAGTCCACTATAGCAATTCAAAAGTATGGAACTAAAAGATGGGGTAGGGAGAAGAAAAGAAAGAAAAAGAATGAGAGGAGAAAGGAGAGAAACAGAAAGAGAAGTAAAAAAATAAATATGGGGTGAGAATTACAGTAAATGATACTGGAAAAGAATAAGCATAAAGCAAAATTTTGCATTTTAGTCTTGCTACATATGACAAATAAATATTTTTAACATATATATATATATATATATATATATATATATATATATATAAAATGTGTAACTCAGGTTAACTCAGACCACCTTCAGCTGTCTGTACTATTAATATTTTGCTTTTAAGATAAAGTGAAATTTGTCATATTTCATAAGGAAATTATGAGCCCCTTAACAAAAATGTGAAATCTCTCTTCTCAAGGGGGAAAAAAAGAGAGAAAAGGGAGGACAGACCAGTGAAACTATAAAAAATAAGCTATGATTTTTTTAAAAAAAAACCTCTTTAAAAGGCAGCATTCTTATGAATACACACTGTGTAATATTATACTCTGAAAACTCTAGGTATAAGGTCATTCAGTTGCCCCTCAAATTACTAATTTCTGATTATAGCAATACGAATGATGGGGATGCATATTTTGATCTGAAGAAAATTACACATGTGTATGCATGTATATGTATATAAGCTATGCCAAGAACAGCATTTAGATATTTTGCTTTCTTAAAACCAAACAAAAAGTAAATCAATCCAATTTTCAAAAGGAATGAGTAAAATTAGCCCTAAAGAAGACTAAAGAAGAATTGCCCAACAATGAGCCACTTGGATGCTAGACTGAGTCACCAAATCATATTCAGGCATCATCTCCATATAGAGAATGGCCCAGGATATGGTTCAAATTTGTGCCAAAATCTCATGTCTAATTGTAATCCCCAGTGTTGGAAGAGGTGCCTGGTGGGAGGTGACTGGATCATGGGCGCAGACTTTCCCTTTGCTGTTCCTGGAATAGTGAGTTCTCACAAGATCTTGTTTAAAAGTGTGTAGCACCTTCCCCTTCTCTCTCTTCCTCCTGCTCCGGCCATGTAGGAGGTACCTCCTTCCTCAACTTTGCCTTCTGCCATGATTGTAAGTTTCCTGAGGCCTCCATGAGGAGGCTGGAGAGCAGAAAGCAGCCATGCTTTCTGTACAGCCTGCAGAACCATGAGCCAATTAAACCTATTTTCTTTACAGGTTACCCTGTCTCAGGTAGTTCTTTATAGCAGTGCAAGAATGGGCTAATACAGCCCAACACTCTGAATTTATGATAACACTATTGGTGGTTGTGAAGTAGACAACAGAAGCTACTGCATACAAAACTGAATAAAAGTAATAGGGTGCAATTCTTCTTACTCTAGAATAAAATATACCCAAGATTATTAAATCTCACTCAGGTTAACTAAGCAGCTCCCTTTATCTTTGCTACTTCTAGGTCAGGACAAAAAGAAGCTCGTGCCATTTGTTTATAACAATCCCAAGTCCTTCAAATGATAGAATTAAACATAATATTTCAGAAGCCATTGAATGAAGAGAATAATTATGTAGTTCTTAAATAAATCAAATACCTTAATAAACCTGTAAGCTATAAGACATTTAAAAAATTATCAGGAGTGAGAAACACAGAATGAGATCATTACACTTAAATATCATCAAAGTATCTGGGGATAAGATTTAATGAGACAGACGTAGGCTGATATTTCTTCTGTGTGTACCAGTATCTTATCTTCCTTAAGACCAGTTTTGTGAAAACCAGAGGGCACAGACATTCAAAAACACCCTACTGGAAACTTTTGTAATAAATGCCCCCAAAACTGGTCATATTTTCAAACATTATAATATCTTGGAGATACTAAATAGTTATTTTCAATCTCTGTGGTTTCAAAATTACAAGGAGAATAATAGTTTTGGTTTTTGGTAGGACTCACCAATCCAAAAGAGGGAGGCAGGCAAAAATCACAACTGTTATAATAGCTGTCACTCTTCAATGTTTTCCCTTCTAGATTACACTCATTTTCTGAGACTCTTTAGGCCCTCAGAAGTAGAAAATAAATAGCTGCTGATGTCTGCTTTATTAAAAACACAATATAAAATAATTGATAAATATAATATAGTTGATAAATAGAACAGGATGAAGCCTATGGAGAAACACATTTTACTCTGAGGTCACAGAGAGAGGACACTAACTCTGAGGCAAACAGAAAGAACAAAAATAGAAAATCTACTCAAAATAAAGATCCCCATTCTATCCTTTTACAATGGAAATAAATCTTTTTTATATACGTAAGAAGGAGGGGAAAGGGATGCACACCAATTTTTTTGCACGTTTTCCTTCTGCTTTTATTGTACGTGAAATTATAATTAAACACAGGCTGAGTGAAGTGGGTTGCTGGTATGTTTCCAAATTCTACCACCCCTGAGCTGGAAGAGCAAATATGAAATGTGAAGCCTGGTTCTGCAAATGGCAAATTACATGCTGGAGTATTTGTGAGAAACTGCAATTAGGTATTTCACGACACCATCAGTCTACAGAAAGAACAAAAACAGCTCTTACTCTATGTGGTTTGGAGGGCTGGCTTTTTCAAAAAAAAAACTATACATATTCAATAAATAAATAGCTATTTACAAAGACATTTAGAGCCCTCTGTGGTTATGAAAAAGTAAGTGGTGAGTCTTGCATTTTCTTTGCATTTAGATTGTTTGAGGGAGGGAACATTTCTTATTTAACCATGCTGTCATAATATATATTCAGAGTGTATGCTTTCACATTGCAATTACCACCATAAAGGGCAACCACTGTAAATAAGTGTGGTAAAATGAAATACATTATCTTGTGTGAGGTTTTCTGGTTAAAACCTTTTCTAGTAATAGGATACCAAAATAACAACCAGATGAAAATACAAATGTGCATTATAACCTCTTAGCAGCTGTGCTTATATCCTTGGGTTATTTAGGACAAAAAGGAATCTTTCTGTCCTCCGTAGCATTTTTGCAATATTCTAACTCAAGAAGAAGAATGGTTTTCAGGGTTCATGGATAAGCAAACAAAATGAAACAAACAAAAAACACTAAAGAATTGTGAAAGAACTGAAAGAAGAGGATTGTTCCTAAGGCATAAAGAAGCATAAAAGGCTGGCTGAACTCTGTACACATCTTTACCCTTCCTTTGTAGCACTGCTTTTGTTCACATTAGAGATGCTAATTATTGCTCATTAGCATACATTAGCAAATGTTAATGAGTGTCTTCCAAAGAACAAAAGGCAGTGGGGGCAGGGTAGAGTCAGGGTGAAGGCTTAGCGGTGAGGGAGGGGCTACAACAGAAGAGAGACAAAGAGAAAAAGGAAATGAGAGCAATATAGAACTTAGATTCATAGTTTCCTAAAATTTAGAAGATCTATCTTCCTGACAAAATAGTAATAGCATCAAGAAAAGTGAAATAATTTACTTCATTTTTTCTATAAAAATAGAAAAAGCAAGTCATTAACTAGAATAAATCCATTTTTTTTCTGCTTTTTAGCTGTTAGGAGAAAATCACACTTCATAGGACTTGCTACCTAACCGGGAATATGAGTTAACACAGTCAACACTTAATGAAAAAGAATTCTGAATTCTAGTTATTCTCAATTCATCCTAATTTTTTCTCTCACAGACTCAACTTGCAATATTCAGGAAGACTAAACCTATATATAATTTGTATATGGCATGTAATATAATTAAAATAATTCACATAGAATGTGGTATACATATTAATTTATATCCTAGAGGAAGTTAGTTAATATTTGAGTACTCCAGTTAAGGATTGACAATGTTAGAATGGAGATTTAACACCTAAAATACTGGAATCAGGAGCACTTCAGCCATCTCTATCTTAGACTAGCACCAGATGGTTTGTTAGTTGGAACAATGCTTATTAGAAGTAAATTTTGTGAAATTAAATGTGATTGAGATGTGTGGATTTGCTAGAAATATTATTTCTGCCCCCGTCTTTGTATACAAAGGGTCATGTTAGCCTCAATAATCTCATTTTGGAATAGTAGGCACTGTACACCCAGGAATCCCAAATGGTTACTTGTTTTGCCATTTAATGGAGAATTTTTTTATCTGATAAGACCTCTGTGAAATAGGCATACTCCAGTTCCTGCCCATGAAAGGATCAGGGAAAATTTCCTACTTCATTACTATAGATTGAAAGCTTATGTTCCCCAAAATTCATATGTTGCAAGATAACCCCCAATACAATGGTATTGTTAGGTCATGGGATGAAACCTTCATGAATGGATTAGTGCCATTGTAAAGAAGACTCCAGAAACTTTATTCATTCTTTCTACCATATGGAGACACAGCAAATGGATGGCTGTCTATGAACCAGAGTGTAGGCTCTCACCAGACACCAAATCTGCCAGTAGTGCCTGGATATTGGATTTTCCAGCCTCCAGAACTATGAGAAATAAATATCTGTTGTTTATAAGCTGCCTAGTCTATGATATTTTGTTATAGCAACCAAACAGAGTAGGACAATTATATGTTGCACTCTGTACAAATAACAAATGCTCTTGTTTAAGTGAAGCCAGTTGGGCAATAGGAAACAGAAGAAGGTGGATGGGTTGGTAAGAAAGCAAAAGAGAGAGGGGCCTATAGACCTGGGCAAATACTCTGGAGTTAGGAAATAAAGGTCTAGAGAAAAAGAAAGTCTTGAGGGAGAAAGAGAAAACAGAAAATTATGTTTAATAACTTATGCTGAACTCAGTGAGATATTAAACACAAGCATGAAAAAACAAACCCATTTGTCCCAATAAAAAGATCGGTGTAAATATGAGAAAAGAATGGGAGACATGCATTGTCATAAGTATGCTTATGAATAGCAGGGGCAAACTGAAAGTCTTTGGGGTCAAACTTATTGGGGGCTTCAAAATGAAAGAACATTGATTAAAATAGCATGAATGTTAGAGGAAAACAAAAGAAAGAAACTAGGTAAATATAGACTTCAGTGGGATGGGAGTTGGGAATGTCACATACAAACATACTAAGAATTTTTATCTCAACACATAACATACTTGCTTGGCATAGACACTAAAGGTAACATTATTAGAATAAAGAAAAGAATTTATGTGTATGATTCCACTCCTGGGATCATTTTAGCCATGACTGTAAAATATTTTACATGAAGATTACAATCAGAGATTTCTAATTGTCTTATTTTCTGAAGAACATCAAAGTGAAAAGTGGTCAAACCATGTATCTCACAAGGGTCAACTAATTCCTGAGTGAAACTAATGACTTTATGAAAAACATAATAAATATAGTCTATAATAATAGAATTGAGAATATATATATACATACTGCATATAAACAAATACAGCTTTTTTAAAAAGCTAAAAATTAAGATCCTTCTTTGTGCCAAGTACTCTTATTTCATTTTATGCT
Organism: Homo sapiens; assembly: GCF_000001405.40. Taxonomy (NCBI): domain Eukaryota; kingdom Metazoa; phylum Chordata; class Mammalia; order Primates; family Hominidae; genus Homo; species Homo sapiens. The sequence continues at coordinate 72,678,560 of NC_000009.12, read as the reverse complement.
TGTAATAATATAATATGATAGTTATTACTCACACTGCTTTACTGGTGAGAAACCTGAGGCTCACAAACATTAACTGACTTGCTAAAGTCTGCATAGTAAGAAAGTGGCAGAACTAGAATTCAAACCCGTAAGCATGAGTCTGAATTCTGAAACTCATATTCTTAAATAATATAATTCATTTTTGCTCTAAAATAGAATGTTGTCTTCAATGTGGAAATGGGAAAGCTATCTCAGGATACATATCCAAGATTTATCTGTGCCTGAGGAGACTGACTACTGAGATCAATAAATTCTAGTTAACTCCTTCATTCTAGCAAAGAAACTCTGAATAGACACGGGTCAAATGACTTGACAAAAATCATACAACCAATAAGTGGCATAACCAAGATTTAAATTCTAGTCTTCTATTTCCACCTCCAGGGTTGCTTTCATACCATGCTGCCTCAGTTACATTGATTGCAAAATTTTACCCAAAAGGTGTGAAAGTGTATTGTAAAATCAGCAATGAAAAATGCAAGCACCTCATTTCATGGTGAGTCTGAAATGGAACATGTACGTAGATCCAAATTCAAGTTCCTGCCATCAATGTTATTCTTTACATGGGTAAAGTTTGGTTAAAAACAATAAATATATAAAAATGAATGCACAGACACCACACTTTATTCATCAGGCTAAACACCATTCATATTACAGGATCTTGTTCAGAGTGTTAACACGGCAGATGCTCAATGGTTACTTGATCAATCAATGAGTTAAGCCAGCATGAATACTAAACAGGAACAGACAGGGAAGGTCAAAACATGAGTCTGCATTCAGAGAAAATCATATTGTCAAAAAAGGCAATCCCAACATTTTTCAGTTTGGGTTGTCAGAGTGGGGAAAAATGATAGGGTATTAATAATTGATTGTCTATATCTGAGTCATAGTCTAAGGATAATCTCATCTCTTGTCATTTAGTAAATATATATGGAGCACTTACTCCTTGCCAGGCCGGGTGCCCTGTATTGGAGAGAATGCACGGATTAGTAAGAAAGTGTGGAAGTGAATTTTATGTGTCTATTTGGCTGGGCCAAAGTGCCTAGATATTTGGTGAAAGATTATTCTGGGTGTGTCTGTGAGGATGTTGCTGAATGAGATTAACCTTTGCATTGGTAGACTGAGGAAATCAGACTCCTTCCCCTATGTGGGTGAGCCTCATCTAATCCACTGGAGGCCTGAAAAGAACCAAAGGCTGAGCAAGACAGAATTTTCTCTCTCTGCCTAAAGGTCTCTGAGCTGGGACATCTGTCTTCTCCCCTCTTCAGACTCTGAGTGGAACTTACACAATGAGGACTCCGGGTTCTCAAGCCTTTGGCCTGCAGATTTTGAGACTTTTTAGCCTCCATGAACCAGTTCCTGTGTGTGTGTGTGTGTGTGTGTGTGTGTGTGTGTAATTTCTGTTCCCCTAGAGTGCCCTGGCTAACAAAGGAAGTCTCTGTCCTCAAGATTACCTTGATGAAAGCAGTCAAGTACAATAAGAAGACACCTGATATAATTATTTAGTAAATTCCACCAGAGAAATACAGGCAAAAGACCTATGAGAGAGAAAGGGAAAGACAGAGAGAGAGATCAGGTTCATTAGGCAGTTTCAGGATATTTGCTTTTTGTTATATTTCTTCAAATGTTTCCAGAAACAGGCAGAAGATTAATCAATACACATAAACACACGTTTCAATACCTGATTTCCTTTGGATGAAATCTCAATTTCTTCAAGATCACGGCCATGGAGAACAGAGTTTGTCCTGACTGGCCTAGTACTGAGAAATACGAATAAGAAAGAAGGACTTCTGTTTATCTGGGTCCTGAGATGATTGCATTCATCCACAGAACTAGAAAAGTCAACTCAAGAGCTTTCAGGTTGTTGCCTGGCTCTAGGAGAATGAGCCTATGTTTTTGAGTCAGACAGAGACATGTTTGAGTTTTGGCTCTGCTACAGTTTTATGCCATCCTGTACTGTGGCTAATTTATTTAAACTCCCTATGCCTTAGTGAAAGGAAGGAATTGTAATTATTGTGTACGGTTGCTGTGAGAACTAAATATAATAATAAATACATGCAATATACTCAATACAGTGCCTGGTACAGAACAAAGGTTTTAATAGTCTACAAGGGCATTCAAATGCTTTGACACATACCAACACACAAATTTTTGGCATCTTTAATCTAAACTTTTAGGAAGATAAGGAAAACACAACTACTTTGAGCTTTTTCTTAATACCTTAGCATCTACAAGTAGAAATATCCCATAAGATTTAGTCTGAGATGATATTAGAAACCACTTCACCAAAAGATAAAGACTAGGCATAAAATATTACCCTAAATTGGTATTTATTAACTCTCTTGATACTCTTAACTCCAACGCCAATGTCTGCTCTTGATGATGTCAACCAATATTGAAAGAAGAGGCAGCCAAATTCAAACTTGCTGTGCTGCCTTAGCCAATGGTATGCTTCCCCATCCAATTTTTTCTTGTTACCAATTGGAGGATGAATTCTAGTCCATGCTCAGATTGATCAATAAACAAAGGACCAGCAGTCATTTTGGGTACTAGTCTTTCATTGCCACAGAAATTATAAAATCAGTTCCATACAAAGAAAGAGACAAGAGTCAATGGAGCCTAGATTGGGAGATTTACACGACTTCTCTCAGCCAGCTTCAGAATTCCTTTCCTTGTCAGTACTCTGGCATTCAGAGAACAAATTATTGTAATTGTGTGGCAACAGAAAAGACAAAAAGGCATGGGGTGGGGTCACTTAGTAAGAGCTTGACAGTCTGCCAAGTCTACTAGAAGCTGGGACCTTGTACTTGCTACCATATTCAGTATCCTGATTGTAAGTGATTTTTTTGTTTTCAGTCTAAAGAAATCAATTTCATCTTCATTAAATGCCAGAGGGTTGAGACTGTAATTGTAACTATTACATCATGCAGAGAAGGACAATGGTTTGAGATCTAAACCTAGACTTTTAGCAGCCAGATCAAAAGTAGGAAAGAAAGTTAACGTTGATGAAGAGAGACTCCTCTAAAGGAGCAACAAATACACGCAGGTGCTTTTAATTCACCATTATCCTTTTTTTCCCTCACATGGGATGGAATCACTTTGGTTATTGGAATAAGCCACATCTTAGTTTTAGACAGTAAGACTAGACTACACTAAACCCATTTTTAGAAATTCAATATCATATATTTTTCAGATGACAGGAGAAATGACTGAAATTCTATTAGTAGCCTCAGAAGCTACTTAGCCTCCCCGATGTGTTCATGTGTTCCCCAAGAAATGAGTTTGTAGCTCATACCCAGCTAGAATAGACCCTCACTTCTGGTTCTTCAAGGTGATCTTACCACTCAGGCATTCATCGAACTGTTCAGCTTCACATCCTGTCTCATGTGTCATGAAATCTTACTATATGTGTATGTGTGCATATGTGTGTGTGTGCATGAGAGAGAGAATTTTAAAGATTTAGTTGAAAGATTTCTGAGTCCTGGATTTATTTTCATACTTCTGCATTCTTCTTAAGGATCTTACAGTAAGATAGTTCCAAACAACAAATTGTCTCAACTGTGTGAGCTTGGTAAAGCTGTTTGCTCACCCTAAAACACAATTATCATCAATAGCCTGATGGCTTGATTTGAGATTAGCTTATTTTTTATTCATCAGCTCAGCCTGGCAGCAATGAGAGTATATTTTAATGGATTCCATGGACAAAGACCATCAATTTTCCTCTTCATTCTGTGGTGTTGAATTCTGCCACTCTCTCCAGACCTCTTCCCCTGTCTCCCAAATCCTGGAGGATTTCTAGCAGGGAAAGGCCAAGGCAATGGATCTCAAACTTTAATGGACATCATTATCACCTGGAGAGCTTGTGAAAACACAGATTCCTGGGCTTTGCCCACAGAGATTCTGGTTCAGTAGGTCTGGGATGGGCCCAGTAATTAGCTTTTCTAAAAAGCTTCCAAGTGGTGCTAAAGCTGCTAGTGGTTGGCAACCACTGTTTAAGGCATCCTGAGGGCACGGGGAAAGTTAATAAGCATCTGCTGCCTTCCTTTAGGAAACATAACTCTCATGACCTAGAAATTGTCTTTCTTTGTCTATCTTTATTTCAGTCTCACACTGTCTTGATTACTGTAGCTTTATAATGAGCTCTGAGGGCAAGTATATGTCTTCCAAACTTACTCTTCTTTTTCAAAGATAGTTTGCCTCTTGTAGGTCCTTTGCATTTTCATATAAATTTTAGGATTAGCTTGTCAAATTTTGCAAGCATTTTTAAAAGCCTATTGAGGTATTGATTGAGATTCTGTTGAATTATAGACCAATTTAAGGAAAATTAATATCTTCACAGTGTTAAATTTATCTAATTCACAAATGAGGTTTCCATTTATTTCTGCCCTCTTTAATTTCTTACAGCAATGTTTTATAGTTTTCAGTGTTCAAATCTTGAGCCACTTTTGTCAGGTTTGTTCCTAAGTACTTCATAATTACTTTTTCTGATATTTTAAATGATATTTTACAATTTTTAATTTCCGATTGCTTCTTGCATACAGTGGTCTGTAGTTTTGTTTTCTTGGAATGTCTTTTTCTGGTTTTGGATAGAGTAGCACTGGCCTCAGGGAGAGTTGGGAAATATTTCCTCCTCTTCAATTTCCTAGAAAAGTTTACGCAGAATTAGAATTACTTTCTCCTTAAATATTGGGTACAATTCTCTAGGGAAACAGTCAGAGCTTGGAATACGTTTTGTAGGATAATTTTTAACTATCAACTTAATTTCTTTAATAGATATACAGCTACTAAGATTATCAATTTCTTCCTGAATGAACTTTGGTAGATTGTGTCATATAAGTAATTTGTGCAATTTATCTAAGTTGTCAAATTTATTGGCCTGAGTTTTTTATCATATTATCTTATTGTTCTTTTACTATCTGTAGAATTTGTAATGATGCCACTTTTCTCATTTCTGTCTTCTGTATTAGATGAATAAATGTTATACTAAAGTTATTTATTTTTGGGTGCTACATATACAGTATGAAAAAAAGGAAATCGTTTCTTCTTGATAAATTCCTAATCAGTCTTGACCAGTGGTTTATCAATCTTACTGATCTGTATAATAACAAGTTTTGGGTGTTATTAAATTTTGTTTTGTTTTGTTTTTCTGTTTTCTACTTTATTGATTTCAGCTCTGGTCTTTAATACTTACTTTCTTCTGCTTATTTTGGATTTATTTGTTTTGTTTTTCTAGTTTCTTCAGGTAGAAACTGAGATCACTGGCTTGAGATCTTCTTTTCTAATATAGGTCTATACTATTATAAATTTTCCTCTAAATACTGCTGTTGTTGCATCTCAAAAGTTTTGAAATGTGTGTTTAATTTAGTTCAAACACTTTCAAATTTCTATTTTGATTTCTTATTTGACCCTGGGTCATTTAGAAGTATGATATTAGTTACCAAATATTTGGGGATTTGCCAGATATCTTTTGCTATTAATTTCAAACTTAATTCCACTGTAGTTACAGAATATACTTTGTATTAGCTGAATTATTTTAAGTCTGTTGAGATTTATTTATGGCCTAGAATATAGCATATCATGCTAAATATTCTGTGTTCTCTTGAAGAAAATGTGTATTCTGCTGCTTTTAGCTGATGTGTGTGTGTGCATATATATATACACGTGTGTGTGTGTGTGTGTGTGTGTGTGTGTGTGTGTGTGTTGCCCAGGCTTGTCTCGAATTCCTGAGCTCAAGGCCTGCCAAAGTGCTGGAATTACAGGCATGAGCCCCAAGCCTGGCCCCATAAATATTAATTAATTCAAGGTGATTGATAATATTTTGGAGGTTTTCTGTATCCTTACTGATATTTTTGTCTGTTTATTCTATCAATTATTCAGAAAAAGGTCCTGAAATCTGACTAATTAATTAATTAATATTTTATTAGTTTAAAATAGTATGTCTTTTTCCATCCTTTTATCTTTTACCTATTTGTATTTTTATACTGCAAGTGGCAATATTTTCTTATAGGCAAGATATAGTTGGATATGGGTATTTTATTCAATTAGACCATTTTTAACTTTTAATTGGGGTATTTAGGCCATTTACATTTAATATGAACATCTAAGTGATGAGTTTATTCTCTTACCATTTAATATTTTTGCAGATTGAATTAATTTAATTTTATAAGGAATTTAGAAACCATGAGAAAATATTTATATTTCATTAAAAAAACAAAGTCTGTACATCACTCAAATTTTAAAAGTCAGCGAGACAATAAAAAAAGTACTAAGTAATATGTTTCGTTTTAGAACAAAATATTATCAGTGGCTCATCATAACTGATATATGAACACAAAGAAAATGCTAAAAAGGTGTAAAACTGAATCTCAAAGTGATCCAGTTGGATGAAGGGAGCACCAGGTGTCACCAATGTGGGACTGCCATATATTCTACCAAAGGAAACAAACTACCACTAGGAGATAAAGATAAGCAAATAAATAAACTTGGGAAGAAAAGGATCCCACAATTCCTGGAATGTTACAGTAAATGGTTTATTTGTTTCTGTTCTTACATGTGTTTCATCTTTCTTCCTTTAAGAAATTAAGTGGATGTGTGAGGGATCCAAGCATATTTCCCAGTTATATCTTATTTTTTCAGTAAGGATAACTTTATATTGAATAAATAATGATTGATACTCCCTGTCATTTCAGCCACTGAATATACTATTAAAATGATTTAACAACTATACTATGCTTTGATTTTTTTTCTTTTTAAAAAACTGTAAGTCAAGAATATTTAAAGAATGAAAGTCTCTTAATTTAAAAAATATACAGTCATCCTTTGGTATCTGAGGGGGATTGATTCCAGGACACCCCTCAAGCCCCTCCTGTATACCAAAATTAATGGATGCTCATGTCCCTACCATTTAATTTTTATTTCTCCCATCTCTTCTTTGTTTTTGCTTTCCTCTTTCAGCCTTCTTTTGGATGAATTGACTTTTCCAATGATTCCATTTTACCACCTTTATGGTATATTATGTACAACTCTTTGTGTTACTATTATAAAGTGGTTGGTTTCAGGTGATGGGTATCAAGATATACTACCCCAAAATGTAACACCTTAGCATGTTAAATATTTTAAGCTGTATGAATTTGAGAAAACTGCAGAAGCAGGACGGTCACTCTGTTCTTCCCTGGCACTTCTCTGAAGCAGATCATAAGTCCCTCATGTGAGAGGTGCCCTCCCTATACCCAGAGAAAAGAAACATCCTTGTCTCTCACGACAAAAGGTCAAGGAGAAAAATCTGAACAAGCAAACCCAGCTAAATTTCCCCCAGTTTACTACCATTAGATCATAACCCCATTGTATTATATGCCCCATTATATTTCTCCATGACTATCCATTCTTCATCAAACCTACTATAAAAATACTCAGATCTGTTTCTTTGAGTCTTCTTTCCTTATGATGGCTACTGTGTCACATAACACTTATATTAAGTAAATGTGTATGCTTCTGTGTTATTAATCTGTTTTTTGTTATAGTGGCCTCAGCTGTGAACCCAGGATGGGTAGAAAAAGATATTTTTCTTTCCCTAAGAGGTTACAGTGGTCTTTAGTCACAGTCTCTCTTCAAGTGATACTACACCATTTCATACATAGTGTAAAACCTTATACCAGTATGTTTCCATTTCTTTTCTTACAGACTTTATACTACTGTTGTCATACATGTTTTGATGTTCATTAATCCTTCTTCTATATCTAATCTGCTGCGAATCCCATCTCGCTTATGCTTCATCTCAGATATTGTAATTTTCATCTGTACATATTTTATTGTCTTTTTATTTCTTCTGTGTCGTGATTTGATCTTTCCTCTAGCCACTTGAACATGTGTAATGGCTAGAGTTGGCAGTTATAATTAGCTCTTTGTTTACTAATTACATCATCTGTGTCATTGATGGGGCAATTATGTATAATTGATTTTTCTTGGAATTATGGGTATTTATTTTCATGCTTCTTTATATTCATGGTAATATTTGGTTGCATATTAGACATTATGAATTTTACCTTACTGACTGCTAGATATTTTCATATTCCTATAGTCTTCGGCTTTGTTCTGGTATATATTTAAGTTACCTGGAAACAGTTTTATCCTTTAGGGTCTCATTTTTTAAGTTTTGTTAGGATCAGAGCAACATTTGGTCTAGGACTAATTTTTTCTCACTGCTGAAGCAAAACCCTTCTAAGTACTCTACCTAATGTCCCATGAATTTCATGGTTTTTATACTCTTTCTGGTGGAAAGAGGAGCTATTCCCAGGCCTATGTGATTCTAAGGATTTGTCCCTCTAAACCTTTTCAGAGGTTCTTTCTCCAGCCACACACATGCACTGATCATGATTCAGCAGAAGAGTCAGCAGGAACACTACAGAAATCCAGAGCTCACTCTCTGTTCAGTTTTCTTTTCTCTGGAACTCTTTCTCATGAATTGCAGCTATCTTTGTACCTGCAGACTTTCAGGTCTCTCTCCTTAACTCAGAAAGAGCAATAGTTTCCATTCGCAACCCTTCTCTCTGCACCCTGGCCTGGAATCTCTCTCCAGGCAGTAAACTGGGGCAATCACAGGCTCACCTAATTTGTTTTCCCTCTCTCAGAGGTCATTATCCTTTGTTGTCTGAGGTATAATGTCTTGAAAACTGTTGCTATATATATCTTATCCAGTTTTTATTTATTTCACATAAAAGAGTAAATTCAGTATCTGTATTTCATCTTAACCACATTGAGAAATCTATTTGTGCTAACTATTCTAGAGGTCTCTAAGATAAGTTCTTTTTTTCAAGTCATATGGAAAAAAAAAAATGAGTCAAGAGACTAGCTATCTCTTACCCTTTCTCTTTTGTTTCACATCGGCTCATCCCCAGGTATGTGAAATCACCAATTTTAAGAGAAGGGTTATATCAATTATGCATTGTTTAAATAAAAATAACATTTATAAATATTTCAATGACATGCAGAAATGTTTATGATAGATGTCATACAAAAATATCATTAAAATTCTACAGATTATAAAGTTAGAATATCTGAAATAAATGTCTTCTGCAAAAATAAATTAATTAAAAGCTGAAATGAAATATGCCAAAATTTTTGCAGTCATATCTAGATGATGAGGTTGTGAGATGTTATTTCTTTTCCTTTAGATATTTTCTGTACTTTGTAAATTATTATAGTACATTTTTTTTTCTTTAGATAGAGTCTTACTCTTTCGCCCAGGCTGGAGTGCAGTGGTGCAATTCCAGCTCACTGCTACCTCCGCCTCCCAGGTTCAAGCGATCCTCCTGCCTCAGCTTCCCGGGTATCTGGGATTACAGGCGCCTGCCGCCACCTCACCCAGCTAATTTTTGTATTTTTAGTAGAGACAGGGTTTCACCATATTGGCCAGGCTGGTCTTGAACTCCTGACCTCAGGTGATCTGCCCCACCTCAGCCTCCCAAAGTGCTGGGATTACAAGCGTGAGCCACTGCACCCAGCTGTATTATCTTTTAAAAGGGCAAAATTGTGTTATGTTTTTGTTTTCTAAAAATGAGTTGTAGGGAGACAAAAACTGAGAGAAAATTTTGAGGAAAATATACAGAAGGTCTGAAGTTACTGCTTAGCTATTTCTTTAAGTATCTCACACAAGCTGTTCTTTGCTTGACCCTGGCAGTTATAAAACATAGCCCTGTGTCTCTATGAAGAAGGCCTGGATTATAAAATATCATGAAAAAACAGGAATCGAACATCCAGAATTTAGTAAACATTATTTTAATCCCACAGTATTAGGAAAAAAGGAGCCAATGCCATAAAATATTAATAGTGCTCTCTTCGATAGAGGCTAAAATGTTCTATCTTGTAATAGAGCTCAGGACCGGACTTTTAGAGGAAAATGATGAAAAGTTTAGAGAGAAGTGATGGCAAAGGGTTCTAGTTAATTAACTCTACTCTCTCTTGGTTACCAAATTAAGGGAACTCAGTTGGACTATTCTATTCTTAGATCAGGTTCATGTGATGATCCTCATTGTACAGAGAAGAAAACAGAAGCAGAAAGAGCTCCAGATAATTCACTCGTTAATTCACTCAATCAACAAGAATACACTTAGTGTCTATGGAGACAAAGCACTAAGAGGGGCTGTGTGGTTCAGCTGAAGGAGCACAGGATTATTCTCAGAATCAGACAGACCTGCGTTCAAAACCTAGCTCTGCCTCCTCAAAAATTATGACCAGACAACTTTTTAACCTTTCTGACCATCAGCTTTCATTTCAACAAATTATGAAAACAAATAACATCATAGGAATGTTGTGATCATTAAATAAGTTAAATGCTAAAACCCATAAGTAAAAATATTATACACTAGGCATTGCCTGATATATAAAAGGCACTCGAATCTATACTAATCTAATGAAATCTGGAGAGCTATAAAGTAAAAAAGGATATTTTTCTTTTATTCCAAAATGTCACAATCTAACTAGGAAAAAAGATATTAACAAGTAAAATGATTGGTGTGAGGTAGAATATAACTAAGTACTGTGATTTTTAATGTCAAAGATAGGAACTGAGAGAAAGAAGACATTCCAGGCAGCTGAAAATGAAGAGAGAAGGCTGAATGAAAGAAGTAGACTTAAATTGAGTCTCTAGATGTAAAGAGGTTAGAAGTCATCACTCCCATCCTAAGAAGAAAAACGCTGAACAAACTGGAAATCAATGGCTCTTCTTAATTCTGCTGACAGAATTGATAGAGAGAAAGGATAGCCTCATTGAGGTAAGAAGAGGCAGGGATTTATAACAATAGGTGCTGTTGTCTGACTGTTTTACTGCTAAGCAATTTAAAAATTGCCAGGATTAAAAATGCCCAGAGTTCTCAGAGAAACCCAACTGGTGCGTGTGTTATTATCTCAATTTTAAGCAGACTAAATGAATAAGTCCATTTAAAAATGGTGAATTGTATTTATGTGTTTGTTGTGACTACATCCCAATATCCAACTACATTTGGTAGTGAAAGAATTGTAAAAGGTATATATACCAACAAGACAAAAAGGAAGGAACATGAGCAGGTGAGAGATTTCTACATCTTTTTGAAAATATGAAAACAAGGAAGAGATTTTTGGTTTATCCAGGAATAAGAATGTAGTGAGCTGGCAACCAGGAAGAAGGAAGCTGACTTACATTGCAGAATCTAAGGATCAGATTTTAGAGGTTCTGGGGAGGGAAAGGGCAGTGAAGAGACACGGGGTAGAAAATTCACTGAACCCGAAAGTCAACCTGGAATTTCCTTTGCCACTCTCACCTTACTGAGGATGCAAAAGCAGCCAGAGATGGAGAAACCCAAATCTACCAGTTATCACTAGTTCCCCTACCCTGCTTTATTTTCCTCAAAACAGTCACCATCTGACATTACTTTTTTTGGTTTTTGGTTGTTTTGTTTGTTTGTTTGTTTTGAGACAGGGTCTCACCCTGTCACCCGGGCTGGAGTGCAGTGGGGAGATGTTGGCTCACTGCAACCTCTGTGTCCTGGGCTCAAGTGATCCTCCCACCTCAGCCTCCTGAGTAGCTGGGACTACAGGCACACGCCACCATGTGTTTCGTTTATTGTTTGTTTTGTTTTGTTTTGTTTTGTTTTGTTTTGTTTTGGTAGAGATGGGATTTCCCTATGCTGCCCAGGCTGGTCTCAAACTCCTGGGCCTAAGTGATCCTCCCACCTCAGTCTTCCAAAGTGCTGGGATTACCAGCATGAGGCCACCACGCCTGGCCGTGACATTATGTTATCTACTTATTTGTTAATTGATCCACTGTTTATTTTCCCCACAAGCAAATAAGCTTCTGGGAAGGCAGGGGCTTTGTTGGTCTTCAACTCTTTATTGCCCATGCTTGGCAAATAATAGGCACTCAGTCAGTGTTTGTGATATGAATAAATGAGTGACCCCAGCAATAATATTAACAATAGTTATACTGTACAAGAGTGACATTAGATGGTAATTTCCTTCCAGTCTCAGATTTACCACATTTCCCCCTGTGTCTTGGGGCCTTTTGGTTAGTATAGGAAATTTGTCCAAGAGGAAGGAATAACATTAGCAAAGTCACAAAGAAGAAGGAAGTACAAGGCATGAAGGGAACAGAGATTTGCCAGGCTAGATTAGAACCACCTCTGTAGAGTGCTCCCCCAGTGTCCTTAGAGAAGGTCCTATATTACTCATTGCATCTCTCATGCCTCTGAATATTAAAGCACTTTTTCTTCCCTTTCCTTCCTTTTTTTTTTTTTAATAGAGACAGGACAAGGTCTTGTTATGTAGTGCAGGCTAGTCTCGAACACCTGCCCTCAAGCAATCCTCCCGCCTTGGCCTCCCAAAGTGCTGGGATTACTGGCGTAAGCCACGCTGCCTGGCCTCAAAGTATGTTTTAAATCTAACTATTATAAACCTTTCCTTTCAAAATTTCTGATATTTTAATTTGCTGCCTTCTCACTAAAACATTTATGTAGTCTGGTAGCTCTGCTTTTCACATAACCCAAGCTCCTCCATTCAGAGAAGATGCAACCAAAGGCCATGGAGGAACTGTGGAGGGAACTGTGAGCCATGTTCTCCACTTCTGAAAGCCATCATGCAGGTCATTCTTCTTCATGGAGAAAGCAAAGTTCACTTGCTTGTGAGTGGGAAAATGTTCCCTCCCAGAAGCTGGTGTTGGTAGTGCATACATCTACAGCCTTCACCTACATCTAAATATACATCAGGAGAAATTTAGTAGGCAACAAAAAGCTAAGCAGAATTTTAAAATAAAGCAAACTAACTGAAGGCCTGTTAGATTAATCTCTGTAAACTAAGGTATCGTGATGCCAGACGTAACATTCAGGTCTCCTGACTAGAGCCTGAGTCACCAGTTGTCAGACTTGTGAATTCCAAAGAGGAGCTTGCCCTGGTTTATTTCAGCTTGCCAGGGCTTCCACCCATCCATCCCAGGCCATTGGAATGCAGTGCTAAAGCACCCTGGATTTGATATTCTATGTGTGAAATATCTTTGTACCACTTTCTGTAGCAACCTATCTAAATCAGTCACCAAATCTAAAAATAGACATTCTTCCTTAAGTTATGGCTTTGAGTCCATATAACCAATGGAGGAAAATAGTGCCAGAGTCCAACCTTTTTTTCTAACACCTCCACTAAGCAGGAACTAAGAAAAGGAGTGGGGACCTAGACTAGAAATATCTCTTCTTATACCCACCTGAAAGCAGCTCTCAGAAGATGTCATAAAACCAAGGTTCACACCACTCATTATTCAAGTACCTCATACAATTGACCATCCACTCAATAAATACAGTCACGTACCACATAACGACACTTCAGTCAATGACAGACCACATACACAAAGGTGGTATCATAAGATTATAAAGGAGCTAAAAAATTCCTATTACCTACTGACATTGAAAGGGGAGAGTTCCCTGATACCCCTTGCAGACATGTGGAAGGGGTGTGGCTCATCTGTTGCGCAGTCACTGCTGTGCAAGCCTGTTATAGGAGAGGGAGCATGTAGACAGATAGGTGCAGGAGCCAGGGCGAGCACTTTTGGGTTCCCATCCCACGGTGGCATCTAGGGGTGTGTGCCTGTGACTCTCAAAGCCCCAGTGGGTGTGCTACAGTGCTCTTTTAGCTCCGCCATCCGCAGATGGCTTAAGTGTTAACCAGCTCAGTGCCCTCTTGGTACCCAGGTTCTTGTCCAGTGTCCAGGAAGAATCAAGTCACACATGAACTTGAAGGATGGTGAATGTGAGGATTTTACTGGGTGATGGAGGTGGCTCTCAGCAGGATGGGTGGGGAGCTGGAAAGGGGATGGAGTGAGAGATGATCTTCCCCTGGAGTTTGGCTGTCCTGCAGCTGATCTCCTCTCTGACCATCCCCATCCAAACTCCTCTTGACATTCAGATGCTCCTTCTCTTCTCTCTTTCTCTGCAGCACCACTCTTCTGCTCCTCTGCTCTTCTGTTTGTCTGCTCATCTGCTCATCAAGCCTGGGATTTGGGGTTTATATGGATACAGGACAGAGGGGCATGGCAGGCCAAAAGGCAACATTTGGATGCACAAACAGGAATGCCTATTCCCATTTAGGACTGCAGGTTTCCAGGCTTGGGAGTAAGGCTTTTGCCAGGGAACTGCCCTCTTCTACCCAGTATTTCCCTGTCTCCTGTTTATATCAACATGGTAGCTCTGGTAATGTCATAGATCAACACATTACTCATATGTTTGTGGTGATCCTGGTGAAACACACCTACTGCACTGCCAGGCATACAAAAATGTAGCACAATTAGGTATAGTACATAATACTTGATAATGATAATAACCGACTCTGTTACTGCTGTATTTATTTACTGTACAATACTCTTAATCGTTATTTTAGAGTGTACTCCTTCTACTTGTAAAAAAGGAAATTAACTATAAAACAGCCTCAGGCAGGTCTTTCAGGAGGTATTCCAGAAGAAGGCATTGTTAACACAGGAGACGAGAGCTTCGTGTTATTGTCCATGAAGATCTTCCAGTGGGACAAGATGTGGAGGTGGTGGATAATGATATTGATGATCCAGAACCTGTGTAGACCTAGGGTATTGTGTTTCTGTCTTCATTTAAATTAAAAAGTTTAAAGGGAAAAAATGAAAATAGAAAGCACTTATAGAATAAGTATATAAAGAAAATATGTTTGTACAGTTGTACAAAGTGTGTTTTATGCTGTTATTACAAGAGTCAAAAGTTCAAAAAAATTAAAAACTTCAAAAAGTAAAAAACTTATAGTAAGCTAAGGTTAATTTGTTACTAAAGAAAGAAAAATATTTTTAATAAACTTAGTATAGTCTAAGTATATGGTGTTTATAAAGTCTACAGTGAAACCACCTTTGCAAACGTTAACAGTGACAAAATTATGACAGTGAAAGAGATCTAAACTAACAGATTCCATCTTGTTTCTAACCTCCAAGCTGCCCTTGTCCATTCCTGGGGACAGGTCCAACTAACTTTGGGAGGAACTTAGTTTATAGTTTAACTTTGAAACAAAGATGATAACAGCCCTTTCCTTAAATAAACCCCCTTCTTTCCTGGGGACTAGGCTGCCTTTGTAGGACTAACAAATTAGCCACAAGATTTGCAACTTCCCCAATTACTCCTGCAAATAACATCACTATTACAGAACCTAAGATTGGTCTTTTGAGATGTCTTTTCAGGTTTTTGCATTTCTGACAACTGGTGGCCCCACCTGGACCCACCAACCAGTCCTGTGGCCCCACCAAGAAGCAAATTCTAACACCTCCGCTAAGCAGGAACTAAGAAAAGGAGTGGACTTGAGAAATGCATGAGGACCATTTTCCACATCCCTATGATTGTATCTCCAACCAATCAGCAGCACCATTCCCTGGCCCTTCAAACTATCCTTGAAAAACCCTACCCTCTGAATTTTCAGGGAGACTGACTTCAGTAATAGAACTCTAGTGTCCCATTCAGCTGGCTCTGTATGAATTAAACCCTTTCTCTACTGCAATTCCTGGTTCTTGATAAATTGGCTGTATCCAGGTAGCAGGCAAAATGAACCCCTTGGGTGGTTACAAGAATATATCCCAGTTGTTAAGCAACACATGACTGTATTTATTAAGTCTTAACTCTTGTTGTGACAGTAGGGATACATGTTATAAAAAGTTAGCCATATCCCTGCTTTCCAAGATTTTCTAGTATAATCATTAAGATAACTTACATCCTGAAATTTCTGGAGGAGTGCTGATTACAAGTGTTTTATGGCTAAGATATATTGTTACAGAATTTTTCATTTTTTTCTTGAAAAAGCAACAAAAGTTTGAATCTGCTGTTTATTAATTAGTGAGCACACTTGTTTTCAAATCATTTAAAAAACACAAAACAAAATCCTTTAAATGCTATTAAACATCAAAATATAAAAGATGAGATCTGATACACGCAAAAACTTCCTAAAGAGACAGAATGGCTCCCAGGGCAGAATAAGCAGCCAAAATGATGGTATTGATACACTTAAAAAGAGGCCAGGCACAGTGGCTCACACCTGTAATGCCAGCACTCTAGGACGCCGAGGCCAGTGGATTACCTGAGGTCAGGAGTTCGAGACCAGCCTGGCCAACATGGTGAAACCCTGCCTCTACTAAAAATACAAAAAAAAAAAAAAAATTGCTGAGTGTGGTGGCGCACATCTGTGATCCCAGCAATTCAGGAGGCTGAGGCAGGAGAATCGCTTGGACCGGGGAGGTGGAGGTTGCGGTGAGCTAAGATCGTACCACTGTACTCCAGCCTGGGTGACAGAGCAAGACTCTATCTCAAAAAAAAAAAAAGAAAAAGAAAAAGAAAATGTGTCAAAGGAGATGTAGTAGTTGGAAAAAGAAGCACAGGAAATGGCAAGTGAAAGAAGAGACCATGTTAGTGCTTATTAAATGTTACCCAGTGGAACAGATCCAGATCCTGGGGAAGATAAGCCCTTCCAATGTTTTTCCTTCTGTTGGCAAAACTGGAATGTTCCATCAGACCTAGCTGAACTATCCCTCGAGTCTACCAACCTGTTTTGCTCTTGATCAAGGGCTCTCCAAGCAACGCTTGCATCATAATCTGGTTCCCCATGTAGACTTTCTCTAGGCTAACAATGTGCTGGTCAGCAGACACAAACCAGCTATGAGTTTAGCAACTACCCAACTGACCACAACAAACTCACCTCATCCTTGGACTTTTTCAGATTTGCAACCTAACAAAATGTAATTTAATTTCAAAAATTTGTTTTAAAAAGTATAAAAGGAAACTCAAAATTAAGCAAAATTATCTGGCCAAGTGTTTCAATATTTAGTCTAGAAAAAAGTGGTCAGTAGTCATATAAGGAACATAAATAATATCTCCATGCCAAAGCACTTGGAGATGAGTCACATGTAACTGGTGCATACTTAATACCACAGAAGTATGAAAGGGAGAAACTATGTCTTACTGAGGAAATCCAGGAAAGCAACACAGAGGAGGCAGTAATCAAGTGAGGCTTGAAGAATGAGCAGAGTGATGATAAGCAAAGACCTAGAGAGGCTAAGGTGATTGCTCCAGTCAAATAAAATGTAGAGGGTGGAAAAAGTGCTGGGCATGCAGGCAAACAGTTTAGATGTGGACTTAAAGTAAAACTAAGTTTAAACGGTAGAATAAGATGACACAGCTGCTTGAGAAGTATAAATGCCACATGGCAGCAATGCAAAGCCATCTAATCTTTATAATAAAGAGGAAACATCATGGAGTGAGACTCTAGGAATCAGGCAAGGCAAGAAAACATGATCCATGGCTGAAAACTGAAAAGCATAATTTTAACTCCCAATCATTTACATTCTTTTTGTTTGTTTGTTTTTGAGATGAGTCTCGCTCTGTCACCCAGGCTGGAGTGCGGTGGCGTGATCTTGGCTCACTGCAACCTCTGCCTCCCAGGTTCAAGCGATTCTCCTGCCTCAGCCTCCCAAGTAGCTGGGACTACAGGCGCGTGCCACCATGCATGGCTAATTTTTTGTATTTTTCTGGTAGAGACAGGGTTTAACTGTGTTAGCCAGGATGGTCTCGATCTCCTGACCTCGTGATCCGCCCGCCTCAGCCTCCCATACGTTCTCGTATAAGGTATTGATAATTTCCATCCAAATACTTGGATGAATGCAAGCTAAAATGAAAAGGGAAGGACAAGGGCTTGAGAGTACTGGAACCTGGATCAGAATGACATTATTGTAATACGGGGAAGCCACAGGAGGATACAAACTTGGGATACTTCGTAATTTTGACTGGGTCTTCCAAGCATCTCCCGCACAGTTCAGGAGATATTTTTGCAAGAAGAGCCTTGTCTATTCATATTGCCATAAAGATATGAAAACCTAGAATACATCTATTTTCTACTAATTCAGTAGAAGGTTATTATGGCCAAGATGTATCTATATGCAAAATCTTCTATGTGCAGTCTGAGAAACTCTGGAATGCTCTGAAAAAATTTTTGTGCATTTGGAGGAGTTGGAACAGATGTAGAAAGACAAGAAAACTCCTCTCTTCTTTGAATCAAAAATAAAAGGTTATTTTTTTCAAATGCAGATAGAATTGAAGGAGAAAATGCTATTTTATTACTCATTGCCTCTCCAAAACCTGTTGTTTAAGAACTGGACAGCTGACCTGAATGTAGAGTTCAAGGAAAAGGAAATACATTTGAGGTAGAGAATTCAATTTCTCAAACTCACCATGTGTGAAGCCTCAAGCTAGTTGCAAATTTAACTTGCATACAATATTGTCCATGAAGTGAAAAATCAGAAAAATAGTCACTATTGCTGAGAAGTCTGTTTAATTGTTCATTACCCAGGAAGTGTCATGGTGCTTCATAAATGAGGGATCCATATTCAGTTCACACTTTAAGCAAAGGAGAACATTAACATCAAAAGGGTATGAAGCCACTTCAATCCACACAGTGCATTGATGATCCTCCTCCTCAAGGAGAAGGACAGGCAGGAGGAATAAGGTAGACTATTAGCACTCAGGGGTAGAAAATGATGTCATATTAGGCAGTCATTCTCAAAGTTAGAAAGCAATGATTTTGAACTCTGTCATCAGCAGTTAAGGCTCAGGAATCTCAAACAGAAACCCCGACTAACATCAGATCATCAGCAGAACAGAGTGCACAAAAGAGTGGATTAGCTGCCCCATTAGAAATTCTTTAGTTCTTTCTCATAAAAGTTCTAACGAGTTACCTTAAGAGGAAGAACTAGATATCTTATTAAAACCTGCTATGTGCCCTACTAACTATAATTATAGTTCAGTTCAACACATGAAGGATATTTGTTTAAAGAGTAAACAAACTCCACATGGTATTTGTTTGTTTGTCTGTTTTTGGACACAAGGTCACACAGGGTCTTGCTCTGTTGCCCAGGCGGGAGTGCAGTGGTGCAATCTTGACTCACCACAGGCTCCCCCTTCCAGGTTCAAGTGATTCTCATGCCTCACCCACCCCAGTAGCTGGGACTACAGGCACATGCCACCACACCTGGCTAATTTTTTATTTTTAGTAGAGATGGGGTTTCACCATGTTGGCCAGGCTGGTCTTGATATCCTGGCCTCAAGTAATCTGCCCACCTTGGCCTCTCAAAGTTCTGGGATTATAGGCATGAACCACCACTCCCGGCCCAAACTCCATCTTTAACCTGGCTCCACTGAATTTCACTTTTCCACCCCTGGATAACATGGCAGAAGATCCTGTAGCTTTCTTGTTATTTTCAGTTGCAGGAACCACCTCATTTTGAGAATTCAGATTCATTTTCAGGTATTCAAATATCCAGTCCAGTCTATATTAAAACTGTAATCTCACATCCTATTCCAAGCTCCTCTCCTCTACCTACTCATGCCAGGAACTGAGGCTTGGAGACCTAAGTGCGGAAGTGAATATAGGCATCTTTTTGACCATTTCTTCTGATTTATATTTCCTCTCCACTCATCATGAGGCTTCTGGATCTCATGTTGTCTGGGCTAATAGAGTAAATATTAGAAGAAGGGCAAAAAGTTAAGCACTTTTGCTCACACTATGTGGCCATAATGCCCTTGTGCTAGCATCTGTGGCTATTGCCTGGAAAAATTTGTAAGTTCTTCAGAACCACTCCCTTTTTCCCTGAGGGAATCTTCACTCTATGATTTATTGACTTAGATTACGTATTTTCCCGAAGGCCTTTTGTAACACCCCAGCAGTTCACCCCATCAGCTCCTTCTGTGTCTGCAAGACCCTCACTCTAGCAAGCACTCTTCTTGGGAGAATAATCATCAGAATTTCTGAATCTCTCTTACTTTTTATTGCATGTACTTGGCTCAGAAGGAATACATGAATTCTTGCTTTTGAAAAAATAACAGAAATGTAAGAAGCTGTTTTCAATAATTCTGTTCTATAAAACATATTCCTATGCGTAGGTACTACATGTTATACACGTTTAGCAAAAGTTGTCTAGGATAGAGAGTTAAAAATTAGCTAGAAAGAAGGAAGGAAGAAAAGAGTTAAAAGAGTTAAGGAATAGAAGCTAGGATTTATGGAACTCTACCCGTATGTCAGGGCCTGCACTGCAAAACAGGTATTATCTCCATTTTGTAGATGAGTAAGATAGACTGAAAGAGATTAAATGTTTAGTTATGGTGAACAACCATAGTTTTTTTTTTTTTTTTAGACGGAGTCTCACCCTCTCACCCAGGTGAAAAAATACACAGTATATATTGCTTCTACAATTCAATTGATACTTTATATCCTGCACCCCCAATTTTTTTTTACTGTGGTCCTAAACTACCTTTCAATTTTTCTAAGTATTTGTTCCATCTGCCCAAATAGATTATGAGCTTCTCAAGGAGTGTCTATTACACTTTTTGTTGTATTCAGTAATCAACATATATTGAATATTGAGTTAAATCCATTAAAATTAAAAGTACACAGCTTGTTCAAACACAAGAGGATATGAGGATAATTTAATCACTGTGCTGGTAGATATGAATCTGCATTGATGGGAACTGACTTTTCCCCATACCACAGCCTGAACAGAAGGAAGAATTCTCATATACTAATATGAAATATTTAAATTAGTACTAAAAATTAATTTCCAAATTGAAACAATTGTTAAACTATAGACTGTGTCATGACTGATATGGTGGAGGAGCTTAAGAGATTTGGCTTCTGCATAGCGATACTTTTCATTGTCTAGGACAATTTTGGCTTGGATTCTTTTAATTTTGTCTCATTGTAAAGTTATGGACTTTACAACCCTTCTTCAAGTTTCTCCAAGACCTATAAAGACATTAGACAAAAGCGGAATTTCATCTATCTTTTCCGATTATAACATACCATATGGATACACCCAAGATTTATAAATTTTGTCATATGGAACTCAGATACTAAAAATCTATTATATTTGGCAAAAACCAGAACTGAGAGAACCACCCCAAAACTGAAAAATATATTTTGAAGATATTCTCATTTACCTGTTTACATCATGTAAAATTATGATAACTAAAGGGAATCCTCAAATAATTAAGTAAAAGCATATTATAAAAAAAACAGTATTGGAATTCTGCTCCCAGCCACAATGCAGTAACTAGGAATGCATTTACCTTCTTACCTTAAGCAACTAGAAAGCCAGACAAAATATATGAAACATCTTTCTTCAGGCATTGTTCAATAGGCAATTACAGTGATCTCTGAAAGGGAAGGAAATGAGATGACCCCGATGTTGCCTGATCTTTTTGCCTGAGGAGAGTTTCTAGGCTGCAACATGGGCAGGGGAAACCCAAACAGTGGCTTGTGGTCTCACTGAGTTGAGGAGACATAGTTCTGATTTCAGGGAGTTTCACACACTTAGAATTTGTGGGATAGAATAACAGAAACAGTGATACAGAGAGAGCTCTGGAGATCTTTGAATCCTTTCAAACTTTGGCTGAATACCGCTATGTGCATAGATGTGTGGTAACTACTAAGGCCAGGGAAAGAACTATCAGAAAAGAGTATGCAGAACAGTGTCCAGACCTTACAAGAATCAGGAATAGCTTAGGCTACCAACCAGTCAGAGGAGAAAGACCTCCTATCTCACAGAACATGAGACCCTTCAGAGGGCTATTTCCTAGATCAAAGTAGCCCTGCTCTGAATTCACCCTAACAAATCTTAAAAGCAAATCTCAAAAGCATCCAGCTAATTCCAAGAAACTTATCTGCATCCCGGAGGGGGGAAAAAAAAGAAATCCAACAATATTTAAAGGAATACAGAAAAATCCAGGACACAAAAATGTAAAATTCATTATATCCAATTGTAAATGAAGTTCACTTTTATAAATTTTCATTGATAAAAAAATTACCAAGTAAGCAAAGAAGTAGGGAAAATATTGCCTCCCAACCAGAATAGTAATCAAATCAATCAATAGAAACAGATATAGTAATTTCATAGATGATAGAAGTAACAGATAACAACAGTAAAACAATTATTATAAGTATACTCCAAATGTTTAAGACAATGAGAAAGATTAAAAAACGTTTTCAAATACAAATCAAACTCTGCAGATAGAAAATACAATATTTGAAATGAGAAACATACTGGATAGGATGAACTTTAGATTAGATATTGGCCCAAAAAAAAAGGCACCAAACTTGAAGACAGATTTTATCCAAAATGAAACAGAAGGAAATTAAGATTTTAAAACATGAAACACCTCTTTGAAGAAGAGGTGGTCGTAGGTGTTGTGGAGCTCTGATCCGCCCGCACCTGCTCCTGACTCACCACTGTTCACTCTTGCCGGAACAAGTAGGTCAGGAAGCCGCGCAGCAGTGATGGCTTTTAAGGATACCGGAAAAACACCCACGGAGCCGAAGATGGCAATTCACCGAATTCGAATCACTCTAACAAGCTGCAATGTAAAATCCCTGGCGAAGGTGTGTGCTGACTTGATCAGAGGAGCAAAGGAAAAGAATCTCAAAGTGAAAAGACCAGTTCAAATGCCTACTAAGACTTTGAGAATCACTACAAGAAAAAACTCCATGTGGTGAAGGTTCTAAGCCATGGGATCATTTCCAGATGAGAATCCACAAGCGACTCATTGACTTGCTCAGTCCTTCTGAGATTGTTAAGCAGATTACTTCCATCAGTATTGAGCCAGGAGTTGAGATGGAAGTCACCATTGTAGACGTATAAGTCAACTATTTTAATAAATTAATTACCAGTTGAAAAATTAAAAAAAAATGAAACAAGCATCAGTAATCTTTTGAATGATTTTTTTTTTTTGATACGGATTCTCGGTCTGTCGCCCGGGCTGGAGTGCAGTGGCGCGATCTCAGCTCACTGCAGGCTCCCCCTCCCGGGTTCAAGCCATTCTCCTGCCTCAGCCTTACAAGTAGCTGGGACTACAGGCGCCCACCACCATGCCTGGCTAATTTTTTGTATATTTAGTAGAGACTGGGTTTCACCATGTTGACCAGGATGGTCTCGATCTCTTGACCTGCCAAAGTTAGGAAGTCTGGGATATTTGTAATTGGAGTCCCAGAAGGGAGAGTCAGAAAAAAATGAGAAAATAATGGCACAAAGTTAGGAATGGTCAGACTACTCATCAGAAACTATGGAAGAGTGAAATCCTTAAAGCACTGAAGGGAAAAAAGGGACTAGCAACCTGTAATTGTATGTACCGTGTTAGTCCATTCTCATGCTGCTATGAAGAAATACCTGAGACTGGGTAATTTATAAAGGAAAGAGGTTTAATTGACTAACAGTTCAGCAAGGCTGGGGAGACCTCATGAAACTTACAATCATGGCAGAAGGTGAAGGGGAAACAGGCACCTGCTTCACAAGGTGGCAGAAAGGAGAAGTGCAAGCAGGGGAAATGTCAGACACTTATAAAACCATCGGATCTCATGAGACTCACTCATTATTAGGAGAACAGCATGGGGCGAACGGCCCTCATGATCCAATTACCTCCACCTGGTCCCACCCTTGACACATGGGGATCATGGGGATTACAATTCAAGATAAGATTTAGATGGAGACACAGGGCCAAACCATATCATATGTCCATCAAAAAACTTTCAAAAATTAGCTAAAGGCTTTTTCAGACATACAGAAGTTCAGATAATCATTGCCAACAGATCTGTACTACAAAAAAATACTAAAGGTAGTTATTCAGGCAGAAGGAAAAGTATACCAGATAGAAATTTGGATCTCAAATATGGAAGAAAAAAAAAACAATAAAAATGGCAAATACATGAGAAAATATGAAAGACTATTTTCTTATTTTTAAAAATCTCTTTTAAAGAATTTAATATTTAAACAAAAAGTAATAATGATAGATTGTAGAGTTTATAATATATACAGAATAAAATGCATGAAAACAATAGCAACAAGTACAGGATGGGGAACTGATATTTTTACCACTGTAAGGTTCCTAAAACATATGTAAGGGGTATACCATTATTTGATGACAGACTGTGATAAGTTAAAGATTTATATTGTAAACCCACTAAAATGGAACAACAACAAAGAATTTATAGATAATATACCAATAGTGAAAATGGAATAAAATAAAAAATACTTACTCTAAAGGAAGAAAAGAGAATGAAGAACAAAGAATAGATGGAGACAAAAGAAGATATAAAAGCATGTTAAACATCATTAGTCATTAGAGAAGTGCGAACTAAAACTACAATGAAGTACCACTACACATTTTCTCAAAAGGCTAAAATTTAAAAGATTCACTCTTAATTCCAGGTTTTGAATGAGGATGAGGATCAACTGGAAATCTCATACACTGCTGGTGAAAATGCAAAATTATATGTAGCCACTTTGGAAAATCATTTGGCAGTTTCTTATGAAGTTAATCAAACACTTACTGTACAACCCAGCAATTCCAATCCAAACATTCACAACAGACTTCTATTCAAATGTTCACATCAGCTTTATTCATAACAGCCCCAAATATAAAACAACTGGAATGTCCATTAACTGGTGAATGGATAAACTGTGAACCACGTATACAATAGAATACTACTCAGCAATAAAAAGAAACAAATTATTGATACACCCAACAATTTGGATAAATCTTAAAAGCACTATACTAAATGTAAGAAGTCAGGCACAAAAGAGTACTTACTGTACATTTCCATTAATATGAAATTCTAGAAAATGCAAACTAATTTACGCTGACAAAAAGCAGACTAGCAATTGCTTGGGTCTAGAGGTAGAGTATATGGGTGGTGGGGTGTAGAGAAGGAAGGAATGTGTGGATTTATTCCAAGAAGGCATGAGGAAACATTTTGAGGCGGCGGAAATCTTTATCATGATTTTTATAATGTATATACATTTGTCAAAACTTGTCAAATTGTCATTTTAAATGTATATAGTATATTGTGCCTAAAGTATACTAAGGCTGATTTTAAAAGTGGGATGAAAGAAAGAGAAATAAAGGAGTGTCACCATTTTATCAGCCAAAGGAATAGCATAATGCTTTTGAGATTCATCTACATTGTTAGATGTATCAACAGTTTTTCTTTTTATTGTTGAATAGTAACCTATGGTATGTAAGTTTCATAGGTTTTTTGTGTGTCTATTCACCTGTTGATGTCCATCAGTCATTACTGACGAACATTTCAAACCCAAGGAGTGCTGCCACTTCAGAGGAATCCTGAAAGCACAAACCAGGTTAGGAACAAATGTGTCAATGTTCCTAATTTTCATAGGCTCTTTATAGCTGGCATAGCAATGTGCCTGACTCTGGTTTTATTTCAATAATTGTTCTGTACTTTCCCCAAACACATGAATCTATAAACGCTTTGAGAGAAGGGACTCTGTCACAATACCTTCTTCCCAGAGCACTTAAAAAGAACAAAACAAATTATTTGCTGAATGAACTGTGATCAGATGAATGAATGAATTAATAAAGTGAATTTCTATGAGAATTTATAATCCCAACACATTGATATATAAATTATTTATTTATTGTAGGAAATGCTATCTATTCATCTTTATATATAGTAAAACATTATTCAAGTACCACAAATTTAGAATTTTGAAGAATTTGTACAAGGCTTATCTTTGTATTGTTGAAAAAAATTTTATATGGCCAAAGACAGTATAGCAACATGGTGATGATTGCCACCTTTATTTTGTATGTCAATTCAAAGTTTAGAAATGGCTTTCACAAGCATTATCTCAATTAAGTGCTATTTTACCAATAGGCAGTTTCTACTTACAAAAAGTCATAGAATCTATTGATACATTGAAGGAAAATTTCAAAGGGCTTTTTCTAGCTAATATGTAGTTAATCTGCTTCAAATTATGATGAGACAAAGACAGAGAGAGCTCTCAATACAATTACATTTTAAATTACAATTAAGAATTGTCATCATTTTTACAGACGTTCCCCGGGTTGGTCCGCATTGCAGGTTATTTCTTTGCAACATACTAAGGTTCTTAACTGATCCCACCTTCCCTCTGGTAACTGTCTACTCCCTTAGCTTCTCCTCTCATCTCGCTGGCCCATCCTTTCTGTTTCTTCCATGGGCTTATCCTCCTCCACCCACCTCTAAATGCTGAAGTTGTTCAGGGTGCCATTACTAGCCATCTAGCCATCTTCCCTTGTCATTCTATATGCTTTCCCTAGGAAGCCACGTGATTTTAGAAACTTTAACTCACAGATAATGACAAAATCAGTATCACCAACATCCACCTTTCTCCTAAGCTACAGCAAATATCTTGCAAATAATCAAGCCATATCCCAAACAAACCTCTTTCTGCTGCCTTCCTGTTTTATTTATTAGAATTACCTTCTACTCAGATATACAAATGGCCAACAAGTATATGGAAAGATGTTCAGCATCACTAATTATCAGGGAAATACAAATCAAAACCATAATGGGATACCACCTCCCTCCTACAACAATGGTCATGATCAAAAAATCAAAAAATAATAGATGTTGGCATGAATTGGAGACTATTATTGTAAGTGAAGCAACTCGGGAGTGGAAAACCAAACATCATATGTTCTCACTCACAATTGGGAGCTAAATTATGAGGACACAAAGGCATAAGAATGTTACAATGGACTTTGGGGAGTCAAGGGAAAGGATGGGGGGTGAGGGATAAGAGACTACACATTGGGCATAGTGTACCCTGCTTAGGTGATAGGTGCACCAAAATCTCAGAAATCACCACTAAAGAACTTATTCATGTAACCAAACACCACCTGTTCCCTAAAAACTTACTGAAATTTTAAAAATAAAAATAAAAATAAAAATTTCCCTTCTACTCAACTGACCAAGTCAGAAACTTGGGAGTCATTCTTAATACCTTCTTATCCCTCATCTTCCCACATTCAATCTCACCAAATACTAGTATTTCTATGTATCAAATGTTTTTAGAGTTTTTTTTTCTTTTTGTATCAGACAGAGACATCATGCACATCATCAAATTCCCTTGAATGTTCCCTTTCTTTCTATGGCTCTGCCCAAATCCCAGCCCCAACCAACCACTTGCCCTTGAAGTGGCAAGCCTACAGCAGAGTTGACAACCTGCAATCATGAGATTTTAGGGCCTGTGCTACTTCCAGACTTGGCTAAAACATCACACCATGGAGTGTGGGATCTAGGATCTTACAGCAATGCCCTGTTGAAGGAGCTCGATAATACAACTCAGAAGTCTGTTGTGTTGACTCTCCATGGAGTGAAAACAGCATACAGGAGGTTATCCAGGCAGATAAATTTGCCTTGCTTCATCGCTTCATGGGCTACCTCATGAAAACAGTTTTTCCTTGCATTCTGTGCAGAGTATTTCAACAAGCT
Organism: Homo sapiens; assembly: GCF_000001405.40. Classification (NCBI taxonomy): domain Eukaryota; kingdom Metazoa; phylum Chordata; class Mammalia; order Primates; family Hominidae; genus Homo; species Homo sapiens. The sequence continues at coordinate 72,651,200 of NC_000009.12, read as the reverse complement.
GAGCAATGGACTTGCCAGTTGACTTGTTCTGTCCCAACTGGATAAAGAAAATGTGATATATATATATATGTGATATAGATACATGTGCTATATATATGTGATATATATATCTATATATTTTTATATAGATATATATATATAAAATACACCATGAAATACCACGCAGCCATAAAACAAGAACGAGATTATGTCTTATGTGGGAACATGGATGGAGCTAGAGGACATATCCTTGTATATGTGATATATATATGTGACATATATATACCTATATATATTTATATATATATCTATATATATTTATATATATATCTATATATCTATATATATAAAATACACCATGAAATACCATGCAGCCATAAAAAAAGAACGAGATTATATCTTATGTGGGAACGTGGATGGAGCTGGAAGACATTATCCTTAGCCAACTAATGCAGAAACAGACAACCAAATACCACGTTCTCATTTATAAGTATGATAATGATAAGAACTTATGAAAACAAAGAAGGAAACAACAGACCCTGGGGTCTATGTGAGGGGGGAGGATAGAATGAGGGAGGGGAGGAGAAAAGAAAACTAAACTATTGGGTTCTGGACATAGGTACCTGGGTGTGAAATAATATGCACAACAAACCCCTGTGACACATGTTTACCTATGTAACAAACTTTCATACGTACTCCCAAGCCTAAAATAAAAGTTAAAAAAAAAGGCTTGTTCTGTCCCTTCATAGCTTGTTGGAAGTCATCATAGTAAGGCATCACTTATCTTTCCTTTACCTCTAGTCATCACAGTGACGCATCACTGAACATTGTACAGAACCTGGCACATAATAGACACTCAATAATGGAGCTATTGTTATGATTCTGTGACATTATGCAAACCACACCAGGCAAGTCTATCATTTTTTTCCATTCTTATGAAGCCCAAGTACTGCCTTAAAAACATTTGCTTTCTATTTATTGATTTTTACCCATTTTATTATGTATAAACCAAACATAACTCTCATATAAAAAGTTTGGAAGAGAATACCCAAATGTTGATAATAATATTTTTGTGGTGGGATTCTGTATTTTCATCAGTGCATCATTTAGTACATTTTCTCTAAAGTTTACATATTTTCTGCAACAGCATATATTACATTCATAATTAAAATAAAGCTGTTAAACTTTAAAATACCTGCTATGTGAGCACAATAAGGTTAATAAATGATAAATAATATGCAGCACTAATAAACAGCAGGAATAATCCATTCTAATTTGACTTGCTTAATGAGATGGTTGGCAATTAAGATAGCCTGAGCAGATTTATTACAAGTTTTTGTAAAAACTACTGGGCACTTAAAAAGTTTGCCAGCACTATAACTACCTAAATAGCCTGAGGAACTTGAAGATCCCAGGGTTGAGAAAAATGCTAAGGTGTTGAAATCTACCATCTTCCATAAGATTTGAATCCTGTTCTTACTAATGAAAAACCACGCCACCCTGTTAAGAGTTAATATGAAAGTTTGGGCCATTTCCAATAGCTTCTTTGGAAAGATGTGTAGAGCCTCATAAGAAGTGGTTGTTTTGTTTTTGTTTTTTCAAAAGCAATGACCTTCTCAATAATGATGTTCTCCAGGTGTTTAAAGTTAATAAAATGAGCATATTAAATAGGGTACTGCTCAGATTCCCAAGATATGAGCCTGAAGCTGGATGGCTTTACTAGATTATCTCTAAATGAGGTCTCTGTTTCCACTTTCCATTCTAAGATTAAATGAGTAAGCTAACAAAATGACTGATAGCAAGATTATCTGGACTAGACAGTCTATACAGAAAAGCAAATGTGTGTGTCCAGGTTTTTCCTATTTGAAAATTCTGCCAGTTTGTCTTTAGGGAACTGAAATGTTGTTGAAAATAGATCCAAGTGTAAGCTACATAAATGTCACAGAATGACTGATGAATGAACATGCCACACATTATCCACACAGTACTGAAAATGCACCCTATGGCAAGTCACAGCAAGCAAAAATGTGTTTTATCACGTTGCTCATTCCTTCACATAAATATCCTACAACAATAGGGTTTGATGTCTCCTTTCTCTGCTATCCCTGACTTTACCTGCTTCCTCTTCTCAACTTAATTTAGAACTTTGCTTAACTCATAAACGGAAGCAGAACACATCCCCTTTCAAAAACTGTCTCACACACCAATCTGACAATAGGTCACTGCTGTGGAATAAAGCCCGCATTTGAGTTGCTATGCTGAAATCTCAGTGCATTTTCCTTTCCTCCATTGTCTTTCTGAGTGAAAGCGAGGTCAGTTTTAGCACTTACCAGTTGGTGAAATCATTCATCCATAAAAGAGAAGAAGGTGGAGAGATATTAAACCCTTCTCAATTTCTCAGGAAACAAAGGGAAACTACCCACAGAAAAAAATGAAAAAGGGAAAGCCCCAAAAGAGGGAACAAAAATTGTAAAACAAACTTTCCAAAGTTTTCAAATACCTTTATACCTCTCAGAAAGACATAGTGTCCTACAGACAGTCTTGATTTTGTAAATACCTTTTTTGGGTGACATCCTGGGGGTGTCCTGTCAGAAGGTCTCAGTGGCTGGCTAGTTTGGAGAGGGACTGCAGGATGAAGGAACAAATATTTCAGGTTTGATCTAGCACATCCACACACTTCTGCCTGCCACTGAAAGTGCTCCCCTGGTGCCATTTCACCATCTGAAACTTAAGAAGGTACTCATTTCCTCACCATTAAATTTTCACGAATGTTTAGTTTGCCATTTAAGGGACGGAGTACTCAGGTCAAAGGGGTTGAATTTGGGGTTCATGTTTGGAATAAAACTAAACTGATCATATAAGTCCTATTCAGAGCAAAGCTGGCTTCATCCCACTCTGCCTGTGCTTTCCTGCCTCATTTTTAATGCCTTCCATTCTATGGTTTTATCCTAATTACATATATTGAGGGCAGTGTAAGTGAGTGCACCCTTAGAAAGGTAAGAAATACCAGCCACTAAGTGTGCTTGGTAAATTAAATGCGTTAGTAAAGAAGATACTCCTGCACTTGGCGTTTGGGTTTAAGCAGCAAAGCTATAGCACATTCAACATAGCAATCAATCTCCAATAACGGGAAACCTGGGGGCATAGTATTTATTTTCTCAACTTTTCTGAAAGTAAAACTTGCTATATGAAGAAAGTGCTATTTTTCTGAGGAAGTATAACATTTTTTTCTTTCTATTGAAACTTCTCCTAGGAAGGTAGTGATCTTTGATTGGAATGATAAAAAAGATTTCCATCAGTGAAAAGAAAGGGACAAAAGACACCAATTGTAATGGTGCAGAAAAGGCTGTCTTTTTGAGAGTACGGACGCTGGCATTCTCTGGTTACTTGAGTGATAGCAAGCATAGCTGCACTAACCTTGGCAAGAGGAAGCAATGTTTTGAAATGGATCCTGGTGGCACATTTATACTGGAGCAGCTTTTGGCTACACAAATCAATTTGTGCACATATATGACCCTTCTAGAATATATAGACTAGTACATAGCCAAGGCAGTATGGAGCACACCCTAAATTATGTCTTAAAATAAATCTCTGTAAGGGTGATGTTCACCTGGTTTTTCCCTATTCTAGATACTGGATTTTAATTGGAGTAGTAAGAGAGAAGACAGCTGATACAAGTATTTATATGTGAAGATATCCAGAGTACTTAATTAACTTAAGGACTTACAAAGAGATAAGGTTTTGTTGCAAATTATTGAATCTGTAATTTAGAGCAAGAACAACATGCAATTTGATTTATATTAACCATAAATATATAAAATAACTCTAAATACTATTATAACAAAAACCATGAGAAAATTAACAAAAGATGTTTTGCAAGACTCATATCCAGAAGATTATGAAAACAAGACTAAAGAAACTGAAGACAATTAAAAAAGAAAAATAGATGAATTAAACTACATTAAAATAAAAAAATTTCTATTCATTAAAAGAGGTTTCAAAGAAAACTAAAAAAAAAGTAAGAGATATTTGCCACTGACAGAGCATTTTCTTTTCTCTCTCTTTTTTTTTTTTTTTTTTGAGATGGAGTCTCACTCTGTCACCCAGGCTAGAGTGCAGTGGCATGCTCTCAGCTCACTGCAACCTCCACCTCCTGGGTTCAAGCAATTTTCCTGCCTCAGCCTCCCGAGTAGCTGGGATTACAGGCACCCGCCACCACACCGGGCTAATTTTTGTATTTTCAGTAGAGATGGAGTTTCACCATGTTGGCCAGGTTGGTCTCGAACTCCTGACCTCAGGTAATCCACCCACCTCAGCCTCCCAGAGTGGGATTACAGGCATGAACCACCATGCCCAGCCCAACAGAACACTTTCTAAAAGATTAGTATCAAAAATAAAGAACTGTTTTATTATAACAAGAAAAGGACAAGCACACCTACAGGAAAAAAATGGTAAAAGATTTGAACAGATACTTCATATGTTAGGATATAAAATGGCCCATTGGAGGTTGCAGTGAGTCGAGATAGTGCCACTGCACTCCAGTCTGCAGGACGGGGCGAGACTCCATCTCAAAAAAAAATAAATAAATAAAAAATAAAAATAAAATAAAATGGCCCATAACCCAATAAGATGAGCAAAAACATGAACAGTAATATCATAAAAGAAGGGAAAATATAGCCCATAAACATAAGAAGAAAAGTCCAATGTCTTCTGAGTAAATGGAAATCAAGACCACTACAGGTACGGGTATGAATTGTCATGTATTTTTTCTGGCAAAATTAGTAAGTCTGAAAATAGTAAATGTTGAAGAATGAAGATGATTAGAATCTCTCATATACGGCTAATAGGAGTATAACTTAGCTACTTTGGAGAACAATCCAGCAATATCCTGTGAAAAGTTGAGCTTTTGCTAAACTATGACTCAGAAAATTTAATACTAAGACTATTACAATAAACTTGCACCTGTGTATGAGGTGGCAAATACTATTTATATTAGTAGCACTGTTCATAATAGAATAACAATAACAAAAATATTGCAAAATATGATCATCAGTACATTGATATGTAAATTATGCAATAGTCACAACAATATAAATCATAGACTATAATTTTGGAATATTCACAAAACAGAGTGTGATATAGCAGTAAATGTACATGACTTGATAAGCTGATTCCAAAAATTTATATATGTGAGAGGACTTCAAAAATTTTGTGGAAAAATATAATTAAAAGATTAAAATGAAAAATATAAACTTTATTTCTCAATATAAGCTCCATCAAGTTTAAGACACTTTTGTAAGCAATGATACCGGCCAAATAGTCCATTCCTTAAGAAATGAAGACCCTGGGAATTGAATTATGTCAATGCAGTCTTTTTTACATTATTAACTAAGGAAAAATGGGTGCCCCTTAAAGATTATTTTAAGATTAGAAAACAAAAAGTCAGAAGAAACCAAATCAAGACTGTAAGGTGGCTGCCTAATGATTTCCCATTGAAATTCTTGCAAAATTAGAGCTTTATTTCGTGAGAGCTTGTTTCGTGACAATGAACAGGAACATTGTCATGGTGGAGAAGGACTCTGTGGTGAGGCTTTGCCAGACGTTTTTCTGCTAACGCTTTGACTTTCTCAAAACACTCCCATAATGAGAGATATTATTGTTCTTTGACCCTCCAGAAAGTCAAGAAAAGTGCCTTGAACATCCAAAAAACTGTTGCCATGATCTTTGCTCTTGACTGGTCTGCTCTTATTTTGACTGGGCCACTTCCACCTCTTGGTAGCCATTGTTTTGATTGTGCTTTGGCTTCAGGGTCATACTGATAATCCATGTTTCATCTCCTATTAATGTTCTTTTAAGAAATCTTTCTGGACCTTGATCCCACTTGTTTAAAATTTCCGTCAAAAGCTCTACTCTTGCCTGCAGCTGATCTGGGCACAATGGTTTTGGCACCCATAGAGTGGAAACTTTGGCCAATTTTAATTTTTCAGTCAGAATTGTGTAAGCTGAGCCAGTTGAGGTGTATATGGTTGTGGCTATTACTTGTGCTGTTAATCATCAGTGCTCTTCAATTAAGACACAAACAAGATGAATTTTTTTCCTATCAATTAATGTGGATGGTCTGCTGCTGTGGGCTTCGACTTCAACATCATATCATCTGTTCTTAAAATGAGTTATCTGTTTGATAATGTGACATTTTCCCCATAAATTTTTCATAAAGCATCAATGATTTCACCCTTTTTTCACCCACGCTTCACGATAAATTTGATATTTGTTCTTGCTTCAATTTTATCAGAATTCATGTTGCTCTGATAGGGGCTGTTTTTAAATTGATGATTTATCCTTTTTAGTGCCTCAAACTAGCTCCTGTTCACACATATTATAACAAGTTAGTACACATTTACTTTGATGCAAAAGAATTTTGAAAATTTTAAAATTCCATACCTTTTGTTATAATACACATTTTCCATGTACTTTTTGATTAATGCAAATTACTTGGAATAGGAAAATGCAACCTTGAAAAGGAAGAAAATAGCAGACTTTTACTACCTAACTTTAAGACTTTATTAACTACAGTTATCAGGACAGTGTAGCATTGGCATCAACATAGATGAATCACTGAAACAGAAAAGAGAATTCAGAAATAGACTCACACATATATAGGCAAATGATTCACAACAAAGGTACAAAGACAATTTAATGGAGAAATTAGTCTTTTCAATAAATAGTGCTGGAACAATCAGTTTTCCACATATTAAAAAAAAATCTTCAATCTGCATCTTATACCATATACAAAAATTAACTCAAAATGGACCATAGACCCAAATGTAAAACCTAAAACTATAAAACTTCTAGAAGAAAACACATAAGGCTATGGGTTAGGCAGATTTTTTTTTAGATATAACACCAAATGTCCAATCCACAAAATAAAAAAAAACATAAAGTGAACTTTATAAAATTAAGAGCATCTGCTCTTCAAAAGACTGCTAGGAGAATGAAAAGACAATCACAGACTGGGAGAAAATATTTGCAAATCATACATTTGTTAAAGGATTTGTATCCAGAATATATATAGCACTCTCCAAAGTTACTAATAAGAAAACAAACAGTCCAATAAAAAATGTATCAATTATTAAACAGATATTTGACCAAGGAAGATAATGATAGCAAATAAACAAAAGTAAAGACACAACATAACTAGACACTAGGGAAATGCAAATTAAAACAACAGTGAGATATCACTACACATTTATTAAAATGGCTAAAATTGCAAGACTGACTATAGCAAGTGTTGGAAGGGGGATGGTGAAGAACTAGAACTCTCATACACTGCTGCCAGGAATGTAAAATGGTACACACTTTGGACAACAATTTGGCAATTTCTTTAAAAGTTAAACATACATCTACCATATGACTTAGGCATTCTACTCTAAGACATTTACCCAAGAGAAATGAAAGCATATGTCCCTATACAGACTTCCACATGAATCTTTGTCACAGCCAAAACTGGAAATAATGCAATGTCCATTCACAAATGAATAAATTGCAATGTATTCATGTAATTGAATGCTAATTTGTAATAATACAGAATGAACTATTGATACACACAAAAACTGATATGAATGGCAAAATAATTGTGCTGCATGAAAGAAGCCAGACAAAAAAAAGAGCACATGCTATATGATTTAATTTACATAAAATTCTAGAAAATGCAGTGACACAAAGCAGATCAGATGGAAGGAGGGAAGAATAACATAAAGACACAAGGAAACTGAGATATGTTATTACCTTGAAAGTGTTGATGGTTTCATTGTGTATACATATGGCAAACTTTTCAAGTTGTAAATGAGTATGTGTAGTTTACTGCATATCAATTTCTTTCCCTCCACAGGGCTGTTTCTCCATGTGAATGTATATGAGTTTTATCTCAATAGAGCTATTGAAATACAAGCCATGCATGGGCCCAAATGAGAGTATGTTATGAAATAAACATCAAGATTAATCTACTTCTGTACATGTGATATCTAAAAAAGCGGGAAAGTTGGAAGGAGAGAAAAAAGGCAGAATAAAAGGAGGAAGAAGAAAAAAAGAAAGGAAGGAAGGAGGGAGGAAAGGAGAAGAAAGGAAGGAAAAAACCTTTGAAAATTAGATAGAAACAATCTAAATACATATAACAACGTGAATAAGTCAAATTATTTGTGCTCAGTGAAAGAAGCCTGTCTCAAAAGGCTACATACAGTAGTGTTCCATTTATTTGACACTCTTGAAAAGGCAAAACTATAGACAGGAAATTTATTAGCGATTGTCAGGAGCTAGGAGAATTAACCACAAAGAGGCTTGAGAGAATTTTGGAGGGGAGACGAGAGAATTATTCTATATCTTGTCTACAGTGATTGTCACACTAATGTAGGTGTTTGTTAAAACTCATAGAACTTAAAGGGTTTATTTATTACATCTGAATTATATCTGAACAAATCTGACTACGAAGAAAAAGTAGAAAAACAATACTTCTTGGCTTAACCTTGGGCTGTAGTTATTTTTCTCTGCCTATATTGAGTCTTTTTAAAAATTGAATTGACAATATAAAATGTTTAAAAATTTCATACAAATTTTTGGATTTCTGACTTTTCTTTAAAAATATGTGACAAACCATACTCACATTTTTACATGGCAATAATCTTCTGTGGCTAAATAGGCAGCAGTTTCCTCTGCAGGCATGCAGTCAATCCCTACCTGATAGCTTTACTATTTAAGGCATATTGCCTGTCCAATCCCTAGAGATATTTACGTTTAAGTTCTTGCCTTAAACTCATGTTAACCAACACCTTTACTAGCATAATCTGTTCCCTAGTCATGAATAAATCTGTCTATAGGAATGAAACAGGAAGTGTGTGATGACAATAGAACCAGAGGCATAGGGACCACTGGGGCCCTATAATATGTAGTTAGGACACAGATCATAAGATCCTGGAATAGAGAATTTGCAGCTTGAGACTAATATACAGAAAATCACAGCTGAGCATCTTAAGGAGAAAATAAACCAGCCAAATTCTGGGTGTTATTTCATCTACTTCGTGAAGTCCTTAATCACCAAAATCTAAGATCTGGGGCCAGGCACAGTGGCTCACTCCTGTAATCCCAGCACCTTGGGAGGCCAAGGCAGGCGGATCATGAGGTCAGGAGTTCGAAACCAGCCTGGCCACTATCATGAAACCCTGTCTCTACTAAAAATACAAAAAATTAGCCGGGAGTGGTGGCTCACGCCTGTAATCCTAGCTACTCAGGAGGCTGCGGGAGGAGAATCACTTGAACCCGGGAGGTGGAGAGTGCAGTGAGCCGAGATCGCACCACTGCACTCCAGCCTGGGCAATAGAGCGAGACTGTCTCTCAAAAAAAAAAAAAAAAAAAAAAAAAGATTTGGGACTACCTTATAAGCATATTTTTATTTCCGATAGTGAACACAGTGGCTCACATATATTAATAATAAGTTGTCCATAATTGTTGTCTGGAAAGAAAACGAAGGAGATCAACAGGTAAAGGATCCAAGAAGGAGGGATGAATGCACGGGCACAAGGTTTCTGCAGTTGTTCAGGACCTTGGGGACAGAAGGATCCTGTGCTTCATTGACTGTTCCACTGTTGCCATCTGGAAATTCTTAATAATTTTTGAACAAAGGACCCTACTTTTGGCACTAAGTTCCACAAATTACATAGCCTGGACTAAATCCAGGAGTTTGTAGACCCATTATTGAGCTTTTTCTACTGGAGGACAGTGAAGAGGACTGTTTTTGACACAGTGCATATATTTGGCATTGTCATAAAGTCCAGGGTGAGGCTGGGCGTAGTGGCTCACGCCTGCTATCCCAGCATTTTGGGAGGCCAAGGCAGGTGGATCACTTGAGGTCAGGAGTTAAAACAAGCCTAGCCAACATGGTAAAGCACCATCTCTACTAAAAATACAAAAATTAGTTGGGCATGGTGGCTCATGCCTGTAATCTCAGCTACTCAGGAGGTTTAGGCAGGAGGATCATTTGAACCCAGGAGGCGGAGGTTTCAGTGAGCTGAGATTGCACCACTGCATTCCAGACTGGGCAACAGAGTGAGGCCCTGTCTTAAAAAGAAAAAATAAATAAATAAAACTGCCACATAAGTGTCATTGGTTTAGGCTATTAGGCTATACCCACAAACATAATTTTGACCACCATATATCTAGTCCATATTGTCTGCCACATGAAAAGATGGACACATCTAGCAAATTTCTTTACATTTTCATTCATAATCAAATCTCAACTAAAGGCCAGGCACCGTGGCTCACACCTGTAATCCCAGCACTTTGGGAGGCCGAGGCGGGTGGATCATGAGGTCAGGAGATTGAGATCATCCTGGCTAACACAGTGAAACCCTGTCTCTACTAAAAATACAAAAAATTAGCCAGGCGTAGTGGCGGGCGCCTGTAGTCCCAGCTACCCGGGAGGTGAGGCAGGAGAATGGTGTGAACCTGGGAGGCAGAGCTTGCAGTGAGCCGAGGTCGCGCCACTGCACTCCAGCCTGGGCGACAGAGCGGCACTCCGTCTCAAAAAAAAAAACAAAAAACAAAAAACAAAAAAACAAATCCCAAGTAAAAACCATTTTGAGATAAAGGGTAAAAAAAGAGACAAAGACTTGTGGTTTCATTTCCTAAATGTTGCCTGATTCTTGACATACAGCAGGTAAGAGGAGATTGGCACTGGAATAACTATACCTATCTTAAGTGCATGTCCCCATACTTGGAAAGCTTACTGTCATTCAGGCTGCTCACCCCCATGATGATGCCTGGATAGCTTAGATGCCTAAATCAAGAGATGAGTGATGACTACACTGGAGCCTTTGCATCACGATTCTTTACAATAAAGGATTGGCGACCATAAAATTTATCCTCCACATCACATACTTTTGAGTGCTAAAATGTTAAGTTGGAGAAAACTGGAACAATAGATATTAAACAGGATTCTCACAGGCCAGCCATGACAAGTGGTCATCCTAACTATATTATCACACCATAATACAAGCATCCCATTAGACTTTAGTAGTACCAATATACAACATTAGTAAAAATGACAGTCACAAAGACATTACCAAACATGTATCAAGTGCTTTTTCTGTGCTGGGCACTGTGTTAAGCACTTAATTAAAAAAAAAATTGGATTGGCAAAACCAGAAATATGTTTTATTAATACTACATATTGGTCGCATGATGCTTTTGAATTAGGCTATGAAATTGGTTCTTTGATCTATTTTAAATTATTGTGATGCAAATTAGGATTAATTTTGGTTGCTGGAGTTGGGGGGTAAGTAGTGCCTAAAGAATTAAGAAAGATGAACAACGAAAAAAGCTATGGCCATTTTAAAATGTAAGTAACAGAAAATTAAATTACATTTGAAGGCAACTTAGATTTGACATACACTTTTTAAATAATTGCAGTCCTTCTTATTTAATTAAGAAAGGATAATTTTGGTGTTAGAGTTCCTTTAATGTATTCCTCTATGTATTAGCTAAGAATGCTTATTAAAATAACAAATGTCAGAGTAATTACATTAATTTCAAGCATATATTTCACGAGCGACTCTGCCAACATATCTGAAGACCAGCGATAAAATGTATAGATTACTTCAGGGCTTTATATGTATATCCAGATACAACTTCTGCACAGAAAATCTTTAGAAAACTGTCAAATATAATTTTCCTTTTTCAAAGGATTTTTCTAGGAAATAATTAGGTTTCTAAAAAATCCATGAATATGCTGGGGTTCTTAAAGACAGTTGCTATAAAAAAAATCAAGAGATTAGAAGTAGAGTGCCAAATGTCTTATATTTATTAATTGTGTGGGCCGTGTTTCAAATTATGAAATCTACTTTCTTAAGCCCATGGTTAGCATCTTCTAATATATCTTTCCATACATTATGGAAATTTATATCACACTAATTGCAAATAAATCCCATGAAATATTAGAATAAGTTATAGTACATTAGAATATCACCAGCATCGCTTCTCGGCCTTTTGGCTAAAATCAAGTGTAAAATATCACCAGCAGTTAGTTCCCAGTAATGAAATTCATTACACATTTATATAACTTCACATATTTCCTGATTATAAAAATAAATGCATACTTACGTTTTTTAAAAAAAACAATAATGAAGAAGAAAGTATAAAGATGAAAGTAAAAATTCCACCTATGGTAGGTTGATAAATTACTCCCTTATTTCTCTATGCTCTTCGGTAAAGAAATAGTTTTCAGAAGTAAATGAGTATTAATTTTTCAATCAAAATTAAAAATAATTGTGCATTTAAGTAAACTAAAATGCCACTAATTTGCAGGGAGTGAGAAGGAATTAAGAGATAAAGCAGCATGTTTTCTATAAATAAACTCTTGACCGTTCTCAGAAAAACTGGATTTTAGTCCAAAATCTAACACATAGTAGCTCTGTGACCTTCGCCAGTCATCACTAGCCCTCTCCATGGGAGATGACTGAGGGCAGCTTTCTATCAATTTACTCTCTACACATTTATTTCTCGCTGTTTATGCATTCAGCCAATACTATAGAGAAGACACATATGGCAGGTCCTGTCCAAGCAAGGCAATGAACACTATGCTCTGTATTTTTACTGACTCTTTCCAGCTCCTTTGTACAGAATAGGTTCAAAAAGAGGTGTGGTCAAAATAAGCAGCAGGAAGGGGGCTGCTGCAGTTCGGTGAGCATGAGTGTCGATTGTGCCCCAGACCAGAACAACAGCAGTGGACACTGCGAGAGGTACACGAGTTCCAGACAGATTTGGAATTAGAATAGTCAAATCCAGCCGATGAATTGGAAGAGCAGTTAGAGGAGAAAGCCAAGGAAAGGAAGTTTCAAAAATGACTCCCGGGCCTCTAGGTTTCAGTTACTCAGGGAATGAATGCACACATTGTAGTGTGTGGGGAGTGATAGATGATTAACGTATAAAGAAATAGATAAGATTTTTATATTGAAAACAAAACAAAGGAATAATAGGTAGAGAAGGATTGGAATAGTATGGGCAGGCTGGGGGCGGGAGGAGAGAAAGTATATGTTTCAGACAGGAGACCAGGATAGGACCTTCTAAGTTGTCTTTGAGCAGATCTGGAATGAAGGGGGTGGTGGTGGGAGGCAGCATGATCAATATCTACACGGCTTCAGCAGAACACCATAAGATCTACACGGCTTCAGCAGAACACCATAAGAACTACAGCAATTCAAGAAACTTCCCTTGGACTCCACTTTAAAATGTACTAGGCCACCACTTATGTGCTAAACTAGTTTATGTTTTAAAAAGACTGCCACAATCCATGATTCCTTATTACTGGAATACTAATTCTCTTGTGCTTTTCCAGTTCTGAAGAAATTTGAATCAACCACATCTAAGGACGTGGCTTGAACAACTTAGAATGAACAAAATGTTGCCATTGACTTTCTAGGATTCTTTAGTAAAATTATTTGTCAAGTTACTTTCAGGCAAACTGTCAAAACACATGTCTGAATTACTCTACCAGATGCTGGGTAGAAAATAGACTCTATTTACTACAGTGGGACTTCCATGAGATTGTCTTTGTGGTCTCTGGGAAATAGGTCTTCTAATATTACAATCTTTTAGTTATCTATACTGACATTAGAAGAATGACTAAAAGAGTTGAATGATTATAACTAACTGCAGAGAGATTTAAAATACTGAACAGCTCAGAGGACTACCATGTTCAAACTGTGAATCTGTTAGGAGTTCCTACTTCCAAAGCACACTGGAGACCTGTGGGAAACCCACCGACTGGGGATGGAAACAGGGGAGAGCCATGGGGAGGATTCAGACTTCTTGGATTATCACGGTGAAGAACGTATAGAGTAGGAGAGTTTTGGTAAGTGAAAAAGTCCAGTACTCAGAACAAAGGGATCTCTATGGTAGACTTCTCTATACTAGATAACTAACATAAGCTCTTGAAAACAAAAAAATAATAATAACCATTTTAGTAATCTGGCCCTATGAAATTTCTGACCTTTCAAAAATAAACACATTGGCTGACACTGGTGAATAGCAAATATCTGAAATGATTTTGAAAACCATACGGGGCTGCTGACATTTTTGCCCGTCTCCTCCACATTTATTCTCATTAGTTGATTGAAAAAAAAAAAAGGAAAAACTCAAAGTTCTAGGCTGCTTCTCTAGGGCATGGTTTCTCAATAACAGCACTATTAACACTTTGGACTGAATAATTCTTTTTGTGGAGGCTGCCTTCTGAATTGGAGAACGTTTGCAATCTCTCTTGTCATCTGCCCACAACACCAATAGCATCTAAGCCTCTAAGTTCCAAAATAGCATCAGCCTCTAAGTTCCAAAATTGTCTCCAGACATTGCCAAATGTCCCCTGGGGAATAAAATCAATTGTTGAGAACCTCTGCTCTGCTGTGATGTGCTAATACATACCATAGATTCAAAAGAACCACACATTGCTGAATCCTTTTTTTTTTTTTTTTTGAGATGGAGTCTTGCTCTGTCACCCAGGCTGGAGTGCAGTGGCGCAATCTTGGCTCTCTGCAACCTCCAAGTCCCAGGTTCGAGGAATTCTCCTGCCTCAGCCTCCTGAGTAGCTCAGACTGCAGGCTCCCACCACCACACCCAGCTAACTTTTGTATTTTTAGTACAGATGTTTCACCATGTGGGTTTCACCATGGTGGCCAGGCTGGTCTCGAACTCCTGACCTCAAGTGATCCTCCCGCCTCAGCCTCCCAAAGTGCTGAGATAACAGGCATGAGCCATCACGCCTGGATAGATAGCTGAGTTCTTTATCAATGAAAGAATTACAAGCACAAGAAAGACCTGGGACAGAAAGATACAAGATGCCAACTGCCAAACTGTGCCATTTTATTTTTTTCTATAGCACTTTGCTAATCATATATTGAAATCTTAGAAAATGAGTCTCTGAGCTGCCTCAATTTTCATAATTATTCATTCTTAGAATAGTCTAAGCCCAGACAATTTAGAGATGCGTCTAACTTAAATGTGCACCAGTTTCTTGACCATCTATACTTAGAAAGTCTCCATCCTCAGGATAAGCCCTACCCACCCGGGTAGAAGTTTGGTCTTTATTCTGTCGATTGGAGAGGCAGAAGGCAGTCTAAATATCACAAAAAGAATGGGAGATCACTTCAATCCCATTCTGGATCCTGGATTCTCTTTTCTTACCCTTCTGACACAGGTAATTTTGGTAGATTTCCCAGCATAAAGGGAGTTATCCTATTTAGTGGAGCTCTTAAGTTCAATGGCCATAGAAAGGATAAGCCATCCTTAGGTGATGAATTTATCTGCACTAAAACAAGTGTTTCAGGGCAAGCATTCAGTGAGGTGATATGACAGCATCTGGGTTTATATCAGAAATGCCTAATGACAGGCTCTGCTTAATCACAGTCTCCACTATTTCCTAATCTCCATTTGTTATCCCTCCTTGCAACCTTAATCTATTCCCTAGCTTCTTTCTATGCTTTCTATGCTTACTTTAAACTCCTATTCCCACTGCTCCTTGCCTCATTCTCGAAGTTTCCCAAATCAAATTCTCAAGAAAAGAGAGCTTGACTGACTTATCATTTTAAATAATAATAATGTGAGATAGTGTGATTTATAATAAGATATATATAGTGTTTGTTTTTGGCACAAAGCCCCTAAAGCCCTTGGAATTTTCTAAGAGCAATAAAGGTAACAGGAGCATCTTTTGTTATTCAGTCACACCAGAGTTTGTGTTAATGAGGTGACTTTTGGGAAGTCCCTAATGATAAGCAGGGCTGTTGCCATGGAAATCAACCATGTGGTTAGAGTTGGAACTTTCAGCCCAACCTCCAGACCAACCTCCAGGGAGGGGCATGTATATGCAATGAAGCCCTCATAAAAATCTGAAGGAACATTTTTCTTTTTCTTTTCTTTCTTTTTTTTTTTTTGGAGACGGAGTCCTGCTCTGTCACCTAGGCCAGAGTACAGTGACACAATCTTGGCTTACTGCAACCTCTGCCTCCTGAGTTCAAGCAATTCTCCTGCCTCAGTCTCCCAAGTAGCTAGGATTACAGGCATGTGCCACCACACCTGGCTAATCTCTTTTTAGTAAAGACGGGGTTTCGCCACATTGGCCAGGCTGGTCTTAAACTGCTGACCTCAGATGATCCACCCACCTCAGCCTCCCAATGTGCGGGGATTACAGGTGTGAGCCACCACACCTGGCTTAAGAACATTTTTCGAAGAGCTTCCAGGTTGCTGAACACATGGAGGTGCTGAGAGGGTGATGAGCCCAAGAATGCACGGAAGCTTCATGCTCCTTCCCACATACCTTGCCCTATGCCTCTCTTCCATCTGGCTCTTCCTGAGTTGTAATTTCCTTTTAAAGTAAACTGGTAATCAAATAAGTAAACTGTTTTTCTGAGTTCCGTGAACCATTCTAGCAAATGGTCAAATCTGAGGAGGAGGTCCTGTGAACCTTTAATTTATCTCCACCCAGTCTAAAGCACAGGTGAAAACCTGGACTTCCCATTCTCATTTCAAGTGGGGCCATGAAACCACCTTTGCAAAAATTATGACAGTGAGAGAAATCTGACATCTTTCTTCTAACATCACAAGCTAACTGCCTTTTTTAACTTTAAAACAAAGATGATAACAGTCCCTACCTGAAACTAATGCCCTCCTTGGTGGGGGACTGAAACTGCCTTTGTAAGACTAATGAAAGTCCACAAGGTTGGGCTTATGAGAAGAACTTAAATTCTGCTAAGATGTAGGTGTAATTAAATGATAACCAGACATTGTTCCCTAGCTTACCTTTCTATAATAGTTACTGCTCAAGAATCATGTAGCCAGAGGTCACAAGATTTTTAACTTCCCCTCTTGCTCCTATAGATAAAATCACTATTGTCAAAATCTAAGATTGGTCTCTGAGATATTTTTAAACTTTCGCATTCTGGCAACTAACTGACTCCACCCGGACCTGTGACTCATGCCAAGAAATTGACTCCCACGCAGAAACTTCCACCCAGAAACTGACTCAGCATGCGAAGACAGTTTGGATACTCCTATGATTTCATCCACAACTCATCAGCAGCACTCGTTCCCTAGTCCCCTGTCTGCCAAATTATCCTTAAAAACCCTAGCCCCTGAGCTCTTGGGGAGGCAGATTTAAGAATTATCTCCCATGCTTCCACTTGGCTGGCCTTGTGATTATCAAATGCTTTCTCTACTGCAACACCACTGCCTTGATGTATTGGTTTTTCTGTGCAGCAGGCAAGAAGAACCCACTTGAGCCATTATAGACAGTCTTATGAGACTGAGCTTTTAGTCCATGGGATCGGATGTTGTTTCCATGTAGATGGTGTCAGAACTGAACTGAATTATAGGACACATAGTAGGTGTCTGACAAACTGATGTAGAAAAACCTCCACACATTTGGTGATTAGAAGTGTTGAGTTGTAGTAGCAGTGGAGGAAATAGAATTCATTCCTTTGGTTCATGTAGAGAATTTTTTTTCAGAACATGTAATAGGATTGTGTCTTGTGCCAGTCAAAAAGTTACAGGTATTAACTCATTTAATCCTCACCTCAAACGAACTGAGTGGGAACAATCAATAAACTCATTTTACAGAATAAGAAAATTAAGGTCAAAATCAACTGGTAGACCTTGGATTTGGAACCAGACAGTCTGACTCCAACTCCCATGACCTTAACCACCTATGACTTGACAGGCATGGGTCAGGAGCCTGCTATCATCCAATTTTGGCAGCACCTGGTTACCACAAAGCATGTGGTCCCTATAGCAGAAGCTCAGGGTGAGGGCTACATTATTTAAAATCACATAGGCATGTGGCAGAAAACTGTTTGACCTAACAAAATAGCCATCCAACATGGCAACAAAGTCTACCTCAAGTGTGAAGTAAATAATTGGTTAACAAAAATACATTTTCTACACCATGAACACAGAAGAAAGCAGAAAAGGTAGGGCCAAGCTTTCCCTTTAAGCAACAAGATATATCAGGTTACAGTGGACCCATGATTTTATTGAACAAACTGAGTAAGGAAAAATTCCACCTATTCTTTTAAATGTTAACATTCTCATTGTTCAAAGTCTTCTTTTGAATCATCTCTCAGTGACCAAAATACACCTTGAAGCTCATTTTATTTTGTTACATTTATCTTATTTTTTTTTTTTGGCAGAATAGTGTCTATGTTAGAGAGCTTCTACCTCTAAAATATATCTTTCTGTTGCCTTTACCAATGAAAGAGAACTTTTCTAATCTTAAATAACTGCCTCATAATCTGGTCCCTGGTAAAGCATGCAGATATGTTTCCAAGTTCTGGAATTTGGTATTACATAAGAAAAGTTAGAGTTTAATTTTGGTTTCTTTATTCGCAAACTTTTTACTACTGCCTGAGTACTTATTTTTGTAAAAACCTTACAATTAATATAGTTTAAAGAATGTTATTGCAGCATTTTTTTTTGTTTTCAATTCTTTTTATTGGAATTTGTGAGCCTTTCCAATCTGCATACTTTGATCATTTTCAATGCAGGGTCATTTGCTTCTATTACATCTTTCATACTTGCTCTGTTTGTTTTATCTTTGTGGGTTCCTTAGGAATATGTAAAGTTCTTAGATGTATCTTCGAACTCCATTCTCTGTCCTCTATATCCATTACCTTTCTTTTTCCAGCCCCTCGTCCTCTTACCCTATGCCCTGGGGAAACTTCTCAAGTTTGTTTCCCATGTGTGTTCTGCAGTATGGAGTCTGCTCCTTGCTCCCTCAATGTGGGTGATATGGTTTGGATGTTCTGTCCTCTCCAAGTCTTATGTTGAAATGTGACTGCCCATGTTGGAGGTGGGCCTAGTGGGAGGTGTTTGGGTCATGGGGTCAGATTCCTCATGAATGTCTTGATGCTGTCCTCATGATAAGTGAGTTCTTACTCTGAGTTCACATAAGATCTGGTTATTTAAAAGACTGGCATCTCCTCTCTCTCTTTCTCTCTCTCTCTCACTCCATCTCTCACCATGTGATATGCTAGCTCCCCCTTCACCTTCCTCCATGAATAGAAGCTTCCTGAGGCCTCACCAGGAGCAGATGCTGGCACCATGCTTCTCATACAGCCTGCAGAACCATAAACCAAATAAACCCTTTTCTTTATAAATTATCCAGTCTCAGGTATTTCTTTACAGCAATGCAAGGACGGACTAATGCAATGGATATTTTATTACTTTTGTATTCCTTTACTTCCTTGCCACCGTTCACTATTCTTCCTATATCTATTTCCATCTCACCCTGGTGACTTTTCCTTTAGGCTTGCCCTCTTTTAGTAGCCTTGTGCTCCTGTTTCATAACAATCCCATCTTCTTGCATGCGCTCTTGTTTTTATAGGCCTCATTGATGCCTTTTTGTGATTGTTTATTCCTGGACAATGACACACATGCTCAGATTTGGTGTTTTCAATAGGCAGAGTGTGGATGGCTGATGCTTTTGGAAGCACCAGAGTGCTCTCTCTGCTTCCCCCCTCAACTTGCTTTGTAAAGAGATGAGAACTTTGAGAAAATGACTATTCAAGAACCTCATATATTTGGTGCAAGACTAGCTGTGGAGCCTTGTACTCTGAGAGATATAGTTTGCAAAATAAAGTATTATACTATTTAGTAGACTGTAGTACATAGCAATTTGTAGATTGTAGCTTTCTATAATTTCTCTCTTTCTAGAAAATCAAACTAGCAAGTGGCTCTGGGGAAGAAGATCTCATTCCAGTTCAGCAGAGCTATCCCAAAAGAAATCTAGTTAACACTGAGAATTTTTAAAACGAATTACGCACATGCTCCCCAGCAATAGATTTATCAGAAAACAAAATAAAACGAGACTCTATAATGCATCTTTTCTTGTCCAGTAACAAAAATATATAGCAATTTTAATTTGCATTTGTAATTTTTATTTGTAAAAGTTAAACAAATTTTAAATTACAAATTTTTACTTTTAAAGTTAAAAACATCATTAAAAATGTGAAAAATGGGCCGGGTGTGGTGCTCACACCTGTAATCCCAGCATTTTGGGAGGCCAAATCCCAGCACTTTTGGAGGCCCAGCACTTTGGGAGGACTTTGAGACTAGCCTGACCAACATAGTGAAACCCTGTCTCTACCAAAAATACAAAAATTAGCCGGGCGTGATGGTGTGCACCTGTAATTCCAGCTACTCTGGAGGCTGAGGTAGAATAATTGATTGAACCCGGAGGCAGAGGCTGCAGTAAGCCAAGATCGTTCCACTGCACTCCAGCCTGGGTGACAGAGTGAGACTCTGCCTCAAATTGAAAAAAAAAAAAAAAGTGAAAAATGTATAAAAATAGAAAGAAAAAATTACCCATAGTCCTACCACTCAACACAATGACCATGATTATTAACATTCTGTGGATTTCTTTCCAGTTTCTTTCTTTAGTATATAGTTTTAATTTGCAGTTTTTAATGTATAGTTTTTAATTTATAGATTGACAGGGAGAGGGATATATATAGATACATATGCAGACATATATAAACACAAAATGTTTCAGTATCTTTTTTTCAGCTAGAATTGTATTAAATGCATCTGGAATGTTATTCATAAACATGATTTTTAATGACACATTAAGTTGCATCAAAGTGATGTACCATAGCTACTTAGGCTGATTCTTACAACTCATCATTGAAGAAACCCTGCAGTAAATATTTCTAATAACTTTCCTATTATAAAGTACCAAACCTAGTGCTATTGAATCAAAGGGCATAAACATTTAAAATAGCTTATATATAGTTTACAAAAGTTTTGAACCACTTTATAGACCAATCAGCAAAACACAAATATGCTTATCGCATCTTGTTCTTACCAATATTAAATATTTTCATTAGTTTTATTATTTGGTTGGGTTAATTTTTTTAAATTTTAATTACCAATAACACCTAGTTTTAACATGTAATTGTGTACTAATTACATTTCTTCTTTGGGAAAATATTATGATTCTTACAGTGTGTCTTTAAAAGATGGACACCCCAGGCCAGGCGTGGTAGCTCATGCCTGTAATCTCAGCACTTTGGGAGGCTGAGGCAGGTGGATCATCTGAGGTCAGGAGTTCGAGACCAGCCTGGCCAAGATGGAGAAACCCCATCTCTATTAAAAATACAAAAAATAGCCAGGCATGGTGGCAGGCGCCTGTAATCCCAGCTACTCAGGAGGCTGAGGCAGGAGAATTGCTTGAACCCAGGAGGTGAAGGTTGCAGTGAGCCAAGATCACGCCATTGCACTCCAGCCTAGGTGACAGAGTGAGACTCCACCTCAAAAAAATAAAAAATAAAAAGACAGATACCCCAAAACAGAAGGAAAATATCTATCATATTGAGACAATTTTAAAAGGTTATGATCATCCCAAATGTAGAATTTCTAAAGTTATCATTCTCAAGGACTTACATTCTCATTTCTCATAGTCTGCCACACATAACCACTATTTTCTAGTTAAAGCAAACAATTTGCTATGTCTCATATAAGTTATATGCTCTCAAGCCTTTGATTTTGTCTATGTTGTTCCCTTTATCTCAAGTGTCTTTTGCCTTTTCCCAAACACACATAAACACACACACACACAGAAACGGTGGCCTTTGTCAGGCCCCAGTAGTACCTTGTTACCTCTCTCATTGCACCTAACATTCTGCATTATAATCATTAATATTCCTATTAGTTTTCCCAACTAGCTCATGGGTTCCTTGAGGGCAAGGCCATTTTATCTTTGATCTCTAGATTCTGCATTATTTATCACCGTGACTGGAGTAAAATAGAAGCTCAATGAATGGTTCTTTGAATATGGACAGTATTGAATAATAAACACAACTACAACTACCTTCCTAGCTGTAAAACTGAATGCTATTCTCAGTTATTGCCATGACTTTGAGGGGCAGCTTCAGACTGAAGAAGCTTATAGAAAGACTATAAGCTTCAGAGTCATCAGACTTAGGTTCAAACTCCCAGCTCTGCCATTCATAGGCTCAATGTCATAGGAATAATTACCTAACGTCCTTGAGACCCTATTGGAACAAATGGTGATCATAAAGCACACCTTATAGGATTATTTTGAATATAGAAGAGAAAATGAACATAGGTAAAGAATATGGCATATAGTAGTGGCTCAATAAATAGTAGACATTTTTCTAGTTATTGCTAATTAGTAAGACTATTTCCATTATGATAAATATTAACACATTTAAAAAAAACTGATTCTTATATATTTTTCTTTGCATCATCAAGTCAATAATACAAGGCCAGTTGTGCTATACACAGTCTTGTGCCTAGGCAGAAATATTTATTTTAAGTAAATCTTGAAAAAGAATTAGATCTAATCATAATTTTGAAAAATACAAATTATACTTTCCAAAGGCAAGATAAATAAAGCTCTCTATAAAATAACACATGATCCAATTATCTGGTACCTAATTTTTTTTGTTTGCCTCATTAATTTTGCTTGAAGTATTTAGAGACCTGAAATTACTATAAATAAAAAGTACTACAATCCCTGATGGCAGAAGAAAAGAACTTTCAGAACATGCTCTACTTTCCCCTTCTAAAAATAGATTGACTTGGGCCACACTAAAGAAGCATATGAAATCTGCCCTGTTGAAAATCGATTTAAACTGGTGGTCCATTTGGCACAAGGGTGTGCCCACACACATGCAAGTGCACACGTACACACACCAGAAACCCTCCGAAACGTGGCTTCTTCTGTTTATCACATAGCCATGATTCATGTGTGCCTTCCATGAAGCTAAAAGGCATTTTGCATTCATCTGCCAACCAGATGAACACAGGAAAAGTCATAAAAACTATACAGTTGAGGATGACACAAGTATTTGTTCAGAATGTATCTGCCAAGATCTTTTTCCCTCTCGCCCTACCTCAAACTCCATCCCAAGCTGTTTTTAAGTCCCACATGCTACAGTTTTCCCTTCAAGTGACAGCTTAGACAATCTCCCCCAGGATTTAGCAAACCCAGGCCTCATTCTGTACAATCCCATTCCATACAATCCTGCGTGATTAAACATAGCATGTGAAAGGCCAGTACAATGCTAGGCACCAAAACGTGCTCAATATTTAACTGTCTCCTCACTACCTTCCCTTCTGCAGCTCCTTAAGCATTCACCAGACCACTCCACGTGGACAGTTCCTTCCCCACAGGCTCAAAGTTGCTGCCCCCAGCAGAGATTTTCAGATGTGAAGCACAGGGGGTTTTCCATTTTTGAGGCTTCTGGCATCCTAAAATATGAAAAAAAAAAAATCCAATACAGATTTTTAAAAATAATAGTACCTTTTCAACTTTCATATCTGAGTAAAGAATGTTTTTTAAATACAATATATTCTATGATGGTATTTACAAGGTAACTACAGGATTTGTTAAAAAGATGCCACAGACAAGAATAGCCAAGGAATGCAACAGGAGTTTCAAATGCATGCTACGTGGCCTCTTCCAAATCTGTTAATTGCGTTTCTGTCTGTGTGTACAACCTCATTTGGAAGTGACATTTGAAATACACATTTGAAGTTCTTTGAAATGTAGCTCTTCGTTTAAAGGCCTTACTCCCACCCGCGCCCATCCTTGTCATAATGCTTGCCTCCAAGCATCTCCGGCAAGGAAACCACAAGCAAGTAATGAAGAAAATAGGGTGAGACTTGCCCTGAAAGAAGGTGGGAAAGAGAGGATTAGAGGAGCCAAATGAGGCCACTGCAGTGGGATCTACTTGTGGATGGAACTAGAGAAATTTCTTTCCGCAGCCTCCTAGCAACCCATTCACTGTTGTCAAGGAGGCCTTGACCCCCACTGGGATAAGCAGGGTCCCACACCAGCCTCCCAGGAGGGTGAACTAGATCAGGACCCCTGACAATCAAGCCAATGAATTAGCAGGGTATGACTAGAATAATGCTCCCCAGACCGCTCTGGCAGAAGGAAGCTATTCCTCCTGCAGAGAGGCATTAAGAGTTTATAACTTTTAAACTGAGACTGTTTTTCTGAAGTAATTACAAGGCACCAATGGACACTGAACACTGGGTACTATTTTAAATGATGAACTATTTTAATTGCAAGAGAAATAAACAATAAGAGATTTAAAGTTATTACTATAATGACAGACCCAAAAAAAAAAAAAAAACCAACAACATAGTAGTACATTTATGACTCAAAACTACCGGTTAAAGTATAACATTAAAAATACACCAGGGTATGATCTACCCATGCTATTGTGGAATTGTTGGGTTTGTGATGTGATGTGATGTGATGGTTTAATGCATTATTAAATTGTAGAAAAAAATTATACACACATAAATAGTATGGAGAGAGGGCCCATGATGTGGCAAACAGCACAGATTTGGCATTCTTCTCATCTTCTTACCCCTCCTTACCCCACTGCATTCTGGTCTCTGCCCCATCACTCCCTAGCCCCCAGTTTCCCTCAAACTGCATTTGTCAACAATGAAAGCTCATTGGTGCTAATCAATCTTGTCTTACTCCATCTCTCTCCATAGCATTTAACTCTGTGGACAACACTCTTCTTTCTGAAATACTCTCATTCTTGGCTTCCTGGACATCATCTCTTGGATGGATGCCATTTGATCACCTTATTCACTCCTTCTCTGTCTCCTTGCAAATGTTTCTTTATTTCTTCCTGCTCTCTTCAGTGTTGTTACTAAAGGTGCTATTGTTGGCTTTTTATTTTTTTCTTTCTCAATGTATATTATCTTTCAGGTGATGTCATCCACTCAAATGACTTCAAGCACTTTTCTCCTTGTAAAAGGACTTCCTGATCCACATCTCCAAGCCAGATCTTTCTCCTTAGCTCCAGACCTCTAGAGCCAACTGCCTGCCAGACACCTGTATCAATGACATTACTGTAGGAAAAACCACCCTAGAACAGTGACTTCAATCAATGATAACCATTTATTTTACTTACAAATCTGGAGGTTGACTGGGTTCAGCAAAGCAGTTCTCCCTCAGGGTCTCTCATGCAGTTGTGGTCAGACAGTGACTGGGGCTGAAATTACCTAAGTCTCCTTCATTCGAACATCTGTCTCCTGGGCTGGGAAGACTTGACTAGCTGGGGGCTTGAACTCCAAACCATCTCTCTTATATATAGGTATACAATCACTCTATGCAGTGGCCTCATGGTAGCCACACTCCTTACATGACAACTGAAAGCTCAAAAAGAAAATATCAGCCTCTCATATCCAGAACTGATCTGACATTCACAGCTAAGCCATGTCATTCTCTTGTTGGACATATACAATCTTATAGAACACCAACCTCAGACAAAGTTACTCTGCGACCAAGATAAAATGAAACAAAATCAGCCTACTTCATCATTTGTGTAAGGACAGACAAAACAAGGTCACTATGCCACCTATAAAATATACAACCCTAGAATTACTCCCATTTTCTGAGAGCATTCAATCTAGACCAAACCCCTGATTCCTTTTTTTTTTTCTTTTTTTTTTTTTTGAGACAGAGTCTCGCTCTGTCACCCAGGCTGGAGCACAGTGGCGCGATCTCAGCTCACTGCAAGCTCCGCCTCCTGGGTTCACGCCATTCTCCTGCCTCAGCCTCCTGAGTAGCTGGGACTATAGGCACCCGCCACCACGCCCGGCTAATTTTTTGAATTTTTAGTAGAGACGGGGTTTCACCGTGTTAGTCAGGATGGTCTAGATCTCCTGATCTCGTGATCCACCTGCCTCGGCCTCCCAAAGTGCTGGGATTACAGGCGTGAGCCACCGTGCCTGGCCACCCCTGATTCCTTAAACCTTCCCCCAAATCACCCAACCAAAGCCCAAATCTTATAATAGGTTCTTTCTAAAACCCTCTTACTGAGATAACCTATGGTTCCCCCTGGTGAATGTTCTGTCTTGCTACAATAAGCAATAAATCCAATTTGTTTAGCTGCAGGGGTGTTCCTGGGGGGCTTTGGTGGAAGGACACTAATAGCTCCCAGAGCAAGTGTCTCCAGAGAAACAAACATGGTCTTTTCTAAACTAGCCTTGGACATCACATTCCTGCATTCTATTCATCAGATCTGTCACAAAGGCCCATTTAGATTCAAGGGGAGGAGACAAAGACATCACCTCTTGATGGAAACAGTGTCAAAGAATTTTCAGACATGTTTTAAAACCATCACAACATCTATATTCAGATGCCCACAGCAACTTAATAGTCATCAGTTCCAATACTGAACGCATGATCCATTCTCCTGTTTTTGTACCTTTTCCTAGGTACAATTTGTCCGCAGGACTTGGCCACTTCCTCAATGGAAAATCCAGGTCATCCTCACTACTTCCCACTCATCTCATCACTCACCAACTTGTTCTTTTAGGGTAGATGCAGTTAAGCCACACATTTTCAGAACACATTGCAGGTGAGTTATGAGTTTGAGCAGCTGTACCACCTGAATCTGTTCCACAGAAGCTCCCACAACTGCTACCTACAAACAATCAGTAGTGGAGGAAACAGCTCAGGCCTGGTGCATAATTGGGCTAGTGTGATTTATTGCCTCTAGCCAGAGATAGTCTGCTGTTGCATTTCATCCTCACTTGAGGTGGCCCCAAAGAAGAGAGGTAAAGGGAAATCCTCCCAGTGGGGAAAACTATGAGCAACACACTTAGTTATTCATTTCATATGGAAGAAAAGACCAGATCCTTAAGTATGCACTGGCTTCTAAGCAGTAGTGAATGGCTTGGCCATTTCGACAGGACAAGAAAAAAAGATTTGAAGCTCAGAGAAAAGGTGTGGGGAAAAAAATGTATGTGGACAACCCTACGGAAATAAACACAAAGCAGATCTCACACTACCGCCCGACTGCAAAGAAGACTCTCAACAACCATGTGCTCAGGATGATCCATCCTGCCTTTTAGCCGGGCCGTCTTTAGCCACCCCAGTTCTTGTGCAGGAAAGCCCATAAATAGTGTCTCTAGTGCTGCAATCACTATGGTGCTATGCATGGTCATATTTGAGCTCCCACTTACAAAAGATAATTCAGCTACTGTCAATGCTAAATTTCCAACCTGTCAGCCACGGAATCTGATGCCAAGACCTTGACATAGTACCGTTCCTCAGGGAGGGTAGCTACACAACCATCTATCGGAACCATCTGTCTTGGAGGGAAAAGCAACGTGTCCTTACCAGAATCAACACATATTCTGAGTATGGATTTACCTTTTCTTCCTGCAGTTCCTCTACCAGTACCACCATCCAAGGGCTCACCAGTACCTGGTCTATCAGTATGGTGCCCCTTACGATATAGACTAGGACCAAGATGACATTTTACAGCAAAGGAAGTTCACCATGGTGCACATTTATCATGGGAGTCACTGGTCTTATCATTTACTCTATACCCTAGAAACACCTAAAATGATGGAATAGCCTGGTAAAGGCTCAGTTACGGCACCAGCTTGGGAAGAAAACGTTGTGGGCCTGGGAAATTACCTTCATGATATGGAATACACACAGCACTAACAGCTGATACATGGTTCGCCGCCCAGTAGCTAAAATGCATGGGTCGAGGAACTAAAGAATAGAAATATGATCGAACCTGCTCATTAGAACTCCCAGTGAATGACCATAAAAGTTTGTGCATTCTGTCCCTGAAAACTCAGGTTTTCTGGATTAAAGATCTTATTTCTTGGAGTAGAGTGACATTTCTACCAAGAAACACATTAATGTCCCCACTGACCTGGAAGCTGAAATTACCAAAGGATTACTTTGAGTTCCTCAAGCCAGTGAGCCAGCAAGCAAAGAAAGGAATTACTGTTTGGCAGAGCCCATAGACCACGATTTCCTTGAGGAGCTAGGGTTACTACACAACAGAAGCAAGAAAGAACATGTCTAAACCCCAGGAAAACCGACAGCTCTGTCCACACTTTTTGATAGAGGACTTGGGGAATATTCATGATTTCTGAAGACATCTTGGTATCTCTGTGTCCAATGACCCTAGCAAATGAGCAATTACAGCAAAGATGAGACAAAAAAAAAAAAAAGAAAAAAAAAAAAAACAGGGAGAGAGAGAGAAGACAAATAAAACCCTTTCTTTCATTTTTGTTTTTTCTTTTGTTGTTGTTGTTGTTTTTCTTTTGTTTGTTTTTTTTTTTGAGATGGAGTCTCGCTCTGTCACCCAGGCTGGAGTGCAGTGGCACAATCTCGGCTCCCTGCAACCTCCGACACCCGGGTTCAAGTGATTCTCCTGCCTCAGCCTCCCGAGTAGCTGGGATTACAGGCACCCGCCACCACACCCAGCTAATTTTTGTACTTTTGAGTAGAGATGGGGTTTCACCACATTGGCCAGGCTGGTCTTAAACTCCTGACCTCAGGTGATCTGCCCACCTCAGCCTCCCAAAGTGCTGGGATTACAGGCATGAACCACCACACCCAGCCAATAAAACGCTTTCAAACAAGGGTCTGGGTCACCTCACCAAGGGAATAATAGATAATCAAAACAATTTTATGCCAGTGTGTGGATAGCTCCCTACTTATTTAACAAGTCTGGTATTGTTGAGCCTTTAACTTTTGTATCATTCAAGGTCCAAGTGGAAGACAAAAACTATGATAATTATTTGAACAGGGAAAATTTAATGTTCCAAAAATTACCTACTAAAAGATATATAAAGGAGGACTCTAAGAGGCCCAGGCATCAAGAATTTTAAAAGGAGCTATTATTTCTAGGCTGAGGAAGAAGAACAGTAAAGGCACTAAGGATGAGGACAAGCCCTCCTTGCCCCAAGGCTGAGATTCAGACCTCTTCAGAGAGATAGTAACTACCACAGGCAGCCTGCAGGAACAAAGAAACGACTGAGTGCAAAGGCTGGCATTGATCCATAAAAGCAATCTATCATCACTGGTGGATGAGAGTGGTTGGAAGCTGGTGTACAGGAGTGACCTTCCTTTGCTTGGTGCTGCGGGTGGGCCAGAGTTCATCTATAGAAGTGACCCACCATTGCTGGAGGGTATGGACAGGCTGAAGTTACTCTGAAATCGCTGCTGGTAGGGAAAGATGGCCTGTAGGTGCACCTGGAGCCTCTATTCCATTGCAGGGTCTCTCCAGTGCCCTCAATTGACAAAGTTGAATATCCCCCAAATTTGCAAAAGAGAAAGATCCACAGGGTCCAGCTCCATTCACACAAAGCAAGATAAACAAGGGTGGATTTGGAGCTCAGAGACATAAACTGATATCTGCCACCTTGCAAATTTTTATTGTTATAGATAAAATTATTATCAACATTCAAATAATTCTTTGCAGATATCTTATGATTATTTTCCTTAGGATAGATTCCAAGAGGTAGAATTAACAAGACAAACTATTTATATGTTTAAAAATATTTGAGTATATAATAATAAAATTTCCTTATAAATGTGCCAATTTATGTTCACCCGAGGAGAGTATGAATATATGAAGGAAGCCTAAGCACAATCTGCATGATTCTCGGAGGGTGATTTTCTAGAACAAATTCTCAGACACTGAGTGATCTTAGCTGACTGCCCAGTTTAGCCAGCTTTTGTTCTCTACTCATTTGCTGTACAGCCTTTCTGTAGAGTGATTTTAGTTTGCTTATTAAAGTGGCTCTCAAAGCAGAGATAAAACTAAAGTTCTAAGAGTCAGGAAAAGATTTTTTTTAATCTTACATGAGAATATTCACAAGCAACATTTGATTCTTGAAAGAAATACAATTCAGGAAAACCAACAGCTATGTCCACACTTTTGGATTGAGGACTTGGAAAATATTCACGATGTCCTCTCACAAATGTCAAAGGTCTCCTGTAAGACACTAACTCCCAGGGATGTTGTGAGGGTCAGTAATTACGTGTAAGGCACACAGGGGGAGTCAATAAATAGTAGCTTGATCCCCTGAGAGCATTGCTGTTAAATTGCTAAGAATCCAAGGATATATGTTTTTCATTTTATTAAAGTTGTTTTCAATGTGTATGTAAATATGCCCTTTATGGCCAAGCTAAATCTGTGTTACAATAACGTGTTATTCTCTGATGACTAGTTACAGATTGTATTGTATCTCAAGAGGTATTTTCTATACATTTGTGTAATCAGTTATGAAAAGACATAAGGAATAAGGGCAATTCACCATTTTAAAGAAATTAACCTCATAAGGGGAGCCTTCTTCTAAGTGGCTCACTTGGTTGCCAAGTAGACTGACGTCAATCAGTCATGATGCAGTTAGTGAAAAGTTCTTTGACACAGGTGGGTGGTGCAAGTGTTTACACCAGGCATAGTAAACTCATTTTCAGCTAACTCAGAGCATAAAGCAATAATATTTGCAGGGACATTTAGGTGAAGAATCTCCTTCTGAGGTTAATTTCTTTAAAATAGTCAATTGCCTTTATTCTTTACATCCTTTCATAGCTAACTACGGCAATGTATAGAAAATACCTGGAGGTACCATGTAATTACTATAATTACTATAAATCTACACTGGTCAGATCTTCAGATCCTTGAAGGTCAATCTTTAGTCACTTATTAATCACCCCATGATAAATTCAACTATACCAAATTTGGCCATTTTTCTCCAGATTTAAGAGATAAGTACGAAATTTTGCACACATAGATGAAGTATCCAGGACCATGTCAAAGTAATAGAAATCTGGCTAGGTATGGTGGTTCAGGACTGTAATGCCAGCACTTTGAGAGGCTGAGGTAGGAGGATCACTTGAGTCCAGGCATTCAAGATCAGCCTGGACAACATAGTGAGACCTCATTGCTACAAAAAAAAAATTCTTTTTTTAATTAGCCAGGCATGGTGGTGCCTGCCTTATAGTCCCGGCTACTCAGGAGGCTGAGGTGAAAGGATCATTTGAGCCCAAGAAGTCAAGGCTTCAGTGAGCCATGAGTACACCACTGCACTCCCGTCTGGGCAACAGAGCCAGATCCTATCTTAATAATAATAATCTAATTTTTAAAACATAACCACATTTTGTACTTTTGACATTTTTTTCTTTGCTTGGCAATAATGGACTTGAGCATGTCACTTTGCTTTTTGGTGACTTAAAAATTTTTTAAATTAGGCCAGGCACAGTGGCTCCCGCCTGTAATCCTAGCACTTTGGGAGGGTGAGGTGGGTGGATTCCAAGGTCAAGAGATTGAGACTATCCTGGCCAACGTGGTGAAACCCCGTCTCTACTAAAAATACAAACATTAGCTGGGCATGGTGGCACATGCCTGTAGTCCCAGCTGCTCAGGAGGCTGAGGCAGGAGAATCACTTGAACCCAGGAGGTGGAGGTTGCAGTGAGCCGAGATCACACCACTGCACTCCAGCCTGGTGACAGAGCGAGACTCTGTCTCAAAGTAAATAAATAAATAAATTAATTAATTAATTAATTAATTAAATAAGTTAAATTAGATCTGTAGTTTCCTACCTGGAGGATCAAATCCCTAAACACAGGTACAAGCATTGTCTATAACCTAAAAAATAATGTACTTTTCTATTCATATGCTTTTGTTTTTATAAAATATATTAATTTTTAATTTTTTGTTTAGTAAATACTAGTTAAATAACATATTTTGTATTAAAAAAATATAAAATTATACATGCTAACTGTAGAAGATTGGAACATAAAGAGAAACTAGAATACAACCACCTGTAATCCTGCCACACAGATATAGCAACTATTCACATTTCACCATTTATTCATTCAGTTTTCTTTTTATGGATATTTATACCTAGATCATTTAAAATAAACTGGAATATACTGCATGCATAATATTTTATGACTTGTTGTGTGTGTTTTACAGCATATTGTAAACATCTTCCTAAATCATAAACTTCTCTTCTACAAGGTTTAAATGACATTTCTATATATAAGGGCACACTGCTAGTTTTGAATATTTAAGTTGTGTCTAATATTTCATTATTTTAAATAATGCTGCTATGAGTATCTACGATATGATTAAATTTGTATCTTGACAAATTAAGATTTATTATTCTTAATGTTCACATTATTCCATTTCTGGACACTGGGGGCCTCTTCATGGTGGCTCCTGAGTTCTTTTGATACAATTACTATAGTCTTTCATAGTGTATCTGCTTTTCAGTATGACAAATGTTCCAGGAACTTTTTGTATGTGTTCTGCTCTGTATCTGAAAACATCCAATTCTCCAAGGAGCCCTCATTCCTTTTAGTGGAAAATGGCATTTGGAGAGCACCATCTGGGCACTAGGGCTGTTTATTGTCGTTGCTACTGGCTTGGTAATTGTTGCGAGTTCTATTCAGGAGACTGAATTTGAAAATAATTTTTTAAAAGAAAACACATTATGAGTTTATACTGAGGTTTCCAGTTTAAATTTAAGATAACATTTTTACTGGCTTCTTTAATTTTATATTTTTCTTTGTTTTTCTCTGAAATCTTGGTCCCTAATGGCATTAACATAATCATGTTTATACATTATCCTAATAGCTGTGCATCCATATGTTATGATAAGCATAAACATGATTACATTAACATATGTATTATAAATATAACTGTTTTAAAATAACAATACCAAAATTACTATTTATGATATAATTATTGAAAACTATTCAGGATTGTTGCAGTTCATTTTAACTTTATTTATATCTTGCTTATTTTTACCTTTATTTATATTTACCTTTATTTCTATCTCGATAGGGATGCACAGTCACATCAGTATGTGTTAAAGTCACTTGAAATAATTTCTGTCTGTGTGGTTATGCTACCAACTCAACTTACAGTTAGTTTAATGTGTTTCTTTTGACTTCCTTTTTAGAAATTGTTCCTTTTTTATTCTATTTTTTTCTTAATTATGGAAAATACTAACTTGGCTTCAAAGTCAAATGTACTAAAAAGAGATCCAGACAGGCAGGCATGGTAGTTCACACCTATAATCCCAGCACTTTGGGAGGCCATGGTAGGTGGATCACTTAAGGTCAGGAGACCAGCCTGGCCAACATGGTGAAACCCAGTCTCCACTAAAAATACAAAAATTAGCCGGGCGTGGTGGTGGGCACCTGTAATCCCAGCAACTCGAGAGGCTGAGGCAAGAGAGTCACTTGAACCCCGGAGGCAGAGGTTGCAGTAAGCTGAGATCAAGCGACTGCACTCCAGCCTGGGTAACAAAATGAGACTTTGTCTCAAAAAAAAAAAAAAAAAAAAAAAAGATGTACCCAGAGAAGTCTCGCTCCTATCCTTGTCTTCACCTTTTTCCTCTGTCCCTCTAGAAATCACACATACACACACACACACACACACACACACACACACACACACACACCACACATAGACTTCTTGGGTAAATGGTAACCACTATTCACATTTTCTCTAGTTTGCTCTTTCACTTAACAGCGCTTCCTGGAGATTACCACTGGCAGTGAGTAGAAATAGATCTTATTCCTTCTCTCAGCTGTGTGATGCAGCTATAACATCTTGGGTTCACACAGTCTCGATTAGTGGACATTTGGGTTGTTTCCAGTCTTTTCTCTTAAAAATCATGCTGCAGTAAATAACCTTGAATACAATTATTTTCATGTTTTCAGGTGCTATTATTTTTTAATTTATATAAATGCCTGTGTGATGAATAAAATACAAGTTATTTTGGAACATCACTGAATTCACAGTGGTCTTATGCCATTTGGTATTATCTCATTTAATATATTTACAACTTGCGGCTGCCATCATGTGATGGTCAGAGAAAATCTCAAACATTTAAAAAGAGACCACAGGCCAGGCACAATGGCTCATGCCTGTAATCCCAGCATTTTGGGAGGCTGAGGCAAGCGGATCACTTGAGGTCAGGATCAAGACCAGCCTGGCCAACATGGTGAAACCCCGTCTCTACTAAAAATACAAAAAAATTAGCCGGACATGGTGGCTGGCACCTGTAATCCAAGCTACTCAGGAGGCTGAAGCAGGAGAATCATTTAAACCCAGGAGGCAGAGGTTTCAGTGAGCCGAGATAGCACCCCTGCACTCCAGCCTGCGCAACAGAGCAAGACTCCATCTCAAAAAATAAATAAATAAAAATAAAAAGAGAGAGAGACCACATACAGGACTGCATAAGCGTTTTTCATATCCAAAAGGAAATAAATGAATAACTCTTGAAGGAAAAATCATCCTATATATCTCTGTCTAATTTTTAACTTAATTTTGCTTAAATACATAATACAAAATGAAATATAAATGCCTTATGATTATAGTCCTTATATAATAATGGCAAGACTAAACAATTTTACAAAGTCAAAGCAAGCAGACCTACAAAGGAAACAACATTCAAATCAACAACACTAATGTGATTTGATGGATGATGTGGCTCCCATGAAAGCTAGCCAGCTCCTTCCTTGTGAACATGCTACCAACTACAGCGGGGGTGGGAACAGCAGTGGGTGGGAGCAGGTTCTTGGGAATGTGGTTCATTCATCCTTTTGTGCCTTTAAAAGGATTGATTTTCCAACTGCTTTCCTCCATTCACAGCCCTGTCCTGCAATATTCTAGCCCATTCCATTATTGGGCATTTAGTTTAGGAAAATGCATCACTTACAAATTAGGTTGATATCTGCTCTGTTCTTATTGGACTTCAACAATAAAAGATATACTGCTCAGTACTAACACAACCTTGATTGTACATTAGTACTAAGCCCTAAAGTTCAGTGTAATGATCCTGAACATTACATATATGTATGTAATGTGTGTTTCTGTGTATACTTACTCATTTTAGATTTCCCCATTTCATGTCTAGTAAACAGTAGAGCTGAGATTCAAACCGAGGTCTATCTGTTCCACTGCACCACGCAGACTAAAACAGTGATCTTTCATGGCCTGGAATTATAAAGGTAGAAGTGGTTGTGATTCATTTGGAGGGGACTTGGATCTGAATCCAGATAACTGTAGCACAGTTCTGCTGTAAACCAACTTTGTGAATTTTACCTGTCCCTGACCCTGTCACAGTTTGAGCTTCCCCAACTATAATGTGAAGAGACGGCATTAAATCATTGCTAGGGCCTTTACAGTTATAATTTCTGTGAATGTTCCATGCTGGCAAACATCCCATATATGACAGAGGAATGACTCAAGTAATATTCTCTGTTTTAGCAGTGGAGTTTCCACTTTCATCCCTAAGCATCAACAAATGGGGTCAATAGCGGGCACGGTGGCTCACGCCTGTAATCCCAGCATTTTGGGAGGCTAGGGCCGAGGAATCACCTGAGGTCAAGAGTTCGAGACCAGCCTGACCAACATGGTGAAACCCCATCTCTATTAAAAAAAATTAGCTGAGTGTGGTGACGGACGCCTGTAGCCCAGCTACTCAGGAGGCTAAGGCACAAGAATTGCTTAAACCCGGGAGGCAGAGGTTGCAGTGAGCCAAGATCGTGCCATTGAACTCCAGCCCGAGCGACTGAGTGAGACCCTATCTCGAAGAAAAAAAAAAAAAATAAGAAAGGTGTCAAAGCAAAAAGAGAGGCTGGAAAATTATTCTGTGAATTTGGGGAGTATCTATTCCAAACAACTTAATGCTAAAGGATGACCATTTGATTGAAGGATATGGTTTTTTAAAAACCTATACATTACTATGGAATCACCACATTGAAGTCGAAAAGACATTTTGGAAATAACTTAATGTAATCTCTCATTTTACAGAAGCAGTTATGTGATTTCCCTAAGATCACGCAGCTTATTTGTACTATAGATGGGACTTATTACCTGGGTTTTTAAGATCCAATACACCATAATGCCCTCAAAATTATCTTTTCACATTTATCATCAAAAGTACAGAAAAGGAAAGCAGTCTCAGAGAGTGGTTGAAAATAGGCTCTAAAATTAAATTGTCTGGGTGCAAATTCCAACAGTATCACTGACTGTGTGACTTTCAGCCAAGTACATAACCTCTTTATGACTCAGTTTTCTTCATCTATAAAATGGAGATGACAATAATTGCACACCCCTCCAGTTTACCAGGAGAATTAAAATAGTAATACATGTAAGTTGTTTAGTATATTGCCTGACACATAGGAAATGAAAAATATTAACTAGAATTAAGATTAAACTATGTATTTAACATACTGGCTTAATTTGGTTTAATTTTGGTTTAATGTTGAAGCCAAATTTGGTTTAATATTTCAATTATACTTATTTCACTGGTATGCAGGATCAGAATTATCCTAAAATGATATTTCAAGGATTGTAAGTTTAGAAGCTATCCTATAACTGGCTGGGCTCAGTGGCTCACATCTGTAATCCTAGCACATTGGGAAGCCAAGGCGGGTGGATTGCCTGAGCTCAGGAGTTTCAGACCAGCCTGAGCAACATGATGAAACCCTGTCTCTACTAAAATACAAAAAATTAGCCAGGTATGGTGGCAGGCACTGTAATCCCAGCTACTCAGGAGGCTGAGACACAAGAATCACTTGAACCTGGGAGGCGGTGGTTACAGTGAACCGAGATCACGCCACTGCATTCTGGCCTGGGCAACAGAGCAAGACTCTGTCTCCAAGGGGGAAGAAAAAGTTATCCTGTAATAAAAGGTGTCTAATAGCAAAAATGAACTCTAATTTTAAGAAGATTGGACCCAAGTATAAAGCTGTTTTTCACTGTAATATTTTAAGGCCAAGTTATTCCCTTGAAAACCTTGCAAAAATTAATCACAAATTACATATAAGCAGCATTTCTTCCACTGTTTTTCTCAAGACGTGTCCCTCATTAAGCAGTTGATGATCTGATTTTTGCCAGTGTATAGACATTGCTTTAACATCACCACATTTAACTAACAGCAATTAAATCCATTTAACACACTAAGTATGAATTTCAAAAGGCCTTTATGACTGTTTATCTCATCTTTATGGACCTTTAAACTTAATAGCTTTGGTTGCAATAAAGAAGTGATTTCCAAAAGTTAAGCATCTCTTCAAGGCCACTCCAGGCTTTCCAGCTGATCAAAATTATGACATCATCCAAACACTGACCTCCATGTGTCATTGTTCTTCAAACTGGACACAAACAAACAATGTGTGGGGGTGAAGGTGGGGAGTGTCATGGTCTCTGGTCATTGAACAAGGACATTAGTCAAAGGAAATATCAGTTCAGTTCAAGAATACCAACGTTGCAGTTCTGCTCAGGTTCAATAGTTTTAGGATAATATATAGGCTCCTTTAAAATTCACAGTATAATAGCCCATATCAGTTACCATCCTTTCCTCTCTTTCTCATTCTGAAATGTTAAAGTATCTAGTTTTAAACATAGAGCCCCAGAAGAATATAATGAAAAGGACTAGCTCATGGCCACACTGCCCAGCCTACCTTTTCCAATCACTAATTTTCCCAGCTGTCATCCTTCCTCCTTCTCGCCATTGGTAAAATGTCCCCAGTCTCTCTCAACTCCTGAGACTTTCGTTAATCCTGTCTAGCCACATCAGTTACACTCCTCCCACAACACGCACACACACACAAGAAAACACGCTTGTCAGTATTCTTATTTTTGGATGGTTCAGCCACTCATCTCCGACCCCCACAGCACCCACCACCCACACTCATACCATTCTCACATTCATTCCATTGAGCCACATCTGAGTCTTTCACAGATAGTCCTTCCTCTTAATCAGCAAGCAAAGGAAATCCAAGAAGAGATAGGTTTTGCTAAAAGAGGTATGAATACTTTCACTGCCCACCCAAAAGATAATCAGGGGGCAAAAAGACTAAGTTATGGAGGATTAATATGACTAACGACTTGATGGGTGACAAAATTGCTAAAGAAACCATCAATTTCTGGGCTGGGAGCAGTGACTCACACCTGTAATCCCAGCACTTTGGAAGGCCGAGGCAGGTGGATCATCTGAGTTCGGGAGTTGAAGACCAGCCTGGCCAACATGGTGAAACCCCATCTCTACTAAAAATACAGAAATTAGCCAGGCATGGTGGCCAGTAGTCCCAGCTACTCAGGAGGCTGAGGCAGGAGAATCGCTTGAACCCGGGAGGCGGAGGTTGCAGTGAGCCAAGATCCCGCCATTGCACTCCAGCCTCGGAAACAAGAGCGAAACTCCATCAAAAAAAAAAAAAAAAAATCACATTTCTGAATAAACACAACTTACACCACTTTTTATGAAAAGTATCATAAAATAATTAAAAAATAAGAACTAGAAAAAAACTCAGCTCCTAACAATCCTTCATAGTTATAAAATTAACTCTGTGATTCTTTTCGCCAAGCCACAGCGATATGATGAACAAACTGACAATCTTTTTAACATCTTCAAGACCAGCATTTCTCAACCTCAGCACTATTGATATTTTGGGCAGGGTAATTTTTGTTGTGGGGGCTGTCTTGTGCATTGCAGTATGTTTAGCAGTATCCCTGGATTTTATCCACTAGATGCCAGTAGCACTACTCCTCCAGTTGTGACAACCAAAAATGTCTTAAATTAACAAATGTCCCTTAGGGAGCTAAATTATCCCAGATTGAGAACCACTCTCATAGAGTAGATGGAAAACTTCTTGTCCTAGATCATGGGTCTTTCAATTATAGCCTATGGGCCAAAAGCAAAGCTCACTGCCTGTTTTTGTAAATAAAGTTTTATTGAAACACAGCTACATTCATTCACTTACTTAACATCTATGGCTGTTTTCTCACTGAGATAGCAGAGTTAAGTGGTGGTAACACAGATTGTATAACTCACAGATCAAAAATATTTACTGCCTGGCTTTTTACAAAAAAAAAAAATGTTTGGGCCGGGAGTGGTGGCTCTTGTCTGTAATCTCAGCATTTTGGGGGGCCAAGGTGGGAGGATTGCTTGAGCCCAGGAGTTCAAGACCAGCCTGGGCAAAATGGTGAGACCCTGTCTCTACAAAAAAAATACAAAAAATTAACCAGGCATGGTGGTGCACACCTGTAGTCCCAGCTACTCAAGAGGCTGAGGTGGAAGGATCACCTAAGCCAGGGAGATCAAGGCTGCAGTGAGTAGTAAGCATACACTGGTTAAGTTATGTAGGCAATTGAACAGATATAGCAGGGTATAGAGAAATTTCAAGGGCCTAAGAAAGCTGGGCATTATTACCAACTCTAGGCCTGAAGGGGAAAGGATCCTGATGACCCTGTAGGTCACAGCAGATTATACCTTGCCTCTCATTCTCCCTCCCTGCAAGCTCATGCAAGTGCTCCCCAAGGGCAAAATCCAAACAGAAGCAGGAGGGCAAAGCAGCCCACTGATATGGTCCATATAGGTCAGCCTCCCGGGTCATAGAGCAGCATGGTGAAGGAAAGAGAATGGCCGTGGGGGACAGAGCGGGACAGAAGATAGCCACATAGAGCCTTAATATACAAAACTGGTCAAAGCACATGTGCTGTGATGTTTAACAGGAGAAGCTACTGAGATCAACACAGGGTGGTCTTTTCTCTAATCCACGATTCAAGACTCCAAGGAATGCAGCTTGAAAATCCCACCCAAGACCTTCTTCTGGCTTTTAACTTCATTTGTATCCTTTCTAAAAACAAAGTCCCATGTTCAGATATTTTAATGCTGTCTTTTCTAACAAGCCACAATCCTCAAGCCTACTCTTACCATTCAAGCCTTCAACTCTCAGCCACAGACATGCTCCCCATTCCTCCTGCCCCCTACCTTCTCTGCTCATGCCCCCAAGCTGCAAAGCACTAACAGACAATTTTGAAAGACTCTAATTACTAAATCCACCACATTGTCATAATATCAAACAACAGGGACCTAACTGATGCTCAGTTTCTCATGACTTGGCTGAAACTTGTCCTTAATATCCTAATCGTAAAATCCGATGGCCTTTTTCCCAAGTCTTATCAACCTTTACCTCTCTATAGCAAAATACCTTTCCATCATTTCTTGCCTCTTGATTTACCTCTTCCTTTGGCTTCTATAGTGCAGTACATTCTATGATCTTCTTATAGTTCTTTGACCAACTCTTCTTCATATCCTTCATGGGTGCTTCTAATTGAAGGAAAGAAATTTCTCCAAAGAACCTAATAATCAATGATGGTTCCCAATAATACAATTAAAGCTGCATCTTGTAGAAAGCCGACAACATTTCCTGAAGGAATATACGTAGAATTTTAAATCTTATAAATAAGTAGTTTCCATACAACTGGTGCATAACAAGATATTGTTCCCATCCAAAATCTTCTTACATCATCCAATTATCTTAGTATTTCCATTTACCCAGTCTTGAAACCCCAAGGTAAGGAGGTAACAGATGTTTTAGAACTAGAAAGATCTTCACAATTTTCTAGCTCGATACCACCACTCTGGATGAGAAAATTAACTTCCTCATCTTCTTGGCCTTCAGGCAAGGATTCTAAGGAAATATCCCAGATCTTGCTTTTTCTAGCCTTTCTCTCTTGGCTTCAGAGACGTTATCACAGCTTTAGGTCTCTCCTCTGTGAGGTGTTACCAGATATTCATCTACAGGCTTTAGTCTTTATGGTGTTTAATTTTATGCATCCACTTGACTGGGTAACAGGGTGCCCAGACATTTGGTCAAACATTATTCTAGGTGTGTCTGTGAGGGTGTTTCTGGATGAGATTAACATCTAAATCAGTAGACTGGGTAAAGCAGATTGTGGGTGGGCCTCATCCAATCTGTTGAAAGCCTGAATAGAACAAAAGGCTGAGTAAGAGAGAATTCCTTCTGTCTCACTATGTTTGAGCTGGGACCTTGGTGTTTCCTGCCCTTGGACTTTAACTGAAACATTGGCTTCTTCCTGTGTCTAGAGCCTGCAGGTTTTCACACTAGAACTACATCATTGGCTCGCTTGGTTCTTAGGCCTTTGGAATGAGCCTGGACTACACCATAGGTTCTCCTGGGTCTCTAGCTTGCCGACTGTAGGTATTGAGACTTGTCAGCCTCCACAATCATGTGAGCCAATTTCTTATAATGAATTATATAATAAATGTATACTTTATTGATTCTGTTTCTCTTGAGACCCCTGACTAATATAATCTTCTTTTAAGCTCTAGTCCAATATTTTAAAAATCAAGTTTAAAATCTCTAACAGGGTGTAATACTTGGAGCTTCAACTCAAATACAAAATGAAATTTATAAAAATGTTATTCATCATTGATTTATTCAATCAATAAGGATTTATGAAATGTCTACTATGTGGTAGGTATTGTGCTAGGTATGCAAAATGGTGTCCTGGTCTCAAATAGTTCACTGAGCAGTAGAGTCAATAGATGTGTAACAAAAATGAAAAGTTACAATTTAATAGAAATGTACAAGACAAAGTGGTAGTCCAGAGAGCATAAAGGTGGGATTGGTAGCAGAGCCTTCCCTGTTGCTAGGGAAGGCTTCTTGATGAGTAAGGCTTGAAGAAGAGAGGGTTGCCAGGTGGGCAGAAAGGTTAATTTGATGGAAGGAAATAATATTTCAGGCAAAGAAAAAAAAAAGACATGTAAAAAGGAAGTGCTTGAATCAGATGTGGAAATGATAATAGTTAGATGTTGAAGAAGAGCAACAGCTAGTCATGATTTCCAAGTATTATGAGAATAAAATTATTGATGTATAAAGGTTCCCAATTTTTTCCCTGCCTACCTATTAAAAAGAGTTTTGGTATAACTTCTCTTAATCTTTTCCTTTCCTCTGTCTTTCAAGGAAGTCCTGCATTGCCAGTTTGTTTTTGTTGTTGTTGTTATTTTGAGACAGTCTCACTCACTCTGTCACCCAGGCCGGAATGCAGTGGAACGATCTCGGCTCACTACAACCTCTGCCTCCTGGGTTCAAGTGATTCGCCCACCTCACCCTTCTGAGTAGCTGGGACTACAGGTGCGGTGCCACCATACACTACTAATTTTTGTATTTTTAGTAGAGACGGGTTTTCACCATGTTGGCCAGGCTGGTATCAAACTCCTGACCTCAAGTGATCCACCCACCTCGGCATCCCAAAGTGCTAGGATTACAGGCATGAGCCACCACACCCAGCCAGTTTGAGGAATTTTTAATAGCAAAAAGGAAGGAAGGAAGGAAGGAAGGAAGGAAGGAAGGAAGGAAGGAAGGAAGGGAAGGAGGAAGCGAGGGAAGGAAGAATAGAAGGGGAAAAGGTTGAAAGAAAGGGAGGTAGGAAGAGAGGGAGGTGTGAGATGGAGAGATGGGGAAGGAGGAAAGGAAGAAAAGAGGAGGGGAGTAAGGGAGGAAGAGAATATTAGCAGATGAGAAAGATCAGAGATAGCAGGTACTTGAGATTTTTGGTAGTGGTGGTAGTGGTGTTTTTGTTTTTATTTGGAGAAAAGACTGTTGGAGAAAGTGACTGCAGTCGTGAAGGCAGTAGATGAAAGAAGAAAAATATCTATTTGAAGAATGATTACTGAGGGACTTTATAGTCTCCCTATGATGTGAGAAAAAATAGCTGTATTTGAGTTACTTTAAATTTGCATTTAAACCACACTATAATTAAAGGACTAAACCATACGTATCACCACTAAATAAACATTATAGGCATGTCTCCTAATTGCAAAACTTACTTTTTTTTTTTTTTTTTGAGATGAAGTCTCTGTCACCCAGACTGGACTGCAGTAGTGCCATCTTGGCTCACCGCAACCTCCACTTCCTGGATTCAAGTGATTCTCCTGCCTCAGCCTCCCGAGTAGCTGGAATTACAGGCACGCACCACCAAGCCTGGCTATTTTTTGTATTTTTAGTAGAGATGGGGTTTCATCATGTTGGCCAGGCTGGTCTCAAACTCCTGTCCTCAAGTGAGCTGTCCACCTCGGCCTCCCAAAGTGCTGGGATTACAGGCGTGGGCCACCACGCCTGGACTGCAACACTTAATCTCCAGCCATCTAGACATGAAACCTTAAAATAGTAGAATGGAATTTGAATGAAATTCATTTCTTTTTCTAGGTGTGGTATCAGCGTTATCAGTGTGCCTGGATCCAAGCAGCCGTTTCATATCCTGGACATGATAATTTGTTGAAGAATACGAACATGAGTGAACTCAGGCCGATGAGATGCAAGAAGATATTTTCTGGGAGTGAAGCTTTTTCACTTTTTCTGTTTAACAGACCATTTCTCTTTTTTCTGTGCTTCTTATGGAGCCACAGGCAGAGCCACACAAAAAAAGCAGATCTGAAATACAGATTCTTGGTGATTTTATTTGAATCCTGGATCAAGCCAAGCCTGAAGCCTGAATCTCAATTTACTTTACAATTGGACCAGATTAATCTTCCTAAGACATTATTTTGTTGCTAAAATGCTC
This sequence comes from Homo sapiens, assembly GCF_000001405.40. Classification (NCBI taxonomy): domain Eukaryota; kingdom Metazoa; phylum Chordata; class Mammalia; order Primates; family Hominidae; genus Homo; species Homo sapiens. Next base: position 72,607,985 of record NC_000009.12, on the reverse strand, counting down.
CGAAGTGACCACACAATGAAGTCCAAATCATGTAGTCTTATGTTAAAATGATTTCATTACCTGGTACCAACCTGACCCCTTCATTCTTGCTCCCTCTGACTCTCCTTCTCATACACCATGCTCCAGCTCCATCGTGGGGGAAATAGGGGACGTTTGCTTATGTTATTTCCTATTTGGGGAATAATAATCTTTTTTTTTTCTTTGTAGAGACAGGGTCTCACCATTTTGCCCAGGCTGGCCTTGAACTCCTGGGCTCAAGTGATCTCTCACCTCAGCCTCCCAAAGTGCTGGGATTACACATGTGAGCCACCATGCCCAGCCTAAAATAATGATTTTGATACATTGATACTCTTTTTTTTTTTTTTTTTTTGAGGCAGACTCTTGCATTCTCGCCCAGGCTGAAGTGCAGTGGCGCGATCTCGGCTCACTGCAAGCTCCACCTCCTGGGTTCACACCATTCTGCCTCAGCCTCCTGAGTAGCTGGGACTACAGGCGCCCGCCACCACACCCAGCTAATTTTTTGTATTTTTAGTAGAGACGGGGTTTCACCATGTTAGCCAGGATGGTCTCGATCTTCTGACCTTGTGATCCTCCCACCTCGGCCTCCCAAAGTGCTGGGATTACAGGCGTGAGCCACCACGCCTGGCAATAATCTTCATTAGTTCTAAGCTTTAGCTCAAATACAACCATGTTTTATGACGAAGAAATCAATCTGTGCTTCTTTCAGATTCACATGGTCATCTGTTTGTAATGCTTCCATGGTACCTACCATGTACCACCTTTTACTGTAAACTCCATTGTAAATTCCTTACAGACAATGTTTAGGGATCATACAAAAACATTTATTGAGTATCTACAATGTATTGGGCATTACACCATGTTCTGGATGATAAAAAGAGGAAACAAATAATATTCTTTTATCATATTCTCTGTGCCAGGCCCTATTCTAAGTTCTCTTTCTCTCTCTCTCTCTCTCTCTCTCTATATATATATATATATATATGCACACACACACATACATACATACATACATACATATATATAAACCTACTTAGCCTTCATAACAGCCATATGAAGCAGATGTTATTTGTTTCTCCCATTTGACATATGAGAAAACTAGGGAACAGAGAGATTGAATAAATTGTTCAAGTTGTTACAAGTTGTAAGTGCAAAAGTAAATATTCAAACCCAGGCAGTCTAGCACCAGAGGCTGGAGTCAACTACTATACTAACTCCTGGTGCTTTTTATTTAGAGCAATAGACCATTGGTCACTAATATTTGCAGCACTTATAAATGTGTTTGACAAAAAAAGTAAGTATTTTTATAGTAAATATAACTCAATCCAAGAAAAAATAATTCCTACTCAATTATTATAGCAGCTAAAAATACTTCAAAGTCATTTTTCACTAATTGGTTAAAATATTTTAAGTAACATAAGTACATACGTTTCTGCAGACTGAATTTTTATTTTTACCTAATTACCATAGCCAGCCTCAAAGATGACCACCAATGACCCCAGTTCCCCCTGTATGGTTCACTCCCATGTTTTACCAGGGTTAGTGTGTGTGACCAACAGAATGTGGCAGAGGTACTGATATATTATTTCTAAACCTAAGTTATAAGAAGACTGTGCATTCTGTCTTGGATTCTCTCTCTCTTATCCCATCCCCAACCCCCATTCCATGCTTTTGGGGAAGCCAGCTGCTATGTCATTAGGTAATCTGGACAACCTGTGGAGAAGCCGATGGCAAGAACTGAAGTCTCCAGCGAGAAGAAACTGAGGCCTGCCAACAACTACACCAGTGAGCTGGGAAGCCCATCTTTCCCCAGTTAATCCATCAGATGAGATTGCAGCCCCAACTGACAGCTGACTACAACCTCATGACAGGTGTCTATGGGCTAAATTGTGCCCCCTCAAATTCATATGTTGACATCCTAACCCCCCCACCACCTCAGAATGTGGAGGCATTTGCAGATAGAGCCTCTAAAGAAGTAATTAAGGTTAAATGAAGCCATACAGCTTGGCCCTAATTCATGTGACTATATTTGGAGACAGGGCCTTCAAAGAAGTGATTAAGTTAAAGTGAGATTAAAATTTTATCTGACTGGGGCAGGGTGCAATGGCTTACACCTGTAATCCCAACATTTTGGGAGGACAAGGCAGGTGGATAACTTGAGGCCAGGAGTTCGAGACCAGCCTGGGCAACATGACAAAACCACGTCTCTACTAAAAATACAAAAATTAGCCAGGCGTGGTGGTGTATGCCTGTAATCCCAGCTACTTGGGAGGCTGAGGCAGGAGAAGAACTTGAGCCAGGGAGGTGGAGGCTGCAGTGAGCCAAGATTGCACCACTGCACTCCAGCCTGGGTGTCAGAGTGAGACTCCATCTCAAAAAAAAAAAAAAAAAATTAATCTGACTGGAATGCTTATAAATTTTCACTCAAAAAGAGACACAGAAGTGCATGTGCACAGAGGGACAACCATGTGAAGAGGGAGCAAGAGGACAAGCATCTGCAATCCAAGGACGGAGACCTCAGAGGAAACCTTGGTCTTGGACTTCTGGCCTCCAGAATGCATGTTTCTGTTATTTAAGGCACCTGTGCTGTTGTGTTCTGTGACAGCAGCCCTAGCAAACAAATAAGATACTTTGAGCCAGAACCACCCAGTGAATCTGCTTCTGGATTCCTCATCCCCAGAAATTTATGAAATAATAAATTGTTGTTTTAAGCTGCTAAATTTTAGGGTAATTTGTTATGCAACTATAGATAAATGATAACCCCTCAGTTGTTTGGATTCCTTGTAATATGATGAGCAGTGATTTGTCTTTCGGAATCCATGTCATCATTAAATGCTATATTGTTTTTGGCGTATGTTAGACAATTTTGTTGTCTGAATTTCCCAGAAACTACCTGTAAGGTTTATTTTTTCATTCGCATTATTTCATTTTAAGAGAAGAGAATAGCATATAAACAATTGATTAAACCATACATACCTTAAAAATCATCTAGAATTTTTACATTCCCTTTAACATGTGTTGTCTATTTTCTATACTGATGATATATACTCTTCAGATATTGAACACTGCATTTGGAAACACATATTATTCTATGTTCCTCATGAAATGGAAAGCCTCAGAGATACAAAGAAATTACCTCTGTCCCACCTTGTCACTACTTATTGTACAAAACTCAGTTGAGGTTCTTTAAACTGTTTTTAAGTTCTGATGATGAATATTAAACCAACATGCTTCACCTATTTACTAATTTATTTCTGAATTCACCCAACCAGCATTTCTTTAATGACTATAGTACGTTAGACACTGTTACAGACATTGAGAATAGCCGTAAAAAACACAGATAAACTGTCTCTGCTCATGGAACTTGTGGAAAGAGACAGCAATAAGCAAGAAAAATAAGTAAAATATATAACATGCCGGATGGTGGTAAGTGCAGGAAAACTGCAATACCAGAGCCCAGAAACTTTTCTGGCCACAATCACCTCCCCTTAGATTGTAGAAATGTGAAGATATTGGGCTGGTAAATAGAGAAGTCTCTTGTAAATAATTCTATATTAATAGTTTTTACTAAATTTTGTAAAGATTCAAGGGCATAGAAATATAATCTTCTTTCAGTTTGGCTCCTTTCTTAACTAATTTTGTGATTTCTTTTAACATGTAATGCTTTTTTGCAGTTATATTCAAGATTTTTAAGACCTTATGAACAAAAAAACAGTATTTATTTGAAATGTCTTCCATTGTGATAAATTGGCATTAAAGTTAAAAGCACATTAGGTATCAATGTTTTATCTTTGAGAATGAGATTATAATTACAGGAAATTTTATCACCAAGTGATGATAGCCTGTTCTCTCATTACAATCTGAGAAGATAACAGTGTTAAAACTAAATACAACACCAACATGGTGAAATCCCATCTCTACTAAAATACAAAAATTAGCCAGGCATGGTGGTGGGCACCTGCAATCTCAGCTACCTGGGAGGCTGAAGCAGGAGAATTGCTTGAACCCAGGAGGCAGAAGTTGCAATGAGCCAAGATTGTACCATTGCACTCCAGCCTGGGCAACAAGAGCGAAATTCCGTCTCAAAAAAGAAAAAAAAAAAAAAAAAAAAAAAAAAAACAGCCGGTCGCAGTGGCTCACACCTGTAATCCCAACACTTTGGGAAGCCAAGCCAGGTGGATCACGAGGTCAGGAAGTCAAGACTTGACCAGCCAACATGGTGAAACCCCGTCTCTACTAAAAATACAAAAACTAGCTGGACATGGTGGCGGGGGCCTGTAATCCCAGCTACTCAGCAGGCTGCGGCAGGAGAATTGCTTGAACCCAAAAGGCAGAGGTTGCAGTGAGCTGAAATCGCGCCACTGTGGGCAACAGAGCAAGATTTAAAAACAGCAACAACAACAACAACAACAACAACACTAAACTAAACTAAATGCAACATTGACACGGTAAGGTTCTCTAAGGAGATGAGCCTTCAGAACAGAGAAATCTGTCTGACAACATACCCATGAAAAATGCTCTGTGTATGTGTGCGTGTGGAGTGTGGTGTGTGTGTGTGTGTGTGTGTGTGTGTGTGTGTGTAGTGGGGAGAGAGAAGGAGTAAGTTAGTTTGCTGGACATGATACTCACATGGTTATGGGTAGGGAGAGCAGAATAGGCAAAGAGCCAGAAAACTAAGCAATAAAAAAGCCTTGGTGTGTGGTCAGGCATGAAGTTGTAGTTTGGGCCTTCAGTGACTCCGGCAATGAGTTAATAAGCCAATGAAGTATGTGTCCATTTGAGATGCTCAGAGGCCAAAGCACTTGAAACAAAGTGATTTACGTGACCAATTTCTCCTGAGTCAGGATGGTATTCTTGTTTCCCAAGATGCCTTAAATATTTATCAGAGCCATCTGTACTATTGAAAAAATAATCTCCACAAAGCTCTCAAGACCACCTCCATATACACAATACTGGTAAATGGCATTAAAATAAAATGAAAATAAAATGATCTATAGTGGGTGGTAATCTATCCTTCCTCCTACCACCTCCCAAAACTAAAAGCCATAAACTGAATAGTAGATGCTCTTTATTTTTGTTATGAGTCAGCAGGTTTGGCAATTTCTCTAAAGTCAGAAATATTCACTGGGGATGAAGTACATTTCTATCTAAAAATACAAATGTTTTTTCAAAGAACAGCATTCATCTCAGAAAAAGGCAATATTAGTCACAAAACACACCAACAAAATGTTCTCAGGGTTCCAAAGTCTCTGAACAGGTGTCATACTTGGGAAATAAAAATACACCAATAAGGGGCCGGGTGCAGTGGCTCACGCCTATAATCCCAACATTTTGGGAGGCCGAGGCGGATGGATCACTTGAGGTCAGGAGCTCGAGATCCACATGGCCAACATGGTGAAACCCCATCTCTACTAAAAATACAAAAATTAGCCAAGCATGGTAGCACATGCCTGTAGTCCCAGTTGCTCAGGAGGCTGAGGCAGGAGAATCGCTTGAACCTGGGAGGCAGAGGCTGCAGTGAGCTGAGATCATGCCACTGCACTCCAGCCTGGGTGACAGAGCAAGACCCTGTCTCAAAAAAAAAAAAAAAAAAAAAAAAAATCACCAATAGGAGAATCACAGCAAGTCATTCGCATATCAAATCTGGGTTCAATTCTTGCTCACCACTAATTGGCTGAGTGACCTGGAGTGTGTTGTCTTACTTTCTCAAGTCTCAGGCTCTTCATTTGTAATAATATTATACTAAAACCACCTGTGTCCTAGCATTGCCATGAGGATTAAACGAGCTACAACAAGTAAGGTCCAGGCTAAGCACATTTAATCCAAACATCTGAAATCTGAAATTCTCCAAAATCTGCAATTTTTTGAGCATTGACTTGACACCACAGTAGAAAATTCCACACCTGACCTCACGTGACAGGTGCACAAAATTATTTAAAATATTATATAAAATTACCTTCAGGCTATGTATACAAGGTGTATATGAAAAATAAATGAATTTTGTGTTTAGGCTTGGGTCCCATCCCTGAGATGTCTCATTAGATACATGCCAATATTTCAAAATCCAAAATAATCTGAAATCTGAAATACTTCTGGTCCCAAGAATTTTGGTTTTGGTTTTGTTTTCATTTGAGTCCTGCTCTGTGACCCACATTGGAGTGCAGTAGTGAGATCACAGCTCATTCTAACCTTGAAGGCCCAGGCGTGAGCAATTCTTCTGCCTCAGCCTCCCAAGTATATGAAACTACAGGAATGCACCACCATGCCAAGCTAATATGTTTTTTGTTTTGGTTTTTTTGGTTTTGTTTTGTTTTGTTTTGTTCGAGACAGGGTCTCACTCTGTCACCCAGACTGGAGTGCAGGAGCACGATCTCAGCTCACTACAACCTCCACCTCTTGGGTTCAAGCGATTCTCTGGCCTCAGCCTCCTGAGTAGCTGGGATTACAAGCGCCCACCACTACTGCCCAGCTAATTTTTGTGTTTTTAGTAGAGACGGGGTTTCACCATGTTGGCCAGGCTGGTCTTGAACTCCTGACTTCAAATGATCCACCTGCCTCAGCCTCCCAAAGTGCTGGGACTATAGGCATGAGCCACCGCACCTGGCCAATTTTTCAAATATTTTTTGTAGAGACAGGGTCTCACTATGTGGCCCAGGATAGTCTCAAACTCCTTGTTTCAAGTGATCCTCCTCCCTCAGCCTCCCAAGTAGCTGGGACTATAGGGATATGCCACCATGCCTGGCAATTTGTGTGTGTGTGTGTGTGTGTGTGTCTGTGTGTGTGTGTGTGTGTGTGTGTAGAAACAGTGTCTTGCTATGTTGCCTAGGTTGGTCCTAATCTCCTGGTCTCAAGCAATCCTCCTGCCTCAGCCTCCCAGAGTGCTGACATTACAGGAATAAGCCTCTGCACCCAGCTTGCCCCAAGCATTTTGGATAAGGGATATTCAACCTGTATTTGGAACACAGAAACTGCCTAACAAAAATTAGCTGTTATTATTTCAGAACAATATTTCTCAGTGTGTGGTCCCTGGACCAGCAGCCTCAGCATCCCCTGGGAACTTGTCAGAAATGCCAGTTCTCAGATTCCATGAAGTGAATCAGAAGCTCTGGGGGTGGAACCCAGACCTCTGTTTAACAAGCGCACATGATGATTCTGGTATGCACTGAACGAAGTTTGAGAACCACGCTCATAGGATATAGGGTAAAACAGGAAATAAATTTTAATATAATTTATCATTAAGAACTTTAATTTTTTATTTTAATTTTTTTCTTTTTTTAATTGGCTTATTTCTACAAGAAAATGGGGACTTTTTTGTAAATTACTAGAAAAAGAATTTCAGCAGTAGCTTGAGAACATTAGGATTTTTGTAGGATAACTCTTACCATCTTATTTTTCATTTTGCCAGATAGAATGCTTAACACCAAACGACCATATTCCAAGAGATCTATTATGAAACTGTGTTAATATATTTTGTAAAGCCAAAGATATGGTAGAAAAACTCATCTAAAAGAGGGAGAGCCCACAGTATTGGTGATAATCATGAGACTCTACACTTGAACACAGCCTAGTATTCACCAGTCTTACCTGTTTCCATACACAATCCTGTCACACTGGAGGATGTGTATATGCTGAATCAGCGACAAAGCTAGTATAGGCACGTGACACAGGATTTCCAAGTGTGCATTTTGTTGCTTGAGTATAGTCAGTAAGCTCTGTACACAGTTAAAGGTAAAGTTGCCATTTAGAACAAAATGAACCAAAGTGTATATTTTTGTTACTTCATCCTCCACATTGCTGCCATAGAGATTTTTCTAAAGTGCACTTGTAATCATGCCACCACTCAGCTTAAAAGACTTAAATGGCTTCCTTCCACCTGGCACACGAGGGCCCCGTCGACCTACTACATGGCCCTCATCCTACAATTACACAACCTCCACAAAGCCTTCCTTGACAGCCCACCTTCCATCACTAAGGACTTGGTTTCTCCTTCCTCTAAGCTTCCTGAGCACTGTGTTCATATCTCTTGCAGTAATTTTACATTGCATTATAATAGTTATTTAAATATCAGTCTCTCAGCAAGACTTTTGCTTAACTTTTACTGACAGCAAAAAGTGCATTTTCTTTTTTTCTTTTTTCTTTTTCTTTCTTTTTTTTTTTGAAATGGAGTTTGGCTCTTGTCGCCCAGGCTGGAGTGCAATGGCATGATCTCGGCTCACTGCAACCTCCATCTCCTGGGTTCAAGTGACTTTCCTGCCTCAGCCTCCCGAGTAGCTGGGATGACAGGCACCCGCCTCTACGGCTGGCTAATTTTTTGTATTTTTAGTAAAGACGGGGTTTCACCATGTTGACCAGGCTGGTCTTGAACTCTGTCTCACCAAAAACAAAAAAAGGGAGATAGAGAGATATGAAAATCTGTGATAATGAAAATCGAACTTCAATTTGGACTCCTGGTACCTCCTCCCCAGGCCTTTTCTTAGAAAATTCAACCTATAGGCTTTTTGTAACTGAGATCTGCTCACCCACTGGCCAGGTCTTTTGGGAGATTTTGGCAAGAAGGTTTTCATCGCTTCCATCTTCTTCCACATCTGCCTAATGCAGGGAAATCCAAATGTCTTTATCAACAAAATAGTGGGAAATGGCCAGGTGTGGTGGTTCATGCCTGTAATCCCAGCACTTTGGGAAGCCAAGGTGGGCAGATCACCTGAGGCCAGGAGTTTGAGACCGGCCTGGCCAACATGATAAAACCCCATCTATACTAATAATACAAAAATTAGCTGGGTGTGCTGGCACACGCCTGTAATCCCAGCTACTCGGGAGACTGAGGCATGAGAATCGCTTGAACCCAGGAGGCGGAGGTTGCAGTGAGCTGAGATTGCACCACTGTACTCCAGCCTGGGCGACAGAGTGAAACTGTGCCTCAAAAAAAGAAAAAAAAATAGTGGGAAATACAGATTTCTCCCTGGCATTCCCTCTCCTAGTTAAGCCAAGCCTTTCCTACAAATTCCTCCTTGCTCAATTAATACCAAACACTCTGCTGGTCTAATAGTAAGCAATTTTAAGAGAAGAGATTGTTGTCGGCATCTAACCACGTGTAGATGAGGAAACAGACGGTTCTGACATCCCCAAATGTACAGGAAAAGGAGAGAAACAAGTCCAAAGTCCTCCCCCTCCCATGAGAAGAACAGTAGGAAGGATTTTCACAATATGATTTTGGCATTTTCCCAAAAGACATAACCTTTTTCTCTTCTGGTCCCCCTTTACTATGGTTCACTGATAAAGACTGTGAAATTAGTTGGGCCTTCCTAGCAGGCAGAAGGCAAGGATCAGTAATCTCATGACCTAAGACCAGGCCCTCAACCTTGGAGAATTTAGTAATTGTATTATCAGGGCTCTGTGTCCACTGTATATGCTACATTCTTCAGCAACCTCTGGGGGCAGAAAAAGATTATCAGTAATAAGTGATACGATTATGAAGCAGAGAACAATCAGCACCTCACAACATTCTCCTAAGGGAGAAAAAAAAAAAAACTTACTTTGAATCAAAGCTGACCATAATCAAATCTGCCTCCCAAGGTCAAGGAACAGGAGAAGGATATCATTCACGTTCCTGGGAAAATAAGTCTCTGTATGGGCCCCTTTCAGTCACAGAGACTGGTAGGCAGGGAGGGATGAGACCCCAAGTCGATGGGTTGTCGGAGCAAGAGCTTGTTAGTTTGCCTTTGGATATGTGAGTAGATTTCCCAGAGCAGAGATTGATGTAGAGTCTATCTCCATTTCTGAGGGTATGTGGGGGGACTCCAGAAGTAAAGGAGAAAGCAAAAGATGATAGCCAAGCTACATAGTGATGGCTGAAGATTGTCTTTTGTGTTTTGTTTTGTTTCCATTTTCCATTGACAATATCTGCTCTGCTAGGATATAAACCCCCATCTGTGTTATCAAATGTGCAGTGAAGACTGTTACACATAAAGTCCCCATGAGGGTTTTTTCTTTTTTTCATATAATTCAAAGCAAAGGGGATGAGTGTGGCATTTGGTTCAGCATGGAGCACAGAGAAGGGAACTGGCATAGGAGATGTGAGGTTATGGAATGAAGATGGAGTGAGTTTTCCCACAAGCTGAAAGCAGGAGCCAGGCCTGAACCGACAGTAATCCCTGAGAAGATACAGATATCTCAGGGAAGACAGAGAACAGAGGGTCTGTGCTGACATCTGGGTTGTATTAGTACGCGGTTGTTATTGTTATTATTCTCCACTGGGGAGCCAAAGAGAACACATACAGCACAGCTCCCAAATACATCAAAGGCATGGGGGACCCCTTATCTCTGGGGGATGGATTTGTGAGAGGTATCATTGCCAGCTCTCAATATGCCCCTAAGAATCACTAACTTTTATTCCTACTCAGGACCCAGGGTAAGAAGGGTGGGAAATGTTGCCGTTTCCCGGGGCTGACATGCGGGTAGCTAGGAACATCTCATACCAGTACCTACAAATGGCCACTCGCTCTTCAACCTTAATCTAATGGAAGGTGAACAGCAGGTACCCTGAAGGGGGCCCTTCCTTTTCCAGAAACTGAAATCTGTCAGAGGGCGCTGTGACTCCACAGAATTGAGTACTTCCGAGCCAATCTGCACTATCATGAGGAGCGCAGTCCCTGTGCCCCGCTGACCTGCTTGGCAAGGGCATGGTTCCGGCCGCATGTGAACAGCACCTGCATCATTCTTTCTTTCTGTGAGTGAAGAAATCTTAGTGCTAGGACTTTGCACCATTGCACATGTAAAATGTGCTTCTCTAAAGAGCCAGCATTAGAAAGTATTTTACAAAAAAACTTTTCTTATTAGGAATTTCCTATCTCCTCATCTAAAAAGTCTCCCACATGTGGTTTTGTGGTAGTTGCCCCAGCTCTTTGACGTTAGCAGCAAAGCCCTCAGCAGTCTGGGTTTCAATTTGTGAAATTCAAATCCGCAAATATTTACAAGGGTTGCTGGTGGCCAATGTGCCTTCTACACCATCACAAAATGAGGTAGGAATCTAAGGTTTCATGGTACATACTTAGAAGGCGCAGACAGTCAGGTATCTCATAAGCTCTTTTCAGAGACTCTAGTGGTTCTTTTTCTTTGTTCTTTTTCCCTTCTTTTTTCTTTCTTTAGTTAGCTATGTGTTTTCTTCCAGGGGGAATGAAAGCTTTTAACATTCAAATACCATGGAGGCCTGCTGATACACTCTTAACTGCTATAAGAAGCCCAAAGCAACTATGTTACATACATGGTACTCTTGGTTTTCACGAAGAACGGTATGTACAATTCCTTATCAGGCATCATCTGCTATAGACTTACACTAAGAGGCTTTGACCAACTTTTTTCGTGGATGAGAAAGCAAGTACTTTCAATTGTTCTTTTTCTATTTCTGTCTTTTTTTTTTTTTTTTTTTTTTACAATTGAAACTGTGAACTGATAGTCCCAATTGTTGAAGTCATTATTTCTGTTCATCAAATGCTTCCCATTCCTCTTTCCTGAGCACATGGTGGGGCTGCATATGGCTTTGTGGTGAGTGGGACAACATGATTAGTTCTGGCCATGGATTTAACAGTAGAAATAAGATGTATTGCTCCAAGACTGGAACACTGAATTGTTCAAGAAAAACCTTCCAGAGCCATTGTTCCCTTGGCCCTAGTGACCAGCACCTTTTTCTGTGTGTGCTCCATTAAACTGGGTCCTGCAGAGAAGGTGATACAGATGGGCAGACAGTAAGAGCAAGAAATAAATCTTTGTTGTCTTAAGCTACTAGAGTTGAGAGTTGGCTGGGCGCGGTGGCTCACGCCTGTAATCCCAGCACTTTGGGAGGCTGAGGCGGGCAAATCACGAGGTCAGGAGTTCAAGACCAGCCTGGTCAATATGGTGAAACCCTGTCTTTACTAAAAATACAAAAATTAGCCGGGCGTGGTGGCATGCGCCTGTAGTCCCAGCTACTTGGGAGGCTGAGGCGGAAGAATCGCTTGAACCCAGGAGGCAGAGGTTGCAGTGAGCCGAGATCACGCCACTGCACTCCAGCCTGGGCGACAGAGCAAGATTCTGTCTCAAAAAGAAAAAAAAAAAAAAAAGAAACCCCATCTCTACTAAAAATACGAAAATTAGCCAGCGTGGTGGTGCATGCCTGTAATCCCAGCTACTCAGGAAGCTCAAGCAGGAGAATCACTTGAGCCCAGGAGGCGGAAGTTGCAGTGAGCCAAGACTGTACCACTGCACTCCAGCCTGGGCAACAGAGCAAGATTCAGTCTAAAAAAAAAAAAAAAAAAAAAAGTTGAGAGTTGCTTGTTACCACAATGTAAACTAGTTTACCCCATTGATGTAAAACCTGTGACAGAAAGGAAAACAACCTCAGGATGAAGCCAACCCCATAGATAGCAGAATGGAAAAAGTA